>NC_000016.10:6885000-7510000 GCF_000001405.40 Homo sapiens | reverse complement strand
ATTATATAGAGGAGGAAGGGAAAAAAAAAAAAAACCCACTGCTCGACCACATTAATAGCTGTTTAAAAAACATTAGAAATGCGATTCTATGCATCGCCTGGAGCTGGAATTTTTCATTACTAAACTAAATATATGGTATGCAAAGTTATAAAATCCAGCAGGGAGCTTGCTACTATCTTATTTTTTCTTAAGAGGGGAGGGCAAACATTCAGGGATAAAAGGGAAGAGACAGAGGATGGATGAAAAAAGTTTAAAGAGATAGAGAGATAGCAATAGGTAAATTTTGAAAAATACTGTGAGTACATCAAGAGAGCATGAATTTGTAATAAAGCTGTGTGGTTAACTGCAAATCGATCTTAAAAATACCATAACTGATGATGACTTGGAAGATTTTGAAATCCAGCTCTTTTGCAGACTGGCTGTGTAATCTTAGACAAGTTATTGTGATACTCCAAGCACTAGTTTTTGCTTCTGTTTAATGGGACCAATGATGAGTAGCTTCACCATATTATTGTAAGGATCTAATTAAAAATCACATCACCAAAAACCACACACAGACACAGACACAGACACACACACACACACACACACACACACACACACACACACAGGGCTTGGCTCCTAGTACACATTATGTAAACGAATTCATTCATTCACATTTAATGCAACGGTAAGCAAAATCCAAAACCATCTTTGTCCCTATAGACCTTACAGTCAAGTGCAGCAGCAGACTTCAAGAAACAAAAAATAAATACTAAGATGACCGCAATATTCCAGGGGTGACAAATGCTATCAAGAAAAAGTACAGGGGTCTTGCTTTCTCCTTTCCTTGGACTTTTGTCTTTTCATGGCTTATCGTTTTCTTTTCTCTCCCAGTGAGCAAAAACAAGAACTCATACAAAAAATTCCCCAGTGAAATCCCACATCAATGCCAAAGGCAGCCTCTTTATTTAAAGCTGCAAGTACTTTGTTCTTCCTTTATTATGAAAACTACAACAACCAGAGTGAAATGTCAAAATAATTTCAGTTATTATTTGCTCATGTCTTTCTTGCTTGTCAAGGGAGAGGTTTTGAGAGTCCCATGCACCGTTCCTACAGATAGCTGCTTATCACCAAGGCTCCTTGCTATGGAAAGAGAGATCTTCCCCTACTGGAAGGAATGGATGGGGTTTCTGAAGTGAATAAAGTTGTAATTAAATTGTATAACAGAGGAGGAGGTGAGGGTGGAAGAGACCGCCTGGAAGAATTCAACCTTTCTGCTTGTCTGTTTTGCAGGTTCTAGTTCAGGTGGCCCCTGGGCGAGGTTTTTCTTTTTAATTCCCAGCTCTACAAGGTTGGAAAGAAAATCTGGATACATAGTATTTGTGCCCGTCCTTACGTTTCCATTTCCAATCATACCTTGGGGATCTCTGCAATGCATCACAGAGTGAGAGTTAAAACAAGCAGCCCTTTCAGTTTCTTTAAAAGGATGTGTCAGCTCCCCTCTCTAACCACATAAACACAGAGGACAAGAGGCCCTGTCTCACAAGACTCCAGCTCAGTATGCGAGGACAGCAGCCATTCGCACAAACCATAAGCTCTTGTCCTCAACTGAGAGGCCAACTTCTGTCCTTCAACCTTGGAAAGAGAGACAAGACCAAGACGGACAATTCCCTGGTGAAAGCATTAATGTCCTAGGGAATAACGCAGAAAATACTCAAAAACAAACAACAACAAAACAACTGGCCGGGCGCGGTGGCTCACGCTTGTAATCCCAGCACTTAGGAAGGCCGAGGCGTGCGGATCGCTTGAGGTCAGGACTTTGAGGCCAACCTGCTAAAACTCCATCTCTACGAAAAATACAAAAATTATCCAGGCATTGTGGCAGGTGCCTGTAATCCCAGCTACTTTGGAGGCTGAGGCACGAGAATCGCTTGAACCCGGGAGGTGGAGTGTGCAGTGATCCAAGATTGCATCACTGCACTCCAGCCTGGGTGATAGGGTGAGACTCCATCTCAAAAAGAAAAGAAAAAAAAACTTAAATAGACAAAGAGTTAAAGAGTTTCAGCTGGAAACAATCAGATAGATGCAACAGAACATGGGTCCTTAGTCAGTGGAGCATGAGCTCCTTATGTATTCTTTTAAAAATAACAGATTCCGGCCGGGCGCCGTGGCTCATGCCTGTAATCCCAGCACTTTGGAAGACCGAGGCGGGCGGATCACGACGTCAGGACATCGAGACCGTCCTGGCTAACACGGTGAAACCGCGTCTCTACTAAAATTACCAACAATTAGCCAGGCGTGGTGGTGGGCGCCTGTAGTCCCAGCTACTTGGGAGGTTGAGGCAGAAGAATGGCGTGAACCCGGGAGGCGGAGCTTGCAGCGAGCCAAGATCGCGCCACTGCACTCCAGCCTGGGTGACACAGCAAGACTCCGTCTCAAAAAAAAAAAAAAAAGAAAGAAAGAAAAAAAAAATCACGTTCCAAGGCCTTCACACCAGACCTACTGCCTCAGAATCTCTGAGGGTGGGATCCAGGGATGGGCACTGTCAAAAGTTGCCCCAGATAGTTCTGATACACAATCCTGGAGAAAAATGTTCTGTGTTTTTTATTCTGTCAGTCTGATCTCTTAGGCTGTAAGACCCATGTAGGGGATCATCATACCAACATTCTTTAAATGAAATAATCTACACACATGAGAGAAGAATAAAATAGTTAAGAGTTTATATTGTTTCATGAAAACTTTATGTGGAGGAATGGGTTCAGAGTGTAAAATCTTTTATGAATTGGGGTAAAAATAAATAAATGGAAAAACACTATGATAGGCCAGGTAATTTCTAGTGTTACTATCTAACCTTTTAATGCTGTGACTATGAAATCAAAGTCAAATATTGAGGCATCAAGAGCATAATGGTGAAACTATTGGCAAGTCATTCAACCTTTATGTGACCCAGTTTCCTTATTCATAAAATATAAATAGTAATATATATTATTCTTCACAGTGAGACTCTTACGATGCTTTAGAGGGAAAAATCTACTGGAATGTATTTTATAATCTAGAAAGTCCTGTATGCACATATGTCCCACTGTGGGGATAAAACTGATCCTCCTTCCAGTCCAGTGAAGTTCTTCCTCTGGAGAACCCAGGAAGAAGGGATGTGTGTTGGACTCTAACCTACTTCAGTGAATACTAAACTCATTATGGTACCTTTGGCAGATCACATACCTCATTATGGTACCTTTGGCAGATAAGAAAACTGAGGTGCTAAACAAATGGAAAACACTTTCCAACACATGGATCTCGTACATTAGTAAGGGAAAGAACCCGAATTTTAACACAATCTTATTATGAGTCTTATTGAAGAATTCTTGTTACTGAATCCATAAGAAGATAAAAGCAAAGATGGTGGTGGTGGTGATGATGATGATGATGATGATGATGAAGGTGATGGTAATAATGGTGATGGTGATGACGATGTCTGGTAACGAGGAAAAGAAATCTTTTCTTGCACACCAATTATGAACTGATTATTGTTCTAAGCACCAAGCATACAAAATTCAATAAAGTAGCTTTGCCTACATTACCTCATTTAACAAGAATCCAACACACCGCATATTTTTATCTTCTTTTTCAAGCTAGGTGGGATTACTTGCTCATGCTCACACAACTTGTTAGTGCCAGGTACCCAAATCTGTCAGAATCCTACATTGTATATTCTTAAATACTTGGAGATGAATTCAGATCTGACCTCATTTAGATAAACATATAAACTTTTGTTCTGGTAACTATGCCAGCTTACAGAAATTTTTTTTTTTTTTTTTTTTTTTTTTTTTTTTTGAGACAGAGTCTTGCTCTGTCACCCAGGCTGGAGTGCAGTGGGGCGATCTCTGCTCACTGCAAACTCCGCCTCCTGGGTTCAAGCAGTTCTCCTGCCTCAGCCTCCCAAGTAGCTGGGACTACAGGTACCCGTCACCATGCCCGGCTATCTTTTTGTATTTTTAGCAGAGATGGTGTTTCACCATGTTAGACAGGATGGTCTCAACCTCCTGACCTTGTGATCCACTCACCTCAGCCTCCCAAAGTGCTCGGATTACAGGCATGAGCCACTGCACCTGGCCAGAAAATTATCTCTTGAACAAAGAACTCTAAAGTTGTGCTGAAGCCATAATTCATAAAATCCAACAAACAACAAAGATGACAGAATCCATGTTACAGATTCCAGCAAAGCTACTTGTCTCATTTCACTTCTCCGGCTCAGTAGGGAAGCACAGAGAGAGGATGGAAGCCATCTTGCCATGGCTGACAAACACCAGCCTCAGAAACACAAGCCAACCGAGTGGGCGGTCGACTTGCAGTGAGGAGGTGTCATGTTTGCAAAATGTTCCATCCTGATTTTCCATTTGGAGTTACAGAAGGCAATGGAGAGGCTGTTTTTCTCAACTCTTTAAAAGTCACTGACAATAAAATATTTATGGTACTCTGTACAAGTCAGAGACCTGGATATGGCCACTTCTGAGGTGATAATTCCAAAGGGAAATATGTGCTTAGCCCTTAAAAAATGAGCGACATCCAGAACAAGTGAAGTTCCCAACCAACGGCATCAAGCACTTAGGAAGATGGAGTTTCTCACTTTTCCAGGGTCTCAGAGGACCCTGTCTTGCCACTGAAAACCTCTGTCAAAGTATGACATTATATACACATTTTGGTGTCCATCTCCAACTGGACTGTGAACTCTATGAGTATAGGAACCTTGTCTGGTTTCCTTTTTTTTTTTTTTTTGGTCCATCACTGTTGCCTCAATCATCTCAAAGAGTGTCTGAGGTGCACACACATGCGAGCACACACACACATGTACAAAAGCATTCAAAATGTTTTGTTGAATAAAAAATGAATCCCAAGCTAGTCTCTTCATTTTTAGTAGTACTGAGACATGTTCTGACTCACTCAGCACCTCGGGGCACTGAGAGCAAGGTCAAAACCATCCACCGTTGCCCTGCATTACTGAAAAAAGTTTCCCCATTAGAATATCCTAACATTGCACTGAAGCATTTCGCGCTGGAAAGGCATGCTGCGTAGGGCTTCACCTGTCTGTTTGCGAAATTGCTTCAAATGCCGTATTATTGCCTGTTATTAATACAAACTAACAGCCAGAACAGCTGGTATTCTTCCAGCACCTTCTAAGTATCAGACAATGTTAGTCACTATATATATATATATAAATATATATATATATAAATATATATATATATAAATATATATATATATAAATATATATATATATATATATATATATATATATATATATATATATAATCTCACTTCATCTCCACAGGAGCTAGAGTAATAAACTCATTTTCAGCACACCCACTTCACAGATAAGGAAACATAAAGTCTTGAAGTGAATAAGTGCAAATCCAGACCTCATATCTAAGTCTTTCGGCAACAATGAGGTCCTTTCCTTTATCTATAATTGACCTTTTTTTGTGGGCTGAGATAAGAGGTGATATTTGTGAGAGTTATGGTGGAACAATTCACCATAAAATATTTTTGAGACATTCTGACAAAGTCTTTTAGTATCCTAGGCAAAATTAGAGGTTGTCAAAAAGGCACAAGACCATGTTCCTGCCACCCTAAGATCCAGAACCCAGGTAGATTAATCACGTTAATGATGATAGTGTTACTTATAACATTCTTGATAATAACAATAATACAATTAGAAGGGCTTAAACCACATGCTTGCCACTGCCCTAAATGTTCTATAAATAGAACTTCCATCAATGCAACCCACAGCCCGATGATACGGGCACCGACTTTATCTTCATTTCATAAATAATAGGCTCTGAGACGCTAAGAAAATTATCTCAGGTCATGATGGTTCCATGAAGAAATTTGTACCAACCCAATTCTGAACCCAGAGCCTAGCCTATGACTGCCATTATTGTTAATTTTTTATTTTCAAATAATCATAGAGATATAATTATACAGAAAGTTTCAAAAAATGTAGAAGGTGATCTTGGGCACCGTTCATCCATTTTTCCCCGTGATAACCTCTTGCATAACTATAATACACAGTCAAGACCAGAAAGCTCAGCTGTAGTAAGTACTTGGCTATCAATACCAACCAACCATCACCACTGCCATCCATTCCTGAGTGACAGATGGGGCTGCCCATCACTGTCACAGATATACTTGTATGGACAGAAGGGCATATGGACAAGCAGAAAATCAAACCATGCAAATAAACATTGGCAAAAGTGAATTTTTGTAAGGGAAAGAACAGACAGATGCATTTTGAATTTTAATTCAATAGGGATTCTCCACCTCCTGGGTATGCGGGAAGCCTCAATCCTGAACAGACTTTCATAATCCATCTCCTTTCACCAGCCCACTTTTTCTAAAGGGGGAAAAGTTCTTGCTACTACCACCAGAGTAACATCAGTGTCAAATTCACATTCAAGATAAATTTAGATGACTTGTGCCATTGCTAATACTACTACATTTAACCAAATCCACAAGGGGAGAAGGATGGATTCTGTCCCCTTAAATACCTGACTTGCAGTTACCCTACAGATATAATTTGAGATAATATCGCTGTGTGACTTATTCCATCATAGCTGTCCAGAGTATTCTCTGCCTGCTTCTAAAGGAGGAAATTGATCGATCGAATGTGACACAACTTTCTTTGTAAGAGAGGAAGTCCTTATACATACAAAGAAAACCAAATCGCTTAGAGAGACAGCAACTCTGCCGTGAACGTTGCTGACTACGGTATCCCACTAAGAATGTCACCAAGGATCTCTTGCTAGATTTGGAAAATTGGCAGCATTAAGTCACACTAACGAAAGGATAATCAAATACTCTCCCCAATGGGATTAGGTTACAGATGACAGAATGTTCTAGTGAAGAGAAAAATAAACATTCTAGATAAAAAGTAGTGCAAGGAGTGGACGCCATAATCTTGGACATGGATAAATTTAGAATAATTTATTTATTTTTTTTGAGACAGAGTCTTGCTCTGTCACCCAGGCTGGAGTGCAGTGGTGTGACCTCAGCTCACTGCAACCTCAGTGTCCCAGATTCAAGCGACTCTCCTGCCTCAGGCTCCCGAGTAGCTAGGATTACAGGCACCTGCCACCACACTTGGCTAATTTTTGTATTTTTAGTAGACAGGGAGTTTCACCATGTTGGCCAGGCTGGTCTCAAACCCTGACCTCAGATGATCTGCCCATCTTGGCCTTTCAAAGTTCTGGGATTACAGGCATGAGCCAGTACTCCCAGCCAATTCAGAATCATTTCTTCTTATAACACATTATAAAGTTTTCTACCCATCATAAAAGTTTATGCCTCACCACATGTATACGTATGTAACTAACCTGCACAATGTGCACATGTACCCTAAAACTTAAAGTATAATTAAAAAAACAAAACAAACAAACAAACAAAAAAGTTTATGCCTCACTACCATGAATCAACATATCTTCTATTTCTTCTTCAGCCCCTTTTCAAAGCTGGGTACGTAAACATAGTCTAAACAACCCAATGGCTTTGTGGAGGCATGATATGGTGAAAACTTAGCAACCACCTGCCACCCCTACATTGTTTATAAAGAATGCACAAAGCCAAGCATCTGCCTGTATTTTTAATTATTCGATTTTCTTACATGAAACCAGAGACCTCCCACAATGTTGTAAGCTCCTTAAGGGCAGGTGCTTGTCCATGTATCTTTAATGGTTCCCTCTTTTTCTTCCGCACATAGTAATCAGGTGTTTGACATGATAGATATCGGTTGGCTTGCATTCGCCTCACTTGTAGAAAGATGTCTAATCTGGTTACTGCAACAGGCAAAGACGATAAAATATGACCTTGTCTTTCATTGTGTGTTGCATAAGTTTTAGCCTCTCATAGTTTGCCAGCTGAAAAAAAAAAGGCTGTCATAAAATGAATGATAGTCGGACTTGGAAGAAATGAAATTAGGAGAGATTGCCAGAAAGCAAGGGCAATGAACTGTCCAAATGGGCAAGAGCATGATACTCACGCAATTGTTTCAGGAGTTAGGTATTGAGTATCTGTTGGATGTCAGGGACTGTGCTATGTTTGGGGGCTACAGTGGTGAATAAGGTAGACATAGCCCAGGTACCTCTATAGCTACAGGCTGGCAGGAGTCATAGAATAGCCTAGAGATTTACAGTGCAATAGGGTATGTGCCCAGAGAAGATAAATTTAAGAAACAAAATGATTTATCAGGTAAGGTTTTCCAGAAGAACTGATGTCTAACCTGATGTTCTTGAAGAGCAGGAAGCAGCCAGGTGGTAGGATACAGACTGACAAAACAATATGTAGAAAGGCCAATTGTAATGCTAAATGTTAGGACAGAATATCTGATAGTCTGAGTGGCAGAATCAAAGAAAACAAAGTAGAACAAAGCAATGAGGACATTTTCACAGAGACATAGGACCTATAAAATATAGAGCTGGGCTGAAGACCTGGAGGCTACTGGATTGTAAAGCTCTCAAAAGCAGAGACCTATGTCTGTCTTATAGGACAGCATATCCCCAGCACTATTGGAATGGCAAGCACAGAGTGAATGATCAAACACGATTTGATTAAATCAAAGAGTAAATGCAACAATGATACATGCCAAGATAAAGCTGTCTTATGCATTCCTTTGTCTTATGAATGGAAGGAAAGAGGAAGGGTAAGAACAGAGAGAGAGCTGATAATTTAAGCTACATTTTGACATTACCTTCTCAATGGAAGTAACTCTAGTGCTTGAAATAGAAGAAATAAGCAGAGGAAACAAGTAGTCACTTTAGGTAAATAGGACAAATGATCATTCTCTTCTCCATCACCATCATCAAAATATCTCAGCTGGGTTATATTAGTCTGTTCTCACACTGCAAGTAAAGACATATCTGAGGCTGGGTAATTTATAAAGGAAAGAGGTTGACTCACAGTTCAGCCTGGCTGGAGAGGCCTCAGGAAACTTACAATCATGGTGGAAGGGGAAGCAAATATGTCCTTCTTCACATGGCAGCAGGAAGGACAAGGGCCGAGCAAAGCAGGGGGAAAGCCTCATATAAACCCATCAGATCTCATGAGAAGTCACTCACTATTACAAGAACAGCATGGAGGTAACTGTCCCCATCATTCAATTACCTCCCACCGGGTCCCTCTCACGAGACATGGGGATTATGGGAACTAGAGTTCAAGATGAGATTTGAGTGGGGACACTGACAAACCATATCATGGGATAGGTTGTAAAGGTTATTGGGAGCATTTAAACATAATCGTTTTAAGCCTTACATACAATATTGAAAGAAAGTCAGAATGGGTATCATTCACATCTATTTAGTGGAAGAAGCTGAGAGCCAGGTAACTCAGTGAAATGCCCAAATCATATCTAGTGATATGAACCCTAGAGGTATTTCCAATGCATCAAACTGTTCCCTAAGATATTTTCATCCATATGACCCGACAAGTCTAGCTACAACAATAGGCTTAGATGCATGATGCATATCTACGTTTCCTCCATTTCTATCTCATGAACTTTTATGGGGGAATAAGAAAACTGAATATGGACATTATAACAGTTGAAACACAAAGTGGCTAGACCTCTCATCAGAACAAAGGGAAAATACAACCTCACTGGACTTACAAATTCAGTACAACCCAACTAAGCAGAAGCACACAGTATTGAAGTTCCTACTACTTTGTAAGTATGTTCACAGAATTGAAACCAAACAGTTCCATCTTGGCAAGTGAAGAGCCAAGATCAGTAACTGACTCTTTCCCAATATGAGGATCTCTAAGCCTATACATCACCCAATGTCTCCACTTGAGACTGGAGAGTCTGTGCTTCTTCACATGATTAAGCAGTGCATAAATATTATTCTTCCGTAGCTAAGAATGTGTGATCTTTTAAGGACGTCTGCCTGATTGAATGCTGAGCCCAGTGGGTTGCAGCTTAGAGTACAGCAGGGCCTGGCTGACTTGAGGAAGAAGAGGTTTTGCATGATGTCAAGGTGTACTCAAGGAAAACCAGGGGTTTTTGGAAATATGGAAGATGTTTCCCTTATTGGTAAATCAGAGGGAAGAAGCACAGCAGTGAACAATGTTTTTTTTTTTTCTTTTTTTTGCAGATACTCACAGTGTAGAAGTCTGGCCCAATAATTGTGTGCAACTTAGGATATTGTAGTTAATTGTCTCAACAACTGCGAAGTAGATAATGCTAAGGAAACTGAGGCTGATCGACATTAAATATTTCTAATTCAAAACACCACCAAATGAAAGCCTTAATATATGTTGAGTTGTGATTCTGGCGCACTTGTTTTTGCATAGTCTAACTACCCACTGGCTGCATTCATCCTCTTCACTTACTGTTTTTTCTCGTTTGATTTTTAACGTGTCTATCTTCTTTAGACAGAATGGAAGATTCTTGGAATCCAGTCAATGTAGCCAAAAATTATCTTTATACTCAATTTTTATTTTTTCATATATCTGACTTGAATTTATTGAACACATACTGTTATTGGTTGAATTGTCTTATTTTCAAATTCCAATACTAAAGTCCCAGCTCCCAGTATCTCAGAATGTAACCTAATCTGGGAATGGGGTCACTGCAGATGTAATTAGTTAAGATGAGGTCATGCCTGAGTAGCGAGCAGGGTGGGCTTCTGAATCCATATGACTGTGTCTTATAAAATGGGAAAGTGTGGACACAGATATGCATACCATCTGAAGATGAATGGGTGATGCTTCTACAACTCAAGGGATGCCAAAGATTGTCAGTAAACTTCCAGAAGATAGGAGAGCAGCATGGGGCAGATTGTCCTCCCAGCACTCAGAAGGAACCAGTCCTATCCACACCTTTGTCTCAGACTTCAGGCCTCCAGAACTGTGAGCCAGTAAATTTCTATTTCAAGTCACCCAGTTTGTGGTTCTTTGTTTTCGTAGCCCTGGGAAATTAATACATCTATTACGTGCTAGTCACGGAAGACCTAGTATTGAGTGATGTCACTGTCTACTTCATGGAGTTTGAGGTCCAGTGATAGAAATGCAACAATTAGGTAAACAGCTAAGGATGTTGTGACACCTTATCCTCTTAATCTGTTGCTTATACACTAACACTTCAGAGGAGAAAGTTGGGGCGCATGACAATTTTCATGCGATCTCATTTGCTCTCTGTGAAGCAGATATTGTAATCCTAGTCAGAGAGCTTTAAGAGCTTGCTAGATCAGCTTAAGCATTGTAGTTTCACCTTGCTGTCCTAACATGGTAGCCACTAGCCATGTGTGGTCATTGGGTGTTGAAATGTGGCTGGTCTGAAATGACGCGTACTGTACATGGCAACTGCACGCCAGATTTCAGAGACGTCATACAAGAGAAAGAATGCAACATATCTCTTTAGTAGTGTCAGTTTGATTACATGTTGAATGGTAACACTTTGGATATACTGGGTAAATAAAATTATGCTTGGTTATATATTGGGATATATCTGCTTGAATAAAATATTGAAATTAAAATCACGCATTTTGTTTTGCCTTAATATGGCTACCAGAAAGTATAAAAAAAAACCCACTACATATGTGATTCATATTTGTGACCATGGTTATATTTCTGTTGGACAATGCTAGCTATACTCATTGGTTCAGGTGTCATAGAGGCTGAGTGAGACCCATGTACACCATTAGCTAGTTCATTAATAGAGCTAAGATTGAACTTAGACTATTTAAATTTGAAGCCACCACTCCTTTACAATACCAAGTGACCACCTTGGCACCAAACGTGAACATTTTTTGAAATGGACTTATGGAGATATATCCAGAACAGGGAAGCTTGATCTCCATCCCACCCCACACGCCACCTTTGTTATTCTTCATTTTACCTTTCTGCACAATTACAGCATCAACCCCAAGACAGCCTTCACAGAAGGCTGCTTCGGAACAGAACATAACTTTCACTTTACCAAATCCAACAAAGCTCCCAAGGCTCAGAGAATCTGTCTAAAGCACCTATTTGGGGACAGGAGAGGTAAAAGCTTTTAAAAGCTTGTTTTTACTCTGTGTGAAATCAACTGACTAATATTTATACTGGGCAGCTTTCTGCAAAGATGAAATAAACTCTCTACAAATAGCCTACAGAGCTCAGACATTCGCTGTGTGTGAGGTCAGAGAAGGGCTCTTGAAAACGCTCCAGTATGCAGAATGCTTAAGGCATCCGTAGACATTCTGAGTTAGATCTTGCTCTGCAAGGTTATCCATTGAATTTGATCAGAAAGAAACTAGTTCTTTTTAAAAGTCTCAGTGACACATGGAAGGATATCTTGCATTCATTAATTCATTCGAAATGTAGTTTTTGACTATGTTTAGAAATGCACTAGAGGTACCTTTATCCACTGTGTCTGGTCCCCAGTAGGTTCACAATAAGCATTTGTTTTTGCATTAATATAAAATACATTCAGAGATAAGAAAATAGTCCTGCTCTCATGCAGATTAAGATCTGGATAAAGAGAGATACCAAAAAATCGATGATCAAAGCAAGTGTCATGGATTTTATAAGTATAAATTATTATAGGGGGCAAAGAAGAAAGCTCTCAATTCAGAGACAGGAGGTATCAAATGCTTCTTAAAGGATGTAGCAGTTGAGAGGAATCTTGAGGAGATGATGGAGTGAGTTAGGTGCAAATTCAAGGAAGAGGAAAAGCACACACTCAGCATCAGGGCATAAAAGAACACAGAAAACAGGATAATATGGCTGGAGTATAGGTGTGGTGAAGATTTAGCAGGAACTGGGGCTAGAAAATAAGGTTGTGGGCATAGGAAGAGAATCAGAAAATGACACATAAAGTAGTTTGTATTTGATCCTTTAAGTAACGGGAGGCCATTGAAGAGTTCCAGGCATGGGATTCACATGGTCAGGTTTGTCTTAGAAAGACCACGCTGGCCACTAAATGGCTGGTAGGCTGGAGACAGGAAAAGGTGGGGACATGGAGAGAGGCAATAAAATGACTGTGGTCATTTATGGGAGACGTGACAAAGCCAAGTGGAGACAGAGAAGCACAGATGAAACCAGAGGCTCACTCTCAGGACAACTTCTTCACATCTGTATGGGTACCAATGACTCTAATCCTAATTTTTTCAGTCCATTCTGTGTCTAGTGCAAAATAATTAATTTTTAAACTTGTATTTAAATAGGATTCTAGTGATTTATTTTTTATTTTCTAAAAGAAAATACAATTTGGAGCAATTACACAATGCAAACTGTTTTTTTTTTTTCTGTTCTGTAGTCTTTTCTATGAGAACACTGCAGTGGTCAAATTTAAAAAAAAAAAGTCTTTGTTAAGGTTTACATTGTTGGAATGTAAATACATTCAAGTAAACTGAGGCCTTGCTATGACCACTGAATGTGGACAAGTACTTGAACACACACTTTGGGGGTACAGAAATGGTATTAATGATGATGATGATGATGATTAAACTCATGTATACACCCTAAGTGACTGACATCTATTACCTCATTACATCCCCATAAGGGCTCTGAGTTAGATATCACTATCCCCATTTGAAAGATAAGGAAACTTGGCCAGGCACAGTGGCTCACCCCTCTAATCCCAACACTTTGGGAGGCCAAGGCAGGTGGATCACTTGAGGTCAAGAGTTCAAGACCAGCCTGGTCAACATGATGAAACCCCATCCCTACTAAAAATACAAAAATTAGACAGATGTGGTGGCACATGCCTGTAATTCCAGCTACTTGGGAGGCTGAGGCAAGAGAATCACTTGAACTGGGAGATGGAGGTTGCAGTGAGCTGAGATCATGCCACTGTACTCCAACCTGGGAGACAGAGCAAGACCCTACTTCAAAAGTAAAACAAAATAAAATAAAAAGGTGAGGAAACTGATGCCCAGAAGGTAGGATGTGTGCACTGACTCACTGCTGATAGAGACAGAATGTGGACCCAGCCTAGTATCTTCCCACCACACCACGTTCTGTAGGATCTCTCTGGAACGTTCTTATTAGCTTCTTCTCTGTATGGAAGTACTTATTAAGAATCTACAGGATTCAAACATAAATTTAAATGAGGAACTTCAATGAAATTCTGCTGATTTTCAAAAAAAATAGTCTAGTATCTTTGAATGGAGAAGAAAAAAAGTAATTTATTTTTTATTTCAATTGGTTTTTGGGGAACAGGTGATGTTTGCTTACATGAATAAGTTCTCTAGTGCGGATTTCTGAGATTTTGGTGCACCCGTTACCCAAGCAGTGTGTACTGTACCCAATGTGTAGTCTTAAAATAAATGTAAAAAGGTTTCTGAGACTTAAAGATGGAATTATATTAAAACTTGAATAAATTCTGCACATGCAAAAAAATGGACAAAGGTCACAAACAGACATTTCTCAAAAGAAGATATAAACACAGTCAACAAACATACGAAAAAATGCTTATAATCATCATCAGGGAAATATGTGCCCATCTAAACCACAGTGAGATACCATCTCGCACCAGTCAAAATGCCTATTAGTAAAAAGTCAAAAAACAATAGATGCTGGTGAGGCTGCAGAGAAAAAGGATGGCTGATACACTTTTGGTGGGTGTGTAAAATTAGTTCAGCCACTGTGGAAAGCTGTTTGAGTATTTCTCAAAGAACTTAAAACAGAGCTACTCTTCAATCCAGCAATCCCATGACTGGGGAAATACCCAAAGGAAAAGAAATTGTTATCTCAGAAAGACACCTGCACAAGTATGTTAATCACTGTAATATTCACAACAGCAGAGACATGGAATTAGCCTAGGTGTGTATCAGCGGTGGACTGGATAAAGAAAATGTGGTATATCTACACCATGGAATACTATGCAGCCATAAAACAGAATGAAATCATGTCTTTGCAGCAACATGGATGCAGCTGGAGGCAATTATCTTAACTGAATTAATGCAGGAACAGAAAACGAGTATCACATGTTTTCATTTATAAGTGGGAGCTAAACATCAAGCACACACGGTCATAAATAAGGGAACAACAGACACGGGGGACTACTAAAATGGCAGGAAGGAATGGAGTAAAAAACTACCTGTTGGCTTCTATGCTCATTACCTTGGTCCAATATACCCATGTAACAATCCTACACATGTACCTCCTGTATCTAAAATAAAGAATGAAGATTTTATAGTGCAAAAAAAAAAAAAAAAAAAGTAGGTAACACAGTTCCTGATATTAAGGAGCTCAAGCATTTGGGAAGGAGAAACTTCTGCTGAGTTTCGGAATGAAAGCCACTTCCAGACTCAGAAGGCCTGTTGTTCAAATGCTGGCTTTGCCTCTTACCAGGTATATGGCTTTGAGTAAGTATCATGACCTTTTTGAGTGTTGGCTCCTCTCTGTCATAAGAGAGATAAAAACTGCATACCCTTCATAGGATTATTTCTACAATAAATTAGGTCATGAAAGTAAATTTCTTATCACTATGCTGAACATCTCTGTGCTATTATTGCTGTTATTGTTATTTAAGCGAAGTGACTTGGATGGCAGTGTGCAGGGGGTTAGGAAAATTTTCCAGAAAAAATAATCCATCAAACCCAGCCTGGGAGGAAAGGAGCATGTTGAGGGAGCAGAGAAGGAGTGTGACACATCACACCCATCATCACACAGCGGGCTTGGAAAATAACACACTAGCCGCCAATGGTAGGAAGGCCAGAGATGGTCTCCCCAAAGGGCGCCTTTAAAATACTGAATTGAGCTTTGGTTCTGAATCACCTAAAAGCATTTAATGGGATGCTTGCCTGTGCTTCAGCAAGGCCAATCTCATCTGACCACCATGCTCAAAACGAGAATTGCAATTGACAAACATCCCAGTCCAAAAAAATCAGAAAGTGGGGCCATGTGAATTATCTCTTCTCACCTTTATCTATTATAGCTCCCCCACTAGACATTGCTAACTCATGACATACTGTTTAAGCCTCCATAACCACTCTCGGAGAAGAAATCATTCACAAGCCAATAAGAAAATCTCAAAAAATAAAAGGTGCCATTGCTTATCAGTGTGGTTCTTCAAATAACTAAGAAATTGTTTTGACTTTCTATTTGAGAATGCAAAATTATAAGAACCCAAACTAAAACCAAGCACCTACTGAGATGACGATAATGATGATGACAATGATAATGATGATTTTATCAGCGTTCTATTGTTGTTATAACAAATTACCAGAAACATTGTGGCTTCACACAATGCAAACATATTCTCTTTTAGTTCTGATTTCTCAACTGACGTAAAGTCAAGGTGTCACCAGGGCTCTGGAGGCTCTGAGAGGATCATCGGTTTCTTTGCCATTTTTGAGCTTCTAATGACCACCTTAATTCCTTACCTTGTGGTCTCTTTCTCCAACTTCAAAATGCATTACTCCAGTTTCTGATTCTGTTATTACATTTTCTTCCTCTCTGACTCTGACTCTACACCTCTGTGTTCCCCCTTGTAAGTACTGTTGTGATTACACTGGACTCATCTGGATACTATAGAATAATCTCTCCAATTCAAAAGAAATAATTCTCCTTACTTAAATCTGTCTGCATAGGTCCTTTTTCCATATACAGTAACACTCGCAGGTTCCAGTGATTATGATGTGGACAGATTTGTGGGCGTTACTGAGTCTATTGCAATGATTCTAGGGGAAGACTGTCCAATAAAACTTGCTGAGATGACAGAAATATTCCATATCTGTACTGTCTAACACAGGAAACTCTAGCCACGTGTGGCTGTTGAGCGCCTGAAAGGTAGACAGTCTGACTGAGTGTGTTAGTCTGTTCTTGAAATCCCTGAGAATGGGTATTTTACAAAGAAAAGGGGCTTAAGGCTGCGCACAGTGGCTTCACGCCTGTAATCCCAGCACTTTGGGAGGCAGAGGCGGGCGAATCCCCTAAGGTCAGGAGTTTGAGACCAGCCTGACCAACATAGTGAAACCCCATCTCTACTAAAACTACAAAGATTAGCCGGGTGTGGTGGCAGGCACCTGTAATCCCAGCTACTCGGCAGGCTGAGGCAGGAGAATCGCTTGAACCTGGGAGGCGGAGGTTGCAGTGAGCTGAGATCGCACCACTGCACTCCAGCCTGGGGGACGTCTCAAAAAAGAGAGGCTTAATTAGCTCATGGTTGGTGCCAGCATCAGTTTGGCTTCTGGGGAGGTCTCAGGGAGCTTTTACTCACGGTGGAAGGTGAAGCAGAAGCAGGCATGTCACATGGTGAGAGTCGGGGCAAGAGAGAGTGAAGGGGAAGATGCCAACCGCTTTTAAACAGTCAGCTTTCACAACAATTCACTATCATGCCACTACCACCAAGGGTATGGCACTAAACCACTCATAAAAAAATCTGCCTTCATGGTCCAATCACCTCCCACCAGGCCCTAAGTCCAACACTGGGGATTACAATTTGACATGAGATTTAGATGGGACAATATCTAAATGATATCACTAAGAAACTGAATTTTAATTTTATTTAGTGTCGTTTTAAGTAGCTACATGTGGCTAGTGGCTGTCATATGAGACAGGACAGTTCTAGGGTAGGTGACAGGCAGCTCTCATTATGCCACCAAGCTTCTACAGTTCTAGGAAACTAAAGAATGATTATAGGGAAGTATCTGATCCCTTGTCACATAGTCATTTAAATACAATCACCACATCATTAAATTCACTAAGGTAGAAAAGTTGACCCCCATTTTTTTCAGCACCAAGGACAGAAACAAAAAACTTGCTTAGCATTCTCTCTGCTAATCTGCATTCCTTTTATTTGAATTTTTACAACATTCTTATTGGTAAACGAATCTTAAAGAACTGAATTTTATGCCTGCTTAGGTTATGTTGGGAATTCCAAATGCAGAAGGCAGACAAAATCATGCTAAGTAGTCTGTTTATTGCAGAGTCTTTTTCCACCTTTTGGCATGGTAAATTTAATGCTGAAAATTGAGCTCGTTCCACAACATACAAGCATGGAACACAGGATTCTGATGCTGGAAATGTGAACAAAGTAGGCTGAGTAGAGTGTTATCAGCCTAGGCGTTAGGAACATAGACTATAATCATCAATATTCAGAATGACAAAAAAGGAACACACGGAGTGGTACAATGAAAATTAGCCAGATTTGGAAGATTGGCCAGAGAAGTTGTAAATTACTAAAAATCAAATTCTTCCTTAAAATTCTGTTAAATACAAGGACATGTTTTTAAATATATATATATTAATTAGCTGGGCATGGTGGCATGTGCCTGCGGTCCTAGCTACTCAGGGGGCTGAAGCAGGAGGATTGCTTGAGCCCAGGAGTTTGAGGCTGCTGTGAGCCACAATCATGTACTTGCACTCCAGCCTGGGTGACAGAGCAAGACCCTGTTTCAAATAAAATAGATAAAATAAAGAGCCCAAATGAGGCATGTTCCTATTACATAAAGCAAATAATTTAGAGAGAGACAGAACTAATTCAAAAGATTGCCTTGACTCCAGCCCAAAGATCAGCAGGGAAGGGCCAAGTGATCTCTCAAAGGAATTCTGAAAATCAGAGGGATCACATCACCTGTCTGGCTGATGTTTGGTGTGTCTAGTCCTGCCTTCCCAGGCTGCTTCTGCTCACAATGGAGTCACAGCCCTTCAGCAGACTGAATCTTAAAGCAAAACCCAAGAAGAGTCCCTTACTAGGATATCAAATCAAGGCCAAAAACAAGATGACAAGTTGCATTAAATAGCAAAGCAACAGTACAAGATTTACAGTCAACCAAAGTCGCAGATAAGGAGTGTTCCTGCGGAGGAAACCCCAAGAAAAAGGGATGTGGCAATGCCCGGAAAGCAAAGATGGGTAAGTGGGTGGTTGAAGAATTGGCTTCAGAGCGAATCTCATGATTTGAATATCTTAGTATAATTAGAGGGCTGATGACTTTATTTAAGAGCCAGATTTGTGGGTGCAGGTACGGTAAGAAGTGTGAGCCATTTGGTTGTCTCTTTAGAATCTGGAGTTGATGGATTTCTAGACCTATGACAGCTTTCAGAGTTTTCCAAGGGTGCTATGATGAAGAGATCTCCAGTGTTAGATTTTAGGCCACCTAAAGAAGATAAGAGATTGAAACTGTCTAAGAATCTATGTATCCTTAGGCTGATAAAGACACCCTAATGTCAGAGCAAAACAATGAGAATCAGAGAGTAACAGCAGGTGCTGTTTCTGGGTAAGATGGGACTTGATTATATTTATTAGGTGGGTCTTTTTGAGACATGGGAAAGCTTGTTTCACCAAGACTAGAAGATAATGAACAATTTGAGGTTTAGTGAAAGCTATCAACACCCCCACCTCAACCAGAGTTGAACTTGGACTTATGAACTAGCACAGACCATAGTTACAATCTGTTTTCTTCCTCATGGTTCCTTCCACAAAGTAGAATTTGCTAACCCAAGTTAATGTGGGAGTTAAACAAGTCACAGTTGAATTTATTTTAATTCTTTTCCATTGATAGATGAAAATGGGGAGTAAAGGTACATTATCCACTCCTTCCATGTCAGACTCAACCCCTCTAATTAAGAAGACAGCCTGGCTGGCTGGAAAATTTTGAACTATAAACAGTGAAACTAGAATCATAGACCAATCCACTCTAGTGAGTAGCTACAAGCTCCAGTAGAGATTCTGCAAACCTAATCTCGCCAGGGATAGAGCCCTGATAGAGCTGAGCCTCCCCTAGTCTAGCAGAGCTAGCAGCTCCAAGATCAGAAACTGCACACTTATCTATTATGAACGCCTGAGCTCTTGGAGAGACAAAGTGTCATTCTTTTCTCAGTAATGAGAAAAGCATCTGCCTTGAACAAGGGGGGGAAAACGTCAAATCAGACATTTCTGCCAATTTATTATGGCTCAGAAGACTGAAGGAAGTTCTGCAGCCTCCTCCATTCAGAAGCCACATGGCAAAGATGTTCACTAAATGTAGCTGGGACACAGATTTAAAGGGGGAGCAATCACAGAGAAACATGGGGAGACACAGGTCTACCTTTCTGTCCATTCAAAAGGAGCATTTTGGAGAGAGACACATCTGAAGTAAGATCCCTAGAATGACATTCTTTAAAAACTCTGACCAAGGAAAATTCACCTTAACTTTTAAAACCATTGTACATGCATCATTAAAAGGTGGAAATAAAATGTTATCTTGGTGTGCGAAAGTGTGGATTAAAGATAATATGCATAACTTAGCTGGGCGTGGTGGCTCACACCTGTAATCCCAGTGCTCTGGAAGGCTGAGTTGGGAGGATCACTTGAGGCCAGGAGTTGAAGATCAGCCGGAACAACATAAAAAAAAAAAACGGTCTCTACAAAAAATAAAAAACAATTTTCTGGGCATAGTGGTGTGTGCCTGTAATCCCAGCTACTCGGGAGACTGACGTTGGAGGATTTCTTGAGTCCGGGAGTTCGAGGCTGCAGTGAGCTATGATGGTACCACCGCATTCCAGCCTGGGCAGCAGAGTGACAGAGCAAGACTCTATCTCAAAAAAAAAATAATAATAATAATTCTCTCTCCAAGCCTCAGTTTTTTAATCTCCAAAATAGGAACAGCAAAAGAAGCTACAACATAAGACTATTTTGAAGATTAAATGGGATTAATACATAAAGTACTTGGCATTAGGACCTGGCACATATTAAGAGATTAATATTTGCTATTTTAAGAACAATTATGAAATACTTGCCAAAAGGTACCTCAGGCAGTTCCTGTCATTTAGTAAATGCTTAACCAAAAACTTGCTTTTACATTACTCAACCATTAATACTCTTGAATTTAAAAAAAGGTATCAGTTACACGTTCCCTAAAATTACCTAATAGGGCAGACCTAGGAGAAACAAAAGGACAAACAGTGAAACAGAGACAGACAGAGGCAGAGAAACAGAGAGATTTGGACAGAATGAGAAAAATGAAGACAAAGCCAGACACAGACATGGGGAGACAGACACGCTGAGATTCACAGCAAGATTTTATAAAGATAGAGATAGATGCATAGGTAGGTAGATATAATGACAGAGCAATAGAGAGATTAGAGGCATAGATAATGGATGAATGTATACATAGATAGTGGACATGTGAAGTATACAGACTGATGGATTGATGAACGTATAGACAAACATAATGATAAAATGACAGTAGATAAGTAGGGGATGAATGTATAGATAGATAATGGATGTGAGAATGTATAGATGGATAGATGGATGGATAGATTAATGTATGGATATGTATAGATAGATGTATACATATACAAATAAAGTGATAGGTAGATAGTAGATAGGTGGATAATAGATGAATGTATAGCTAGATAAGGGATGTGAGAATGTATAGATAGATGGATAGATGATGGACAGATTGATGTACGTACAGACAAATAGAGTGATAGGTAAATAGTAGATAGGTGTGTAACGGATGAACGTATAGATAGACGATGTCAGAATGGATAAACATATGATGGATTGATGTATGTATAGACAGAATGACAGGTAGATAGTAGATAGGTAGACAATGGATGAATGTATATATGGATAATGAATGTATGAATGTACAGAGTGATAGAATGATAGACAAACAACGAAAGAATGATAGCAGATAGACAGGCAGACAGTAGATAGATATAGAGGTCCATATATATCTGTACATAGTTGTATATCTAAATGTGTATCTATCCAACTATCTAGCTATAATAAAGGAGAAAAAGAAAAGGAGAAAAATGCAGAGTGAGAAAGGGAAACTGCACAGCCATCCCTTTCACCATGCCAGAACAACACCAGGCTAAGCATGTATGTGGAGGGAGCTGAAGCCCCTCCTGCAGGGATGAGCACGCTGCAGATGAAGATGTGAGCAGGACCAGCTCATCAATCACAATCACGCAGGGACACACTAGCACGGCAAGAGGATTAGCACTCCAGCCTGCTCAGGTCTTTTCCCTCTAACAGCATCTCTTTAATTAAACATCACCTCCAGTGATTACTTCCGCCGAGGTGCCCCCTTCATTCACAAGGCCGGCCTCTTGTAATCTACGCTCCAGAGTTAATTAGAAAAGAGGCCCTGGAAAAAAAAATCCATTCCAAGAGTGGGAATCCCTGAGCAGAAATTATCGGACGCTGGTAATAGATTTGCTTTTCCTTGGAATTGAGATTGACTGTTAAAAGGCCTTCATTAAGCTGCAGCTTTTTTTCTACCCAAGACCTCTCCAATAAAGCTATCAGGATCTTACTGAAGAGGCTCTTAGGTTGTCCAAGTGCTGAATGAGGAGGCACTTTTACAAGCTGCATCCAGACTGCTCCAGAGAATGTGTCTGCATGGAGAGGTTTGAATGCATGTGTGTGTGTGAGTGTCTGTGCGTGTGGTGCTCGGTCTCAGTGCGTGTTTCTATATGTATATGAACAGGTGCAGGAGTGGATAGTCTACTGCTTATCTTCATGCATGGGAAGAGAGATGGCAGATGAGAATTCTGAAACATGGAAAGACATTCCCACTTTAAGGAATGTTCATCCATTCATGCATTTACTCAACTAATATTTAGTGCTCCCCTATTTCACGCAGGTGAAATTCACTGTGCTGGGCATATAACAAGATGAATTTCTCAACTGCATGGGGAGTGCCTTTCAGTACAGGAGACAGGACACTGACACATAAACACATTGATATGAAGTACAATGACCCATACATGTGATGAGTATGAGGGCGTGGAGCAAGACAGTGATGGGGCCGCTATTTGAGATAAAGTAGTTGAGGAAGGAGTATACCATGTGGATGTCTTGGAGGAAACAAGGTGAGGCAGTGGGAACTGCAAGTTCAAATGCCTGAAAGTGGTTAAGGCGCAGTGGCTCACACGTGTAATCCCAGCACTTTTGGAGGCCGAGGCGGGTAAATCACCTGAGGTCAGGTGTTCGAGATCAGCTTGCCCAACATGGAGAAACCTCATCTCTACTAAAATTACAAAAATTAGCTGGGCATGATGGCAGGTACCTGTAAGCTCAGCTACTCGGGAGGCTGAGACAGGAGAACTGCTTGAACCCGGGAGGCAGAGGTTGCAGTGAGCCGAGATTGTGCCACTGTACTCCAGACTGGGTGACAGAGCAAGACTCCATTTCAAAAAGACAAAAACAAATGCCTTGAAGTGAGAATTGTGTTTGAACTAACTGCAGAGTGGCAAGGAGGCTGAACAAAAACAGGAGGTGACGGATGCTGGAAGAGGCAGGCAATGTTGGAACCCTGACTATTGCATAGCTTGTCTCCTAGTAACGGCCTGGATCTCTGTCTATTCCCCTAGACCTCAGCTGAATGACTTGCTTCTTAGCATCTGCTCCAAAATGGCAGGAGATACCACCCAGATCATAACACATACCTTCTATCAAGCCTGGGTGCCATTAAATGAGCTCGTCATGTGAACTGGACACTGTGAATGCCAGGTGCTTTGCTCGCCTTCCCCTGAATCCTCAAGCCACTCTACAGGGGAGATGCTGTTATTATGCCCAAGTTATGGATGTAGACATAAAACCGAGAGAAGTTAAGTGACTGGCCCAAGGTAAGATTAACTGGACAAATCTAACTGTCCACGTAGAAAAGACACAAGGCCGGGTACCATGGCTCACACCTATAATCCCAGCACTTTTGGGAAGCCGGGGGACAGGGTGGATCACTCGAGGTCAGGTGTTCGAGACCAGCCTGGCCAACATGGTGAAACCGCATCTCTACCAAAAAAAACAAAAATGAACCAGGCGTGGTGGCAGGTTCTCAGGAGGACTGTAATGCCAGCTACTCAGGAGGCTGAGGCAGGAGAATCACTTGAACCCGGGAGTCAGAGGTTGCAGCGAGCTGAGATCACGCCACTGCACTCCAGCCTGGCCAACAAAGCAAGACTCCATCTCAAAAAAAAAAAAAAAAAAAAAAAGACACAAACACACAAATACCCACAGACAGCACAGTGAAGTTGCAAACACACCAAGTGGTAGCACAGAAGAAGGATCAGAAATTGTGTTTTCCTGTAAAGAGCCAGACAGGAAACACTTTCAGCTCTATGGGGCATACATTTCTGTTGACACAACTCAACTTCACAGTTGTAGCAAAACAGCAACCATGAACAATATGTAAATAAATGGGTGTGGCTATGTGCCAATAAAACTTTATTTACAAAAATAGGTGATGGGCCTGCAGACCGACACTTGCTGTTAAGTATAAGCTGATAACCAAATGCCAAGTGGACTCGGAGAGCCACAGAAGATAGTCAAGGGATGTAATATTCAGACATGAGAGAGTTGGGAAATACATATATGTACATACATTATGGATACATATACATTATATATGGATGTGTTTCACATAATAACAAAATAGATGTCAGTTAGGCACATGTTTAGATAGAACAATCTTCTATTTAAAACCTCTCTTTATAATCTTGAGGTATGGGCTCTTGCCTGGGGGAGTAGGGACAAGCCATCTGGGGGTTGAGAACTGCTTCAGCCCAAGACAAAGGCCACATCCTCAGCTCATTCACCTCATTCCCTGTCATGTTACAAAACTAAAAAAAGCACATGTGGGAGGTTGAAGCATTCAGCTGGATTCAAGGAAAACCTATTGAGCGTGTTAATCTATTTGTAATTCAACAAGGAGAAAATAAAAGTACAAGGTAAACTGCAGAGGATGGGAAAATGTCTTCCAGAAATGTATAAGCAACAGCGCATAGCAAGGCAAAGCATTAAATAGTCACTGCGTGGTCTGCCTGGAAACATGAGGGAAAAGCAACACGCGAGGGTGCAGCTGTGTGTGCATGCATAAACAGAACTAGTCATTATAGTTGTAAAACAAAATAACAGGTAGGTCAGTGAACACACCTGTCCCTTGATTATTAACTAATGTGTCTATAGCAGGTGGAAACAACTTCCTACCTGAGGGAATAAGACTTCTCTTTATCTAAGTCAAGTCCTCTGTTATTAAAAAAAAAAAAAAGTGGATTAATGTTGGGGAACGTAACCCTGCATACAAATTTTGATATGCAAGACATAAAAATGCAACTGAGTTATGAAAACCCAGACAGTATCTCTTTCCTCAATAGTTTTGAACAACTTGGGGCATATGGGTTGGGACAAATGTCTTCTTTACTTTCCTGATACTGACAATATCCTTATTCATCTGATAGCCCAAAGGTGGCCATTAAATCAGAAAAAACAGAGCCCAGAGGATATCCATGCTAGTTAGATACATAACAATATAAACATCTGGGAGCTGTGCGAAAAATACCCAATGCCAGCCAGGCACTGTGGCTTATGCCTGTCATCCCAGAACTTTGGGAGGCTGAAGCGAGCGGATCACCTGAGGCCAGGAGTTCAAGACCAGCCTGACCAACATGGTGAAACCTTGTCTCTACTAAAAATACAAAAAATTAGCCAGCTCTGGTAGTGGGCGCCTGTAGTCGCAGCTACTCAAGAGGCTGAGGTAGGAGAATTGCTTGAACTCAGGAGGCAAAAGTTGCAGTGAGCTGAGATCGTGCCAGTGCACTACAGCCTGGGTGACAGAGTGAGACTCTGTCTAAAAAATAAATAAATACCCAATGCTACAATGCCAGTGGAAAAGCAAAATGGCACAGCCACTTTGGATAACAACAATAATGGTATCCTAGAATGTTAAATCTGAACTTACCATGTCTCCCAGCATTTCTACTTTGAAGGATTTATCTCCCCAAAATGAAGACATGTGTCCACATAAAGACATGTACTCAAATTCCACAGCATTCTTAATAGCCAAAAACTAGAAACAAATGTCCATTAATTGGTCTGGTGAATGGATAAACACATCTTGGTATATTCCTACCGTGACGTACCACTCAGCAATGAAAAGGAACAAAATGTTAATATGTGCAACAATTATGGCTGAATCTCAAAAACTTTATGCTCAGGGAAAGGACTCAAACAAAAAAGACTCTGCACAGTATGATTCCATTTATTATGAAATTCAAAACAACAGGGACAGAAAGCTGATTAATACTTGCCAGGGGTTAGGGAATGGGGGGGCAGAATAGACTGAAAATAAAGCGTAAGGAAACTTAAGGTCAAGGAACTGTAGTGGAGACTGTGAGATTGTATATAATCATCAAAATTCAAACTGTACACTTAAGCGGATGAATTAGATTGTACATAAACCATCACTTAATTTTGAAAACATCTGATGCGCAGCCTCTGCTATAAACCAGTTAAAGCAGAATTTCCCAGGATGAAAAGTATTTTAATTATTCCCAGGCCTGGCTTTTAACTCTGGATGCAAAGCCATACAGCCCCAGTAACCTGTTGTCTTGGGTAGCTGAACTTATACCCAACTCTGGAAAACCCACCTTTAAAATACCAATATTTCCCAACCTATAAGATAAATAAGCAATTATTCTATTATCAGCCACCCCAATAAGAACACTGTCCTATCTGTATCCTCAATTCAAACCTCCACCCTCAGGCAGTATGTCTGTAGATAACAAGGTTGGCATCCCAGGAAAGGTCTGGATATTAAAGATATACAATGTCCACCACACACTAACTGCTTTTTAGGTCCAAGACACCACAAAGTGCTTATCTAATATCCTCATATTTTTACATGACACACATTATTACCATCTTTCACAAGTAAGGGAAATGAATCTAGAAGAGATAAATAACTTGCCCCAATTCACAGGTTCAGTAAGTCTGATCTGGGATAGGACAACAGGTCTGCCAGATTGTGAAGCCAACGCTCTTCGTCAAGAACCCAAGTATTGCAACGATTTACTTTAGGTCTCTCACAGCATCCAGGAGGGACCCAAAATAGTTTGATGAGTCTATTTCCGCAGTCACATAGTAGGTGGTTAATAAATATTCTGCACTGCTCTGCGATCCCAATTCCAGCACAGCCTTGGTACAGCTGGAGAAACAGTTCTTCTAACTTGAGGAAGGTGAATAAAAGGGTAGCACCTTTTAGTGACGAGGGTGGCTTCCCTCTCCTCCCACGGTGTTCCAGGCTGAGGGGCCCAGGTTCATGACCTGGGAAAATCAGCTGACAATCATAGGCACATTTTCAGATCTCCTAGCCAGGTGAAGGTCTTTTCCAACCCAGGATAAAGTCAAAAAGGGAGTTAATTGCAGCCAAAAGCTGCCCCCCTCTCAGTCTTTGCTTCTGCAACATCTAAGCCCATCTCCTGTACATGGTGTTCAGGATTTGGGGACAGAACATCCCGAGCTTGTGGGAGGACTCATTTACATAGAGGTGGGTAGGCAGGGGCTTACCAGCACATCCAAGAACATAAGCAAATACGCCCAGGAAGGAAAATTCCTTCATCATTGTGGATTCGAAGTGCAAGCAGGGGAGCCTCTCCCTGATAAGAAATGCCTGTCACAGCATCTTCTTCCTCCTGGGTTCTCTTGGAAAGCAGATCCAGAATTTGTGTACCCGAGGCTAGGCAATATCTTCATGACTGCTTTCCAAAAAAAAAAAAAAAAAAAAAAAAAATCCCAGGCAATCAAAGGGAAGATGCATGCAAACTCTTGATTTAAGAAACAACAACAACAACAACAACAACAACTGGGATGAAATGGAAGGAGGGGCTGAAGAGGTATAAGGAGAAATTCAGGAATAAGGCTACAGCTGGCCCTGACGCAGCAATCACTGTCAGCTGTGCGGACTGAACAAGCCTCTTTGAGCCTCATTTTTCTCACCGGTAAAGTGGGACTGTAACGCCTCCCTAAAGCACTTCACAGAGTTACTGCGAAGATAGAATTAATGAGGATGATTGCAGCTGACACTGTTTGAGCTCTTACAATGCAATGCACCAGGCACTGTGCCCAGCGTTCTGCATATATTAGATTCTGTAACCCTTCATGCAACACAATGGAATAGATGCTACAAAATATTATTGTTATGACTATAGAGCAGGAGGACTTGTTGCTATGATAACCATCACTAGCCCTTGCTAGGTGTGGACGCTGCACGGCTTGATTTGTAGGCAATACAGATCGCCCCGACTCAAGACTTTTCGACTTTACAATGGTGTGAAAGTGAAATCATTCAGGAGAAACCGTATCTCGCGTTCTCATAATAACCATACTGTTTTTCACTTTCAGTAATGCATTCAATTATTACATGAGATATTCAACACTTTATTGTAAGATAGCCTCTGTGTTAGATGGTTTGCCAAACTACAGACTAATATAAGTGTTCTGAGAACTTTTAAGGCAGGCTAGGCTAAGCTGTGATGTTGAGTAGGTGAGGGGTGTTAAGTGCATTTTTGACTTATTATGTTTTCTACTTATGATGGGTTTATTGCAGTATGATCCCATCCTAAGTCAAGGAGTATCTGTAGTTCATGTCATACTCAAAGCATTCTTATAAGGTTGGTACAAGGAATACCAAATATGTTTTCAATAGAAGATATTGTTATTTGCTGTAGTTATCTGCAAGATTCCTTCAGGGATTTAATAGCCCTTAGTCATCTGAAGGGTAAGTTAACTTTCAAATCAGCCTAGCAGCAAGTAAGATCAAATTAAGGTATGATAGATTCTTGCTAACTCACCAAAAGAGAGTAATTTGCACTACAGAGGCATCCCAATATTCCACCAAAGAAGAACAATTTATATTATGAGAAGTATCTGAATAATTTAGCAGCAATTTATATCTAATATCACCTGACATATGTGCATACATTCTACAGCAATATCTACAGAAATATCCACAAGTTTACACATTATATAGATAATGCGATTTCTATTATCCACAAAACCGTAAGCACCCTGAAGACGGGGGCTCTATGTTTCTTGCTGTATATTTTATCCCAAGTACTTCTGAGTCCTTACTCTGTTCCATTTATGTTACTCAGTTTCTAATCCAGACAGCCTTGCGGAGTATGTAGCACCATCCTCATTGAACAAATGAAAAAAATAGGCTCAGAGATGGAGGGCAACTGTCCAGATGTAAGGAGCAATAGGAAGAGCTAGAATTCAAGCCCAGGATGTTTTGTCTCAAGAGCTAGGGTTCTTTGGCCATATCACTTGGATATCATGCATGGCAGGTAGCAGCCCTATAAGCTGTGGAAAAGACAGTAGCATTGAGTAATTCGCACTACAGAGACCCCTACCCCTGCCCCTCCCTCCCAGGTCCCTCGCATCCCCTCAGAGGGAAGCAGCCCCAGGAGGACAACTTTTATCCAAGAGGCTGTTTCAATTCCCAGCTGCTTTCTGCTTCCTCCATAAGTGCCAAGGCCCAGCAGATCATTAATTACGACTTCTCACAAATGGCTTCCCACATCCCCTTGCAGTCAAGCCTGTGCCCTCGGAGGGCAGAAGATTTCTCGGCAGCAGAAAGTGGCCTGTGCTTCCAGCTCCATACACAGCTCTCAGCACTGCACTTGCTCATGCGGCACCAAGGCCTTCAGGCAAGAGGGAATCCGCAGATGAAAATGAGTCCACGCTTGAAAAAAGGAGGTGATGGAGACAGGGCTTGCAGCTTTCCCAAAGTAAATACCATATATGTATTTTTTTAAACGGAGCCGGTGACAATTAGAACAAAGAACTAATAATTCTATTACACATTTACTGTTCTCAAATGTCTATTGCATTCACTTTCTCATTTGTGGAAACGAGAAATTTTCTGAGCAGCTACTATATACTAGGTGTTATCTCTCTTAACCCTCTAAACAGTAAAAGGATAGTGCTACCAGCTCAGGTTGAAAGAGAGGGAAACTGGGATTGACAGAAAACACAGAAGAAGGACTAGATGTCAGATCTGTCCTTGCTCTAGCCAAAACCCTAAGTTGCTTCCCGAGGCCCAGTGCTGCAGGCAGAAAAAGACGAACATCCCCTCACCCAAAGCTCAGAAAACTGTAACTTAGAGAGTGTGTGTAGCTGTCCCAAGACACACAGGCTTAACAAGAAAGGCACAAGATATTCAGCCTTCTTTAAGAACATGATAATCAACAGCTCACATAGACCATTCAGAAGAAAGGCAGTTGTTTACTGAGTCAGCACATGGACATCGGTGGGGAACATCAGGCTGGAACTGGCACCTATACGTCGGCCTCACTTCTGACCAAGCCCCAACATTTGCCTTTTCCTAGGAATTTAATAACGGTTGCTGACACAAATTGGGAAGGGGGAAATCTCCGATAAAAACTCACATTTAAGCTGAAAATGTCTATTATTAAAACAAATTATTGAGGGATGTTCTGGGGAAGACTCTTCACATCTAGCTTTGTTACAAATTCGACATGCTGGGGAGAATGTGGAGCTGATGCCACTATCACACTAGAGAAATTCCAGCTCCAATCACCTACACCTGCCCCCCCTCCAGGTGCCCCACTTCCCCTCGGAGAGAAGCAGCCCCAAGAGGGGCTAGACTTGAAGTGGAACAAAAGCAGAAGAAGCTGCATCCTTCCATCTCTGAGCTGTGGTGAGATGCACAGTACCTGTTTCATGCTTCACACCCCAGGCCCAACCAGCTACCTTCACCCGGGAAAAGGCAGGCTCTTGAGTCCTTTCCCATAGACAGCAGCTCAAGGGACTTCAGGTGTCCTGCAAGCAAGGAAGGGCTGAGAAAAGGGCAAGCATTGTAGAGTAAAATACCTGGGTTTGGGCCAGGCACCCCGGCTCATACCTGTAATCCCAGCACTTTGGGAGGCCAAGCCAGAGGATACACTGAGCCCAGGAGTTCAAGACTAGCCTGGGCAACAAAGTGAGACCCCCATCTCTACAAAACTATACAATACAATAAATTAGCCAGTGTGGTGGTGCATGCCTGTAATCCCAGCGACTCGGGAGGCTGAGGCAGGAGAGTTGCCTCAACTCGGGAGGCAGAAGTTGCACTGAGCCGAGATCACACCACTGCGCTCCAGCCTAGGCAACAGACCGAGACCCTGTCCCTAAAATTAAAATTAAAAAAAAAAAAACAAAACTGGGTTTTGATCCACTTCCCACCACAACCTGAGTGCATTCCTGCCTATGACTCCACTTTCCTGTTTGTGGATTCGGGATAAACTCTTCTACACTCTCACAGTGGCTGGTACGTCTAAGTGAGATTGTATCTGCAGAGAGGCTAATACCGTGTTCGGTCCGCACGGGAACAAACGAAATGATGGTACTCTCCCCTTTACTCATCGAATTAACAAACTAGCCCCGTTCAAGATGCAACAGAGCTATTTCAAGGCGCTCGACTCAAGCAAAGGAGGTTTTCTACATCCTCAGGGTATTGTTGGCATCTAGACTAGATCCATTTATTTAGCAAGTAGCATACAAATCCAGCAATAAGCGGAGTCAGTTTTGGGTTCCTTTTAGCTAAAAGGAAAGCAAATGGATTGAATTTTTCATATTCAGAGGTTGAGGTTTTTGTTGCATATAGCGGAAAGCTGGCAAAAGTGGCTTCTGAAATAAGTTGAATCATTTATAATGGTGACCAATCCAGTTTGTGTCAGAAATCATCTCACTGTGAGGTGTGCCAATGCCCAGCATCAAGGACCTCAGGGTTAGAAGGAACTTCAGACATGGTACCAGGGACTCCCCCTCTCTAGCCTCTGCAAACTGCAGCCCCTACTGTGAACACTAAAGCACTTTCTCTTCAGCAGCTCAGATTGCTACACTATTTCTCTAACTCTCCTCCCACTCCTCACTCCCTTAAAAAATCTTTCCCTTTAGATGTATTTTTTTCCCTTGGGCCACCTGGAGTAAAGTCTATCTTCCTCTTGCTATCCCTTTTAGCTATTTGAACAAGGTGACTCTCTGCCCTCTTTGTGTTCTCTTCATTCTACGCAATGATAGTTCTGTCAGAATATGGAAGACTACATTACATGAAGGTAGCAACATTTTCTATATACTCTGGGTGAAGTGAAAAGCTGTCAAAAAACTTTCTTTTACAGATGCATTCTAACAAATTCTGATTATTTAAAAACATATGGGATTCAACTGCACTCCTTAATCATCGGGTTGCAAGTGCTTATCCATTTGAAATGCACTTATTCGATTTGGAGTTAATTTTCTCCATGGCTTTAAAACAGTGTAGAGAGAAGGAGGAATTCAAATTATATACTTATGAATCAAAGTCAAAGTCTCAATTATGTGTGGGAGTGCAAAGGTTCAGATCAAGCAATAAACAACAAGATGCTTTAAGATGTCTTTGTTAGACTCTGCTGCCAGCCCTAGCAAAGCCCTCTGATATTATCTCTGCATTTTTCGAAGATTTTCCTAGACTCAGGGTCTATTTTCCACCTACCTTCCCCCCAGCTGTGTGGTTATGGGAAGAGAAGGGAAAGGTCATATTTGCAGTGGATGATGTTGCATCCAATGCCACCTTGAAGTCTGAGGCTAGTCCCCAGGGCCCAAGGAATTAAAACCAATGCAGTGGACTTGACTTGCATGTAGTTACTACCATCGTAATAAGGTGAGAGCAGCTTGGGGGTCCCAGGAACACGAAACTCAGGCCATGCCATATGGAGCCAGCCGGAATCTGTCAAGTTCGCTTAGTACATTTTCTCTTTGGGGAGTCAGCCAGGCAATAATATTCAGGGGGCAGAAGGGAGAGGCAAGGAATGTGGGCAGGAAGGGGCTGTTGAAATATCGGAATTAATGCTGATGTAAAACCAGATGCACAACCACCCCCCGACCCCCCACGGGTAAACCCTCTTTTCATAGACCCAAACTGGAGCCCAGGTCCTCACAATGATTTAGGGCTGTTTGGAGATACAAACTGAAATAGATGATATGAATATATGTATTTCAGGAAGAAATAATAAGCCTGTGTCTCATTGCCGGTGGATGAACCATATTTGCATCGATGTCTTATTTCTACCCTGAACAACCCAAGAGACAGATATACCGATTTTAGCATCCACAAGAATGCCATTTATTTGTAGTTGGTTTTGTGATTCTCATGTGTGACAGGTCTTAACAACAAAAAGTAGTGAGAAAAAAAGGACAGAGATGTGGGGGAAGGAAAATAAAGAAACTTGCTGTTAAGGAACATGTTACCCACGGTTCCAGCCTGACAGCAAGTGTTAGGTACACTTCCCAGCAAGGAAAGGAGAGCTAGGACTCCACACCAATGCAATTGCACTATGATGGAGGGGTGAGGATGAGGGCAGCTTGGTAAAGCTTTGGGGGAAAAAGCCAGAATTGAAAATGTAATCTCCATTTCATACTTTTTGCCGATATTCAGCATAAAAGCAATGTTAGCCCATTCAATGCAATTTATATGCAGCCTCATACATCTTTGCAGGGATTTTGTGGGGAGACCAAATCCTACTGACATCCCCTTGTCTCGTGGTACAGATTTGCAAGGATACAGAGCAATGCTTCAGAGGGGTCTTTCTGGGGAAATGAAGTGAGGGATTTAATTTTGTACAGTTTATAGAATGTGCCCCAAAGGTGAAATTTCCAGGCATCCTTATCCCTTGGAGATGCCGAAGACTTCATTTCAGAATGTTACTCATTTAGCCCCCTACGTCTGCAGAAGAGCTGACAAAACCAACTCAAGTTTTCCTCTTGTATCTTCTGAGTTGTGTGAACCTGGGCAAGTTATACCATCTAATAATTGGGATGTTTAATACAGTAAGAATAACCAACATTTATTAAGTGATCTTTACGTGTCAGGCATTTTTCAAAGCGTGTTATATAGATATCATCTCATTAAATCTTCACGTATTCCAGATGGAGGATCTGAAGACAAGAAAGCATTAAGGAAAGGGATTAAGGCCACAGCTTGTAATTGTGAGGGTAAGAATTCAAACAAATATTCTGACTAGGCCAGAAGTTATGGCTCATGCCTGTAATTTCAGCACTTTGGGAGGCCTAGGTGGGAGGATCATTTGAGCCCAGCAGTTCAAGACCAGCCTGGGCAACATGGCAAAACAGCATCTCTAGTATCTACAAAAACTACAAAAATTTGCTGGGTGTGGTGATGTGTGCTAGTGGTCCCAGCTACTCAGGATGCTGAGGTGGGAGGATCACTTGGGCTCAGGAGGCTGAGGCTGCAGTGAGCCATGATCGAACTACTGCACTCCAGCCTGGGTGACAGAGTGAGACCCTGTCTCAAAAATAAAAAATAAATAAAATAAAATAATGTCTTACTCTACTGGCTCTTCTGCAGGTTACTACACTGCCAGACATGATGTGAACTTCTTACCCCACTTCCTGGGACATAGTAAGCACCAAATAAATGCTACCTCACAACTTTATAATCTGTTACCAACATATATTCAAATTAATAACTTTCAGGTGCTCTGTTAGCTACCCTAATACTTTAACACAATCAAATTCTCATATGGGGAATCTGAGGCCCAGATAGGTTCAATAACTTGTCCGAGGCCATTCATGTGGCAAGCAGCAAACCCAGAGTTATAACCAAGAGCTTGGATGCCAGAAACATGATCTTAGCTATCTCTCTCTACAAGAATGCCCATCCTAGCTGGGTGTGTGGCTCACACCTGTAATCCCAGCACTTTGGGAGGCCAAGGTGGGTGATCACGAGGTCAGGAGATCAAGACTATCATGCCTAACACGGTGAAACGCCGTCTCTACTAAAAATACAAAAAGTTAGCCAGGTGTGGTGGCATGCGCCTGCAGTCCCAGCTACTCAGGAGGCTGACGCAGGAGAATTGCTTGAACCCGGGAGGCAGAAGTTGCAGTGAGCCGAGATCGCGCCACTGCACTCCAGCCTGGGTGACAGAGCGAGACTCCATCTAGAAAGAAAAAAAAAAAAAAAAAAGAATGCCCATCCTTCAAATCTATTAATCGGTAGCTGCACACTCCTCCCTTTGAAGGAGTGTTGAAAACAGAACTACACACTCCTCCCTTTTGTTCTTCAATAATCTCCCTCCCGAGTTGCTATGAGTCAACAGAAAATAAAAGGAACAGAGATGTCTCCACGTGAAAGACAACCTCTACAGAAAAGCTCGGGGCCATGAAAGAGGCACCCATCTGTCTCTTTTAAACTCTTCTGAACTCTCAAAGACTCTCTGATTTGGTGAACAACCTGTCTTTGTTATCAACAGCTGGATTGTGTGGAACCATCTAGAGTACCATCCTGGGACATTCAAAAATCAAAGGGAAAGATGGCGGCTCTGCATTGGTGCTTTGACCAACACAGGCACTCCATAAATATTGGAAAATATATGAGACGAAGTGGATGAATGGATTCAGGTAACTAAATGGCATTCACAGTAACAGCCAACACACAAAGAATGCTTACTGTGGCTAAATGATTAGAACCCTCATGGTGAACGCTTTATACTCATCTAATCCTCACCAGACATTCTAGAAGTCCAGTTCTACGATTATGCCCATTTTACAGAAGAAAAATTAAGAACTGGAAAGGGAAAGCATATTCGTAACTTACCCAGAGTTACACAAGTAATAAGGGATGAAAGCCAGTCCGACTTTAGAGCCAGGCTCCTTAATATTAGCTTGGTGCAAAAGTAATTGCGGTCCTGCCACTTTAATTTTGCCATTTTAAAAATAAAAAGGCAAAAACCGTAATTGCTTTTGCACCAACCTAAATAGTTGGCTGTTCACCAGGTCACTGGGGTCACTGCCAAGTCTCATTAAATTCACCAAAGTGGAGATGTTATCCTTAATTGTAAAACATTAGAAGCATGAATACATGACCTTCACAGTGAAGGTGAAGTGCACTGGGGAACACAAAAAGGTGAGAAGAGGCCATTTACTCAGCAGCATAACAGCTGAGAGAGATGGGGGGCTGCTTTTTGTTTGTTTGTTTTCTGTTTTTCATGAGATGGAGTCTCGCCCTGTCACCCAGGCTGGAGTGCAATGGCGCGATCTCGGCTCACTGCAACTTCCGCCTCCCATGTTCAAGCGACTCTGCTGCCTCAGCCCCCTGAGTAGCTGGAACTACAGGCATGCGCCACCATGCCTGGCTAATTTTTGTATTTTTAGTAGAGACAGAGTTTCACCGTATTGGCCAGACTGGTCTCAAACTCCTGACCTCGTGATCCGCCCTCCTCAGCCTCCCAAAGTGCTGGGACCACAGGCGTGAGCCACCATGCCCGGCCGGGGGGCTGTTTTTAATGAAAAGATAATATTGATTTTTAAATAACGTCTCGATTGCTTGCCAGTTAATAGGTAGAGTTCAAAAGGTGCTTGAGGGAGGTTACAAAAAGTTTGAGAGCTGGATGGCACTTAGGTAATTTGGCACATCCCCTAGAATCAATGTCCCTGTAATCACTAGAATTGTCTATGAAGAAAGCAATTAGTAGATGAGAATGAATGTCTACACACTCCATTCATGTATGAACACAGCCAAGAAGTGGAGGTTGGGGAGGGAGCATACTAGTAAATCAGAAGAAACTACTCTTTGATTCCACCACATTCTCTCTCTTTCTTTTTTAACCATTAAATTTAGCCATATAAAGCACAACAAGATATTACTGTTTGAGGAGCTGCTCCTGTAACTCATAATATGGGTAGCAGGTAAAGAGGAAAACAAGCAAACTGCTTTCGCTAAATACTACTATAGTCAAGGTCCTTTATATATATTATATATATAATACATATGTACATATATAAACATATATACATATATATTATGTATAAAGGACCTTGAATACATAATGTATAAAATATATATTATATACTATGTATATATAACATTATATATAAATATATATATATGTATATATGAGAGACCAAGTCTCTCTCTGTCACCCAGGTTCTAGTGCAGTGGTGTGATCTTGGCTCACTACAACCTCCGCCTCCTGAGTTCAAGCAATTCTCATGCCTCAGCCTCCTGAGTAGCTGGGATTACAGGCACCCGCCACCATGCCCAGCTAGTTTTTGTGTTTTTAGTAGAAATGGCGTTTTGCCATGCTCCCAGGCTGGTCTCAAACTCCTGGGCTTAAAGCAATTCACCCACCTCAGCCTCCCAAAGGGCTGAGATTACAGGCATGAGCCACTGCACCTAGCGGAGATCCTTTTAATCTAATGCTATTCATCGTTTGTATCAACCCTTGGACAGAGACATTCTTCTGCTTTTTGAATATAAGGACTGTGAGGTTGAGAGGAATGGAGAGCTTGCTGACATCACACAGCCTATGAAAGGCATAGCCAAATCCCTGTATGTTTTTCAGACGTCTAAACCTGTGATATTAATATTGCGTTTGCTCTTAATAAAGCAATACATACATAAGAGAAATCCCACATTTCCATGAATTCATCCTATCCTGCTAACACTTTTATCTAATAATATTATCTAATAAACTCTGCCAAACAAGTATACTTTCTGTAACTTTTATCCTTAGTGAAACAATTTTGCCACAGTCTGGGAACTTGGTTTTCCTGTCATATGATCACATGCTACTATTTGTGTGAATATGCTTGTTTATTAATTGACTGCCTCTGGATTAATGCTCAAAAATAGCTACAGTGCAGTCTCGGAGGAGAAGAACTGAATTGCTGGGGACAGAAGTGGAAGGAGTCGTTTCACAGTAAACGCTATGTTGTATATTTGCACTGTGTACTGCATAAATATCGCATTCTAAAATAAAGATTTTCATATCAGAATAACTTAATCTTTTCTTTGCAAGTTTCATAACACTGGTTTCAGACTTATAGTTCAGCCACACTGGAAAGAATTGACTTCCAAATGAGTTAAGTTATAAAGACTCGTGTGTGACACTGCAAGAGGGTATTACTGTTAATGGAAAGTTTATGTTGTTGACGAAGATCCCCTCCTCCAAATTACTATTTGGTAATTTGGTAAATACATGGTACTCCATGTATTTACACTGAAATTTTATAAAGCCCTAGCCACCTTTTATCCTAAAGGAGAATAATGACATACATCTAAGTCTATGTCTATATCTTTCTATCTCTTAAAAGAGAAGCTATGCTTCTCCCTTTGAACTATGGATAAAAAGAAGAAATTATAAACATGTTATATATTCTTCGATTTTTTAATGATAACTACCAGGCAGGATATGCTGAAGGAGAGATGCCAGGCATAGCAGCTAAATTGTGTCAAATATATACTAAAGTGTGTTCACCAATTGTTCCACTACTACCTCATTTGTACTCTGTGAAAGATCCAGTCCCAAGCACCTTTTTTGTCAGCTTCTTCAGCCCGTGTTGAACGGTGCTGACATTTGACCCATGGAAGCAGGAAATGGCATAGAATGAAGGGTTGCTAAACTAGTGACACCTCTTCCCAGCATTAGTGACAGCCAATCTGTGGGTCAGGCCCTGGAGCTCCCAGACAGTAGAGAATCACACATCACTCTTAAGGGAAAGAGACTGAAAGTCTTAACCTTTCCTGTCTCTTCTACTTTAAAAACATCCACTGAGGGCAAGAAAATGGACAGAATTTCAAATCACGCTTGAGTTCAACATCTCTGGATTCTCCCCCATTTTTTGATCTAATGTGCATAGCTCATGGGTAAAGAAGCCATCTCCACCCCCGTCTCAGAATTTATTATAAATTAGGGAATAGCAGGACTCATTTTTTTTGAAATGTCCTACTGATGTTCAGAAGTAAACTGGACTATGTGCTCCAACCTTATGTCTTTTAACAAGGGTGCCTCACCCACACTAAATGACTGACAGCAATAAAAATGAGTCATGGTAACATCAGGTGGTGCAAACTTTGGGGAAGGGCATCTGGGAACATCTACCAAAATGTATAAGTGTATGTACATTAAAAAAAATTAGCCCAGCAGTTTTCCTTCAAATAATTTACCTTATGGATATACTCACAAGGTATTTTAAAGAGATTGCAGTTCTGTTGGAAATAGCCTAAAGCTAAATGTCCCCCTCAGTGAGGAACAGTTAAGTGGTGTTAACTTTATGCAATGAACAAACAGGCACTCGTTAAAAAAGAGCATGGCAGACACATATTCACAAATCATAGAAAATCCCCCCAAGAATAATGGCAAATAAACAAGACGTAGTTACTGTGGTTATCTTTATAGAGAGACTGGTTGGGAAGAACATTTTCATTTTATTCCTTATTTTCTCCTATTATTATCTGTCTGTGCACTATTTTTATACTTAAAAGTTCAATAAAATCTATCTTGGCAGTAGGATCATGGAAAAGACTGTCATTGATTTAATTTACTGAAACACTAAATAAAAATATTTTTAGGTTAAAAAAAAAAAGTAAAGCAAATTATACTCCCCCATCCCGCCCTGAGATCTACTCTTTCTATGCTCAATGCTACTTTAACCTGGTGTGTTTTCTTTGCCCTGAACTCTTGTTTATCATCACATGACCACCCCAGTGAGATCAATGGCATAAATCAAATTCTACTCCTTGAGGAATCTGCTTGGGCTCATCCTCTGGATATATTCATCTTTCCCCCCATCTATATATTCATCCACTCTTCCATCTAACCATACATACATACGTACACTCATCCGTCTATCCACTCACTCATTCACCCACCTAACCATCCAACCATCCATCCATCCATCCGCCCATCCATCCATCCATCCATCACCTCATCTGCCTACCACTCACCCATCCACCCACTCATCTACCCAACCATCCCTCCATCCATCCAACCATTCTTCCATCCATTCAACTATCCATCCATCCATCCATCCACTCATCCACCCACCCACTCATTCATCCAACCATCCCTCTATCCATCCATCCAACCAACCAACTATCCATTCATTCCTCCTACAATCACTCATTTCAAATATTTGCTGAGCATGTCACATGAACCAGGAACTCTTCTACATCATAGGGAAACAATGGTGAACAACTTACTGGCAGGGCACCTGCACTAAGGATGTGGAAGTCTAGTGTGAGAGGCAGACACAGAAATCAGCTCTTATACTCTGTGAGATAAGTTCTATGATAGAGATGACCCAAGGGTGCACCTGGGGTATACAGTCAGATTAAGAAAGGCTTTCTGAGCAACATTATTTGCACTAATCAAAAAGTGTAAACAACCTAAATGTCCATTGACATATGAACAGATAACATGTGTTATATACACACAATGGAATATTATGCAATGTTAAAAGTGAAAAAAAAAAAAAACTGACCCATGCTGTAGCACCTTGAACACATCAATGTACCTTGAAGACGTTATGCTAAGAGAAATAAGCCAGTCACAAAAAGACAAATAATGTATGATTCCATTTATATGAGGTACTTAGCGTAGTCAAACTCAGAGAGACAGAAAGTAGAAAGTAGCCAGGGGCTGCGAGCAGGACGGATGAAATTAGTGTTTAATGGGGACAGAATTTCAGTTTCACAAGATGAAAAAGTTCTGGAGATCAATGGTAGTAATTGCACAACAATATAAATATACTTAATGCTACTGAATTGTACACTAAAAATATTTAAAAGGGGAAATTTCCATGTTCAATGTGGTTTATTCATTGTGACAAATGTACCATAATGATGTGAGACATTAAGAAGAGAGGAAACGGAGTGTGGGTGCATGGGAACTCAGGGCTATATCACAACTTTTCAATAAATCTAAAACTATTTCAAAATAAAATATGCATTATTTTAAAAAGCTTTATGGAGGATGCCACATGCAAGCTGAGATATGAAGGATGAGCTGAGGTGGCCCAAGAAAAGCGTGCCATTGTAAGGTCATTGCAAGTGACAAAACCTCATAGGCAAAGGTCTGAAGATGAGACAAACATAGCCTCATAGGTTTAGGAATTAAAAATCACTCAGGCTGGGGCCAGGTGCGGTGGCTCACGCCTATAATCCCAGCACTTTGGGAGGCCGAGGCGGGCAGATCATGAGGTCAGGGGTTCGAGACCAGCCTGACCGACATGGTGAAACCCTGTCTCTACTAAGAATTAAAAAAAAAATTAGGTGGCTCACGCTTGTAATCCCAGCATTTTGGGAGGCCAAGTCGGGTAGATCATGAGGTCAGGAGATTGAGACCATCCTGGCTAACACGGTCAAACCCCGTCTCTACTAAAAATTCAAAAAAATTAGCCGGGCATGGTGCTGGGCACCTGTAGCCCCAGCTACTCAGGAGGCTGAGGCAGGAAAATGGTGTGAACCTGGGCGGTGGAGCTTGCAGCGAGCCGAGATGGCAACACTGCACTCCAGCCTGGGTGACAGAATGAGACTCTGCCTCAAAAAAAAAAAATTACTCAGCCTTGCTGGGACCATGGCTCAAGACCCGAAATTCCTGAATCAGGTCATTTGGACGGGACCCTGTGATCCTCGCAACCTCCCCACCCTTGACTCTTGGTCAGCCATCAGTGGCATCCACCCAAAAGAAAGAGTTTGCTCTTGATGCTTGGAGAAACAAGGGTGAGGAGCCAGACAATCTCCTAAATCCCTGCTCAGAGGCTGACCCCAGACCTCCTGCCACAGTTTAAACAACCTATCTTCAGAAGACTTTAAAGCATCCTATGCATGCATGTGTCCTCTGGCATTTTCACCAACACATAAGTTCCCCAGATTCCTAAAAGGCTCATTCTGGGACCTACATCAACACCAAGATGGAAGCTGTCCCATTTCCGAAGTTCCATGTGTATCAGTGTTAATAACTTCATAGAGAAATAGAAGGAAGGAAACTCCAATGGGTTATTTCCAAGTTGTCACCAGGAAAAAAAAAAAAAAAAACACCCTCCGAGTGACTCAAAAATAAGCGGCATGTTGAGTGCAAGTAGCAGCGTGAGTTTATCTCCCTAACAGCTTGACACAGTGTCAACAATCTAATCGGGATACACGCAGGGGAGAAGAATTTATTGTTTTAATTATAATCTAAAGCACAGTCTTATTTTTTGATAAGGTGCCAGAGCATACACTCTTTGGGGTGTTCCCAATGGTAAAGGTCGGGCGGGTATGCAGAAAGGAGCTTGCTCATTGTCTCCTTACCCTTTTCAGCTCTTTTGATCCTGTGTACCAAGCAACTTTACTGTGGAGATTTAATGCCAGGGTTTTCACACACAGCTTGTTACCTTCTTGCCAGCTCAACCAAGTTCTGTGATGCTCGCTTATTTGCAAGCAGCTAAGCTGATTCTGTTCTCAGAAGTTCAGCGGCTAACAAGTCGGAATTAGGCATTTTCCTTCTGCTTCACTTGCAGTGAATGTATTGGATTCAGCTAAAGGTTTTCCCTCTTAGCAATAACCTGTTATCCAAAATGTACAAATGATGGACATACCAAGTCAAGTTCAATGACCAGAGTTCTTGGGCTGAATCAGATCAGGCTCATTACTTTGGCTATAGATTGAGCTCTCAGGAAACAAAGAAGGACTCTGTAAAGACTGAAGTCAGGCAGGGCAAAAGTAATTTCCAAAGAGATGAAGTGGAAGTGGGGAAGACGTTGCATGTGCACCATGGGAAGATAAGGGGTGTCCCAGTAGACAGATCCGAGTTTATATCCCCACTTTTCTGTAGGTATACAATCTTATTTAATCCTCAGACACCCTAGCAAGGTCACTCTTATTATCATACCACAATTTTACAGTTGAATTATCTGCCCAAAGTCCCACAGCTACTAAATGACAGAGCTGGGATTTGAACCCACGTTTATTTCATTCCAAAATCCATGTTCTCACCCATTATATTATACTGCCCTCTCTAACATTCTAAGGGTTGAATGTTCTCTCTGGGCATTTGGGGTTTTTCAACCACTGTGGTTGTTACATCCCAATGTCCTCTTTGTTCAAAGTGCACGTCTTCAAGAAAACCCTAGAAGGCAGACAGATAAAATCTGGTTGACCTTAAAGACTGCCAAGTCTATAAGACTTGGTATGTATGAGACCCCCTGCAACAGCCATACCCAGCAGCTGTCTGTCTTTAGCACTTGTTCCCTATTGAGAGGTCGCCTAGGAGACTCATTGGAAAGTTCTCCGTGTCATTATGCTTAACTCAGAATTCTTATATTAGCACATAGGGATGCAAAGAAGTCTGATTTCCTCTCTAGAAGATACTCTATCAGTTACCTCTGTTAGATGCTTGTGTTACTTATCCTTCATATCGCAATTTAAAATATGTACATATTTATATGCAGTGTTTGCTAAATATTCTGAAGCTACATAGAGATAAGAGACATATCTGTTTGGTTCGCCTCTGTTTTCCAGGTGCCTAACACAGGGCCCTGGAGCAGAGTGGGTGCTCTGTAAATATGTGTTGATTAAATCAGTCTCTCCTGTGGCTGAAAATCCTCAAATTCATAGAGACCATTCCTGGTCATTCTACCATTTTGGTCTCTTCCTGCTCTAATTTGTCCTTATTCCTTTGGAAGTATGGTGTCCCCAACCTAGCATTGTGTATATAATCAGAGCAGCTTGTTTAATCAAATAACTCCCTTGATTGCACACACCTAGGAATGATGTGGATACCTGGGCATCATCACTGAATAATTCATGCAGGTAAGCGTCACTGTTGCCATTTTACAGATGTGGACACTGAGATTCAGAAAGTAACATGCCTTGCTAAGGACACACAGCTAGTGAGTGCAGAGCTGGGATCCAGATCAATGACATTTCCTGAATATTCCGAGCCCTGTCTTCCTGGGGAGGCTCAGATGAAGGCAGGACATCGTGGAGTTGAAGCAAACTTCACATCTGGGCTCCATTAACCACCCTAGGACCTGGGGTGACTTTTTAAAACCGAGCTACTAAGCCCCTCTTTTCTTATCCTTAAAATGGAAACATGAGTACCTGCCTCACTGGGAAGTGGTATGAATTTAATGAGATAATGCAGTTAGAAGCGCTAGCTTGGCATGAAATAAGCATTCACTTAACTTAACCTTTATTATCTCTATTAAATAGTATAGGTCTGGTAAAACCATAAACAGCAATGACATTAACTGTACGTACAATACTTCAGAGTAGAGCTGTAAGGATTGTTGTTCTATAAATCTCCTTTTATTAGATGCAAATTACAACTGTGCTAGCTTTTTGGCAGTTGAATCCTATTGCTGACCCAGATGGTGTTCACTGTTGCCTAAAACCAGGCATCTTTTCCCCTGTGCCCCAGGGCTAGCTAATCCTGGAGAAAGTCTCTGAGCAGGTTTACTCCAACCTAAGCTCAGGATCAGAAAACACAGATGATGCACTTTCTACTTAAAACTGGAACGATGAGATCTGTTAGAGAGATGTCTGCTTCCAGTTATCCAGTCTGTCATTCTTTTAAGCAACAAAATTGCTTAGAGAAGCACCATGAGATGCTTTGGGGCAAAAAAATGTATGTATGAACAGATAACAGTTAATATCAAACACTCGACATCAGTTATTCCAGCACTTCGGTGTAGACAAGAATTACCTGGGTTGCCTGTTATAAATGCATATTCCTGGGGTTCAGCATTAGTGATTCTGATTCATCGGCTTGAAGAGGGACCCACAAATCTGCATTTAATGAGTGCTCCTATTGACCCAGAAGCAAAGGATCCCCAGGGTATACTCTAAGACTCCAGTAAAGAGTGGGCTTTAGAAAAGCAGACAGCATATTCCTGACAAATCTTGGAAGCTAGTGAAGTATTACCACCACTATTAACTTTGTCTTATTTTCCTGAAATGACACAAATAGCCTGGCAGGCAGTGCTTTCCATGGACTTGGGGACAGAATATGTGCTAGGCCATGCACAAGACTCCTTATAGGAAAGTAGAGATGACGGTGCTGCTCCCAAGTCATTCCACAAACACCTATTTCACTTACATGTACAGCTGAGGCACTGAGACACAAGAACAAATGAAGCAGCCAAGGTCTCCGCCCTTATGGCGCCTACAGATTTGTAGAGGATCCCACCCAACACGAGAAGGCAGGCCAGAAAATCAATTAATTACAAGTTGTAATGAGTGTGTACTTCAATTGGGCTTATCAGAGGATCCTCTAAGGAAGTGACATGTGAGCTGAGAGTTTGCTGACAAGATTGAGCTAGGTTTGTAAAGAATGTCAAAAGGAGGATTCTAGGTGGAAAAAGTAAAATATGCAAAGCCCCTGACGTAGAAAATAACTTGGGGTTCTAAGGATGAGCTTAGCAGACACCGGGTAAGAGACAGCAGGAGGCGTGCCATGCCCTGGAAGAGGTAACATGCTAGCTTAAGGCAATTCCAAGGGATAGAAGAGAGACAATAGCTGGGCTCGGTGGCTCATCCCTGTAATCGCAGCACTTTGGGAGGCCGAGGTGGACTGATCACGAGGTCAAGAAATGGAGACCATCCTGGCTAACACGGTGAAACCCCGTCTCTACTAAAAATACAAAAAAATTAGCCAGGCGTGGTGGCGGGCGCCTGCAGTCCCAGCTACTCGGGAGGCTGAGGCAGGAGAATGGCGTGAACCTGGGAGGCGGAGCTTGAAGTGAGCCGAGATCACGCGACTGCACTCCAGCCTGGGCGACAGAGCAAGACTCTGTCTCAAAAAAAAAAAAAAAAAAAAAAAAAAGACAGACAATACAAGAAGTATTTCGGGCGGGGAGGGGGGATCCAATTAAAAGCCTAGAGAGGACATTGTAGATATTGCCTCATTTAACAGAAGACGAAATGGAGAGCCAAACACTCAGGGATTTTTAACAATAGCTTGTAGATGTCCCTGAAAGGGGTGAAATTACTAGAAAAGAGGTCCAATAGGCCTTGGCAACCCCAAATCCCATTCTGCCATAATGACTTTCTAAATCCTCCTGATCCATTTTGCAGAAGTGACCACCATCCTCCAGTGGCCGATGTCTTGTTTGATCTTGGATGCGACTGTTTTACCAGCTTCTGCGATATTCCTTTGGAAAAGAGTCAGCGTTCACCTGCGATGGTGATCATTTTACTGTGTTTCTGGATGTGACTAATGTCACTGGCTCCTACTGGGGAGCTCCAATGGCTAAACTGTCCACCATTATATACATGTGCATAGGTGCACAGGTGCACACACAATCATTGAGCAAAACACATGTCTTGGAGTGGTCTGTAATGGGTGAATAATGTAACCCTATCTTAAGGAAATCAGAGCCATTGAGCACCAGAAGGGAGTGGCAATGTACAAGTAAGCAGATCATAAAGATGGCATAGATACAAGGAAGACATGGGTTATGCAAAAAGATTAGCAGCCAAGGCTTTGGAGTCAGACCTCCTGGCTAGGGTCTCAGCTTCACACTTTCCTTCTGAGTCACCCAGGGCAAGACACCAAAGCATTCAATGTCTTGGCTTTTTAAAAAATATACATGTAAAATGAGATGAATAATAGTCTCTACTTTGCTCTTCTGTGATGGGGATTAAATGATCCAATCAATTTGAAGTATCTATCTCAGTGGCTGGTATAGAGTGACATTTAAAAAATAGCAGCTGTTGTCGTTATCAGAGCAATGTCTGCTAACATTTATCATTGTGATGAGATCATTGTAGTAGGCAGAACGGCCCCCCAAATATTCCCATGCCCTAATCTCTGGAATCTATAAATATGTTACCTTACATGGCAAAGGTGACTGCTATGGTTTGAATGTTTAAGTCCTCTCACCCCTAATTCATATGGTGAAATCTTAACACCAAGGTGATGGTATTAGAAGACGGGGCCTTAAGGAGGTGATTACATCATAAGGGTAGGACTCTGTTGATGGGGATTTGTACCTTTTTTTGTTTTTTTGAGACCAAGTCTCACTCTGTCGCCCAGGCTGCAACGCAGTGACGCAATCTTGGCTCACTGCAACCCCTACGTCCCGGGTTCAAGTGATTATCCTGTGTCAGCCTCCCGAGTATCGGAGATTACAGGCACCCACAATCACACCCAGCTAATTTTTGTATTTTTAGTAGAAATGTGGTTACACCATGTTGCCCATGCTGGTCTTGAACTCCTGACTTCAAGTGATCCACACACCATGGCCTCCCAAAGTGCTGGGATTACAGGGGTGAGCCAGCATGCCTGGCTAGATTCATGCCCTTTTAAAAGACACTCCAGAGAGCCTGCAAGTCCCTTCTACCATCTGAGGGCATAGCAAGAGGGAATCTTCTATAAGCCAAAAAGTGGGCCCTTACCTGACATTCACTCTACCCTGATCTTGGACTTGCCAGCATCTAGAACTGTGAGCAATGAATTTCTGTTGTTGATAAGCCAACCAGTTTTTGGCATTTAGTTATGGCAGCCCAAGCAGGCTAAGACAAGGACTTTGCAGATGTAATTCAAGTTACAGATCTTGAGATCAGGAGAAGAGCTGAACTACCTGGGTGGGCCCAGTCTCATGGAATGAGCCTTTCAAGGTGGACAACTTTCTCCAACTAGAGTCAGAGTGATGTGGCAAAAGAGAAACATGGAGAGATTCAAAGCAAAAAGAGACTCGAGTAGCTGTCGCTGGACAGCAGGAGAAGGAATACGGGCAGCTTCTGAAGGCCAGGGCTATCTCCCTGCTGACAGCCAGCAAAGCTTTGAGGGCCTCAGTCTCACCACTGCCAGGGACTGAACCAGGCAAAGCTGAGTGAGCTTGGAAGTGGATTCATTCTCACAACCCCTAGTAAGAAACAAAGCCCTGCTAACTTCTGCCTTTCCGTCTTGTGAATCTCTAAACAGAGGACCCAGTTGAGTCATGCCGAAGTTACACTTCTAACCCACAGAGCTGTGAGATAATACATGGCGGGTTTTTTTGTTTGTTTTGTTTTTGTTTTGAAACAGAGTTTTGCTGTGTTGCCCAGGCTGGCGTGCAATGGCACGATCTTGGCTCACTGCAATCTCTGCCTCCTGGGTTTAAGTGATTCTCCTCAGCCCCCTGAGTAGCTGGGATTAAAGGAGCCCACCATCATACCAGGCAAATTTTTGTGTTTTTAGTAGAGATGAGGTTTCACCATATTGGCCAGGCTAGTTTTGAACTCCTGACCCCGGGTGTTTCTTTTACTCTGTTAAATTTGTGGTGATTTGTTACAGCAGCCATTAAAACAGCAACAAATGCAATCATGTAAATATGGAAAACTCTCTTTGTGACCCGCTGTTTCCCTCCGAAGGCTGGGCAGGAGCCCTCCACAACTTCACAGAGGTAGTAGCTTCCCTGGTATGTCAGGCCAAATACCAAGAAAAGAACCCCAGGAGAAGATTTTCACAGTTCTATTGTCCCCACAGCTCACTGGCCTGTCCTCAGGCACGTAAGGAGAGAAAATAAGCATGTTTCATTCTTTAATCCTCCTTGACATCCGTTCACCTCACAGGAGGCTGAAAAATTAAAAGACAAGAACAAATGGGAGGGTAGAAGTCTCTCTGGAGTGGGTACCAAGGATGGTCTGATACTGAGGGCTCTCACAGTCACTGCAAAATGCCTGTGCCCCCTCACATCCCAGAAGTCGCTAAGAGATATGAGAGGATGCTGCTGTAAGCTCTAATGCCAACACTCACTACCTCCGAGGGCTGGGAAACTCTTAACCTCTGTGAGCCCCAGCTTTCTCCTGCTGGATGTGGATTATCATATCATCTTCCAGTAATATTTGCTCAACCCAGTGAATGGGGTTGTTATGAATTCCAAGAAAACGTACGGCTTTTGGAAATGCAAAAACAGACACACAAATGACCTGGAATACTGCGTAGAGCTGAATGTCAATTCTAAGTTCTTGGAGGGTATCTGAAATACACTTAACCACAACTCAGACTTAAATTCTACATTCATCCTCAATTATTCTATAAAATTTTATTTAAAAATTACTTTGGCCGGGCACAGTGACTCATGCCTGTAATCCCAGCACTTTGGGAGGCTAAGGTGAGCGGATCACGAGGTCAACAGATGGACACCATCCTGGCCAACATGGTGAAACCCCATCTTCACTAAAAATACAAAAATTAGCCGGGTGTGGTGGCACATATCTGTAATCCCAGCTACTTGGGAGGCTGAGGCAGGAGAATCGCTTGAACCTGGGAGGTGGAGGTTGCAGTGAGCCGAGATAGTGCCACTGCACTCCAGCCTGGGGACAGGGTGAGACTGTCTCAAAAAAAAAAAAATTGTTTTGCCTTTGTTTTTTCATCCTCAGTCAATTCTTATCAACCACGTGAAATATAATGTTATTGCCATAAGTTGTCAGCTGTATCAGTTATTCTTAGCTAACTAAACAAAAGATAATTATCTGGCTAACAGAAACCTAAAGACCTCACTCACTACATGGCTTCCTTGTCCTTCAAGGGAGTCGAGCTTCTCCACAATGTCAAGGAGATCAATCTTGATTATTCCATGTTGATGGGTCTCAAAATGTGGTCCAAGAACCAGCCATTTTCATATCACTAGGGAACTTGTAAAACTTGCAGAATATCAGACTCTGCCCAAGACATATCAAATCAGAAATTTTGGGAGGGAGGCTGGAAATGCAGTTTTGGGAACCTAATAATTTCTTTTTCTTCAACACAATAGCTTTTATTTATTTATCTATTCATTCATTCATTTAGATATCTCATTGTTTAAAATTTTTTAAGTTCAAGGGTACATGTGCAGGATTGTTACACAGGTAAACGTGTGTCATGGTGGTTTGTTGTGCAGATTATTTCATCACTCAGATATTAAGCCTAGTACCCATAGTTATTTTTTCTTGATCCTTTCCATCCTCCTACCTTCCACCCTCTGGTAGACCCCACTGTGTGTTGTTCCCCTCTAATATATATGTATATTAGATATATATATGTATATATTATATATAAGGCATACATAATTAGATATATATTAGATATGTATATACACACATACATATATACACACACATATGTATATACACACACACACACACACACACACACACATATATATATATATATATATTTTGCTAAATGATTAAGGCAAATCATATAATCTGGCCAATGAAATACCAGAAGTCTGTGGAAGAGATACGTGGGCTGGCTAGGGAGATTTTCCTAAAAAGGAAAATTAAACAGGGATATTTTTTGTTCTTCTTCTGGGTGTTGCAGTTTCCACATGATGTCTGGAGCAATGGCAGCTATAATAGAAACAGGAGGAATGACAGCCTAAGAGGATAAGCAAATACAATCAGACTAGCATAGGAGAAATATTGCAAAAACCTGAAACCTTAATGATATTTTCGAATTGATGAATTAACTGAATTATCTAACCCTAAGTCTGCCTCATCCCTTGAATTCTTGCTAACATTCTTGTGAAATCATACCTGTTTCTCTTGTTTAAACTAATTTTATTTCCATTTTCAATTACTTGTTGCTAAAAGTATCCAACCAATAAACTATTAAAACATAATTTCTGTCTTTAACAAGTTGTCAGTTAAAAAAATAAAATACAAAACTTTTACCAAGTGGGTAGGGTAAAAGTAGTAATAAATGTGTATGTATGGTGGCCCGTAAGCATCTAAAAGAAGATGGACCAGAATAAAAGTTAAATCCCAAAACTACATTTATTATATTTTCCAAATCAAACTGCATCTGGGAAAGATTTTCTGGTGCTATTTCCAGGTGCAAGCAATATTTTGAAATGCCAAAATGGTGCAATTTCTAGGTAATTTCTGTGATTTACAGACACAGCATAGTAGAATATTTTAAACTAGAACTGTCCCCCCGCAATATAAGGTGAATGGCTGCAATATCTGTAACTTTTCCAATTAACAGATGAAATTTTAAATTGTTCCACACAGTGGATGCAAGGCTTTAATCTGGCAACAGGAAATGTACAATAATCTGTGGCTTTGTTTTTATGTCTTCTTTCACCTCCACAGGTTTTTGGAAATTCTTATTTCCATCATAATTTTCAATTTGCCAGAGAAGGAAGGAAGGCACGGAACCAAACATACTTTTGTACAAAATGGCAAGTGCAAGGTAACAATTGCCCATGCCAAGTGAGTTAAAAGGATCTCTGGACTTTCTCCAGAAAGTGTGTCTCAAAACATAATAATTGTTGGTATCCATCCTAAAACTCAATGTCTAGAAAGTAGAGATTACTACTGATGTTAAAACCCAAGGCCAAATTCTTTCTTTTGCCCATCCATCCACCCACCCACCTATTCAGTCCATACATCTACCCGTCATTCATCCATCCACTCACCCACCCAACTGTTACATCCATTCATCTGCCCATCATCCATCCATCCACTCACCCATCCATCTATTGCATTCATCCATCCATCCATCATTCATCCATCCATTCACCCATCCATTCATAGGTTTAATCATTCAACAAATATTCAATGAGTACCTACTTTGTGAAAGGCACTGCAAGGATATAGCAACAAACAAAACATGCTAAAATATCTACCCGGTTGGAGCTTACATGCTAGTGCAGAAAGACAGACACAAATGAAACATAAAATACATAGTATGTCAAATGGTGATAAGCAATATGGCAAAAGTCAGCTAGGAAAGGAACACAGGGTGTGTGGGAGTGAAGAGGGGGTCTGATTTTAATGGAGGAGTCAAGGAGGTCTTATCTGAAAAGGTAATGAGCTAAGCTGAGAAGGAGGAGAGGGAGTGAACTAGGTAAGAACTTGAAAAAAATTGCATTCTAGACAAAAGACATAGTGGTCAAAAAGACCTTAAGGGGAATATATTCCTATGATATTCAAGGGCTTGCAAAGGGGCCAAGAGGAAAGGGAAAGAATGCTAGGGAAGTAGGTCAGAGAAGTCAATGTTTTTTTCCTTTAACAATGACAAAAAATAAGCAACAGTAAAATAAAATTTTAAAAAACAGCAGCTAGAGAGGCATGGCTCATTTTCTGTCTACTTGGAAAGCTTAGCATGAGCTATTTTCTTTCTCAGAACATGAACAAGGAGAGATTTGAGGAGCACATGCTCCAGGACAGCATGGGAAAGTGAGCATCTGGGCACAAAGTGGACTGGCCCAGGGACACGGCAGACTTAGGGGAAGGCAGAGAGACACACAATCACATAATTCCTGCATTCACATGGTCATTAGACGCTGGTCCTTTGCAAACCTTAAGGACACACTTAGGGCTCCAGAGAGACAAGGTCCCTGTCTTTGTAATGCATATGGCTCTGGCAGTATAGACGTGTGGTGCACACCATGAGAAAATGTCCAGTGAGTTGGCAACTTACTGGAATACGGCAAAGAACAGGAAGCTTTGTTCTGATTTGGAAGGTGAATCAGGAAGTATGTCCTTAAAGAGGAGATGTCCAAGCTGAGCAAGGCTGAATATACCAACCAAGCAGGCACCAGGGTAGGAACTGTGGAATGTAGCCTTTCAGGAAACAGCATGTGCAAATGTCCTGGGGCACAAAGATCATGCTTGTTGGAGGGACTGAGAATATACGTTAACTGGACATTAGAGTATTGGGGAGGGGGTGATGAAGCTGCTGTGGCCAAGTGGATCATATCAAAGATGCTATTTTTTTTTTAAGACAACTTTGGCTGCTTGGTGTGAGGCTAGATGCTCGTAAGAAGAACCTTCCAGACTGCACACAAGAAGATAAACGTTTTTAGATGTCCCTGGGAGGAATGGGGAGGGCCCTCTTAGGCTGAAAATATGAGGGCAACAGAGGCAAATCCCTCAAACCAAGCAAAGGGGATTTGATACCTGTGATTTAAAACACTTCACAAGGAACATTCACAATCAAATACAGCTTGAAGAAGAAGGAACAGAGCATCAAAGAGCTCCAGGGACTTCCCCAAAGTCACTGCATGAAGAAACCCAAACATCTCACCACTTAAGTAAAGAAGATAGAAGAATGCAAGGCAAGGCATATTTATACGTAAATAGATGTGTCCGTGTACGTGTGATTTTCAATCCACGCAACACTAATGCCATAAAAATAAGATGGACAAACTAACAAAATCTAATGTTAAAACTGTCATTCTGGAATTCAGAACTGGGTCACCAATGTCAGGAGGCCCAGCACCCAGGACACAGATCGGAAGATAGTGTTTGCTATTCCATGACACAACAGTCAACTGTGTGACCTCCTGGATATCTGGAGCCACTGCTTGCATTCATGGACCCGCTGTATGAGTGATAAAAATGCATACCCAAGGCCAGGCGCGGTGGCTCACACCTGTAATCCTAGCACTTTGGGAGGCTGAGGCAGGCGGATCTCCTGAGGTCAGGAGTTCGAGACCAGCCTGACCAACACGGAGAAACCCCGTCTCTACTAAAAATACAAAATTAGCCGGGCGTGGTGGTGCGTGCCTGCAATCCCAGCTACTTGGGAGGCTGAGGCAGAATTGCTTGGATCCAGGAGGCAGAGGTTGCAGTGAGCCGGGATCGCGCCATTGCACTCAGCCTGGGCAACAAGAGCGAAACTCCGTTTCAAAAAAAAAAAGAAAAAAAGTACACCTTCCGAGTGGAAGAATACCCAAAATATGCCCTTTCCTCCAAGCTGATACAGCCCTGCTCCAGGGCTCAGGGCTTGAATAGAAGGCTTGGAGTAGACTGCCTCCTGCAATTGCTACCACTGCAGGCCTGCTTGCACAGAGCACAGCCATAGGTGGCGATTCTACGGGCACCCATCAAGCTCAGGAAGGTGAACATCCCAGGAAGACCGTTGGGTGATGCTGAGGCAAGAAAGGGAGGCAAAATGCACGTGAAGGTGTGTTCTCCCAACCACAATACCCCCTTGCCTGCAACTCTTAAAATCAATTTGAAATGACTGCTGAGACCAAATTACACGAAGATTTTGTTACGCCAAACAGGATAAAGCATAGAGGGACTTGCAACCTTGGCAAACAATGCTGGGAGTTGGAGAGGCACGTCCTGTCTTGTGTTTACAGCTTTTCAGCTGAGTACTTAGTGTTTACTTTGGAATTAATCCCGGCCCATAAAACAAGTGATATATCAACATAGCAGATGTACTTGGGTGACTATACATTAAAAGGTGATTCACTTCACAATGAGAATCCACACACAGCTTGAAGAATGAACCAGGTACCTTCTGTATTTGTATAAGGGGGGGTCCCTCTAGGATAGGCAATGTTGAGAGGAGGGTCCTAACGTGGAGGAACTGTTAAAGGGATGGATGCTGTGGGTACATCAACCCTCCACAGAGCCCTGCCCTGCCCCTTAATCAGGATTGGCCACATAATTTCTGGGGGCAGTGCAAAAGGGCAATGTAGGAACGCTTGTTCAAAAATCATTAAGAATTCCAGCTATAGCATAAGACCACATGCGGGGCTCTTCAAAGCCTGGGGCCCTGCATGACCATGCAGGGAATGTGCCCTTAAAGCTGGCCCTGCCCTTAATAAAAGGGATTGAACTTGACATTTCCAAACAGGGGACATTAATAATATTTACCTAATAGGGGTGCTGTAAGAATAAAAACAGAGAATGAATCTTAGACATCACAGTGGCTCATAGTAAGTTTCAATGTCAGTGACTATCATTGATTGAAATGTGAATCAGTTTTTTTTTTCTTTTTTTTCTTTTTTTTTTTTTTTTGAGATGGAGTCTCATTCTGTTCCCAGGCTGGAGTGCAATGGCACAATCTCGGCTCATTGCAACCTCTACCTCCTGAGGTCAAGCAATTCTCCCACCTCAGCCTCCTGAGTAGCTGGGACTACAACCACGCCTGGCTAATTTTTTTTTTTGTATTTCAGTAGAGATGGGATTTCACCACGTTGCCTAGGCTGGTCTCGAACTCTTGAACTAAAGAAATCTGCCCTCCTCGGCCTCTCAATGTGCTAGGATTACAGGCATGAGCCACGGTGCCCGGCCAAGTGTGAATAAGATTTCTTATATTATCCCCACAAAATGTCCATATCTATGTAAATATTTAATATTTTCTTGCAAACAACTCTGGGAGCTGTTATATTCTTGCATGGAGAGTAAGGCTGGATAGAAACCTATCATGCATGTGCACAGAGACATACATGCACATGCATTCCACAAGGATGAGAAAGAATGAGGCTGCTGAAACGTGAAACTTCTCAATATAGGGAGGGTGATGTATCCAAGGAATACATATTCAGGTATTACAAAGGAAATAAAACCACCACTTATTTAGCTAGAACCAAAGCATTTGGTAGGCTAAAGGATTCAGAAGAGAGAATTTCCAATCAAAATCTAGCTGCTTCTAATAATATTCATTCCAGATGCAATCTGAGGCTTCAAGATGGCAGAAAATACAATGGTCTGGTTTGCTATCGAATCCGTTGTGCCTAGCATGGTACCTGACACATAGGTAGTGCCCTATTGTGTTTGAACAAATCAATAAATGAACCCATGAGCAAAATCATAAAAAATGGGCTTTATTATTGGAAAAGGGTATGGCCCAGGGCTGGGAAAAGGGGTTGGCCCAGGGCTGGCCAAATATAAAGTGTGAGGAGCAAACTGTGATAATCACTCTTTAACACTGTGGTACCTGATGTAACTCGCCTAGGTCCATCCTTGTCCTGAGGACTTCCCCAGGACCCAGAAGGTCAAGAGGAATCTCAAAAGGGAAAGAAAACACAGATGGGCAATTGCACATGTTCATGGTAGAAATGTATACATCGAGAGATGGTTGGATCTTGGCTTAGATAAAAACTCATTCCTCCACCATATTCCTTCTCAAGTTCTATCCAAATGTTTGCTATCCTGTAGATAGAGTCTTGTCTCCATGAGTTGATACCACACATCTTTGTGTAGTTTTCCTTCATGCACCAAGGTAGGGGACATAACCCAACAGGTGGCTTCAGTTTACACTTTCTCACATGCATGGGAATTCTGGACCTTATAAACTCAACTTGATCATATCTATAATAGCCTATAACACACATATGATGGAAAACAGGGTGAGCTGCAGGGCTAGAACACGAGTTTGACTTGATAACTTGGGAGACAATCTGCCTTTGATATGGTACAGTTTTAAGAAAATCTGGCAAGACACTGGTCAAGAGGGCCCACCCCCATCTACTTCACCAGCATTCTGTCTACCGATCCTGGGCATCTTCCTTGCTTCCTTGACTTCCTGGGAAGACATTGGCTATGACTTTTTTTGGGGGGGTTGGTGGGGGACGGAGTCTCGCCCTCCTGCCCAGGCTGGAGTGCCGTGGCATGATTTCGGCTCACTGGGACCTCAGCCTCCTGAGTTCAAGCGATTCTCCTGCCTTAGCCTCCTGAGTAGCTGGGATTACAGGCATGGGCCACCACACTCAGCTAATTTTTGTATTTTTAGTAGAGACGGGGTTTCACCATGTTGGTGAGGCTGGTCTGGAACTCCTGACCTCAGGCAATCCACCCGTCTTGGCCTCCCAAACTGCTGAGATTTCAGGCATGAGCCATTGTGCCCAGCTGGCTATGGCTTTCTTAATCCCCCTACCAGAAGACCAACACTTCCTCCACTCCTTCTTTGCGAGGACAACTTCTAGCCTTTGGTGAAGACTCTGTTTAGAGGACATGAACTCTAGGAATGCCATCTTAAGGCTGAAGGTGCTCCTCCGTGCTTCATAATCTCATCAGGGTGCCCAACACTTCAGTCAGTGGTTTCTATGACTTCCATCTCCTTAGTCTGTGCATTGCTCAGAGGCAAGGATGCTGTCTTACACTCAGGCACCCTCAGTACCTTGACCAGTGCTTGGCATGAAGTGGATGTTTTACACATCCTCTATACACGCTTTAACATGTGTATGAAACTATATACAGTGCCTGCTCATCAAAGTGCCATTTGTTTTCTCAGAGCTCCTGGCTTACTGTCATACACTATGAACACAATGCCTTCTAAAGGACCAGCCCCTGCTCGTCCTTTTAAGGCTACAATGCTTAAAACCTTTAATGAATCCCTATTCTTAGGATAAAGTCATAACTCCCGATCATGGCCGGCAAGACCATGTAGGCTCCTGCCTACTTATCCCCACCTGACTTGGGCCACTCTCCACCTCCCTAGCTCAACTATGAGGACAATGATCTCTTCCATTCCTCATACTCACTAATGTCCTTCCTACCACAGGATCTTCATACATGCCAATCCCACAGCCTGGAATGCTACTCTCATACCTCTCTGTTTAACCTCCTACCCCTTCGATCACAAGTCTAGCACCTGTTCCTTCAGGAAGCCATCCTGGCTACCAAACAATGTAGCATGTATCATGATTGCAATTTTTTTTTTTTTTTTTTTTGAGACAAAGCCTCTCTCTGTCATCCAGCCTGGAGTGCAGTGGTGCGATCTCAGCTCACTGCAACCTCCACCTCCCGGGTTCAAGAGATTCTCCTGCCTCAGCCCCCCTAGTAGCTGCAATTACAGGCATGCACCACCATGCCCTGCTAATTTTTGTATTTTTAGTGGAGATGGTTTTTCACCATGTTGGCCAGGCTGTTCTCTAACTCCTGGCCTCAAGTGATCCACCCACCACGACCTCCCAAAATGCTGGGATTCTGGGCATGAGCCACTGTGCCTGGCCTCACTACTGCAATTTTACATTTACCTTTTGTGACCATTTTATTCAGTTATTTCTTCTTTCACCAGACTCTAAGTAATCTACATGGTCTTGGCAGCCATGATCAGGAGTTATGACTTTATCCTAAGAATAGGGAATCATTAAAGGTTTTAAGCAGTGTAGCCTAAAATTCATGAAGTCTGAGCCTATACATCTTTTTGTTCACTTTTTTAGATCCTTGGCACCACAGCAAGTGCCTGATACATTTCATGCATGAATAAATAAAGATATCAATCCACACCTTTCCACAGGTAAGACCCCGGATCTGAGGCATTGATCATTTATTTATTTTCCTGTGTTACTGATAAGAGAGAAAAGGTACTTTCTGTAATGGGAAAGACAAGCATTTGCAACCCAATGCCAGAAAACCAACGTAACCTCATGGAATATGAAGCAACTGGCCATTCTAGGCAGGTGGGGGATGCACCAGGCACCGTGTGTTGTTCTAAGCTCTTAGCACAATGCACATCACCTACACGCTAACGCGGGCTGACTCATTCTCCAATGATGTATTTTTCATGGAAATTGTCAAGCTACATTGTTACCCTAAATAGACTATTACTAAAGTGCTTTAACCAAGCCAGCTGAAAGGTCTGACATTTCATCCATATTGTTATTTATATGCGTATTTACAGCTGCCACCTGCCTGTAACTTGGCTGGATCATAAAGTAGTGATGTTCCTCTGTTTCATTATACTTTGACATTTTACTCTAACTACATTGCTTCTCATTCCTTAGTATCCAATTGCTTTGTAGCCATTTTTGAATGATATTGCTTTGGTCATGGAATAAGAATCTTTCTCTTTGGTCGTACTAGTCTCTTTGTCTCTCTCTGTTCCTTTCTCTTTCCAAACCACCTTACCCCACCTCATTCCATACCCAGATGGTACAAATCGTTGCTGGCACATGCAACAATTATAGCAGAGCTTCTGCTGCTTAAATGAACCCCCACAAACCCCACTGAGATAAATTAGATTAGGGAACTGGGAGGTGAGAAGGAGGGCTGGCCAGTGGTCTCAGCTGAAGCTGACACAAATTTGGTCTTGCCTCTACAAAATGAGAAATAAATGTTTTCTCCTTCAGAAAAGTGCTGGAAGCCTCTACTTCACAAAGAGAATACGGGGCGGGGGGAGGGGCAGCCAACAACTCATTTAAAGACAGGTAGGTTTAATTTCAAAATGTTAGCATAGTCCAATCTAAGAATATTTGCAACTCACCAGGAATTTAGAAGCCAGTCTCTAAGAGCCAGAGGGAGCAATGAGTGTAGGGTTGAGATCTCCTCCACCACTGCTTATAAGTTGATACATGAAGTTGCCATTTGCAGTGGGCTTGCATTACGGTCCCGAGCACAAAATGTATAGAAAAGTGAGCCCGCCCAAGTTAACTTACCTATTGCCTCAACCTGCCAGGTTGAAATACTTGGATTTCACTGCTCCGAAATTTCCAAAACTATCTCAATCAAAATAAATTACTATTTGCATTCAATGCAAGAAAGAACCATCCGTTCAAGACATCCCTTGCAGAATTTGCACAGAATAAGTACATAGCAAAAGCTCATAGAACTGAATTCAATATTATATGATTATATCAGGTCCCATCCAAAAAGCCTCCATAGAAATCCGATGTCCCTCACCCAGACTGCACAACCTCATCCCCCAGAAAGCTGGATGTTTTCTGAGTACGATTCTTCTCCCTCCAGAGCCTTAACCCTCAGCCTGCCCTACCTGGCATGCCAGTCTCCTCCTTGTCACTCAGGGACTCCCAGCTGCCTCTGAGTTTACCACTCAGAAGCGAAGCCCAGGTCTTATCTAATCAGAACAGTGATTGAAGGAGGCAGCCACTTCTATGTTTCATGTGCAGAGGCCTCTTCCTGGGCTGGCCTTTTAGTTACCAACCTACGCTGTGGATGCATGCCCTGAAACTCACCATTCTCCTACCCTCTCACTGCTGATGCTGGGCCCGTCGCATGCCATCCACCCCACCAGACCCCTGAATCCTCCTGCTGTCATTGAGCCTCTTCAATGTCTACTGGGGTCACTGGTTCCTCCTCCTCAACACCCACTCAGCAACCTGAAGACCTAACCATTAGCATCCATGCCTGGCGCCCAGTAGGTGATTAATAGATGCCAACACCCTTCTTTTCACTTTAAATCAGGCGGAAAAGTGAAAAAGGGGAGAGGTCTGGAAAGGAGCCTGGAATCCCAGATGTCACATTAACGCTCTTTTCCTCCTTAAGACACTCACGCAGCATCCCTGGGCCATAGTATCTTCATCTGTAACCTAAGTGGGAGTCGGGGGCCGTTATCTTCAAATCCTTACGAGTTAACATTCACAGTGGTATAGAATTTATCATCCACAGTCCCTCCTTTTTGAACTTGCTTTCTGTAAGTTTCTCCTTTTTTTTTTTTTTTTTTTTTTGAGACAGAGTCTTGCTCTGTCGCCAGGCTGGAGTGCAATGGCGCGATTGCGGCTCACTGCAACCTCCGACTCCCTGGTTCAGGCAATTCTCCTGCCTCAGCCTCCCAAGTAGCTGGGATTACAGGCGTATGTCACCATGCCCAGCTAATTTTTGTATTTTTATTACAGATGGGGTTTCACCACATTGGCCAGGATGATCTCGATCCCCTGACCTTGTGATCCACCCACCTCCATCTCCCGAAGTGCTGGAATTACAGGCATGAGCCACCGCATTCGGCCAAGTCTCTCCTTTTATTTATACTTTAGATTGAGTTCCTTCTTTTCTTTCTATGATGACAGGCTCTGAAATCCACACCCAGAAAAGCTGCCACAAGGCTCTCCTCCTGAATACTGGCCCGGAGTGCCCTTCTCCCTCCCTGATGTTTCGCCATCCTTCTACTGCAGTCAGAGAGACAACTCTCCACTTCTCACTGCTCTCATATGTTTCATAGTGTCCCTTCACAAATGTCTTCAAGCCCCTCGCATTTGAGACTCCTCTTAGACCTCATGGGAAGAACACTTTACCCTGTGAAGGTGTTCTCTTTATGTCACAGAAGCAGTGTTTTCTGCAGGATGGGTGAAAAAAACAAAAACAAAAACAAAACAAAACAACCCCCCCCCCCCACACACACACACACATACATGTTTCTTTTTCTCCAGCTAAAATTATCCAACTGACAAATTATCACCAAGACCTACTATGTAACAGCCATGGTTTCAGGCACTGGGGATGTGCAGGCTTGAATTGAGTAGAGATTTCAAGTCTAACGAGGTTAAAGAGATGGTCCTAAACAAGTAAACAAACAATGCAAAATTACAAAACAGGGCAATATGATAGATCATGACTCAGAGCTACTGCATGTTGGCAAGGGGCGCGTTAGTGAAACCTGGATGATAACTAAGCAGGGCTCACTCCTGCCAAACCTCTTCAAGTTTTCTATTCATTCTGAATTCATCCATCTATTTTCACTGCCATTCTCCCCCACTGACTACTTTCACTTGGCATGGTGGGTTGAAGAGTGTCCCCCTGCCAAAAAAGATGTCCACCTAGGACTTTGTAATGAGACATTATTTTAAAAATGTCCACCTAGAACTTTAGAATATGACCTTATTTGAAAAATGTCAGGCTGGGCATGGTGGCTCACGCCTGTAATCCCAGCACTTTGGGAGGCTAGGGCAGGTGGATCACCTGAAGTCGGGAGTTCGAGACCAGCCTGACCAACATGGAGAAACCCCGTCTCTACTAAAAATACAAAGTTAGCCGGGCATGCTGGTGCATGCCTGTAATCCCAGCTACTCCGGAGACTGACGCAGAAAAATCGTTTGAACCCGGGAGGTGGAGGTTGTGGTGAGCCGATATCGCGCCATTGCACTCCAGCCTGGGCAACAAGAGCAAAACTCCATCTCAAAAAAAAAAAAAAAAAAACAGGGGAAAGAAAAATGTCTACCAAGAACACTGGAATATGACCTTATTTGTTGCAGATGTATTTAGTTAAGATGAGATTATACCGGATTAAAGTGGGCCCTAAATCCAATGGCTGGTGCCCTTACAAGAAGATTAGGTGAAGACAGACAAACATAGAAGGAAAATGTATGTGTGACAATGCAGGCAGAGATTGGAGTAATGCAGCCACAAGCTAAGGATCACCCAGGATTGCTGGGGAGCCACCAGGAGCCAGGAGAGAAACAAAGAACAAATCCTTTGCTACAGTTATGCTGTGCCCCCAGCCAAATCTCGTCTTAAATTGTAGCTCCCATAATTCCCATGTGTCATGGGAGGGACCCGGTTGGAGGTAACTGAATCATAGAGGTGGGTCTTCCCCATGCTGTTCTCACCATAGTCAGTTAGTCTTATGAGAGCTGATGGTTTTATTAAGGGAAGCTGCCCTGCATACACTCTCTTGCCTGCCGCCATGTAAAACGTGTCTTTGCACCTCCTTTGCCTTCCACCATGATTGTGAGGTCTCCCCAGCAATGTGGAACTGTGAGGCCACTGAACCTCTTTTTCTTTGTAAATTTTCCAGTTTCAGGTATGTCTTTATTAGCAGCATCAGAATCAACTAATACATCCTTCCTTAGAGTTCTCAGAAGGAATCCACCTTGCCTACACCTTGATTTACGACTTCCAACTTCCAGAACTAAGAGAATAAGTTTCTGTTATTTTAAGCCGCTCTGTTTGCAGTAATTTGCTATGGAAGGGGTAGGAAATTAATACACTTGGCAGCTGCCATTCATCCTTTGAGTCTCAAGTAAATGCTGCATCTTAAGAGTAGCTTTCAGTGGCCCTTAGATTAGTCAGTTGTTTTACAACTTTCACATGCTTCAGAAGAAAGGAGGGTGGGTGTTTCTAAAGAGTGGAAATCCCTACATCCCAACCCCAGAGATCCTGATTCAGTACTTTGGAAGGGACCTAGGAATGTACATATTTAACGCAGATGCCTGTTGGCCCCTCCCCTCCAGGGGGTTGATGCTGATACAGCTAATTCATAGAACACACAGAAAAATCTGTTCTAGGCTAGGTTAATTCAACTACATTCCACTCCTGCTTTCCCATAACAAGACCTATAACCTTCAACAAATGCATTTAGCTCTCACTAGACTTGGCTTTTAATCAATACTTAATTGCTTAATAAAAGAAGAGGATAGTGAGAGACTAGGCCAACAGAGGCAGAGGTTCATAGACAGGAAGAGCTGAAGATGCAAGGAAAAGTTTGGGATACAGCTCTTGACCACTTTATAAAATCAGCTTTATTACTGCAAAGTTTCAACTGGGAACAGAAATGGATAATGAGAAGGTGACTGGGCTTAGGCTTCAGAGACCATCACTTCAGGCAATGTGTTTTTATGCTACCCCTAACTCTGCAACTCTGCACTAGTAATTTTGAATCTCATTGGAATCTCTCTTTTTTTTTTTTTTTTTTTTGAGATAGACTCACTCGGTTGGCCAGCCTGGAGTGCAGTGGCATGATCTCAGCTCACTGCAACCTCCGTCTCCCAGGCTCAAGCAATTCTTCTGCCTCAGCCTCCCAAGTAGCTAGGATAACAGGTGTGTGCCACCACAGCTGGCTAATTTTTGTATTTTTAGTAGAGATGGGGGTTTCCCCATGTTGGCCAGGCTGGTCTCGAACTCCTGACCTCAATTAATCTGCCAGCCTTGGCCTCCCAAAGTGTGAATGTTTTTCTTACGGAGGGCTCCCAAATTCTGTAAGTGTCACATCTCATAAAACCCAGACCTACCTTGAGGCCGAGGACAGTGGCTCACGCCTGTAATCCCAGCACTTTGGGAGGCTAAGGCGGGTAGATCACAAGGTCATGAGATCAAGACCATCCTGGCTAACATGGTGAAACCCATTCTCTACTAAAAATACAAAATATTAGCCAGGTGTGGTGGCGGGCACCTGTAGTCCCAGCTACTTGGGAGGCTGAGACAGGAGAATGCTGTGAACCCAGGAGGTGGAGTTTGCAGTGAGCCGAGATCACACTCCTGCACTGCAGCCTGGGTGACAGAGTGAGACACTGTCTCAAAAAAAAAAAAAAAAAAAAAAAAAAAAAAAATACCTAGACCTACCTTGGCTTGAGAAATAGGAAAACGTGAGCTTAAGTTGACAGTGGAGGGTCTTCTTTAGTAAGAGAAAAATTCTGGGGTTTCTGGTGTTTGCTCTATGGGGTTGCCCAACAGGGAGTTACTGAGGCTGCTGGTGTAAAGAGAAGACAGGCTCATGTGGTTCAGGAAGCTTGATCTGATCTTGAAAGAGAACTATAGGACACTAGTCATCCTAAATCTGCTCACTGCTTAGTGTATGGTAGAAATGCAATTAACATCAATCTTCCCAACCTTCTTGCTTCTTCCAACCTCATTAAAACATAGCTCAGCGGCAGGCAAATGTGAGCACTCACCCCACAACAGTGAGGGAGAACTTGCTGAAAATAATTGTCTAGTTATACTAGAAAATCATGGCCTCCTTGTTCTACTTCTCCTCAACTTCTGAAATTAGATTCACACCATTTTCATTCCTGGGACAACATGGATAAAGTGACTCCTGAGATTACAAACTCAAGTGACAAGCAACTCAATCATAGAAGGAACTAAAATATCCTCCTTCCTGTCAATTCGCATGGGTCTGGGGAGACTCAAGAGCCAACTTTAATAACCAGGAGAACTGCTGGTTATTAAAAGCCCTATTTGTCAATGACAATGCTCTTTCCTTCTCTGGTGTTAATTAGTCATTTCACACAGCATCTTTGACAAGGAGTTAAGTCCCAGTTAACCCAGATCTCAGACAAGATGGAGTAGCAGGGGAGCAAAGCGGCTGTAGCAAGACCATGCTACAAATTGTTGGGCAGGCTGAGATTAGAAAGAGAAGATCCCCGACTCTTGAAATGGGCTTCTTTAGGCAAGAAAACAAAAGGCATAGGAGGGAAAGCGAAGCTTCACAGCTAAACTAAAATGGAAAATACTCACCATCCAATTGAGAGCATTCAACAGACATTTATTAACCCACTTCAATGAGCAAATATTGAGATAAAGGTTCTATAAATATTTGTTGTTGTAGATTAGGTACTTTTGGGATATCAGTCTTTGGGCATCTCCAAACGTCACCCGCGTGAAAAGACAAAACAAAAACAACAACAACAAAAACCACACAACAACAACAGTAACAGCAACAAAAACTGTGGTACCATGTAGATCTTGTATTTTGAATTTCTAAGAGACCAGAAGAAAATGTTCTCTGGATTCTGTGCAGGGTTTCATGGCAATGAGTTTTCTGGGCAGGGGACAATTTACATTTGAATCAAATGACCCCAATCCCTTGATTTATGGACCTGTCACTCCTATTTGATGCTGTATCAAGTGCATTTTGAGAAGTTCATTTATGGGCCTCTTCCACTTTCAAAAGCTTGTCCTAGTTATGCAGATCCAGGGCAAATATTGTGATTCCTACTTTCATTTCCTCAAATGGAGCTGGTGCATAAGGGTACTGGAGACCCATGGGCCTCCAGATTAAGAGAGGAGTAGCGGGGAGTGCTATTGTTCAGAAGCTAAGATTACAGAGGCTCTATGCATATTAAACACATAGTATCACTAATTTCCTATTATTAATTTCTTTCCACTGTTCATTTTACTCATACTCATACTAGCAGTAATATTACCAACTTTCCTTTGTTTAATCCTTGCTAACTGCCCAGGCACATGCTGAGCCCTTTAAAAGGGACTATCCCCACCCTGTACCACATTCCTCATCAGCACCAAGCATCCCCAGCTGACAAGACAGTATTTTTCCGGGCAGTCAAGAACGTTGCTTTTTCTTATTCCCAAAAGAAAAAAAGAAGAAAAAAAAAAACAAACACTTCAAAGTCAGGCTCAGCAATAAGAGTTAGAACATGTTCTTCATATGACACACCATGATTACGGATTTGTTGAGACTTAGAATTCATGGTAAGCTGTTACGCGTAGTAACTGTCTATCTATCTGCATTCACCCAGACCCTTTAAATACAGGCCAGGATTAAGAGTAAAATGTCAGTGGGGCACGGTGGCTTATGCCTGTAACCCCAACACTTTGGAAGGCTGAGGTGGGAGGATCACTTGAGCCCAGGGGTTCAGGACCAGCCTGGGCAACGTAGGGAGCCCTCACCTCTACAAATAATGTAAAAATTAGCCAGGTGTGGTGGTGTGCACCTATGGTACAGCTACTTGGGAGACAAAGGTAGAAGGATCACTTGAGCCTGGGAGGTTGAGGCTGCAGTGAGCTAGGATCATGCCACTGCAGTCTAGCTTGGGAGACACAGCAAAACCCTGTCTCAAAAAAAAAGGCTACCCAAGCCAATCAGAACCCAGTCAGAGGAATTTTTGCAGAACATCTTTATTATTTATAAAGCTGCCTTTGCTTTCTGCTCTCCCCCTAGGCTGTTCAGTCTTCAACTCTGTTCTCTTTTCCCCATACTGCCATTGACATCCCTCATTGAAGCCCCATCTCTAGACTCTAACATCTAGATAACTAACTTCTGAATAGGTATATCTTACGACAATGACTCTGACACAATCCTAGGGACTCTGTTCCAGCCAGACCACACCCACGTTTTCTGGATGACCCATTAGGAAACAGGTTAGAACATAGATAACTACACATGTAAGCTCCAGAAGATATTTACATGAGACTTAACACGGAAGACCTGCATAACTATAATCTGAACTAATAACCCTAGCTAATGTTGGTTTAGTATAACGTTGGTTTAGTATAATAACGTGATTCATCAAGAGTTTTGCACATGTGTGGTCTTGTTTAACTTCCATGTATATTAGCACCTCTAACTTGAGGCAACCACAGAAAACAATTCTAACTATTTCTTCATAGGCAAAGTGGAAGTTTCTCTTGAAGATAAATATGTACAGCTTTGGTTTCTCCCAGAGAAAGGAATGCCTCAGGCAACAAAGGAATACAGAATCAGTAGTGCCCTATTGTAGGAAGTTCAGACGCCCAAAATTTTCACGCCACGTGCATCCCTAATTAGCCTCAAGGTCTTAAAATAGTTCATCTGTCTGTACTTCGGTTTTGTAATGTATAAAATAGGAGCAACGGATCTCTTCTGGGCAACTCTCAAAGTTTTCGGTTTAGAGAGGTTTGAATAAGACAACACATGTGAAATGATTTCAAGTTTGTGAAAAGTAGATATATACAGAAGTCTACATCTACAGACATATATAGAAATACGCTGCACTTTTTTACATTATTACATTGAACTCTATTAATGAAATGGCTTAAAAATTATGTTTCAAGGAGCCACAGAAATATAAGATGAGGATACTTATTACACCAACAAGGTTGTTGGGTTCATATCTGGCAGGATTCAAGGTTCTTAGCCTACCAGTCAAACGCTGAACTGAAATCTTATAAGAGAGGGGGAGGGGGCAAAGAAAGAGGGGAGGGGGAGCTCTTGAAGCCAGAGCTTATTAAATCAATTACATGATTAATGTGAAAGAGAGTGTGTGAGACAGGAGGGGGATGGGGTAGGAATTCACTCAGCACAGTAAAGGCTGCTGATCAAGCATTTTCTGTAACCTTCTAAGCCACCAAGAAAATTGCCTTTTGGTATATGAATCAAACTGGAGAAATGCATTTGTTGGCAGCTTTTAATATTTAAAAAAAAGGTGGTAGTACATGAAATCTCCTGTACCACGCGATCCTAGAATTGACGGGTGTTAGAAACATTAGAAACATCTCCATAGGAATCGAAAATCACATTTTATCCTTGGTAAGAGTGTTCTCGTGCAACTGAAGGGTAAGGTTTGTGGTTTTGATACGAATGGGGCTGCCCAAAGTAAAAAGGATGTTAATTAAAGTGTTTGATGGTGTTTCCTTCCCAGTGCACTATGGGAGAAAGGTATAAATCCCCAATATGGCTTGAGTTCCACAAAAGATCATTAGTCAGGAACAGGCAATGGCTCAAATCATCTCCTTGATGGAGTTTTCAGATAAATCCTTCTCAGGGGCCATAGGCCAGGTCCTGAATCAGAAAAAAAACAAATCACCCAGCCACCCTGACCAAATTAGCTGATCTGGTGGGTGACGATCGACGTCTGAGGCCATGGTTTCTATTAGCAACCAGGTCTTTCTCGTTCCGGTTGACAAGACGGACAACCATCCACCCTCGTAAAAGATTCATGACCCAACTTTGCACTCTCTACTGCTTGCTTTCTCATAAAACCAGTGCAAATCCTATCAAAAATTTAGCAGAATCCCTGCCTCATCTGTTTAGGCCTGAAGCTAGTTGCAGGGACAACTCATTAGGGACAAGCTCATTAAAACCAGCCCTTGGGCAAAAGCAGTTTGCGGCCTCCTCATTTTTATTCACTCTCACCTCCCTGCCCAACCTCCTTGAGCCCTGAGACACAGGGCTTCTAATAATTTTGTACAGCATGCAGGTCTGTTCACAGAGTTGCAGGGCCCAGAGTTCGACAAATGCTGCTCCTTACGTCTGCCAAAAATGATCTCTGTCTTCTCCTTTGTGTGCCTAAGGAAGGCTGTGCTGGGAGACGGACTGCTGCTGGAGAAGGCAGAGGAGGGAATCCAGAAGGCTGGCCAGCTTCTCGCTTGGGGATGGCTGGGGAGAACACCTGGCATTGGAGTAGTCAGGAGACCCCTTAGGACCAAGCCGGAGCTCTGGCAGAACGAAGGCCAAAAGGTAAAATCTCTGGGGTCCCGTTCATGCATCATGTTCAGCCCAGCACTCAGACCCCTGGGCACCTGGAGGCTGAGCAACAGCCTGCCTAATGGATTCATTACCAGATGTTTTCTGCTATGTGCCAGGATCCCATTCTCCCCATGAACTAGGGGAAAAGCTCATTTGTGCTGACAAAGAGCTACTGAAATCTTCAGGCATGGCAGCAAAGAACGGGCAGCCCCAATGCAGATGCAAAGCTTCCAGGCTGCCAGCATCTCTGGGCACGTTTATTTGTGGAAGGGTGGGAGGAGAGCACTACGGAGGCAAATGCCTGTGACAGCCAGTGGATCGTGAAGCAGGCTGGGCGAAGGTGAGTCCTGAGTAAGAGGGTCTGTGTTGACCTGGGAGTGGAAAGCTCATCTCCACACTGAGGTGTGCAGGTGCTACAGAGCTCCAGCTGGTGGGTGAAGTGTGCGGATGTTGCTCAATATGCCAGATCGTCTGATTTTTTTGCAAGAAGCCAAAAATTTCGATTTTAAATGTAATCTTTACATATCTAAATGTTGGCAGCTAATAACAGGGGGGAAAAAAGCAAAAACAAATCATATGGGTGAAACTAAAGTGTAGATTTCAGGTTTACAAGCCCTGACGTGAAAAAGATATTATAGTAGGAGAGAAACAGATACCAGTTTTAGTTTTTACCACTACCCAGTGACGCTGGCACATCCATGAATCCCTAGAGTCCCATCTCTGCTCTTCTGTAATGGGAGGCTTAGGCAACATCATCTCTCAGAGCAAAACTCTACCTCTAATCCTTTGAAAATAAACTTTATTAGGTAGGGTTTTTAGTTTCCAAGGCATTTCACCATCTCAAATGGAACTAATATGCTAACAGCTCCACCACTGCCAAGGCCTTTGATGCTGATTGTTCTTAAAGCATAAATTCCTAGCCTTGCAGAGCTTTCAGAGGTCGAATCGCCAAGTCATGCGCATGCAGCATTAATTTCCTGAGTTTCCTGGGCCAATGGTGAGCAGGAGAACCCTGGTGTGAGCCCCACCTCATATAGAGGAAGGCAGGTCACTTGTTCCATTTCTCTTTAAAGAGGATATCTTAGGAAAATAACAGCTGTCTTTTTTTTTTCTTTGGTTTTTAAGAAATGGGTCCTCTGTCACCCATGCTGAAGCACAGTGGCATGATCCTAGCTCAGCGCAACGTCAAACTCTGGGCGGGCTTAACTGATCCTCTCACCTCTGCCTCCAAAGCAGCTAGGACTACATTTGTGCACAACCATGCCAGGCTAATTGAGCTGTACTATATCAGAAGTTGGCATATTAGGCCACGCTGGACCCTGAAAAATTCCTTGTAGCCCCCTTGAGGGCTGCTAAATGTGAGGAATAGAGAGGAAGGGATGAAGTTGAAGAGGAAGATGCAAAGCCCTGGGTTTCATTTCCTTTCCTTCTTCCCTCCTCCCCAGCCCTAAACAGAAAAGCTCAACTTTATCAGTACTGTGTTACTCATTCACCTGAGTCTTGGAGCAAAACCTGTGAGGCTAAAAATAAATGAATTAATAAATTCATTAAGCAACTCTCCAGATTAAAAGTATGAAAATCACAACAGGATCTCTAAGTCCTAATTGCCTATACGCCTGAGGATTCACTGACCCAGCTCAAATGCCGCCTAATGCTGGCCACATTCCTTGGGCTCTCAGTGCCTTCATAAGCCATACCCATCATTAACTGGGGTTGTGGACATACAAAGGGACATAGGCTTGGGAGAGATTTTCTTCTCTGAAATCACCATATTCATTTTCTACCTCCTTTCCCCCTCCTCGAAAGCTTACCTTAAAAACAATCTTGTTTTTTCACAGTGTTAGTTCACATACCTACCTGGCTCCACCCTAATATGCTGTGGCTGGGATAACAAACTCTCTGCTGTTTAATTGGGAAGACCAGCAGGCCACAGTGGCATGAATTTATGTTACCATAAAACATTTGGGGCCAGACACAGTGTCTCACATCTGTAATCCTAGCAGTTTGGGAGGCTGAGGCAGGCAGGTCTCTTGAGCCCAGGAGTTCGAGACCAGCCTAGGCGACACGGCAAAACCCCAGCAACTTGAGGGGCTGAGGTGGGAGGATCACCTGAACCCGGGAGATGGAGGCTGCTGTGAGCTGTGATCTCACCACTGCACTGCAGCCTGAGTGACAGAATGAGACCCTGTCTCAAAAAAAAAAAAAAAAAAAAGAAAGAAAAGATTTGGTTGTTTTGTGGTTCAGGAAACCTGGAGCCTTGACTGCTAATACAAAGCAACAATTTTCTATTAGCTTTGAACACACTGGCACTTCTCTTTTCCACCTAGATCATTGTCACCTCTTCCTCAAACCCCATCCCAATTTGACAAGCAAGCAATCTGTAAATTTGGCGGTAGATGCTCAGGAAAGAATATGCATGAGGAAAAGACACATCCATTAGCAATGCAGATACAGTCACAAATGAGACAGCACTTGCATGAATAGTGCCTTTAAAACAGTTATTTAATCCAGCTAAAATTTATCTTCAGGAAAAACTGAGCAGCGTTGGGACTCAAGACATTTTGCATTTAAAGCATGGATTAAATGCTCTCCTCGTTGCCTTTCTTTAAGGGAGATATTTGCAAATCTCCTATCGACTTACAAGGCCTGGAGATGGGAGGAACTAGGTGGATAATTCTGGGTTAAAAATTGTGTCCAGACAAGAAGAATACAAATGATTTGTTTTCTTCTTAAAGTGAATGGATGCCTTTTCCTCCACCCAGAAAGAAAGGTGAGGCTGGATTTTTTTTTTTTTTTAATCTGCCTTTCACAGCACTCTTTAGCCAGTACAGACTCATGACGTTCCATGAAAAGAGGGACATGAAGGTTCAAATCACCGTCACTGGCACCTGAAGAAGAGCCACTGGGGCATGATCATATGATTCAGATGTTTTGCTCCTTGCACTGGATTTTCTGAGTTCAAGGCCTCCTGCAATGGTGAAGACGACACAGCGCGAAGGCCTGCGTAAAGAAGACTTAAGCAGAAGGACAAGGGCATCCATTTGCCAGCGCGAGGACCATGCTCCTCTGTGCACACTGAGAGTGCACAGAGAGACTCTGCGTTGGCTCAACAAAACAAAGTGCGGTGGTTTCCGCTGAACTCTGCTCCACCACAGCGCGACCTGCCCTCATTAAAGATTCTCTACATACAGGTGCTTCTCACTGGGCTGACTTCTGAAATGGCTTTCTTTTTATTCCCAGGGACACATCAAGAGCTGAAGGGGGGGATTCATGCAGTATAGATCACTCAGCCATTGACAGAGCATCAGGCTTTGACAAGCTGCTTGGCGTGGTTGAAAGTCTAGGTTGGGCCTGGGCCCATCAAGGCTACGCTATTGAATTATTGACAGGCGCTCACTGTGGTGCAAAGGGAGAATGAACCATAGCCTCAGCTCAATAAAGATGAAATGGAAACCCTCTCTGAAGCCGACTTTAGCACGTTAAAGGAGTTTTAATGGGCTGGTTTAAAATTCAGTAAGAGAATGCATTAGCCTGATTATATTTTCAATGGCTAAATGCAGACACGCACACAAGTTTGGGATTCAGAGAGGTTTACAAATGAGTGAGGAGTCTGTGAGGACGAATTACGCCCTTCTAAAGGAAGGCTGGAGTCCGTGGATGTTCCAGTCTGATCCCCAGAGCAGTTATTGTCCCGCCATCTCTCCTTGATTACCTTCTTCTGCCCTCCCAGGACAGGGCAAAACGGCTAATCTGAATTTAATAAAATGAACCTGTCTCACCATCATGCTCACCGTGGCCCCAGAGGACCCAAACCATGGACTGACATCCAAAGTAGCACTCTTTACCCCCTCACATCCACTTTACAATCTCCATCCCCATCCCTGGCAAACATAAGGTGTTTCTCGCATCAGCATCTTAATAGAGAGAGGACATGAAGAACTCTCTGTAGCCACTGTACCCTGGTTAGTAAATTAACATTAACCATTCTGATTTTTCTTATATAATCTTTTCTTTTTTAAATTCCCACCTGCCAAGATTTACTTGTATTTTAATAGCTGATGTCAGACAAGCATCGCGGAGCAAGTCCCATCTCAGAACTATAATTTTAAATACAATGAGACGCACATCAACTGTCGCACTGACATGCAGGGATTATTCCACGTGGACTTCTAAAGTGCATCCTAAAAGCTTCAAAGACCTAGCACATTTTAAAAGAATTTAAATTGATGATCGCGGTGTGCTTTTTTTTTTTTTAAGCAATTTGTCTAATATGACCCTATATTCATTTTTTTTTTCTGACTTTGCTTCCAATGGACTGCCTCCTGTCAAGTTGCAGAAGGGGCCGACCAGCACATCTAAATCTGTATTCGTTTGCCTTCCACAAGATTATCTTTGCCACGTCGAGCAGTATAAGTAAATCAAAGATGCTTCTCAGAGCTGCAGGAGTAGGCTAATCTCCAGACAAATATTTAGAAGGCAGCTTTGCCTACTCCGGCCTTAATCGTTTCCAACTGATTTGACTTATTCTAATTACAGCCTTTATGTTATAAAAGCCATTTTTATGTTGCCGGGGAGCAGTTTCATTGCAAATACATGAAATTTTGCTGAGTTTCCGTTCCCATGTTGATTATGGAAATGGTACTCTGCAGCTTGGCTCTAATTAGAAAAACACACTGCATGGAACGTCAACAATTTTTAACATTAATAACGCGCCAACAGTGTCCTTTTGTCTCTATTAACATCCTTTCCACAGAATCTGACATGGGAGAGCCTATGATTCACTGTGCGATGGAAGTAGGAGTCATTTTCCCCATGTTTGATGGACAAGTACTCCTCCCCCACCCTCAAAGTGGGAGCTGCCTGTTTGGAGAAGAAGGATACTAATTTAATATAACAGAAAGGGGGGGGGGGCAAAGATAATTTAATTCTAGCACAGTTGAGGATAGTATGTTTGTTTGTGATTGTGAACTTGGAAAATTCTACTAGCACAGTATCATAAAACAGATTAAACGATCCTATGGCAAATCAGAGAGCCCTGTGATGCTTCTGCTCTGTGGCTTTCTGGTGTCAGGAGATTTTTTGAGACAGAGTCTCGCTCTGTCACCCAGGCTGGAGTGCAGTGGTGTGATCTTGGCTTACTGCAATCTCCACCTCCTGGGTTTAAGAGATTCTCCTACCTCAGCTTCCTGAGTAGCTCGGATTACAGGCGCGTATCACCATGACCAGCTATTTTTATTTATTTATTTATTTTTTTGTATTTTTAGTAGTGATGGGGCTTCGCCATATTTGCCAGGCTGGTCTCAAACTCCTAACTTAGGATGATCCGCCTGCCTTGGTCTCCCAAAGTGCTGGGATTGCAGGTATGAGCCACTGCACCAGGCTGAGATTTTAAAATATGTTAAGAAAATCTCAGCAAGGAGACCAAATAATTTTCTAGCTATTTCACTGAGATGGGAGGTCAGACACCAGGAGCTGGAGCTCAGGACATCTCATCCTCAAAGGTTCCTGAGTGATCCTCCGCAAATGCCTGATAGCAAAGAAAGAGTTAACCCAGCGCCAATCCTTTAACCTCATGGAGCCTCAGTTTATGCATCTTTAAAATGGGACTACTTATGCCTGCCCCCTAGAGTTGTTGGATGGATGAGGCATAACGCCATGCTGTTGCACTGGGTTGTGAAGACACATGTCTCCACCTGTGTTTGACAGTGATCTGATGGACACTGTCCAAATTTCACACATCCCCAACCTTTGAACAGGAAATTCCAGTTATTACAAAATATATGACACGCACTATATGTGTTCAAACACGTTTGTCCAAGTTTGCCTACCACAGTAATTTGGCATACAATGAAAGAGGATGGGAAAACCAACCGGAAATAACATAAACATCCACCCATAGGAAAGATGCTCACGATTCATTGTCAAATAGAAAAATAAAAACAAAAACAATAAGAATAGAATGACTTCTACTGAAAAAATATAAATTCCTCGGTCAAAAGAGAGGAATGTGAGAACTGGAAATGTACTTCCAATCTGTCCTCCAAAAAGGCTATCTTGAGTTACACTCTCCATAACAGAGTTGTTTGCATCTGTGGAAAGAAATTCTCACGATGTTCAGGGAGCTTTCATGCCCCACCCTCCCTAAAAATTAACTGAAGATCACAGCGCAGAGAAAAGAAAAGAGGTCGCTATGTCATAAAAGGAATGACGTGCTGCAGTAATGTTGACGTACTTCAACAAGTGCTGCCTGCTTTGGTCATTTCCATGGGAAAACACACACACACATACCCCAGCAGGCCAACTCCTACAGTTATGACACAACTTAGTGCATGGAGGAATGAGCCTTTAATTTCTTTGACACAGGATCTGGCACTGTGGCTGTGATGTTTGCCTGGATGATGAAGCTCTTTAAAGAAAATTATTTAGCCCTGCAACTAAGCCCACCTGAAGGCCAAAACCTACAGCTAAATAGCTTCGGGGGCAGGCAATGTTCCTGGTAGTGAGCCAAATTCTCCTTCAATGTGGCTTGCAATAGTTCATCTTGCATTTTCCACCTGATGGTCCTTTACCCAGGTCCTGCTGAAAAGCCTCATGGATGTAGATGCTGCTGCTTCAAGGAGGTGAAGCCTAACAAACACCTCACCCGTAAGTGTCAACTGCTCATAGTGATTTCCTTCCAAAGAGCACAGTATGCAAAGAGAGGAAAAATGAGACAGGCACTGCCTCAGCCAGATGACCAAGGTGAACATCAACAGCGATAAGTCATTTTCATAATATGTACCACTGACATGGTGTGATACAAATGGCACGCTGTCTCTGTGGTCTTCCTCTCCGTAACCCATAACTCCAGTCTCACCATCAGACAAACTCCTCAGTGGAGGGACACACTACAAAACACCTGCTTAGTACTCCAAAAAAGACAAGGTCGTTAAATACAAGCAGAGTCTAAGAAACAGTCACAGACCAGAAGGGGAGAAGAAGACATGGCAATTAATTGTAATGTGACATCCTGGAACAGAAAAGAACGAGGTAAAAACTAAGGAAATCTGAATAAAATGTAGACATTAGTTAACAATAATGTATCAATATTGGTTCATTAGTTGTGATAAACGTACCATATGTAAAATATGATAAATGCAAAATGTGAACAAGACAGCACTTTGGGAGGCCAAGGCAGGCGGATCACTGAAGGTCAACAGTTCAAGACCGGCCTCACCAACACGGTGAAACCCCATCTCTACTAAAAATACAAAAATTAGCCCAGTGTGGTGGTGCATGTCTGTAATCCCATCTACCCAGGAGGCTGAGGCTAGAGAATCACTTGAGTCTGGGAGGCAGAGGTTGCAGTGAGCAGAGATCACACCACTGCACTCCAGCCTGGCTGATCCAGCGAGGCTCAATCTCAGGAAAGAAAAAAAAAAAAAATGTTAACAAGAGGGCAAACTAGACGCTGGGTAGATGGGAACTCTCTGGACTGTCTTTACAACTTTTCTGTAAATGTAAAAGTATTCTAAAATAAAATGTTTATTTAGAATTCTAAACTTTAGGATCCCCTTAGGGCTTCTAAAGGATGCAGTCCAGTAGGTCATGGTGGTCTTAGTGTTTGGGCCTCTGTCTTATTTCCCAGTCCATCTCCTCATCTCCTGATGATTTTTTTTATTTTTATTTTTATTTATTTATTTATTTTAACGAGACAGAGTCTTGCTCTGTCGCCCGGGCTGGAGTGCAGTGGTGCTATCTCGGCTCACTGCAAGCTCCGCCTCCCGGGTTGATGCCATTCTCCTGCCTCAGCCTTCAGAGTAGCTGGGACTACTGGCGCCCGCCACTGTGCCCAGCTAATTTTTTTGTATTTTTAGTAGAGACGGGGTTTCACCGTGTTAGCCAGGATGGTCTCGATCTTCTGAAGTCGTGATCTGCCTGCCTTGGCGTCCCAAAATGCGGGGATTATAGCCGTGAGCCACCGCGCCCCGCCCCTCCTTCATCTCTTATACCACCACATGTCTGTCATCTCCTAAGCTCTTACCTGGTTTATGAAACTTTACTCCGTGCTCTCCAAAATCAGCCCTGATCTTTCTTCCTTTTTACCTGCTTTACATCTTTTAGTGTCTTTCTGATCATTCAGGCTTGACTCCTCCAAGAGCAGTTTCCAATAGTATTAACTGTTCCCTCTCATCGTTCTCACAAATACTCAAAATTGCACTTAACTATTCAGCTTATAAATGAATTGTCTAACATACCTATCTACCACCTTTCTCTGAACTCCTTTGGAGATGGCCTCATTTACCTTTCTCTCCCTGTCATTTGGCTTACTCCATGGCACACACAGGTGTTAAATAAGTATTTTTAGAAAGGCTGGCTGGCTAGCTGTCTGGCTGGCTGGCTGGATGGATAGTTAGATGACTGGATAATTAGATGGATGGGTGGTTGGGTGGATGGGTGGATGAACAGATGGATGGACAGAAGGATGGTAGAAGGGATGGATGAATTTTTCTATCTCTGATACTGTAGAAACTAAATTGGTAACCTATCTCCCAGACAACTCTTCAAACACGTGAAGTCAGTGTGCTTCACCTGTGTGACATGAACCCCTTAAGACTCAATTCAGATGCCTCCTCCTCCATGCAGTCTTTCAGCAAGATTTCACCGCGCATTTGTCTGTACTCCAACACAGCATTATGGACTCAGTCCACTGTTTTGTATCTGCTCTACATGGAACATTCATTATCCCCTATTAGACTTGAAGTTCCTTAGAACAAAGGCCATGCCATGTCTCTATGATGACGTGGGGAGGAGAAAAAGTATCAGTGAGAATTTCCTTTAGAGAGACTACTGCCTTTATTGTGGAGAATGCAAACTAAGAGCTTAGGGTTTGAATTAGAACTGGACCCTTACTCACCGTCTCTGCCCACTATGTGTTTTTACTAGAAGAGGCAAGAAAACCTTTTTGCATATTAAAGACAAGAGATTTTATAGACTTCCTCCTAAGAAGTCCCAGAAGGAAAGAAGGGAGGATCAGCAAGTTTGAGTACTTGGTTGGGGGAATTCAATGGGCACACCAACCCCAACTATCCCACTTCCAAGGCTGCTGAGAAAGAATCCTGGGAAAACAAGATTATGCGGGAATTTTGCGTGGCATTTGCTGGGGGCTACAAGATATAAACCTCCTTCCCTGTTTCCCTCCACAGAAGCTGCAGAGAAGTCTTCTACACAGTTCGAAAATGCCACTTGACACATTGAATCCTCTGGGGCAACACCATAAGGCTGTTGATTCTGTGTTATGATGGCCTGAAAACAGAGATGACCATGAATGCAAATTCACAAGCTGGGAAGCAGCAGAGAGAGCAAAGGAGCCATAGTTCCAGGAATCAACAGAATGCTTGGGGGAGATTCCACACATCACAGAAAAGGCCATCAGCTGGAGTCTAGGACAGGGCTCTCAAACTATGGCCCATAGGCCAGATTCAGCCAACCATCTGTTTTGGTAAATAAAGTTTTATTAGAACACAGTTACCCCCATGTGTTTATGTATTGTCTGTGACTGCTTTCACACTAAAATGGCAGAGCTGAGTAGTTGTGACAGAGACCAGATGGCCCACAAAGCTTAAAAGTGTTACTCTCTGGTCCTTTATAAAAAAAATGTTTGTGCATACCTGTTGTTAAGACAAGAAATCCTATGTCTTTAAGGTGCAATGCAACCTGAGTGACAGTCTCTCCAAGCAGCCTCAGTAAGCACAACGATTGCATTAGGAGAATTCACAAAAAGCTTCTCTTCTGGGATTGGGATCCTAAATTTTTCAAAGAGTAAAGATGAGTGGGGTAGCAGATTACCCTTCTCTCTGGGAGTTATTTGTGCAGAGAATTTTACCAAAATCCCAAAGTTCACTTCTCTCCCAGCATTCTATCCCACCTTGGGAGACTCATCCTACCTTTAAGACAAGGATGAAAACTAAGAAAAGTCAGACAGCCACATTTCCGCCCCAGGCAAAAGCTCTGGGTGCCAGCAGGCACCCCTGCTGACCTGACAATGAGTTGGATGACCAGCACAGTGTGGGGGCATCCTGTGGGATCTGAAGACCCATCTGCCCCCACTGCTGAAGTGACACCCTCCTTCCCACTGGGCTGGGTGTAAGGAAAGCAAGTGGAAGGAGCGGACCTTCTAGGTGCCACAGGCTGCCCACTGGTGGGAATGCTTGGCATCCCGTAATGAGGCCTCAGAGAAAATCATCTTTTGTGTTAGCTAGAAACAAGCCCCTGCCTCCTGTGAACTGGATGGTGGGGGAAAGGTCTTTCTAATGGGGAGCTAATTACCTTAACAGTTAAGTGTTCTGCACTAGGGTAGCAGACTTCCCAGCCTCAAATACTAGTTTTGCCACTCAGTAATGTGGGTCTAAAGCAGGCCACTTAACCTCTCCATGTCTTTGTTCTGTAGCAATTGCCAGAGGCTAAGGAGAGGACAGAATGGAGAGGGACAGCTTAATGGATATGGGGTTCCTTTTGAAGTAATAAAAATGTTCTGAAACTGGACAGTGATGGCGGTTGCATTAAATATCACCGATGACACATTTTATGTTACGTGTATTTTACCAGCATTTTTTAAAAATAAAAGACATATTAAGCCGGGCACAGTGGCGCGGTGGCTCACGCCCATAATCCCACACTTTGGGAGGCCAAAGTGGAAGGATCACTTGAGTTCAGGAGCTTGAGACCAGTCTGGGCAACACAGTAAGAACCCATCTACACACACACACACACACACAAAATTAAAAAATTAACTGCGCATGTTGGTGCAGACCTGTAGCCCCAGCTACTTAGGAGGCTGAGGCAGGAGAATTCCTTGAGCCCACAAGCTTGAGGCTGCAGTGAGCTCTATGATTGCACCACTGCCCTCCAGCCTGGCCAACACAGTGAGAGTCCTACTCAAAATAACAACAACAATAATAATAAAAGACATGTAAAAAATAGGATCCCTTGTTAGAGTTAAGGTAAGGAATCAAACGAGATAATCACGCAAAACACTAGCACAGTGCATGGCACACAGTAGATAATTAGTCAGTTTGGGTTTGAGGTTGTTGTTATGGAAAAGCTGGTGCTGCCTGTGCCTTAGTAGAAAGCCAGAGGACCAGGGTGGGCTTAGACTCCTGTTTGATGATTGTGAAAGCAAAACTACCATACAACATAGATTCAAGTACACGTGCTTCTATTTTTCTGAGTCTAAGAAACTAGCAAACAAACATTCTTTGGCATATCCCTACGTCTGGTTCTTTTCCAGTCACATCATACACGTTATTTAATATTCATGATAACCAAGCCCCCTTCCTATGAATAAGGATGCTTAGATTATAAAAAGTTAAGTGACTTGCACTTGGCCATCCAGGTAGCAAGACGACCAGGCTTCCTGTGTGGACCCTGGCCACTGAACTTGAAGTCCAATGTACTATTCCATGCCATGCTGGCAACTCTTGATGAAACACAGAATGGGTGGGTACTTTTTTTTTTTTTTTTGAGATGGAGTCTCACTCTGTCACCCAGGCTGGTGTGCAGTGGCATAATCTTGGCACTGAAACCTCTGTCTCCTGGGTTGAAGCAATTCTTCTGCCTCAGCCTCTCGAGTAGCTGGGACTACAGGCACGTGCCACCACGGCTGGCTAATTTTTTTGTATTTTTAGTAAAGACGGGGTTTCACCTTGTTAGCCAGGATGGTCTTGATTTCCTCACCTTGTGATCTGCCTGCCTCAGCCTCCCGAAGTGCTGGGATTACAGGCATGAGCCACTGCGCCCAGCCTAGGTGGGTACCATTTTTAATTCAAAGAAGGAAGTTGTTTCAAAATATTATCAGCAGTAAGATGCTGCAGCTTTGCTTTTGGGAATTGCATAAACCACCACCACAACAAAACAATAAATAATTTTCGAAATAGGGAATGGCTATGAGTGAAGACATGAGGCTGGAATAGTTACTGTGGGCCAATGGAACATTATTTATCCAAAAATATTTAAATGTGCTAGATTAATGATAAGCTCATTTGGTTGGATTATAGACTTAGTGGCAAGAAAGTAGAACAAGTTTTTAAAAATCAATTCATTCCGCCAATTTGTTTTGAGCATGTACTCTCTGTGAAGAATCATGTTAGGAGCTGGGGAAAAACTATGATGACAAATGGCCCTAGACCAAGAGAAACTCAATGATTGCAGGGAGAAAGTAAGTAGGTCAATGCAACACTGTCACAAGTCCCACAAAGGCAGAGATTTTTGTGTATTTTGTTTACTGATACATTCTGCAGCTTCTAGAAGAGTGTGCAATACATAGTATATCTCAATAATTATTAGTTGGAGTAATGAAGAATGGAAAGGCAGAGTTTGCTGTTAGGGAAATAATAGGGTCTATGGAAGCACAGAAAGAAATATCTGAGTGATACTCTACCCATGCACTTTTCCCAATAAAAATTGTAAATTCCCAAGGGAAAAGATATATTATCTACCTTTGCCATGTCCCATGATGGTTATATGGCAGTTTTTATCAGTTCCTCCCATCCTGTATTCATCCACCTGACGACTATTTTCTGCTCACCTCCTCTAGATTCTAGGCTCTGGGTGTATGAGAGGACAAAATAGGTGGCTTCCTGTTCTCTTGAAGCTTACTGTAAACTAAAATTCAAGGTAATATCATTGCAGACAGCTATGAATGTGATGAAGGAAAAGTACAGTGTGCTGGCAGAGAGAATAAAAGTTGGCTGGGCAGGATCACTTTTGATGGGCTAGCCAGGGAAGGCTTCTCAGAGGACGGTGACACCAAAATCAACAGCTGATGAATGAAAAGGGGGTGAGGGAAGGAGAGGCAGGATGGCTTGTGCCAAGTCCTTGAGATCCCTGAGTGCTTCAGCAGGAGGAAGAAGCCAGCATGGCCGGGGATGGGTGAGCAGGGAAGGGGTGACCAGAGAGAGGATGTTGCTGTGCCTCTGTCCAGTAGATGTCCCCTCCACTTGCTCTGGTTCACAAGATTATATTCACAGTGTTCACATCAGGAGATGTCAGAAAAGCCTTATGCCGCTCGATTTCCCACCAGCTCTGGAGTCGGGTCCTCTCCACTTCCACACATTCATTTCCACAAGACAGGTCACCTTTCCACCAGTGTGGACGTCTCACAGTAGAATCAAGGACAACAATAGAAATCCTCCTGTCTGTTGATACACTTTTTTTCTTTGCAGAGCGCCAGGCATTGTACTGTGTTGTACTTTACGACCTACATGTGCAGATGTGAGTAGTGTCACTCACTACTACTGTTGCTGCTGCTGCTACTTCTACTACTGTTATCATTATCATTATTCCCATTATAAAGATGAGTAAGACTGAGTCTCAGAGAGGGGAAGTGAATTGCCCTCAAAGCCAAAATAAAAGAGAAAGAAAGAAAAATCCACATATATCATTGTGTGAACACTCAAATGTAAGCTGTCTGACTCCAATGTTTGGTCTTCGCTTATTAGATATTAATTCTCTGGTCAGGTGCAGTGACTCACACCTGTAATCCCAGCACTATGGGAGGCCAAGGCAGGTGGATCACCTGAGGTCAGGAGTTTGATACCAGCCTGGCCAACATGGCAAAACCCTGTCTCTACTAAAACTACAAATAATAATAATAATAATAATAATAATAATAATAATAATAATAATAAAATAGCCAGGAGTGGTAGTGGATGCCTGTAATCCCAGCTACTCAGGGGGCTGAGGCAGGAGAATCACTAGAACCCAGGAGGCAAAAGTTGCAGTGAACCGAGATCATGCCATTGCACTCCAGCCTGAGCAACAGAGCAAAACTCCGTCTCAAAAAAAAAAAAAAAAAAAAAGATATTAATTCTCATAGGTCAAATATATCTCATACAAAACTTATTCAACAAAAAAAGTTGACTGCAGTGACGATATGCCAATAGCAATGCTAGGTGTTGGAGAAACTAAATGAATAAAAGGGATTCCTGACTTCAGGGGAAAAGATACGTAAGCACTATCATGCAACGTGATACATCCATCACATAACAGCATATAAGGAGTTCAGATTTGGAGGAAATGACAAATGCAGCTGGGGCCTCCTGGAGGAGGCAATACTTGAGCCACAACTTAAAAGACAGGTAAGAACTTTTAGGATGAGCAAATAGGAGGGAGAAACATTCTTGGAATGTAAAAAGATATCTGATATGGGGGCACGGAGTATGTTCAAGAAACAGCTAAATTAAGACTGTGCATGGTGGCTGAGCACTTTAGGAGGCCAAGGCAGGCAGATCATCTGAGGTCAGGGGTTTGAGACCAAGCTGGGAAACATGTTCAAACCCCATCTCTACTAAAAATATGAAAACTAACTGGGCGTGGTAGCACATGCCTGTAATCCCAGCTACTCGGGAGGCTGAGGCACAAGAATCACTAGAACCCGGGAGGTGGAGTTTGCAGTGAGGTGAGATCCAGCCATTGCACTCCATGCACTCTAGCCTGGGAAACAGAGAGAGACTCCATCTCAAAAAAAATAAATAAATAAAAATAAAAAAAAATAAAAAGAAGAAGAAAAAGAAAAGAAAAGAAAGAAAGAGTTAAATTAGCTTGGGCAAGGGAAGGTAAAATTGGAGGGGAAAGGATGGCCTAATGTCTCAGAAGTTGGTTAGAGACTGGGGATTTTCTTCTGCACTGGGAGAGCTACACACAGTTGTTAAGCAAGTCACCGGAGGGTACATTTGGTACGTTTCGCATTTTTGCAAAACCAAGCCTGTCCAACTTCAGCAGGGGCTCTCAAACTTGGGGGTTCTCAGACCAGCAGCATCAGCATCTCTTGGAAATTTGTTAGAATGCAAATTACTTGGCCCCGTCCTACATCCTACAGAATCAGAAACTCGAGGTTTTATTTTATTTTATTAATTTTTATTATACTTTAAGTTCTAGGGTACATGTGCACAACATGCAGGTTTGTTACATATGTATACATGTGCCATGTTGGTGTGCTGCACCCATTAACTCGTCATTTACATTAGGTATTTCTCCTAATGCTATCCCTCTCCGCTCCCCCCACTGCATGACAGGCCCCGGTCACACGATGTTCCCCACCTTGTGTCCAAGTGTTCTCATTGTTCAGTTCCCACCTATGAGTGAGAACACGCAGTGTTTGGTTTTCTGTCCTTTCAATAGTTTGCTGAGAATGATGGTTTCCAGCTTCATCCATGTCCCTACAAAGGACATGAACTCATCCTTTTTTATGGCTGCATAGTATTCCATGGTGTGTATCTGCCACAGACTCAGAGGTTTTAACAAGCCGTGCAGGAATGCTGATGCACCCTCATGTATGATAACCAAGGACCTGTCCCCCAGACAGCCTGCCTTGCCTCTCTGCTTACACCCCTGTAGGTGTAGTCTCCTGTCTGCAGACCACTTCACTCTAGCTTCTAACCCAAGATCCACTGCTGTTGGTATTCTCAGGACCTTCCACAGGACAGATAAAATATGCAACGCATCATGTCCCCTTCTTGTGTCAACCCACAACCTCCAAGACCAAGACAGCCACGCAGCACAGCGTGCGCCTAATTTTATTGGGGGAGATCCTCTCCCTTGGCGCATCTATTTGGTTTGAAGAACAACATGCTTTCTCCCTCTCCTTCCTAATTTTCCTAGCTGCATGCTGGAGAGTCAGATCACCATGCTGCTCAGGAACTCACGCTGTTGCTTGAAAACTATCATTAGCTAAGAGCTGGGCTAATGCATTCAGAGGTGGGGAGTTAATAAGAAAACAGGCCCAATTCGGCAGCCTGTGCCCATGGTGCCCCCAGAGCTGGGTGTTAAGTGGTGACTGGCAACTCCCCTCTAATCACCTCTTGTTAGCTGCAACTATAGGCAAATTGCTAGTAAGGATTAAGCGGGGAGACGATGCCAGGATCACTGTCAAGCAGAAAAAAGACTCAATTTGTAGAGCAATCATGACTCTGTAATCACTTCTTTAAGAGCTCTTTTCGGCTGTGTTTGCTTCTGGAAGGTGTAGACCCTGCCTAGGCAAGGGTGGGCCAAGAGCCTGCACGCTGGCTTTTTCCTGAGTATATTAAAATGATTACTCCCTTAAACGAGATAAGCCTTTCTATTAATAGTGCTTTGCCTCAGTGGGTCTCTCCCGACATCCGAGGCCCAGATGCCGCCTTGAACAAATGAACACCAATGTGTATAAACAATTGATCTGAGCTCATGGATACAGCACATTTCTGTAAACACTGAGGAGAATCTGGGAGGAGGCTTTATGGGGAAAAAATGATACATTTCGTTTATCACTGTTTGTATAATGCTCATGTAAAATAGAAACAAATTAACAAGGCAGTATTTTAAGAACTGTTACACGTCAGGGAAAAAAAATCCTGGAAGGCGATCCTTTCTCTCCCCAGTTCAAGGGAGGATTTGTTAAAAGAGGGAGGAGGGGTCTCTATCCCCCCTAGAATGTTTGGAGCTTTTGCCCAGGTAGGATAACTTCTATTTTCCAAGCTTATTCTCAGGGCTTAACAATTTCATTTATTTTCACACATTTATCCAGAGAAGTTTAGAAACAGAATGAGCAAGAGGAAACTATGTAATTTCAGAAGGAACATTTGCCACTTGGAAACAAAAGAGACCGCCAGAAATAAGGTGATATTTAAAGTCGAAACATGATTCATCCTGATATAAATGTAATTTTAAGTCCTTCAAAGAAGGGTTTCCATCCTTTGAAATTTCTCAAGTAGGAACAGGTTTTGAGGAAGTTTTCTATTACATGATCCGGTTGAGGGAAAAATGAAGCAATGAAGACGTGGAGAAGGTAACTCGTAGGTAAAAGTCAACTCAACTATTACTCATCAAATAGACCCCTTGCGGGTTTATAAGAAGTCATAGTGAAAAAATTAAACCCCACTTCTCTCATTCAGTGTGTTGTAAATCCGCATGCTGTAAATGAAGCATTAAACAACAATGGACTTCTAGCATTCTACAGCAAAAATGCACTTCAAAACATAATTTTCACATTTTTTTCTCTAAATGTCTAAAAGAAATTATTTCCCAACAGTATAAGCCTTTCCCTGGAAAAAAAACATATTTTAAAAAATGAGTACTTGATACAGACAACACACTGAGATTTACAATAATTTCCCCCTTTTATGTCAAAATAATAATAATGCCAACTTGTATTATACTCATACCATCTCTAAGATAACATTCTTCTTGGTGCTCAAACTCCCAAGTATCTTATCACCTTTGGAATATAATTTGTATTATATTCTGCTCCAAATTTTACCTCAGTAGGGGGTCATTCAGTCAAAATAACACCTGTTATTTCCAGAGGGAGACCCAGAACCTGAAGAAAAAATAACTAGAAAGGTGATTATGTGATTGTTTCAGCTGGCACTGTTTGTTTGTTTGTTTGCTTGCTTTTAGGATAATACTATGATCCCAAACTGTCAAAGCTGAAATTGTATCCCCTTCCATAGGTTCTTTCATTTCCTTCTTATCCTGGGCACTACATAAGAAACAAAATAAATGCATTATGTACCTTGTGAACAGCTATGATGTAAACATCAAGTCCTTACCAGTAATCTCATATTTAATAAAACATATTCAAGCGTATGGCCAGGTGAGGTGGTTCACACCTGTAATCCCGGCACTTTTGGAAGCCGAGGTGGGTGGATCACATGAGGCCAGGAGTTCAAGACCTGCCTGGCCAACGTGGCGCAACCCTGTCTCTACTAAAAATACAAAAAGTAGCTGGGTGTGATGATGCCCTTCTGTATTCCCAGCTACTCGGGAGGCTGAGGCAGGAGCATCGCTTGAACCTGGGATGCAGAGGTTGCAGTCAGAAAAGATTGCATCACTGCACTCCAGCCTGGGTGACAGAGCTAGACCCCCACCCCCATATATATGTATATATATATATTCATATTCAAGTGTAAATTACACAAATAAAATTCATGGCTGCCCTATTTGAGCACTTCTTTTAAAAAAAATGACAAAAATCTGCTACTGGAGTCACTTTATCATTGCATGGCTCTTTTTCCTAAAAATTCATTACTTAAGAAGCTCTGAATGCTTAAAAAAGAGACTCAGAATAAACCAAAGAAATAATCAGCTTGGAAGATTTTCGCTGCCTTGTGCTTAAGTTATATAAATAGACAGAACAATTAATGTCAAATGCCTTTAGTTCTCCATCCTATTAGCTTTTGGATGCTTCAAGGTAATCTTCAAAAAAGGTGACTTCTTGGGATTAAAACACAAGGTTTCCTTCAGACATATGGACAGGCTGGTAAAGACAGCTCATGTGCATAATGCATGGCGCCACCTCCACCCTTCTGCTATTTAATCATGCTGATTTACGGGAGGGGAGAGATTTGCAGAGAGGGAAAGAAATCCTTCAAAGCAGGTGAGGAGAGACACAGAACAGAGGTGTGCAATACATAATGTGGAAAAGAAAGTGGCCCAGCCTCCTCCTCTGGGCAGGTCAGCGAATCAGAACCCAGAAGGTCCCCAAATCACATGCACCATATAAACAGCACAAGCTGCAATTGCAAACCACTCCCCTGTGCCCACAGTCAGTATGAAACTCTCCTTTCCAGTAGTGTGAGGGTAGGACTGTGAAATCGAAAGTACAGATGGTGACAGAAGTTTTAATGCAAAGTACCTCCCCTCACAAGCTACCCCAAAGCCTTCCAAATCTCCCCCTTCCTCCATTCTACCATTCTGCTGGCAGAAGTAACTCTTGCACCCCAAATATCTTTTAGTATGACAGCTTGCAATTACCAGTCATTATCTCCCCTGCCTGCACCCCCACCCCCCACAACTTTTTATATTTTTGCAAGATGCACTCTTTGTGTTTAGAACTGGTGAGAAAATACCTAATCAGTTAACTATGAGAAATCCTACTTTTCCACACAGCAGCTGAAATGGGGTTGGATACAGGTACCCCACGAACTGGTCTTGCTTTTTGGGTCACTCCTAAAAGAAGGCCAAGTCTATGATTAAAATACAGCAGGGCTCCAACACCACTGGACCCATATTCATATTCTCTCTCTCTCTCTCTCTCTCTCTCTCTCTCTCTCTTTCTCCCTCATTCTCTCTCTCCTAGTTTCAGAGACAGAATCCCCGAAGGGAAGAGATAAACTCACCCCAGGTGTGAAGCCAGCCGGCACGAGGTTGGGTGGCCAGGTGTCAGTGTAAAGGACTAGTGGATATCTCCATGGGCAAAAGTGTGGGCCACAGGAGGGAAAAGGAGGGGTGGAGAGGCTTTAGCAAATGGCAAAAAGAAAAGAGGCAGAAGAAAAAGCATCAGGAATATGGCAAAGAAAAAAAATAAGGCAAAGGGGATGGGAAATTAATAATCCAACAAGCAGGTTTCCTCCTTGTTATTAATCACACTGCTTTGCTCAAGCTGCAGAGAAACTCGGCGCTACACATGGGAGGGGAGGGGTTTGCACACTATTGGCCGCCTCTCCTCACTCCTATACATCTCAGCCAATCCTCCCCATGCCTTAAGGTGCAGAGATATCTAGGCTGCAGTCACAAACCCCTGGAAGATGAAAAATCGTGCTGAGTGGGTAAGGCACTGCTCCATCCGGTTAATGCACTATGAACTTTATTTGATTTGACTTCTCATTTGATCCCCCAGTGACGGGGTCACGGAGTGCAAGCAATTCCACCCCAAATCATGCCATAATCGAATTGCTGCCTATTTCCCGAACCTATAATGAAAAAGGCAACCGAAATAATGCAGGTAATGTTGGCAGCCTCCCTTGCCTGTCGGACATTATTACCTCCGATTGCTTGCCGCCATTTCCCCAGTACTCTAACAATGAATATATTTCACAGCTCACTTGCTCTCCTGTGTGGGTGGCATGGTATAGACGCCTACATGATATGAAAGGAAATCTAAAACAATAGGGCTGTTTCTGAGTGCCGTGCCTAACAGCCTACTGGTGGGAGAGGCAGTTCTATCCAAGTGTTTCTCACTCGCACAAGCACACGCACACACACGCACACGTACACAAACATACACACAGAAATACGATGTGGCCCAGAATCACAGGCTCGACCAAAGCCAACTCCATTTCTCTTTGTCTATTTAAGTCCCAGCTTCATCTCCTACAGCATAATAACTGAGACTGTGTTTCCTTTATCACTCAGAGCCTCTGAGGGTTTTTATTCTATTTTCTCCCTCTGAAAAATATGGAACAGATATGGCTTTAGGGACTGGGCATGACATAAAATAATGTGTGTACACTTCCTACCCGAAAATGACTTTTAAGGGCTCACTTCTCCTTCAAAAAGGCTGAAGAAATGAACACTCTCTATTTGCATGCCCTTACAAAATATAATTCAGTGCCCCATCATTATTTTGCATGTCAGAAAACTGCTGACGACAGCACGATGCCATGGTACAGAAACGCAGAACCAAACAAGGAATGATGTGGAGTTGTTATTTCTATGACTGCCCTTTGGCAAAGGCCATCTCCAGGCCAGTGGAAATGGGACAGTAAGCACTGAGTAAGCCTGCAGTCTCTGGAAGCAGCAGCCAACTGGGGGCCTCGGCAGTCTTCCAACCTACCTTTTATTTCCTCAAACTGTAGGTTAGGTACGCTCAGAGCAGTAATATCATCAGACCTCAGATTCCTGCCTTAGAAAACCTGGCTGTGCCTGGGAAATGTCACTATTGCCAAAGCTAATCTCACCAAACATTCAGGCTGGTGTTTATTTACCCTTGGAAATATGTGTACGTATGGGTGCCTGAATATAAACAGTCCTAGATGGAAAAGTGTCCATTAAACTGGCAAATACATGTGCCATAAATACATGCAGTTTAAGAATCAACCAGAAGATACTTAGATAAAATCAGAAACAAGAAAGTGTCCAAGGATGGTATTTTCTTAAGCTTCAATTACAACATAGGTTGTTCTCTCTCTCTTTGTCTTTCTGCCTCCCATGTCTACTTCATTTCACTTTTCTTCTCCTACTGTGCTCTACAATTTCTATTACATACAACTTTCCTGGTCAATACCAGTGCCTTCTCCACCTTGGCCCAACCTGTAGCAAGAAAAGCCAACCGTAGAAATGACACCGCCACAAGACTGCAAGATGAGCAAAAGAGTCAGGTATGGTTCATCAAGTGGAGGCGTCACAATTTCGCCTCCCACGTCTGTACAGCCTCAGGAAAGCGCAGGACTACATATATATATATATGTGTGTGTGTGTGTGTGTGTGTATATATATATGTGTATATATATATATGTATATATATGTGTGTATATATATATATATTTTAAAAGATATATAGATTTGAAAGTGCATGCTGACATACATGGACAAAGAATAATTCTTTAAAGTACTCAGTACCACAGGCTATAGAGAACAGATCTTATAAGAAAAAAAAAAGATCAATATAAAGAAAAAAATGCTCTAGATGTAATTGAAGTCATACATTTGTACATGACCCCTGCTATATGCCCAATTACTGCTATTTATCAAAGAGTAGACAACATTCAACCTGGCAGCATGAAAAACAAATTTCACTAAGTCAGAAGGAAAAAAAATCATCAGAAAGGGAAAGAAAAAAAAAGATACAAATAATAAATAATTCAATATTCTTGAGGAAAGCTCTTGCAGAAAAGGCCTGGTTGATTCAAACATCAGACATGAGTCTGACAAGAGATGTATCGATTTAGACAATTCTATCATCATTATTCCAGCCGGAGTCCTTCACAAAAGCTGCTCTTTTTGCTCCTGTTTTTATTGCTGTAACTACCAACCTCCTTCTTATACCTCAATCTCTTTGAACCAGTATTCATTACAGCTTAAATCTTAAGCCTAAGCATAAGATGATAAACAGATTCCATGTCTCATGTTTGGGAGGCAAGGGCTTAGCTTCCTTAAAATCTAATAGGACGAGAGGCTATTTACAATCTGCTGAGAATTTCCACACTCTACGGAATAGGTCATGTGCCCCATCTGTATAATTACCACGGCAGAATATTTAGACTGGAGAGAGAGCATATATCCAAAGCAAACGTTACCCACATCTAACAAAGAGTTGTCAAACGCTGAACAGGAAGGCTGACAACAAATGTACCCTCATTTGTTACTTTAAAGGCTATGAAAAGAAACAGTGACAACATATATCACTAATGATTTCATTCTCTTCCCAGTTTCTGCCCAAACTGGGTTCTAAAACCATACTTATTCTTCCAACCAAAACAATTAAAAAAAAAAAAAAAAAAAGGAAGAAAGAAAGAAAACAGATCCTTTTAGGTCAATGCAGGTTGCTAAAATACAGTGGTATAATTAGTGGAGAAAAGAAAAAAAAGGACATGCCTCCATTAGGCATCTGGAAAAAGCAGAACTATTTCTTCAGTGTGCGATGTGTTAATTACAACCAGATAGGAGGTGCCACGGAAAATTAACAGTCTTGCAAAATGCAGGAGAGGTAAACAGACAAAACAGGAACTACTGGAGGGTCGGGAGAGCAAGTCAATTTTGAAGAAAGATAAAAGAACTGTCATGTCCCTGAGGGCTGCGGAGAGGGGAAAGGGCAGGGGGCCCTGTTATCAACAGCTAATTAGGCAGGAGGTCCAAGCTTGCATATGCCGCAACATTTGCCATGGTAATCAGATGTATTATTCAAATGCGCAGGAAAACAAAAGCCGTGGTGGGCCTGACAAGGCACAATACAATCTGCCCCCTCAAAGGTGCCGGTTGCATTGCGCCAAGGCGGGAGTGGGATGCTGGCCCCTCTGCATTCACAAGCGAGGTGTCCAGCTTAAATTCAGATGAGAGACAGTGGAGACTCCTGGAATTGAATATGCTTCTGTCTGTGTTTGATGCCCAGCTAAGGGGAGTGTCACTGTTGCAATGATTGAAGAGGAACAACAGGTAAAGGGACAAGGCAGCAACCAACAAGACTAAGGACATGATAAAAACAACTCTTGGCTGGGGGTGGGGGACGGTGGTGGTGCTCACGCTTGTAATCCCAGCACTTTGGGAGGCCACGGTGGGTGAACTGCTTGAGCCCAGGAGTTCCAGACCAGCCTGGGAAACATGGCGAAACCCTGTCTCTAGTAAAAATACAAAAAAAACTATCTGGGCGTGGTGACGAACACCTGTAGTCCCAGCTACTCCAGGGGCTGAAGTGTGAGGAAAGCATGAGCCCGGGAGGTCAAGGGTGCAGTGAGCTCTGATTGTGCCACTGCACTCCAACCTGGGTGACAGACTGAGACCCTTTCTCAAAAACAAAACAAAACAAACAGAAACAACAACAAAAAAAAACCTCGACTCTTAGTGGCTCTGGAAGAGTCAATGCCTTCCTTTAGAGGAGAGAAGAGAAAAAAGAGGTGAGAGAGACAGAGGAAGACAGAGAAAGACAGAGATAGAGACACAGACACAGTGAGAGAGAGGAGAAAAGAGGATAAGACCATAAAGTATTAGTTCTAGAGAGCAGATAGCATCAATTTTTTTTCCAGGTTTGCAAAAGTAAGGGAGTAAAAATTCTTCAATATCTAAGATCCAATCTAATCTAATAATACTCTGTGGCAACGAACAGTTCAGCCAAATATTGTTTGGGTCTTTCATACCCAATGTCTACTGACTATTTACAGGTAGAGACTTTAATGGCATCAGATAAGCCATCAGGAAAACAGAAATGTTGTGTCAGGCAGAGACACAGAATGCGTAATCTCCATCTCAGATGCCTGGCTCACGCCCTAAAGGGGCAGTGGTCACCTCATTTAATGAAAAGTCTCCTGGACACCATGGGACATGGGCAAGTATCAAAGCTGTTTGCCACACAAGACACCAGGAGATGCTTTGCCCTGTGAAAATTGGGCATGAAGTCCCCCACTCAAACAGACAACATGCAGTCCTTTCTGGTATACTCTGGAAGACCTGGTTTACCTCTGGCAAACCTCTTCTGCAATAACTTTTTAACCAGTATGGGGCATGGAGGCTTCTGGGGTGGAAACTATGGACCAGCAATGGAAACTAGTCCTCTTATCCTCAAGCTCAGCATGGCTAATGGACCTAGGTTGGCCGTGGGGGAGAGGTGAGGTTAGGAATGGAGGGTTGGGCAGAGAGTGACAGGGAGTGTCTTGGCCTCCAGTGACTGAATGTGATCTGAAAATCTATAGAGGACCTCCACACAGTGACATCTGGAGCCCATCTGTGGGATGAGGGTGGTTGTGGTGATTGGGTGATAGGCTGCATACTAGGGCCAACAGGGTACCTAATCCAGAAGTCTCAACCCAATACATCTGCAGGAAAAGGGAGATGGGAGATGACAGAGGAACGAAAGTGCGTCAAGAAGTGAAGTAGACAATCAAGCTCTGTGTGAGGACTAATTCTGCAACCACACACATGCACAGAGGGTGACCAACATGAAGCCTTTCACATACTTTTTATATAGCATTCTTGAAATGACAAAATTATAAAGATGGAGAACACATTAAGGTTTCCTGAGATATGGAGCAGGGAGGGAGGTCACTGCAGGGACGAAAGAGTAGAGCCTAGGATCTTTGTGATGGAGCTATGATGTATGTTGGCTATGGTGGCTATCACAGGAGGCTACATGGGTGAGACATTGCAGAGAAGTGAACACACACACACACACACACACACACACACACAATACCATGTGAAGCTGGTGAAATCCGAATAAGGCGGATGCATTGGATCAAGGTCAGTTTCCTGGTGGTGGTGGTGTACTTTGGTTATATAAGATGTTACCACTGGGGAAACTGGGGGAACAGGATATGGGGTCATCTCTTTTTTTTTTTTTTCTTTGACACAGAGTCTCGCTCTGTTGCCCAGGCTGGAATGCAGTGGAACAATCTCACCTCACTGCAACCTCCACCTCCCAGGTTCAAGTGATTCCCCTGTCTCAGTTTCCTAAGTAGCTGTGGTTACAGGCACACACCACCACGCCCAGCCAGTATTTTTTGTATTTTTAGTAGAGATGGGGTTTCACCATGTTGGCCAGGATGGTCTCAAACTCCTGACCTCAGATGATCCACCCGCCTCCGCCTCCCAAAGTGCTGGGATTACAGGTGTGAGCCACCATGCCCGGACTCTTTGTGCTATTTCTTAAAATTAAATATAAATGAACAATGAACTCAATCATTTAAAAAAAATTTAGGCAAAGTGTAAGTTTACGAGCCCCACACTGGAATCTCAGGGCTCCTACCTGCCAGCTATGAGTTCTTGGACACATTACTTCTCTAAGCCCCAGTTTTCTGCTATAAAATGTGGATAATAAGGACACCTCCTTCAGAGGGTTGTTGTCGGGGATTGAATGAGATAATATGTGTTACGTGCATAGACCAAACCTTGGCATTTAGTAGGGAGTTGATACATGATATCTACTCACTATCGTCATTGTCATTATTATTCACAACTAGTGTCCACATATATGTGGAAAGAAAAAAAAACATCCCTAAAGTCGCTTGCCTTTTACTCATTAATATTTTCTCAGAGATTAAATGGGTATCCATTGCCACTGGGGTCCTCTGGTTTTCAATGACTGGGAATCGTGGGTGCTTTTCTATATGCACTATCCATGAAGACAAGAAGGCTGTCCCCAGAAGAGGATCTTGCACTTTTACATTAGCCCCGATCTTCTGTTTACAATTGTCCCCATCTTGTCTACAAGGCCCCCCTCCCAGCACACCATGTACCCACTTTCCTGTACATCACTTCCTCCCTCTAACAATCAGCAGAGGTTGGGGGTGACTCCCAGGCACTCAATCATATCAGTAAGCATGAGAGAGAAGAACTACAGGGAATAAAAACCTCTATTCTGATCAAATTAGTTGGGCATGGATCAACAGAAAGCTTTGACTTGTCCGTAAGCTCAGAGTCTCTGGATTCCGGGCACAGAGTAGTCTGAGAGACACAGAAAGGGAGAGCGAGGGGAGAAATAATATCTGTTTCCTTGGCACAGAGATTTCCTTTTATTGAATCTGTCACTTCCCATTTCAGTTAACAAACTGCTGAATGGAGCTCATCATTGGGCAAATATTACAGCTCCATGGAATACAAAATGGGAGCAATCGTTTCAGATTGGGGGGCTGGAGGTTTAATAAGAAAGAAAGGACAAGAAGAGAAAAAGAGGCCTGAGTACTCTGCATGTCAAAGAGGAGATCATCTCTGCAAAGATGAAGTTCGGGAAAGAAGAGAGAAGACAGTCCTAAGTTTCACTTGATTTTTTTTTCTCCTAAACCACTACCAGCCCAAGCTTCGTAGCAAGCGTAACTGGGCCCAAAGTTATCACAGCAAATGCACAAAAAGGACAGTTCCATCTTCCCGGGAGAGGATGCTAAGTTTAGAGTCAAATAACTTTGGAAAGAAGGGCCTGGAAAGATATATATATACTCTTATTTTCTTCCACTTTCCTGCACTGGAAAATTAACGTAACCATTGCTGGGTAGAGAAGAAATGGTAGCCCTTTTCTTGCCTTCTTGGAATTCAACTAGTGCTTCTTGGTAGAGGGTGGCACTTTTAAGAGAGAGAACAGAGAATACAATGCTGGGAACCTACTGTGTTCTTAATAATATTACGTATATTATAAATTTTGTGTGTCACCCCAAATCACAAAGCCAGAAAAGTGGACAGGTGGGTTTCAAACCCAGTTTGGATGCCAGGGCCTGTGCTTATTCCACATTGCCATTCTGTCTGCCTTCTCCATAGGTTGGTCCGTTACTCATTGCTGGGAAATTCAGTAATCTCTTACATGAGCTTGAAGTTCATCATGACCACAAACTTCAAGTGCACTGGCTCAGAGCTACCCTCTAGATCTGTATTTTGATACCAGAACTCCATCTGGTTCCACAGGCAGAAGATATGGATTTATCTTGGATTATAATGCTAGCCAGTGGTACCTGTCATTGGATGCATATCAGATGCATCATCTGAGAAAACCTTAATACCCCAGACACTCAGTTCCTGCCTCTGGGACATTTGAAGGCACAGCCAGGATTGTAAGCCATGGGGCATGGCAATATAATAAATACAGAAAATGGTAACAAAATAATTAGTTCCTTAAGAGGATTACAGTTGGTACTGCTAATGACTTTGGAAATGAAGTCTGAATCTTTGTATGTCAGAGGCTGTAGAGTATAGAAAGAGCCATCTTTGGCCATTCACTATGTGATCATATAAGCTCCTCACAACTCCCCTCATCTGTAATGTTGGGATGAAACACCTTCCCTTGCATAATCTGTTACAGGGATTAGAAATAAGGGCTGGGCGCCGTGGCTCACCACCTGTAATCCCAGCATTTTAGAAGGCTGAAGGAAACGGATCACCTGAGGTCAGGAGTTCAAGACCAGCCTGGCTAACATGGCAAAACCCCATCTCTACTAAACATACAAAAATTGGCCAGTCATGGTGGCACACGCCTGTAATCCCAGCTACTCTGGAGGCTGAGGCACAAGAATCGCTTGAACCCGGGAGGCGGAGGTTGCAGTGAACTGAGATCGCATCACCACACTCCAGCCTGGGTGACAGAGTGAGCTTTGATCTCAAAATAAATAAATAAATAAAATAAAATAAAAACAATATTTGAAAAACATTGTGTTTGGGATATGGTAGACCTTCAACAAGTTCCTACTATATTGGTTGGAAAGTCACACTTTTCTATCAAAAGAAAAACACTCAAGATGACTACTACAGATCTGTGTTAAATTCTGTGGCTCACATTAGAAAGAATCACATTTTAATTGAAGATTTTTCAATATTTTTCTTCCTTTATTCCATCTTTCCTCTCATGTAATCTTCTCAGAAAGACTTTTGACCACCAATCTATCTTCTTACCTTACTTTTACTCCAACTTTGTACCACTTCCCATAACCTGGCCAGTGAACATAGAGTTCCTTGTGTAAGGCAGGCTGCCAATCATCTCCACCAAGGTGAGCACTCGGTTTTGTCCATTTCTGTATCCCTACCACCTGCAATCCCATCTTGGTGCATGGAAGTGTATGTGAAACACTTGTTGGATAACTAAGTGAAGAACGAATGAATGGATTGTCTGTAGACCCCTTGAATTGGGATTTTCTGGTTTCTTTGTAACATGTACAGATTCTTATCTCACTCCCAAATTTGATGAGTAAGAGTCTTTGGAGGCAGGGTCAGGACTCTGCACCTCCACATCTCTGCAGGAGGTGATGATAGTCACCAACATCTGAGAACCATCTCCTTGGAGTTTGGAAAGTAATTACTAATGAGCTGTTACAATGTGCCAGGCTCTGCACTTAACGAATGCAAATCCAATTAATCCTCGCAAAAGCCAAAGTGATGAGTCTCATCAACCTCAATTTATAGGGTAGAAACCAAGTTCATGGGCTTCATGAGAGGTACCTGGGATCCAGCTCTACAAAGCTACAAGGAAAATACTCTTGTCATTAAACTGAGCTCTTAAACCAAGTAACCCCCTTTGCTTGTTTGAATCCTATCCATTTCTGAATGCCACACCCGCTGAGGAATACTTTTTTGACATTTATGTTAGAAAACAGGCAACCAGTGCCTGGGAATAGCAAGAGGACAAGCAAAGGGGCAGGCAGGGGGCAGGGGGGTGGCAGCAAAGCGTGGAATCTATGGCGGAATGGATGGCAGCCTTACAAGGAGACAGAGGGCATCTCAGTGGCTTGCAAAGTGTGGTCCCCAGGCTGGTAGTGTTGACCTCACCTTGGATCTTGTGAGAAATGCAAAGTTTCTGGGCCCCATCCCAGACCCAGTGAATCAGGAACTCTGGGGGTCAAGGCTGGACATCTAGGTTTTAACAAGTGATTCAGGGATGTGTGGGACCCATTGCTACAGAGGAAGACTGGGGAAGGGAGGCAGGGGGTCAGATGCAGGAGGGTGGCCAGGGGAGAGGAATGGTTTACAGGCGAGAATCAGTGTTGAGGCACAAAGAGGTTACCAATGCTTCTGGGTAGTGATGTCAAGGTGTCTCAATGGTGTGTCCTGGGAAAAGCTGGTGTTATGAAAGGAATTGTCATCAGGGAGGCTTGTGACCTACATTTTTTTTCCCCATCACTGCTTCTCAAGTAAAATAATTCCATAATTTATTTTTTTATTTTTTATTTTATTTTTATTTTTATTTATTTTTATTTTGTTTTGAGACGGAGTCTCGCTCTTTCGCCCGGGCTGGAGTGCAGTGGCGTGATCTTGGCTCACTGCAAGCTCCGCCTCCCGGGTTCACGCCATTCTCCTGCCTCAGCCTCCCGAGTAGCTGGGACTGCAGGCGCCCACCATGGCGCCTGGCCAATTTTTTATATTTGTAGTAGAGACGGGGTTTCACCGTGTTAGCCAGGATGGTCTCGATCTCCTGACCTCGCAGTCCGCCTGCCTCGGCCTCCCAGAGCTCTGGGATCACAGGCGTGAGCCACCATGCCCAGTCGTAATTCCATGATTAAATCAGCCTGGGAAAATCTGAATTTAAAAAAGCCATACAAATTTGTTTATGCTGTTTACCATGGGGTAAAAGCCTTTGGGAGTCTAACAGACATGGGAGAAATCTAAGATAGAATGCTTTGTATTACTAAGTGAGAAACGCTATAAACACGAAATCTAGAAAGTATTTGATTAGTCCATATTTTTTGTGTGGGCTTATGTTTATTTTCCCTTTTTAAAAATAAAATTTTAATTGCAGCATACTTTTCGATTTACAGAAATGTTGTGAAGTTTGTACAGAGAATTTCCATGTACTCCACAATTTCCCCTATTATTAACTTTTTTTTTTTTTTTTGGCAGAATGTCACTCTGTTGCCCAGCCTGGAGTGCACTGGTGCGATCTCGGCTCCCTGCAACCTCTAGCTCCTAGGTTCAAGTGATTCTCCTGCCTCAGCCTCATGAGGAGCTGAGATTACAGGCACACGCCACCACGCCTGGCTAATTTTTGTATTTTTAGTAGAGATGGGGTTTCACCATGTTGGCCAGGCTAGTCTGGAACTCCTCAGGTAGTCCTCCAAAGTACTGGGATTACAGCCGTGAGCGACGGTGTCCAGCCAATTTTCACTATTATTAACATCTTACAGTAGCATGGTACATGTTCACAACTAAGGAACCACTATGAATACATCACGATTAACTACAGCCTATACTTCGATTGCTTTAGTTTTCATCTAATGTCCTTTTTCGGCTCCAGGATCCCATCTGAGACACCACATGGCATCTGGGCGGCCGTGACTCTGAAGTTTCTTCTTGTCTGTGATAGTTTCTCAGATTTTCCCTATCTTTTTTTTTTTTTTTTTTTTTTGAAAGGAGTTTTGCTCTTGTTGTCCAGGCTGGAATGCAATGGCATGATCTTGGCTCACCACAACCACTGCTTCCTGGGTTCAAGTGATTCTCCTGCCTCAGCCTCCCACGTAGCTGGAATTACAGGCATGCGCCACCACGCCCAGCTAATTTTTGCATTTTAATAGAGACGGGGTTTCTCCATGTTGGTCAGGCTGGTCTCAAACTCCCAACCTCAGGTGATCCACCCACCTTGGCCACCCAAAGTGCTGGGATTACAGGTGTGAGCCACCACGCCTGGCCTGACATTCCCCGTCTTTGATCACCTTGACAGTCAGATATTTTGCACGATGTCCCTCAACTGGAAGTTGACTGATGTTTTTCTTACAATTAGACTGGGGTTATAGATTTGGGGGAAGAAAAGAGTTATTCCATTTTTAAACAGTACTTCCCATTTTCATGTGTTCAACATCTTTGCTAAGTCTGTTAGGGCCCTGTCTCCTCTCTGAAAGACCGGGTGAAATTTAGAGAAGGAAGAGTGTAGAACTGAAATTCCATACACTGTCGGGGAAACTAATGTGGAATTGTGGCTAAACTGAGGAGGATGAGACCTGATGGCTCTTGCTTAACACACAACCCTCAAGACAAAGTTCTTTGTCACCCATTCTTAGAATTCAAAGTTGATTGGCCAGGTGTGGTGGCTGTAATCCCAGCACTTTGGGAGGCTGAGAAGGGCAGATCACCTGAGGTCAAGAGTTCAAGACCAACCTGGCCAACATGACAAAACCCCGTCTCTACTAAAAATACAAAAATTGGTCAGGCATGGTGGCTCACGCCTGTAGTCCCAGCTACTCGGTACGCTGAGGCACAAGAATTGCTTAAACTCAAGAGGCAGAGGGTGCAGTGAGCCAAGATCACACCACTGTACTCCAACCTGGGTGACAGAGTGAGACTCTGTCTCGAAAAATAAATAAATAAATAAATAATTCAAGTTGATTACTAGGTGAAGAGTAGATCGATGGAACTTATTAGTACTCCCCACAATTAGGGTGATTTACACACACACACACACACACACACACACACACACACACGTGAAAACTCATGATCCTCAAGCCTGATGAAAATGCAGGCCCCTCTGTGGGAATTAGGAGCATCAGTCTAAAACTGTTATCCAACCAAGAGAGGAGGATAGGGGTTAACAGAAGAGACCTCAGTTTGTTTTTTTGTTGTTTTGTTTTGTTTTTGGGATAGAGTTTTGCTCTTGTTGTCCAGGCTGGAGTGCAATGGCACAATCTTGGCTCACTGCAACCTCTGCCTTCTGGGTTCAAGTGATTCTGCTGCCTCAGCCTCCTTACTGGGATTACAGGCACGCACCACCACTCCCAGCTAATTTTGTATTTTTAGTAGAGACCGGGTTTCTCCATGTTGGTCAGGCTGGTCTCGAACTCCCAACCTCATGTAATCCACCCACCTTGGCCTCCCAAAGTGCTGGGATTACAGGCGTGAGCCATCACGCTCAGCCGAGGCTGCAGTCTTAAGGTCCTGGGTTTTAATCCCAGTTTTGCCATTTAGTGTCATTGGGCAAATTATTCCCACAGCTCAGCATCCTTATTTGTCAAGTGAGAGCAATAACAGTATCTGTAATAGACAGTGGCTGTGTTGGTCTAAGGAGCCAACACATATGCAGTGCCTACAGCACTGTGCCTGGACCATAGCGGTCACCCAGCGCAGATGAGCTATTATGTGTACAATTATTAAGTTGCGCTGTAGGAAAGTGACATTTATGTAGGTTAACAATTGTCAAATGACAGCAATTTCCTATGTTCAATCTACTACTATCATCATCATCATCATCACTGAAGACTCCAATGTAAGATGCAGCTTTAATTGCAGCTGAAGGGACCCTGGTATTGCAGCCATCCAGCTGTGTCCCCTGGTCCTCTTCCTGGTCTCACTGTTAGAGAAATGTCAGCTCAGACCACAGGCACAGCCTCCTCGATAAGACCCCTCCCCTCATTTAAGACATTGCCGGAACTCCATTTTTCCACACTTCAATTTCTTCATTGCCCAGCCTCTGCCATATCAAAGCAATGGGACTAAAGAGAAATTTCACAGCTCCTGACCTTCAGCAAGGAATGCCCAGAGCAAGGAATGAATGAAGCATGTTGAAGTTTCATGAATTTTTCTAGAAAATCTAACTTCCAACGAAATCAAGGTGGTGATGGGGTTAAGGGAATAGCCAAGGATAGAAGGTCTGGCCTATAGTGATTGGATTACATCTGATGGTATGTGGCTCCTTATTAAGACCATCCAAACGAACGTAATATGTATTACGCACACATACATATTCAATGCACAGACATACACTGCTTAGGATAGTGCAAAATAATCGAAACCAGGAACAACTGGCAACAGCTTTCTAATAGAATTGTGTTCAGGAGCCCTGTGCTGTTTTCTGCATTCTGTGACAATGGGGACGGGGAAAGAAATGCCATTCTCCAACCACTAAAAATAAATACTTGTGTTATATTCTGTTGCCTCCACAATGAATAAAACAGGCATGTGGGTTTATAATATCAATTCACAGGGCTCTTTCTGCTCCAGTGAACTGTTACTGAACGGTTCAGAACAAAGCTACAGGCAGATCGGACAAAGCTCCTCTAACAGGGTTGACATTAGGCTCAGCCTGATAAGACCACATCAGAGAGATTCTCATTCTCCAGACTCTCTGATCACAGCAGCCTGAGACGGAGAGGTCCTCCAGCTCCCGGAACCTGATCACAGGCCGGATTCTGCTGATCTGGCTTAGAGCGACAGCGCAGCTCAGGGTTATCGGGAAAAGCTGGAGGAGTTCAAGGCAATCTCGTCTTTGCAGTGCATTTAGACATGAAGAAAAGCCCAGCCCAGGAGAAAGTAGGGGAAGAATTGACGGGCGGGGATGCAAAAAGAAAAGAAGAAAAGTTCACCTGGGATGACAACATGCAATGATTTACATGAAAGGTGCCAAGCGCTTCCAACACCATACCTCTAGAACAATGGTTCTTATCTGGGGAATATGTTAACCACCCCCCTGCCCCCATGCCTTAGGGACAATGGCAGTATCTGGAGACATTTTCGGTAGTAACAACACAACAAGGAGGGAGGGGATGCTACTGGCATAAAGTGGATAGGAGGCCAGGGATGCTGTTCAATATCCTACAATGCATGGGATGTCTACCTATAACAAAAAAGTACATGTTCGGCCTAAAATGTCAATGGTGGAGAAACGTGCTGTAGGAGATAGCAGCCTTGATTGCTCCTCTAGACCAAGATAAGGTCTTATTAAATTAAATTATCAAGTCAGTTATCAGGAACAGCAATCGCAATACTCAGGACAATCGATGGGCAGTCTAGAGAGATGAAAAGTGTCGGGAATTAGCTACTTCTCAGCAGATCAAACAGACGTTATAATTTAAGGATATTTACGGAATATTTTCAGAGATGCACTGTTTCTCCCATTCATCTCTGTGCAGTGACAGTTTTGAATGGTTTACTGTGCTCAGACACAGTCTAACATTTTTTAAAATTTCAAAATGAATACAGTCGCCGTATTAAAAGTTCTTCTGCTGTATTGTCATCTACAAGTCACTGCAGTGAAGCACAATTTATCTCACTAAACATAGCTGAGAAAAAAAAATCTAAATGATTTGAGTGTCAGTCTCCCTTAACTTGAGACTTTTATTATTTGCAGTAAGACGTTCAATAGGAGGTTGTCACAAATACTGTAATTCAAAGAATGTGTATGTTCTGACCCCCATGTTGTGAGAGTGTTGTGTTCTGGTTAATCAACCTTTCTGTCCTCCCTAAGGGAGCTTGCCAGCATCCAGTTGTGTAAAGCAAGGGTTATCAGTTTCTTTTTTTCTGTAAAGAGCCACGGAATAAATATTTTAGGCACTGTGGGCCATACATTCATTGTGATTATTCAATTCTGCCATTGCGGCCCAAAAGCAGCCACCCACGATTGGTAAACAAATGGGCATGGCTGTGTTCCCATAATGTTCTGTCTAGGAAAATAGTCCGCAGGCCAGATTAGGTCCCAGGGCCATAGTTTTCCCACCCCCAGTGAAATATGAAAACCTGTACAACACCAGAGTGTAATGGAATAGACTGAATCTATGAAGATACAGAAGGCACTGTGAAGACTTGCACAGTCTCTAGGTTATTATTCTGCATATCAACCAGCATTGTATTAAGGTGAATGTTAACGGCAATTAAGATAATAGGTATGCTGCCATATTTTGGTTGCTATAATAAGCAGTCTTTCTTCTGTATTTCTATTGAACACTGCTCTTACCTTCCCTACAAAAACTAACACAGGAAATACAAACTGTGCCCCTACCACCCCACTTACCAGGCAACATAGCAGCCTCTGGGGATACAAAGATGCATATGATTGATGATAATCATACCTGTCTGAGAATAATTAGTATCATGGCTTCTTTTTGCTGTGTGCCATTCTTCTCTGCACCACACACATACACACACACACACACACACACACACACACACCCATACAAATCCCTTGAAGTCAAAATTCTATGCTTTTCCTTTACTTTATTCCCATTATCCCTAGCAGTGGCAGCTCTAAACTACCTGTGGTAGCCAGAGTAACATCCTTCTCCCAAACATGCTCATGTCCTAATCCTCACTTTACCTGGCAAGAGGGAGTTTATGGATGTGATTCAAAGACTACAAATCAGATTCAGTGTATACTGCTCTGGTGATGGGCACACCAAAATCGCACAAATCACCACTAAAGGTGACTCATGTAACCAAATACCACCCGTTCCCCCAAAAACCTATGAAAATAAAAAACATTAAGATCAGGGTCTCGAGATGGGGAGATTATCTTTGATTATCTTAGGGTTAGTCAGCATACTCACTTGGGTCCTTAAGAGATCACAGGACATACAAACGCAGAGGCAGAGACAGAGAGAGATTTGAAAATGCTACACTGATAGCATTGGAGACGGAGGAAGGGGCCATGAGCCAAGGAAAGCAGGTGGCCTCTAGAAACTAGAAAATGCAAGGAAATGGACTTTCCCCTAGATTTCCAGAAGAAACAGCCCTGCAGAAGCCTCAAGTTTAGTACAGTAAGACCTACTTCAGTCTTTTTGCCTCTGGAACGCTAAGAGAGTCACTCTGTGATGTTGTAAGCCACGGAATTTGTAGTAATTTGCCAAAGCAGTAACTGAAAAGGGACTCAGAAGGTGTCAGGTAACAATCTGCCATGTGGGTGCGTGGTCACTTTGGAAGGCAGAGAGTTTTAGAGGCAGGCCAACACTGGATTCCGGAAAGTTTGTATTTTTTAATTGTTTTTCCTTCTAAATGTTTTTGCATCACTCTCTAATTTACTGTCCACTCAAAAGCAAGATTCGAAAGTAGGTTTTCTTTTGGAAACCCACATCCATCCACCCTCTGGGCCACAGGGTGACACAGTAAAAGGAAGGGACTGGATGAAAACAAGGCTCCCATACGTAGTAGCCAGGTATTCTGAACAAGGAAAGCAAGAGCTCTGGGCCTCGGTTTACTCTTCTATAACGCAGTGCAGTAATCCCACTCAACATTATTTCTGTAAGGATTAGAAACCGTATGAACAAGGTATTTGGCACATAGTAGGCCCATGGCATATGGCAACTCTTCTTTAATCCTTGGTGGGGATGTTACCTTGGTGAGGCATGATGTTTAGGTGTCATGATCTAGATGAGGTTTTCTGGAAAAACCACAGTTTCAAAGATTGTACTCTGTGTTTTGGGCAATGCGGGTATCTTGCCAAGAAAGCCTTCACCTCCAGAATGGGGTTTCTCCCCTTCCCTTCACTATTGCCAATATTTCAAACCAGGTAATTCTTTGTTGTGGGGGATATGCTCTGTGTGTTGCAGGATCAATTGCAGCATCTCAGGCTCTACCTACTCGATGTCAGTTGCATCCCTCAACTGCCCAGTCGTGACAACTAAAAATGTCTCTGGACATGGCCAAATGCACCCTGGGGACACAGAGCCACAACTGCCTGAGAATCACAGACCTAGGACTGTGATCTCAATGCTCCAGGTATGGAAGAGTGGAAAGGAAACAGGTGTTAGAAGGAACTACCTTTACTTACCAGGCAAAAACCCTAGCACTGAGAACCCCCTCTGTGTCATCCAAGCTTACTGTCCACTTTCTGGTAACAGGGAAGGCTGACCACAGGTGCAGCTGGGACCTGAGTTGCAGCCTGGATCCGCACAGCCTTGCTTGCTCTGATTCCTCCAATATAACAATGTGTGAGCAGATCCAAAGGCACATCAAAAATGTGTTTATTTGAAATGTGAGGCATGAGGCGCACACGGGAGGCATATTTAAACGTGCAAGGAAGAGGGTTGCTCCGGTCAGCATAACTCATTTAATTGCTGCCTTCAGAACAGCCCGAGTGTTCCAGAGCAGCTGGGAACACACTTCGCCCGGAGCTCAGCTCCGCTCAATGTTCTCTGGCAACACCTGGTGGAACAGGGAAAAAACTGCACAGCGCCTTGGAGTGAACTGCTGCATCTGCTAATCTCATCGCAGCTGAAGGCTTTCCAGCGGCAAAGGTTTGCAGCGGGGGGGCTACCAGGAGAGGCCCTGCCTCTGGGCTGGCATCAGCGCTGCGCCGTGCTAATTTCTGCTGTTTTCCTTTCTACTTTACCAAGCAGAAAACAAACACTGCTGTATCGTCAAGAGCTTTCTTGCTAGAATGAGGAAATAAATTGCAACTGCAGCCTCACTGGAGATTTTTCTCTAGGATGGGCCCAGAAAGCTCTCAAGAATCACCCTGCAACCTGGCAAGCATGCACTGCCCAGCTTTGAAAACACACCCTTATGCGTTATTACCGTAACCGAAATAATACCCTTTGTGGTGTAGCAGGCATCTTTCCTGCTGTGGAGTAAAATCATCTCTACTAGAGGGAGTAGACATGAGAAACGAGGACCTACGCCCACATATCTACTCACTGGAAATAAAATCCATTGACCCAGGAACGCCATCCTGAACGGCACCCCTCACCCAATTCATAACACATTCCAGGAGAGCCCACATCTGTTTCTGCGTCAGTGAAAAGGGAATGATAACCTATTGTGCATTCTACCTGATAAAGACGTGACAACAAGGAATCAGATAATTAAAAAGTGCATTCGGTTTTGTTTGTTTGTTTGTTTGTTTTTTCTGAAAAAGCATTCTTTTAATATCCACAGACTTGCTACCTATTTCCAACGCTGGCAGCACAGCATGACTGAGAGACAGGGTCTCTTCTGAGGTGTAGGTACTGGTCACTCAGGTGTAAATTATTTACATTCTTTAAGCCTTTACTTTTTGAACTGTGAAGCAGAAATGATAATAGCACCTATCTATGGAGGTCATTTATGCCAAGTGCTTCACGCAGTGCCTGCCAGAAAATGTTAACAGGAGCCGTCATCATTCACCTCTAAGAAGCTATCACTGGATGTCAGAAGCTTGGAGGCCTGTCCCTGATAGGTCAGTGACCTACAAGGTGACACTAAATAAATTCCTATGTCGGCTGGGCACGGTGGCTTATGCCTGGAATCCCAGCACTTTGGGAGGCTGAGGCAGGCAGATCACCTGAGGTCAGGAGTTAGAGACCAGCCTGACTAACATGGTGAAACCCCGTCTGTACTAAAAATACAAAACTTAGCCAAGTATGGGGTCTCACACGTGTAATCACAGCTACTCAGGAGGCTGAGGCAGGAGAATCGCTTGAACCTGGGAGGTGGAGGTAGCAGTGAGCCGAGAATGAGTCACTGCACTCTAGCCTGGGTGACAGAGTGAGACTCCGTCTCAATAAAATAAAATAAAATAAAATAAAATAAAATAAAATAAAAGGAAATGAAATCAGGATATGCACTCCCATGTTCACTGCGGCATATTCACAATAATAAAAACAACTTAAGCACCCATTAACAAATGAATGAATTAAAAAGGTTATATATATATATAAAAGAATAATATTTAATTAAAATTTATGTACGTACTAGAATATTATTCATCTATTAAGAAAACAAGGAGCCCCGGCATGGTGGCTCACGCCTATAATCCCAGCACTTTGGGAGGCTGAGGTGTGTGGTTCACCTGAGGTCAGGAGTTCGAGACCAACCTGGCCAACATGGTGAAACCCTGTCTCTACTAAAAATACAAAATTCACATGGAGTAGTGGCAGGTGCCTGTAATCCCAGCTATTCAGGAGGCTGAGGCAGGAGAATCACTTGAACTTGGGAGGCGGAGGTTGCCCTGACCTGAGATTGTGCCATTGCACTCCAGACTGGGCAAAAAAAAAGTGGGGGGGGGGGGATTCTCTCATTTGCAATAATATGGGTGAACCTGGAGGACATTATGCTAGAGAAAATAAACCAGACACAGAAAGACAAACGCTGTAAGATCTCACTTACATGCAGGATCTAAAACACTCAAATTCGTAGGAATAGACAGACAGGAGAAGAGTGGTTGCCAGAGGCTGAAGGGAGCAGGGAATGGGGAGATGTTAGTCAAAGAATACAAAATTTCAGTTATCCAAGATGACTGAATTCTAGACGTCTAATGTATAGCACGGTGACTACAATTAATGATACTGTATTGTATACTTGAAGTTTGCTGAGAGACTAGATTCTAAGTGATCTCACCAAAAAACGGAACTCTGAGCTGATAGATACCTTCACTGGATTCAGAGTGGTGGTCACTGCATAATGTATACATATATCAAAATATCAAATGGTATACCTTAAATGTACATAATTTATATTTGTTAATTGTACCCCCATAGAGCCGGGGGAAAATAAAAAGAAGTGGTCAGATAATCCAGGAGAAATCAAGCCTCATTTTATTCCACAACTGCATCGTGAACGGGGAGTTCCAGGTTCACCTCCTCCTTCAAGATCAGATTGGAGGAGAAACTGCAAATTTTCTGCAGTGTTTCTAGAATTGCCTCCAAGCCTTCCTACATCTATAGACCACAGTTTATACTTTAGGCATCAATGTCTAGGACTGAATGAGTTAGGTGATGTCCCCCTTACAGGTGCCCTCAGATAAATAACAACTCTTTCTAGAGTTAAGCTATCCCTGCTGTTGAGGTTACACCATCCTATCAAATGGGATTAAGGAGGGGGGCACCCTTCTTCTCAAAGTCACGTTATATGAAATATTTACCATATTAGGTGCCAGTGGCTGTCCAATTAGGCTCATCTGAAACAGCATAATTAACAGAGGGGAGTCTCATATACTTAGCATTGAAAGCCACTCATATTCAAATTATGCATAAGGATCTGGAAACCAAGGAATAATCATCTTTCCACTACCAAAGTTCACATACTTTGAAGTCTGTTCCCAACGATGACCTCCTGACAGCAGCAAGGAGTCTTTATTTTCTCCTATCTCTCGGCAGAAATTCTCAAATGCAAGAGGATGGGATACTATTATTTGTGAAATTTTATTTAAGACCACTTTTCAAAGATGATATTCCTTTGTATAGAAGTACAATGCCTTAATCTGAAATTATTAAAGATTGATAATGGAGTTCAGGAACATACTTACTACTTTTCACTTCAAAAGGAAATTATTAGCCACCACTTTCAGGGCAGTTAACAACGTCCGGGACTGAATAACTTAGTTGACCCTCCCTTACAGGTGAGTCTTCAGACAAGACTCAGTGAGTACTTAAATGTATTTTCAAAGAGTTGCTCATCACAGCTCGAGTTTTATAACACAATATATATATTTTTCAATTTGGCAAAAATCCATTCTATATTTTAACCAAACCATTACTTTAGGATACAGTCTGACTCTGAGGAACATGACACTCTGCATCATTAAAATATACATTAAAAATGAAAATAAAATAAAAATAACTTTTTAAAGGGAAGGAAAAGAACATCTACCTGCTGCATGCTTGATGTATTATTAACAGATGACATTCCTCTTTTGGAGATTTAACCTCACTGAGAGATGACATGAGCCTGGGTATAAAATTTCTCCAGAGCCATTTTTAAAGGACAATCAAGTTTCCTTTATGCAATTTGGAAACTCTTTTGGCCTCCTGTGCTAGGTTATATCATCTTATAGAAGCTGGGCCTATGACATCTCCTGAGTTGTGCCAATATGTCTGTTGAGTCCATAATATTTTCAAATACATTTCCTCATTACCTCACTGTCATCCTCAATTCTGGAGGCAAGCAACAAAGACACTGTTTTCCTCTACTTGATAGATAATGAAAAGTGGGTTCAAAGAAGCTAATCAATGCATTTACCTATTGCCAGAATCACACAGAGCATAAACAACATAGGGAAAAATTTCTTCTGCCCAGAGGCTTGCATTGTTAACTATTTTTCTATCTTTTTATTTTTCTATTTTTTACCTACCTAATCTGTTTGAGGGTCTATCAACATATTTAGCCATCTAGCTATCGATCCATACAGCCATCCCATCTATGGCTTCCCAAAACACCTATCATTATTTTATGTTGAAGTTGAAAGTTTATCAGAGAAAAGTCTGGAACAACTGCTAAATACTCAACAAAGTTTACCTCCTTGAAAGAAGCAATGTAATTCAGATGCTATTTAAAATATGAAAAGCTTCACCTTTTTCTCTATATATTTTTGCATAGTTATTTGTAGTTTGACTTCTTTCACAGAGAGAATGGTTTTACGCCAACTACTGTGTGATGAAAAATAAATGCAATGAAGATACATTTTTTAAAAAATAGCTTCATCAGGCAGCTTAGATCTTCTGGATTTTCTAATACCATTACATGTTCCCTCTCTTCAGGCAAATTCTCCTGGATGTCTTGGGACTGTATTTTGGATACCCCCTCTCGAATCAGCTGCATCGGGCAATATATCATACTTCTGTCCCTTCACATTCCTGAGTTTCATGCGGGGTTCCAAGGTTGGCAGGGTAACATATTAGAAATAAAATACCGTGGTGGTATGTGAGACTTCAATTTTGCTTCTTTAGTTGCAAAGATCATCAACCGCACTGTTTTCTGCTATGGCAGAAGATCCCCTAAATATCACTTAATGGGCAAGCGCACCAACAGCATTGTGGACACTGACTCCTCCTAACATCACCACCATGCTGCTGGGAACTGAAATCCATTTTTAATTGACTGGATTACTGCAGACTGATGGTTCATCCACTGTGCTTTGCAGAAGAATTTTTCCTCCCCTAGCTCTGTGGACATCATCCAAGTGGAAAACCTCCAAATGGCTGAAGAATGAGCAGACTCAAATTTAGGAAGGGGTTAGGAGCAATACCACCTATTTCCAAATTTCTTCTTGCTGGGAGATGGTAATACAAACTGTGTTCTTGAAGAATCCGGAAAGGAATATATTTGTAAGGGACCAGGAGGGAGAAAGCTGTGGGCCAAGGTAGCTTTCACTATAAATTTAAATTAAAAAAAAGCAACCTGGACTTTCTTGTGTTTTTTCACTTTTGAGGATTTCTGTCTTCAGAGATGATCTGAATATGTCTGCTAGCCCCTGTGCTGAGGTTGCAGTTTCCTTAAAGATGGGTTCAGTGGGAGGAGAGAGGGGGCAGAATTGCATAATGCAGTTATTTTTAATGCCTATCCTTGCCCCTCCCCTCTACCTACAGAATCGGAATCTCTGTAGAGATGGGAGCTTTGGGGAAGGTGCAATTTTAACAACCCCAGGAGATTCTTATGCATGACAAAATTTGAGAACTTCTAGCATAATTGTTCAAAGCATAAATGGCAGAATCAGAAAATTCCGGATTAGGATACCAACTGTGCCACTTTCTTAGTTGGGTGACTAAGAAAAATGGTCTTCCCCTCCTGAGGGTCAATTTTCTCATCAATAAATCAGAGAAGGCCATAATCCCTACCTCATATAATTGTTAAGATAAAACTTTAAAATATAATGCCCTTTATCAATTAGCACAATGCCTGGTACATAGTCATCGCCCACAGAAAAGTGTTAGCTTTGTGTTGTTGAATATTCTAAGTTAAAATGAACTGTTTCTCCATGCAAGGATAGTTCACAATAAAATGGCAGTAGATTGAATTTTGTCCCCACAACAGGTATGTCTAAGTCTTAACCCCTCGTGCCTGTGACTATGACCTTATTTGGGAAGAGGGTCTTTGCAGATGTAATCAAGTTAAAAGATCTTGATATGGGGTCATCTTAAACTTAAGTGAGCCCTAAATCCATCGACAAATTCTTAGAAGACACACAGAACAGAAGACATAGAGGGGAATGCCATATGAAGATGGAGGCAGAAATGGACGAGATGCATCTACAAGCCCAGAAATGTCAGGTATTGACAGACACCACCAGAGGCTAAAAGAGAGCCAGGGTATGGATTTTCCCTCAAAGTATCCAAAGTCTCCATAAGGAGCCAATCTGCTGACATTGCATTTTTATTTTTATTTATTTATTCATTTATTTATTTATTTGAGACAGAGTTCTGCTCTTGTTACCCAGGCTGGAGTGCAACAGTCTGATCCCGGCTCACTGCAACCTCTGCCTCCCAGGTTAAAGCAATTCTCCTGCTTCAGCCTCCCACGTAGCTGCGATTACAGGCATGCGCCATCGCACTTGGCTAATTTTGTATTTTTAGTAGAGATGGGGTTTCTCCGTGTTGGTCAAGCTGGTCTCAAACTACTGACCTCAGGTAATCCACCTGCTTCGGCCTCCCAAAATGTTGGGATAACAGGCGTGAGCTACCGCACCTGGCCCGACATTGCTTTTTAAAAATATAATTTCAACTTTCATGTTGGATTCGGGGGTACAAGTGCAGCTTTGTTACATGAGTATATTACGTGATGCTGAGGTTTGAGGTACAAAGTGAGCAGAGTACCCAACAGTCACTCAACACTTGCCCCAAGTAGTTCCTAGTGTCTACTATTTCCGTTGACACCTTGACATCAAACTTTTTGCCTCCCAATTGGAAGAGAGTAAATTTCTATTGTTATAAAGCTACCAAGTTTGTGGGCATTTGTTACAGTAGCCGTATGAATGAATAGGGAACCCTCTAGCCCCACTTTAGTACAAGGATTACATTTTAAAAGGGTCATCTCAGAATTATTCCCTCCAGGGAGTCTAACCCCACAATGAAAATAGCTGGCCCCCAGCCACATGGGGCTAGAGCTGGGATTTGTAGTCAGACTGTAGTCAGACTCAGCACATGCCCCGACTACGGAAGTTGCCTGGTCATAGCCCATCACATCAATAAGTTTCAAGCTCAAAATTGCCTCTCTGGCAGTCTCCTGAGAGAATAATTTCTTGCCTAGAAATGTTAGAGAGATTGAAGGTGGCATTTGTCACACTGGGGATCAAACAACTAACATCTGGGTAAGCGACTGAATTTGCAAGATCTGTTCTGTTTTCTGGGTTCTCCAGATAATTCAACCACTGATGCCTATCACCAAGTTAATATAAGAATAGCAATAATCATAGCCACCATATATTGAGATTCTTTAACACTGTAGACATTAACAAAATCTTACATCTTCAGCCTCATCTTCAAATTTTCTGTAACACTGAGATAGTTCTCTGTCCCCATCTTACAGATGAAGAAAGTGAGGTCCAGCAAACTTAAGCATCCTGTAAGTGTCACCCAGAGGGAAAGAAAAACATAAGATTCAACCCTATGCTCCTGCCACTGTGATAAGCTGTCAGGCAATGATACTGATGCTTTAAGCATAAGCGTCTGAGGCATCTCCTACCAATGCTTGTTTGAAATGGGTCCAAAAGAGGCATTTCCTTCTTCCATGTGGAATCCTAGTGTTGCAAATTCTTTATCAATTACTCATGAACAACCCAGGAAATAGAGCAACTGGGGGAGGTTAAATCACCAAACAGTTGCTCTGAGGATATCGCTTAATCCACTAACGGCCGTAAGGGAAGAAGCTTAGATGTCTTGGTGGTTTATAACATAAAGCTTGCATTGTTCACTGAGCCGAGAAATTTAAGAGCCAAGTAGGGCCTAAAAAATCAGGTAGTTTCATCTGTTTTACAGATGAGAAAACTAAGGTTCCAATAGACTAAGAGGTTTATTCAGAGTTCCACAGCTTGGGACGTGGACAAGACTTGAACCCAGAACTCTTTAACACCTGTGTTCATACCACCGTAAATCTATTACTTAAACTCTAAGAGCCAAAACTAAGAGTGAATACACATGTCAAAATCATTCCAGAGGGCGAGGACAGTCTTCCTATGTAAATATCACTTTGCTTCTGAATCATGTGTCATCAAGTTCTTCAGAGTCCCAACGCTTGTGATGTTACATTGAAAAGTATTGATTTTAGTGTCCTTCCATTCAGTTCTGACTCTTTGGTACTGACTTTCAAAGTTCAGAAAAAAACTGGAGGCTCTGAGACCCTCTGTCACCAGTGGGTTCTTTTCATTTTTATGTGGATCTATGTTTCTACTCATCTCAGGAAGACTTAGTATGCCCCCTATGTGACAAGTATGAGGAATTAACTCAACTGGAGACCTGGTGCTCCTATAAGCCAACGTTCATAGACTGGTGTCCTACAGTCTGCAGATAAGTGGTCCTGAAAAGTCACTTGCAAAGTGAATAGCATGTTAAATATCTTGTGATTTCAATTACATTTTAAATACACCCCAGATTTAAACACAATACACACAATTCTATCTTACTAAAGTCTTCACTTCGAAATCTCTTCCTGTTACTACACTCAGCACCAGAGATAGAAGATAAAGATGGTAACATTTTGGTAAAAGATCTTACAATTCAGTGCACTTTTAATTAAAGAGATCATGATCACTCATGCACTGAAAAAAATAGTTTTCATTTTTCATGTGCTAAGTTTTCTTTAAGCAAGTTAGACCTCACGTTCTCCTAAAGCTCACATGAATGTGTAGGCTATGTGTTTCCAATACTTCATTTGTCCACTGCTACCTTCCTGCTATGTTTCTTTTTTTCTTTTATTTTTCTTTTTGACAGTCTCACCCTATAGCCCAGGCCGGAGTGCAGTGGCATCTTCTAGGCTCACTGCAACCTCTGTCTCCTGGGTTTAAGTGATTCCCATGCCTCAGCCTCCAGAGTAGCTGGGATTACAGGAGCACACCACCAAACCTGGCTAATTGATTGTATTTTTAGTAGAGATGCAGTTTCATAGTGTTGGCAAGGCTGTTCTTGAACTTCTGACCTCAAGTGATCCACCCACCTCAGCCTCCCAAAGTGCTGGGATTACAGGTGTAAGTCACCACTCTCAGCCCACCTGCTGTGTTTTGAGAAGTGTTGTCCTTATTTCCATTGACAGAACCAAGGAAAGGTACAAACTGAGCTTAAAGTAACGTTAAGTCCAGAATGAGAACTCAGCACGTGAGGTCCGCAGAGTATTAAGCTACTCTGAGTGACTGTGTCCTGAGCATCCACTTATGAATCAGGACGTGTAGGGAAGCGCAGAAATGGCAATAAAAACCTTCAGGGTGGGAGTCTGTGAAAAGATGCCCTGAGTCATCCAGGGAGAAAAACAGAAGAATAAAATGCATAGCTCTGAAATTGTTCTCATTACATTTGAATCCGCTTGTAACTGAGGTATGCCCGTTTACACTGTTGCTCAGGGGCCACAGTTTGTGAGTGTCATCTTCTGTCCAAAGGCAAGAAGGAGCAGCCGGTGTAGACAGGTAGACAGTTGTACTGCCACAGCCTTGCTCTTGGAGACACAGCAGAGGGTTGCTAACTCCAGGGAAAAGAAGGCACTGTCTTCTTCCTCTCGTCCTCCTTCCGCCCTGGTTATTGGCAAAAGAACAGCCCTCAATCCCCTCCCCTGACACTTACAAGCTGAGAGCACCCTGGGGAATCCAGAACCCACCATTCATGAATTCAGTGTCCCAGAAAGAGCCTCCTCTCCATCAAGAGAAAGCTCCCCTCCTTGCCAAGCCCTGCCGATAGATGCTCCCAACACATAATTATCTTAATTTAGGTGTGTATTTTGCGACAATATTTTGGATAACCCTGGCACTTACTCTTCTCTATTACAAACATTTATGTAACCATGCCAGTCAATTAATCTGAAGGATGTGGCAAAGAGACGGGAAAATTTCACCCGCAGGAAACAAAAATCTAGTCTTTGAGGGTAAATATGTACGCCAAAATTCATAACTTATTGCAGATTGCTATTGATATTTCAGAAATGTATTTGTCCCTTGGACATATTCATAGAGCATTTGCAAGTCTATAGACACATCTATTTAATAACTGTACTGCATAAGTCTTCCATGCTACATATACATGAGAACCTGCAAACACCCCCTCAATCCCCACAACAAAGGTAATAAGCTTTTGTCTCGCCTTGTTTTCTGCTTTAAGCATTCCCCTTAATGAGCTCTGCTTCTTTGTAACTCAAGAGATTTAGTATTCCGTCCAACAAAACAATTTATTGCCCAAAATGTTCTTACTGCAGATAAAATCTTAGCTTCCCCAATACTTCTGGCTCCACAGTTAATACCCTAATGTTTCATTTACAGCTGAACAAAGCGGCTTATCTCCACTAAAAGGGGAATTAGTAGTAAGAAATAATTTCAATCATCTGCTGAGTTTCTAAGTAAAGTGATGACTTCTGCATTCTCCCTTCTATCTGATGACAGGTGTGTTGGGGGCTCCCAGTAAAAAGAGCAATTCTGTCACCTAAGCTTTGTAATTTGAACAATGCATCTACATAGATCAGGCAAGAGTTAGGTCTTGGCTGTCAGGGAAAAAAAAAAAAAATCCACACTTGGAAATATGCTGTAGTCAGCAGTTCTTAGCTACAGATTGGATACTAACTCAAGAGAAAAAAAAATTGGTTTGAATCAACAAATGGCTCTATTTATCCCCCTAGTCTGCGGCAAACTTATTATACACCTACAAACACACAACCACAGCCCATTACATTTCCTCAGCACGTACACAGGCTCACACAGTACCATGATGGGTATATATTCTCACATGCGTGCATAACAGCCTTATTTATGTATGCACAGACATGAAGGCTGCAGGGGACGGCAAGGAGGGTGGGAAGAGAGGATCGTGGAAGTAGACGGATTGAAAAACAATAAGGCAGAGGAATCCTGGATGAGTCTGCAGCAGCGATCTGATCATTTATACCAGGAAAAAAGAGTGACTTGCCTGGATGAGAATTACAAAGGAGAATTCAAACTGCTGTTATTCATGCCTCAACCGGGGCACATGAAACCCTGGCGTGGTCTCCGAAACTGCCTGATCAGTAAACTGAAAAGGGAGGTGGTGATCGAGAATCCAGACACTGTAGTGGCACCCGTTGGAGGTACAGTAGAGAGGCTATGACCCTGGACCCCAAGAGGAATGGATAAATGGAAACGCAAGAAGATGGGAAGTACAGGTTGGTTTCACTGCCTATGCATCTAAAGGTGTGGGGGTTTGACTCTTGTGTCAACCCTTTCGAGGTTTCCTTAATAAAATCCTGTTCCCCATATGGCCATTAGGGGAGGTAAGCAAGAGATTCAGGCTGAAGACTAAGGAGACAGAAGGGACTGGGTAAAATTGGAACTACTCAGAAAATACAAGCAGAGGTCATTATTTATACAGCAATCCCTCTAATTTCAGATTTTTTTCTCATTCTATGACTATTTTTTATTTCTTTCTCTCTTTTTTTTTTTTTTTTTTTTTTTTTTTTTGATGCGGAGTCTTGCTCTGTTGCCCAGGCTAGAGTGCAGTAGCACGATCTTGGCTCACTACAACCTCTGCCTCCTGGGTTCAAGCAATTCTCCTGCCTCAGCCTCCAGAGTAGCTAGGATTACAGGCACGCACCAGGACACCCGGCTAATTTTGGTATTTTTCGTAGAGATGGGGTTTCACCATTGTGGCCAGGATGGTCTCCAACTCCTGACCTCAGGTGATCTGCCCACCTTGGACTCCCAAAGGGCTAGGATTACAGGTGTGAGCCACCACACCAGGCCATTCTATGACTCCTTAAAGCTGGTGCCTCAGCCATCCTCCCTAGCTTGATGAACCATCTTCCTGCTGACGTGGGTGTTTGCAGCTAACTGCTGACAACCTGAATTCTTCTCTGAATGTTTGGACTTGGCTGGCATGATTCACCTTAGCCAGAGATGCCTGGAGTAAAGGTGGAGGTAAGGGGTAAGGCGGCTACCACCCCTTCCTGGGGGACACCTTGTGGCCAAAGACAGATGGATGAAACGGGGTGGGGATAAGACTCAGTGAAATAATCCTTGGCACAATGAATAATCCAGATCTTCTTACAAGATCAGGCTGAGGCTATGTTTCCCCCTGAAACCATACCTTCCTCTGCCTTATCCTGATTCATTACCACCACCCCCTATAGCATTGTCCAGAGAGCATTCCTTCAATTCACCACTTGCACCCATCTCAGGCATGGCATTATCCCTAGGAAATCTGACCTAAGACAGATGGGGTAGGAAAATTATATAGAAACTATATAAAAAGTGTGCTCCTATAAGTGTGTACTTGAGTGTAATATTATAGTTGGGTTTTTCATACAGTGAAGATACCAAAGAAAACTTGTGGATTGACATCCAGAGGTGAGCAAGAAGTGACGAGCATCTTGCCAATCAAGTACCCCATCTTCCCAGACACAAACTTAAGGATTAAGGTCTGAAGTGAGATCCTGCATGGGCCATAGCTCTTCCATCAGGCATTTCCTGTCAGATCTCAGAACCATTGACTATATGCAAGGAGCAATAAAAATCAAGACACCAGGTGGGGTGCGGTGGCTCACACCTGTAATCCCACCACTTTAGGAGGCTGAGGCAGGCAGATCACCTGAGGTCAGGAGTTCCAGACCAGCCTGGCCAACATGGTGAAACCCTGTCTCTACTAGAAATGCAAAAATTAGCCAGGTGTGGTGGCATGGGCCTGTAGTCCCAGCTATACGGGAGGCTGAAGCAGGAAAATCACTGGAACCTGGGAGGCGGAGGTTGCAGTGAGCCGAGATCATGCCACTGCACTCCAGCTTGGGGGACACAGCAAGACTCTGTCTCAAAACAAACAAACAAACAAACAAACAAACAAACAAACCAAACCAAACCAAAACAACAAAAAACCAAGACACCAAAGAGAGTCAAAACAATCCACGGACTGAGGACATCCCTACAGTAATTATGCAAACCCTTAGATTCAGCAATGACCAATAGCCAAAACCACTCCTGAAGTTTTCAGTTTCTTAACATAATCAGAATTCCTTGTGCTTATGCTACTATGACTTGGGCTTTATCACCTACTCAGCTTAACCTATAGGGGATTAGGAGAAAGTGGCTCTGACTCTAGCCCAAGAAGAAGGAGGGGCCATCACAAACCCACAGGAGGTAAATAAATATGAACATGCCTGCCTTCTTTCTTCCTTGACCCTAAATATCTCCCATTCAAGTCACTGGTTTTGGTAGGACCATAAAGAGTGCCTGGGTTTTACAATTTTATTTGATAACTGCTTGTGGAGTACCTACTAGGAGCCAGACACTTTTTGATGACCAAGGCATTTCCTCAAGTAGCTATTACTCCTGAGTGGAGGAAACAGGCCATTGTCCAAATGCAAACATATATTCATTATAATTTTGGGACGTGATCTGGAGGGAAATGCAAGGTGCTATACAAGGGGACTACAGGGGAAAGTTGTCCAACCTAGAGGATTCAGGGAGGGAGGGCTTCCATGAAAAAGGGACATGTAGGCAGAGGTCTGAAAATGATTATGAAAATGCAATGTTTGAAGAGGCAGAATAAAACATTTTTGATGGAGGAAAAGCGTGTACAGAATCTGCAAGGGAGAAGTGGGTGTGCAACTTTCAAACACTGAAAATAATTCTGGCCTGGCTTAAGTATTGTGGTGGCAAATGAGCAAAGCATGAAATGAGATTGCAAAAGGCAGGAGGGGAAGGAAGACAGAGAGAGCTTGTATTCTAAGGGCAGCAAGTAATCAGTGACAGTTTAGGCTGCGATGGAGTGCATAAGGTAAACTAACGCAAGTTGATATCCTTGTCCCTTACCTCAGGAATCTCAGCCTACGTAAAAGAATCAGTGTCTGGACAGGCTGGTTGTGTAACCCATTCATTCATTCATTCATTTCTCCATCCATCCACCGACTCACTCTTCCTTTTAGTCACTGTTAAAAGCCTACTGTATAAAAGGCACATATGCTGAGGATGCGTAGGAAGAAAAAACACATTTGGTCCTCATCTGCATGGCCTTTACAGTCTTTTGGGGGAAGAGTATCATAAACCAAATCATTACATAAAAAGTTGTAAAACTGAAATGATGATGCAAGCTACAAATGAAGGTACTGAAGTTATAAAGTGATACAGTAAAGGTACTTAACCAAGTCAGTGAGGTCAAGGAAGTTTTAATTTTGTGAACGGGACAAGGAAACTGGTCCAAAAGCACACATGGGTGTTAGCTATGCAAGAAAGGGAGGAAAGAAGTCCAGATGTGGAGAAAATCATAGCAGAGCTCTTGCGGTGAGAAACGAAGAGCAGAGGGAGGCAGGTACCCAGCTACCCCTATAATTGGTATCCTTGGAGATCTTGGGACGCGAAACTTCTTTCCTCTACCTCCATGAGGGCCCTTCTTTTACAAACCAGGGCACATGCCCAAAAACTCTCTTAGAGGGACATCAGCAAATGCTATTCTAAAAAGAGACTGGCCTAGAAAATCCACCCCATGGGATTAACACCAAGGTGGGACGGAGGTGGGGCCAGTCACGTGCAGGGGGCAGTGTCTGGACATGCTGCCTATCTAAAACCTTCCAGTGGATTAACTGTCACATATTCAGTGCAAAAGGTCAGTTAAGGATAAGAGCTATGTTCTTAAGGACTAGGAGCAGAAGGAACAGGCACAACAAGGCTTACCAATGAGCCTCCAAAAAGCACGAGGGTCAGCAAGGAAGACCCCACACCCTCCAGGAAACTCCCTGTTCCAAGCCACACAAGCAAAACAGGCAGTAAAAAAAATCCTTCTCCCTGGATCTTTTTTTATTCCATAATTGTAATTTTTCTACATTCCCAACTCTCCATATCCCCAGGGCGTACAAATCACAGCAAACAACTCGATTGTTGGAATCTGTCCTCCCTTAAGCACATTCATATTCTTATAAATGGAAAGAAAATAGTCTCTTTCTGTCCTATTGAAAAAAACAAATCTCTAAATGCATTGTCAGTTCTTATAACCACTAATTCCTCTGTAAAGAGACAGCATATTGATTCTTTTCATCAAAAATCACCAAATTTATAAATTCACCATCCCTCACACAATCCGAAAATGATCTATGCTCAGGTGTTAATGCGAAATATAGCACCTTATACTTGCATAATCTCTGCGATGTGCAAAGATGCTTTAGGTGCATTTTCTCATTCAGTCTTTACAATTTTGTGAAGAAGGTATTCTTTTGAACAGATGATATGGCAAGGCTTTGAGAGGTTAGAAGATGTGAGTAAGGTCCCTGCAACTGAAACTTAAACCCAAGTCTTCTGACTCCAAGTATCGAAATCTCATAGTTAAGAACATGAGTTTGGGTGTCTCTCAGATTTGGATCAAGTCCTACTTATTATAATGTATTCTCTCTATTGTTATGGGAAAATTGGTTTACCTTTCTAGACCCCTGATATGGTTTGGCTGTGTGTCCCTCCCCAAATCTCATGTCCAGCTGTAGTTCTCAGTGTTGGAGGAGGGGTCTGGTGCGAGATGACAGAATAATGGGAGCAAACATCCCCCTTGCTGTTCTTTTGATAGAGTTTTCACAAGAGCTGTTTGTTTGAAAGTATGTAGCCCCTCTCCCTTCTCGCTCTGTTTTTCTGTCTTCCTCTCTCCTGCTGGCCATGTGAGGATGTGCTTGCTTCGTTTTCACCTTCTGCCATGATTATAAGTTTCCTGAGGCCTCCCCAGAAGCAGAGCCTGTACAACCCACAGAACTGTGAGCCAATTAAACCTCTTTCCTTTATAAATTACCCAGACTCAGGTATCTCTTTATAACAGTATGAGAATGGACTACTACAACCCCCATCTTCTTATTTGGAAAACAGCAGTGGACTCATGGATTTTGCAGGGTGCCATAAAGATTGTATGCATATCAAGCCTTAAGCATACTAGAAGGAACATTCTATATACTCAAGAAATTTTAACCACCAATATTATTATTGGTGTTGTTGCTGAATTATAATACCATGGCCTAACCAAGACTGCTGTTGTACATACTGTAAACTCCAGCCAGATTGTCTTCTGAATTTCTCTGTAGGGTCCCAACATATCTGGATGACAATTATGCTTATTATTGTTTTTAGGTAGTGTTTTGCCTTACCATAGGATTTGGCTAAAGCAAGTCATTCTGTAAGGATCTTCCAGAGTTGTTCGCAAGATTAAGCAATGATATCTTTGGTCCTGGAGTCCAGAACAAAGATCAAGAATCAGGCTTCAGGGGAAGCAAGCACACCCCAATCAACATTTCATTAAATAGTTACATCTGGCTGGGCACTGTGGCTCATGCCTGTAATCCAAGTGCTTTGGGAGGCTGAGGTGGGAGGACTACCTGAGCCCAGGGGTTTAAGACCAGCCTGGGCTACATGGCAAGACCTCGTCTCTACCAAAAATACTAAAATTAGCTGGGCGTGGTGACACACACCTGTGCTGCCAGCTATTCAGGAGGCTGAGGTACAGGATCATCTAAGCCTGGAGAGATCAAAGCTGCCATGAGCTGTGATCACACCACTGCATTCCAGCCTGGGTGACACAGTGAGACTCTGCCTCCAAAAATAAAAATAAAAATAAAAAGGAACAAAGAAATAGACCAACTTGTAATTTATTAAAGAATGGTGCTGCACTGAACATATTACATATGGCCATACCCCCAATTCATTCAGGCTCTCCAAAGAACTTGTATCACACTTTAAAAAAATGTTTTAAGCACTTACTCTGTATTAGGCACTCTATTAAGCTCTGCGTACATGCTTTCCTTGACTTATGATATGGTTATGTCCCTATAAACTCATCGTGAGTTGAAAATATTCTATCAAAATTGCATTCCATACACCTAACCTACTGAACATCATAGCTTTGTCTTCTCTACCTTAAAGAAGCTCAAAACACTTATATTAGCCTACATTTGGACAAACTCATCTAACACAAAGCTAATTTTATAATAGTATTGAATATCTCGTGGAATTCATTGAATACCATACCAAATGTGAAAAAACAGAAAGGTTTCACGTCATTCATAATGTCAAAAAAAAAAAAAAAAAAAAAAAAAGTAAGTGAAACCACTTTTAAGTTGGGGACTGCCTGGATGTGTATTATCTCATGTTGTCCTCCCTAGAACCATATGAGGTAAGGGTTGTTATCTTTCTTTTACAGTTGAGGGGGCTTAAGCTCAGGGAAGGGGATGAAACAAGTTATCCCGGGCAGAGAGATGATAAAAAGGAGGAGTAGAATTTAAATCCATATTTGTTGTATCCCAAAGCCCATATATTGCACACTTCACTCTACAGATTTTAAATTATACACCCCAGCAATAGTTATGTTCAGACAGTATTCATCAGCTGAAAATAATTTTCATGCATCTCATTGCCACTTGTATTCAGGAATTTCCCCAGAAAGCAATGCAAGTTTCTTCTGAGGATTTTCCCGAACACATCATGGATACCGAGTGCTGCATCCATCACACCAACCTTGTGTGTCTGTAGAACTCTGCCAAGAAGGAAAGGCTTAATCTTTTCTAGCTCCATGCAATCTGAGATCAGTTTCCTGCTATTTTCGATTATGCAAACACAATAAACACTGATTATGTTTATATGATCTTGATCAAAGGCAAAAGAAACAATTTTTTGGATGCCTTTAAATTAAAAAAAAAGCAAAACAAAAAAAAGGATATTTTGTTTTGTTTTGTTTGCTTTGCTCTTTTTCCCCCCACAATAGCTGAACAAGAGAGCCATTAAGCTCTGGGATGCTTTGACCCTTCCAACAATGGCGTAAAATAAAGGCGAAAGTGGAAAATCAAAGACAGCACAAAAACAAAGCTCAAGAAATTAGCACATTAAAATAATCAAAGAATTCCAGAGACGTTTTAAACTGATGGCGAAGCCCTACACGTACGGAGCTTTCTCCAGCATTCAAAAGATGAGGGGCTTTGCTGTTCATGGGATTGTGGGGAGGCCTGGAGTTGACGCAGGATGTGTACCATGATGGCCCACAGCTGCCACCGACACCACTCCTAATGGCACCCTGAGCCAAAGACCTTCCAGTTTCACCTTTCTTCCAAACACACAGCGGCTTTTGCAATGCTTGACCATACATTCGAAGAACCTCTCTGAAGGCGTATGGATTTATTTCACAGTTTGAGATCAATGTGCCACTCTCTTCTTGCCAGCAAATGTGCAATTTTGATAAGAAACGAGACCCAGGGAGATACAATCCTGACAGCTATTGTACATCTATGCATTTGGAAGACAGGGGTATATGAATGAATATCATGTCAGTACGATCCAGTGACTGACGGCCTCAATTCTGGACTTAGAGAATCCACATCCTCTCTTTATCAGCTGTGTGAAATTAATCAAATACCTGGGTCTCAGTTTTCTTATCTATAAAATGAGGATAAAAATAGAACATAGCTCATAGAATTTATTACTAATCCTATACTAATTTAGCAAGATAATGCATGGTAGGTACTTTGCACAATGGTTGGTGTGTGGCAAGCACTCAAAAAACTGCCTGTTTCAGCAACCTACAGAATGGGACAAAATTTTTACCATCTATTCATCTGACAAAGGGCTAATATCCAGAATCTACAAATACATTAAACAAATTTACAAGAAAAAAACAACCCCATCAAAAAGTGGGCAAAGGATATGAACAGACACTTCTCAAGAGAAGACATTTATGCAGCCAACAAACATATGAATAAATGCTCTTTATCACTGGTCATTAGAGAAATGCAAATCAAAACCACAATGAGATAACATCTCATGGCAGTCAGAATGGAGATCATTAAAAAGTCAGAAAACAACAGATGCTGGAGAGGATGTGGAGAAATAGGAACACTTTTACACTGTTGGTAGGAGTGTAAATTAGTTCAACCATTGTGGAAGACAGTGTGGCGATTCCTCAAGGATATAGAACTAGAAATACCATTAGACCCAGCAATCCCATTACTGGATATATACCCAAAGGATTATAAATCATGCTACTATAAAGATACATGCACACGTATGATTACTGTGGCACTGTTCACAATAAAAAAGACTTGGAACCAACCCAAATGCCCATCAATGATAAAGACTGAATAAAGAAAATGTGGCACATATACACCATGGAATACTATGCAGCCATAAAAAAACATGAGATCATGTCCTTTGCAGGGACATGGATGAAGGTGGAAACCATCATTCTCATCAAACTAACACAAGAACAGAAAATCAAACGCCACATGTTCTCATAAGTGGGAGGTGAACAATGAGAATACATGGACACAGGGAGGGGAACATCACACACTGGGGCCTGTTGGGGGGTGGGGGCTGGGGGGTATAGCTTTAGGAGAAATATCTAATGTAGATGACGGGGTGATGGGTGCAGCAACCACCATGGCACATGTATAGCTATGTAACAAACCTGCACATTCTGCACATGTACTCCAGAACTGAAAGTATCATAAAGGACCAGTACTTCAAGCACTTTAGTGAGAAGGAAAGAACTTGGGGGATGCAGATACCCGCTTTGCCCTACATCTGATATCTCTGAGGCTGTTGGGATCTCAAACCCAAGAGTCCTCACCATGCCTTGTTTAGCGTGTGGCAAAACCTTAAAAGCTGGCTGGGCATGGTGGCTCACACCTGCAATCCCAGCACTTTGGGAGGCTGAGCCGTGTGGTTCACGAGGTCAGGAGTTCGAGACCAGCCTGGCCAACATGGTGAAACTCCGTCTCTACTAAAAATAAAAAATAAATAAATAAATAAATAAATAAATAAATAAATAAATAAGTAACTGGGCATGGTGGCATGTGCCTGTAATCCCACCTACTCAGAGGCTGAAGCAGAAAAACTGCTTGAACCCAGGAGGCGGAGGTTGCAGTGAGCCGAGGTCGCACCACTGCACTCCAGCCTGGGTGACACAGCGAGACTCTATCTCGAAAAAAACCAAAAACCTTAAAAGCTAAAAGTCTCACATGTACAATAATAACCACCATGACAAACCCACCTCTTGAGATGTCATCTGCCAGTTGCATCCCTGTGTAGAAATCAAAACCAGGTACAGGTTTTGAAAACAAGTTTCAACGCCCAAATGAGATGACCACCACCTAATCTATCTTCCATCTTGGCAAATAACCATGGCCTTTCACATTTCTGCTAGAACTTCTGCAAGCTCACTCCTGCTCTTCCCACTCACTACTTTCTATTTGAGATACCTCCATTACTTTCCATGGCACCATTCACCCAAGCCCCGACCTCTCCATCCTGGAATCATTTTAATTCACTCCCTTCACCTCCACTGGGTTTTCCCAGATCTGCCTGTTAATTTTCTACAACGGTACTTCCATTTCCTTCACCTTCCATTTCAGAACCACCTTCCAGTTCAAACCACTATGACCCCTTGCCTGGACTCCCAGACAGCTTCCTAACTGCTCTCCTGCCTTCTTCTCCTGGGCCCCACTGGTCTATGTTTCACGTGGCAAGCAGTCATCTTTGTGAAATGCAAATCTCTGCATCCGTAATTCATATAAAACTTATATTCATTATCGTGGTTAACAAAATCCTGTATGACCTGGCCTTTGCCCAATTCTCAGACCTCTCTGGTGCCCCTCTCTCTATTTTCCAGGGATCTGTTCATCTTTCAAAAATTCCAAGGTCCTCTCCTCTTAGGGTATTTTCCTGGAATGTTCTTTCTCTCTGCCTTGGCATGATTTGCCATTGCGAGCTCAGCTTAAATGTCAACTTACCTCTTCATAGGAGCCTTTCTAGAGCTCCCCACCACTCTCTGTTTTAATTATCTGACTTGCACCTGTCACTAACCATATATTAATTTACACAGTTATTTATTGTTTGCCTCCTTTCAACTAGAATATAAGCTCTATGCCAGCAGCATTTTGTTCACACTCTATACCACTGAATACCCAGCGGCTGAGAAGGGTTGGCATTCAATAAATATTTGTTGAGTGAATGAGAGACTCATCCTGACTTACATCTCTATTTCGTGCAAGTCTAAGTCTAGGTTGTCATTACAGGATGGTCTTATTTACCTTATATTCTCTCCACTAATTCCAAAGTTGGCATGGCCTGCAAAGCTGTTCACTCCATGACCCCTCTCCCTCCTATTTCCCCATGGGAAAAATAAAGCCCAGATGGATAGATAAATGATACTGCCCAAGATTCTGTAGCCAGAGTAACAGAAATGTCATTCAAACTCAGCTATGTTTGGCATGAAAACCCACTGCAATAAGCAGCTCTTCAATATCAGCTCCAAGCCTAAATTCAAGAACCAAAATACCAGGAGAGCCATGTTTTTGTAATGGTATAAATATAAAGGTGCCTGTTGCACCTGAGCTATATATTCCTCGTTTTTCATATTGAAATTTTCAGCAGCAACACTAAATGACTGTCCCCTTTTCCCTGCTTTTCATATTCATACATATATATTTCATATATAAGTTTCATACTCCTTGCTTTTCATATTCATATATATATTTCATATATGTTTCATATATATTTCATATATGTTTCATATATATATGAAAAGCACAGATAAGCATACATATCTCTCCCGTAAATATAAGAAGAACATATGTATATATGTTTTCTCACTATTTATACTGATGTTTCTCATACTTGGGATACTTTTTTTTTTTTTTTGAGATGGAGTCTCACTCTGTTGCCCAGGCTGGGGTGCAACGGCACGATCTCTGCTCACTGCAACCTCCACCTACTGGGTTCAAGTGATTCTCCTGCCTCAGCCTCCCAAGTAGCTGGGACTACAGGCACATGCCACCATGCCCAGCTAATTTTTTGTATTTTTAGTAGATGGTATTTCACCATGTTAGCCAGGATAGTCTCGATCTTCTGACCTTGTGATCTGCCCGCCTCGGCCTCCCAAAGTACGGGGATTACAGGCTTGAGCCACCTCGCCAGGCCATACTTGGGATACTTTAACATACTTTGTATGATGTAACTTGGATCTGAATACCCTTTGAATAGGCGTTTAATATACAGAATGGGAACTTAAGGCAATTCTGGAATAATATTGCATCTTATTTTTAAATTTATCATGAAGGTGTCATATTCTCAGCTCTCAAATATGAAATGGTTTTCAACATGGAGAATGGGAAATGGATAATAAGGAGGTCAATATGTCAGGAAAGTATTTCCTGATGTTCACTGGGAACTCAAAAGATGAATTCCAAGTTTCATTAATTCAGCTGGCACCTTGGCCCTGGCTAGCCTAAAACTCAGATAATTCAAGAGATTATTTCAATGTGAAGACTCCATGACCTCAAACACTTAAAACAATGTCACTAACATATTTGCCATCTGCTTTTTTTGTTTTTGCCTCCACTGGGGAGCCTAATTTTGTCCAAGCAGAGAAGTTATATTATAAAATGCGTGCCTAGTGTTGTTGCATTTTACGTTTTTTTTTTTTTTAATTTTTATGGGTACGTAGTAGGTGTGTATGTTTATGGGATACATGAGATGTTTTGATACAGGCATGCCATGAGAAATAAGCACATCATGGACAACGGGATAAACAAGAATTTCCCATTCTTGAATGAAGCACAGAACAAGACTGTACCATGAACACCTGCTAGAATCAGAATCTAAGATCAACTGGATATTGCATTTTTTTTTCTTTAGATACCAAAGAAAATTCTCTACTCTTTAGGCATTTTCTGGCCTTGCTTACCATATGTCAAGTTTAATGAACAGCTCATTGGCTAGATGTTCCTTCTTTTCTCTTCAATGTGGAACCCTTTACAGGGAGATGTCTAAAGGCAAATATCTAAACTAAACATACTTGATGTAGGCAGCTTACAGCTCCTCAATTTAATTGCATTACACGATTATAAGTAGGGAGCAATTTACTCTGAAGTGGTACTTAGGCATTATTCCTCTTGGCTTCTCCATGAAGCACTTGGGATAAATTTCTATTTAATGTATGCTGGCTTTGGAACGTACATACAAATAGCGGGATGTGTATTAACGTTTTAATTAGGTGACTATCCTCTGTTAGAAAATGAATCCAGGATGGACACAGATTTTAATTCCTTTTAACTATGAAAAACACTGTTCTTGCCATCTTGCGCATTAATCAGTCTCTTAAAATGTGTATCTTCACTGGCTTACAGCAAGAAAATGGAATCAATTCGGTGAGTTATGCCATTTCCTCTGCTGCACTATCTTTGTAACACTGTCAGTATTTAATAAGCGCTAACAAGAAACCAAGTACTTTCATTTAATTAAAGCCATATATCATGTTTAATAATTAGTCATAATCAAGGTGAATGATTATCTAGAAAAGATATGAAAAATATACATTCCAGAGCAGCTTAAAGTCACATTTTTTAAAAGTCCAAAATAAACTCTTGAGGGCTGTGGATAGCTTTAAGTATGATATAATTTATGAAATGAGATAAATCTCAACTGTTAAAATATTTAGTGGAACTGAGAATAATGAGTCCAGATAGGATTAGTTTAATTAGTTTACTGAAATGGAGTCTTCATAGTGGCTAAGTGTGATATATTGGCTTTTGTCACTTGAAATAAAAAAGAGGTAATTAGTCCCTACTCAAATATATTGTTTTCTCAGAATAGGTTGAATTTTATTTTAGGCAGTAATCCAGAACCAACTTCCAACTGATTTATAAATGCTACAAGAAAAGATCATCCTTCAGACAACTTAAGAATCCAATCGCGTAAAAGCAGGATTCTCAAAGGGAGAAACATTTCATCCCCCAGGGGACAGTGAGCCAAGTCTAGAGACATCTTTGGGCATCACAGTGTGGGGAGAACTACAGTTGGCATTTAGTCAGGAGAGGCTAGAGATGCCACCAAATGCCCAACAAAGCACTCAGCAGTCCCCACATAGAGAATGATCCAGCCCAGCGTCCACACTGCCAAGGTGGAGAAACCGTGATATAAACAGTAAATTCAGTATCCAAATGCCTACGCCAACCATTAAGGGAAAGTGTGCCCACTGTTCCTGACTTGCAAATCCCAAATCCATACGGTGGGACATTTGCATTTTTCCTACCAAATAAAATAAAATATGAAAAATAATAAAAGCAACATCCCAAAATAATGAATAACACTGAAAAAGAACAGGCACCAATGCCAAAACAAATCCTCTTTTTAGGGTATATTCATGCAACAGAACACTGTGAAGCTGTTAATAAAATAAAAAAAAAAGGCGGGGGGGAACGATGTATGAACCCATTTTTGTAGTCTATATATTTTACTAACAGATCATTGAGAAAACAGGAATTTCAGAAAGGAAGAGTAGGAATTAGGTATGTGTTTAAGGATTTTAAATTTCAAATATGGTTTTCTTTCTAATTACTTATAGTACTATACCTTTTCCCACAAGTTATATGCATTACTTGCACAATAAGGCAATATTATGAGCCAACAAGGACAACAAGAAAAGTCAGGGCCCATAAAAATTTCCACTTGCACCTGGGTTTGAGAGACACGGCCTCAATCCCTTTGATGGAAGCCCTGAGATGAGAGGCTGTTTTAAGTTTAACGTGGGAGAAGTTCAAGCATCTAGAACTATCTGTGTCTGTTTACTCTGCTGTGAAGCCAGAACACTGGGTTTGTTTGACGCATAACATCTCCAGTGTATTCACAAACTATGACCTAAATATTAAACACTCATGTAGACAAAATACCAAGAAAGTGTTTCATGCAAGACAGAACACTAGGATAGACCTGTCTACTTTCACTGAGAACTCTGGAGATTCAAAATACTGTTCTTTCTCTCCATTTTCCCCTTTACACTTTACGGAGGACATTTAAAAAGCCTGCGATTCTTGAAAAACACTAACATCTTGGAAAAGAAGGTTAGCAAGAGGGAGAAGACCCCTGCTTCTATGAAATCTGAATTTCTCATTAGGGATTTTAAGTTTATTATTACATTTCTTATTTTCCCCTAGAGAATGGATTTCTAGCTGTGGCTATAGCCATGGAATATTCAGGTGCAAACGAAAACAGTTGTATGAAACGACTGGGTTATCGTCCTAGCAAAGACAAAACATTTGGATGATCAGCGGTGTGAGCTGCTGCCAGCGTCTGAATTGAAAGCAGACCAGAGTTTGGAAACTGGTTTTTGTTTTGTTTTGTTTTTTAAATACAAATGTCTATCAATAGGGAAACTGGTTGTTTAAATTACAGTACACTGAAAGATGATTACCAGACAGATGTTAAGACTGAAGTACATAATTTATATGTGCCAACATTGAAAAGCCTGTACACTATTTTTAAGTGGTAACAGAGTCATAGACATAAAGTCATTTATATTAAGCATATATGTTCTAAATGTGTATATTTTTAATATGCACAAAATATCTGCAAAGGTATGTACTAAACAATTATTAAATGATGGGGGAGGAAGAAAGGGAAGGAGAAAAAACATTTTTTATTTTATACGATTCTATGTGGTGAAGATGGTTATTTTCTAAACTCTGAGCATTTCTGACTCTAAAATCATGATGTGATATAGTTCAGACATACCAAAAGGTATACAGCAAAACATAAATACTGGCCAGGCACAGCTCACACCTGTAGTCTCAGTGTTTTGGGAAGCTGAGGTCAGAGGACTACTTGAGGCCAAGAGTTCCAGACCAGCCCAGGAAACATAGCAAGACACTCTTCTCTAAAAATTTTCTTTAAAAAATAAGCAAGGTTTGGTGGTGTGTGCCTTTAGTCCTAACTTTGGAGAAGGAGGCAGGAGGATTGTGCTTGAACCCAGGAGGCCAAGGCTGTGGGGTGAGATATGATGGTGCCATTGCACCTCAGGTGGGTGATAAAGGCAAGACTCTATCTAGAAAGAAAGAAAAGGAAGAGAAAAGAGGAAGGAAGGGAAGGAAGAGGAGGGAGGGAGGGAGGCAGGCAGGCAGGGAGGCAGGCAGGCAGGACGGAAGGCAGGAAGGCAGGCAGGCAGGCAGGCAAGCAGGCAGGCAGAAAGGAAGGAAGGAAGGAATTCCTGTAGTTACTACCCAGCTTAAGAAATAATTTCAGTGTGGCTAAATACCCTGTCTAAAACCCTCCTGAGATGTAGCCCTCTGCCTCACCTCTACAACAGACAATATCCTGAATTTTGAGTTTCTTTATTGTCTATATATATTTACCACATATGTATGCATTTCTGGACAGCAGAAAGTACTAAAACTCCAGTGTATTTTAAATTTTTTAGTAAATTATCCACAGTCATAATGGCAGAAGCCATTCTTCTTATATAAAGCTCCAATTCATTCATTCCCACTGCTTTCTAGTATTCCATTGCACACAAGTGTTCTATTTTCTTATTCGCTCCAATTAGGCTATTACTGAAGTATTTTTGTCTCCTCCATCAGATAATACTGTTATTATTTTAAAACAGTCTAAAAATAAGATACTCTTTTGGACAGAAAGAGGCAGGGCACAGTTACCAATGAAACTCTTTAGTTTATGGTGAAATCAAAAAGCTAAACGTCATTCAGTCTCAGCTTTTTTTTCTCTTCCAAACACTCCCCTTAACCTTGAGAGGAAAGAGAGTTTACTGCTATCCCCACTATTAACAACAAGTGATGACATTGGCTACCATTATTAAATGTTTATGACTGGCCAGAAACATACCCAGTACTACATTTCTATGAGATAAGTACTGTTAATATTGCCAGGTCATAGATAAAGTAACTGCATTTAGAGAGTAGATATCTAAGCTTGCAGTCCACCAGATTCTAAATGTCAGTGGTGGGATTTCCTTCAAGGTCTGTGTGCTCTCCTGTTGTGTCTTCTGGTGAAACAGTGATAATCTAAAGAAGTCCTTCGTTATTGCCACTTAATAATACACTACCCCACCTCTTTGGAAGGTCCTTTTGTGCCCTGCAAGAGGAATGGCCAAGGAGCCAGGCTGACTTTGCAGTGTGCCCAAGAGTGTCCGTGTTCTGCAGTACTTAGATCAGCCATTGAGAAAAGCAGCAGAAAGCTCACCAGGGTTTGGCGGATGCAGGGAAAAAGGAAGTGCCTGGGAAATAAAAGCCTACATTGGGAGGTCAAAACTGAATTTGTACCAAGCATTCTTCAAAAAAAAGGAAGAAAAACAATGTGCCTAATGCTTCTCCCACCACCATGTCCCAGATTAAATGCATCCCTAGGCTGGAGTTGCCACTGGCTTGGTAGAAATGACATATCCAGTTGGAAATCACCCAAGACAGAAATGTTACACAAGTACCAGCCGGCTCAGAAGGCTTGGAAGACAGCAGTTCTGCGATGAAATGGATTCCGCTAACAGTGTTGCACCTCGTCCTTGTCAGGGACTCTCCAGGGGGCTTGGTTTCGTGAGGTCTCGCTAGCAAACACATACTCTCAATCCCTAAACCGTAGACCCTGAAAGATAGAAGCTTCGTCATCACCACTACGTTTCCCTTGCCTCCCGATCCTCCTTGCCCTCAGGAGGAAAAGGCTCGAGATCAGGAGATGGTTTGTGTACACACTCATCGCAGCTTCCTGCATAACATAACAACTTCCGGCTCAGCAACGATAAAGCTCATACTGCCTTACTCTGCCGCCCATCAAAGTCCTCCTCCATCTGACTGATCTACTTCTCAATTATTCTTTTCTGCCTCCTACTTCTCCATTAGAATCCTCTAGCCACCGGAGTCTCTTTGCTCTTCTTCAGACATGTCAAGCTTATTCTAACTTTAGAGACTTTGCACATTCTGTTCCCCGTGCTCTTCCTCTCCATACCTCCCTGGCTGTCTTCTTTCCTGTCCCAGCTAAAACATCACCTCCTTAAAACTTCTCTGAGTCTCCAAACTATGGGAGCATCAATCTCCTATTTGCTATTTCATCACCTGGCATATTTCACTTCACTGTGCTTGTTACTCTCAATTCCTTCTTATTTGTTTACCACCTATCTGTCCCACTAAATTTAAGTTCTGAGACAGCAGGGGCCTAGACGTCTTGTTTACCCCTGTGTCTCTGGTGCCTGAAATTGTTCTTAGATCCCAGATAGGTTCTCTACAAATATATGTGGAATGAATTAATGAATACACAAATAAATGAATGAGTCATCTTTCAGACATTCAAGCGCTATAAAGTTATACTGATAAAGAATAATGCCATAGACAAATCTAAAACATTTTTTCCTGCCCTGCAAATACAGATTCCAGAGCACAAGGGTTTAAATTCTCCTTAGGCTGTTACTACAGTATTTTTTTTCCAAATGATTGATGTGTTAGCCAAGCTGTCATATTGAATATATCTTAATGATGAAATGATTCTTCAGAAACTCTTCCTGTGTGTCACCTATAATGACATACGAATAAGGTAAACAGGCCTGGTTCTTCTGAATGAGATGTCTTCCGATTGGTTCAGCACATAAATACATGCCACCACCTCACGTGGGTGATACGGACCACCTGTGTCCCAGTATCATCTGCTCCAGGAGCATTGGAGGTCACTGACATATGCCAGAGCACTTCCTGTCAAGCAAATCTCCATGAATGGAATAGAACAAAGTCAAGAATGCCTTAAACTGGTATTTTATCTAAATAAGTTCATTTAAACTGATATAAAAGGTAATTTCCTCAATAGATTACCTTCATGTAAGATATCATGAAAAAGAAGTGGAAACTGAAAGCTAATTTTAAACATTTATACCTTCCATCAGTTTTGAAGAAATCTTTACAGGGACCTATGGAAATCACTGCTTTTCCAAGCAACCACCTGACACTTAGGGACATACAAGGATACTATGTTTACCTCTTGTATGAGGCCAGTCATTCATACAACATGGGTCTATGCACTGGGTACCTCCTAGGAAATCCAGACACTGGTAGGGAAGTTTTATGTTTCAAGAGAGATGACCACGACTTTTAACAGCTCTGAATTCTCCCCATCTCTACTGCAAGGGACATCAGCCAAGATGAACTCAGTTTCTGCACTGACGTTTTAACTTTCCGGTTATTTAAGAGTCTAAAACCTGGATTAATTATACTTGTACTTTGGAAAAAAAATTCCTCTGCTGCATGAACCATGAAAACAAAAAGCACCGATGATCTTCAAATGACCCAGAAACCAAGATAATTACAGTTGTAATTAATTACATAACATGACATCCCCTGGTAGTTAGCTGGAGGTCTAACCCAGAAAACTCGGAGGTTGGAAAATCTGAATTTAGGGACTTATCACAGACACAGAGCTGTGGTAAACACTCACCAACTTCTAATCTTTCTCCCAGCATGTTTGACCTCAGGCAAAAATCACTTAACCTGTTCTTATCTCCAGTGCTCATCTGTGAAATGGGGATGAAAGTCCTGGATCACCTCAAAGGCGATGCTGCGTTGAGTCATACATTAGCGATATGAAATAAAATGATTTCACATGGAATACATTTGAGAAATTTTAATAAAGCTGAGCTGCTAATAGAATCGAATTAAGAGCAAGTAAGTGGCAATATAATGCCCTGTTTATCAGAATTTCATCTAAAACAGCTTTCATGGTATCACATCAACATATATATTGACATAGCTCATAAACATATATGTTCCAAAAATGCAATCATCCCTTGCTTACTAAATATTTGTATTATTTCTTGTTGTTTTAGAAAAGTGCCTTAGAAATGTACACTCCCTTTTTTACAATGTACTTTTCAGAACAATAAAAAATAAAACCAAACCTCATGTCTGAGTGTCTGGTAAAAGATCCCATTCCCTGGCTTGTGGGATAGGGGTTTGGCCTACCAATGGCTCTAGTTCTTGAATCCAGGTTTCCCCTTTACTTCGCATTTAAGGCAGGACGTGGGCACAAGGTCTTCCCTTTGCAAAGTATCTCATATCAAAGATTACTTTTCCCAAGTAGTACCAAATAATAAAATTATTGCTAGTGTCTTAATTACAAAGTAGATTAAAATTATTCATTAAAGCATGGGGGGAGAGAGAGTAGGAAAGGAACCCAGAAAAATCATTCATTTTATTTGTCACTGTATTTATTTATAGGCAAGGTGCTCTCAGGACAAACTTTACTAAAACAACAAGGAATACAGAATTGTCACACAGAATGACTTTCAGTTACTGTTTATGTGAGTCCCCTTATCTACCTTTTGGGAAGAACTAGGGGATCGAGAAGAGTATAAACCCATTTCTCAAATGCACTCAAGCACAGCTGGGAACACCCAAAACATCTGATGATTAAAAAAAAAAAAAACAAAAAAACAAAACCTCTCGTAACACATGGGAGCCCAATGCAGGTCTCTCTTTCCTGGATTGAGATTCCATAGCCGCTAATTTGTCTTTATACTCTTACCACCATAATGGGGTTCCTGGATATTCCATTTTAATTTACCCTAAGTAGTTACTGCTATAATTATCAGAAGCAAAAACACATTAGACTTGTATTACCTTGAGACTAATAAGATGGCATAGAAGTAGTTTTGGAATCAGGCTGTCCTGTCTTTGAATACAGACTGTGTCATTTAACAGTGACTTGGTCACTGAAACGATGTACTTCTCTGATCTTCAGAATCTTTATCATAGGGTAGGGATAATGATATTAATCTACCAACGTTACTGAAAAGATTAAGCAGGATAATGCGTAATGGCTAGCATAATGTCTGAAACATAGCAGAAATAAAAAATGTTCTTTCTCCTCCTGAAACATACGCCTATCTACTCTAACAAAGCCAGATGGGCATAAACGGAGAATATCTCTACATCTCCTCTCACCAAGACAGATGTTGTACACATTAATTTAAATTACTCCAGGCTCCGTTTAAATTTGTAAGTGCAGAGGTCTTGAAATACTAGTGCTGGCAGGTCATGGAAGAGACACTTTCTGGATGGAATGAAAAGCATGCTATCACCACCTATTTCAAAATACGCAGTTGTTTGAGATAAGGTGGCCAAACCTCATGGCGGTAACTCTAGGTTGCCAGGATATCTTGATGCTGTGAAAACAAAGGCATTAAAAGACTCCTGGGAGCACAAGAAGGGGACCGAGTACGTGTTGAAGACAAAAGAGGGAATGTTTAGGTATTTCTAGAAGATTTCTGTCATTTTTTATTTTTAATTTTTTTGTTTTTAGTTTGGACATGACAATCACCCTTCATCTCATGCAGATTAATCTTCCTGTCAGGTTAAAAATGTGGGGGTGGGGTTAGGATTGCTAAGAGCCAGGTAGATTCCTTGAGTAAAAAGCATTAATATACATATTGGCTTAAGGCTAGAGTCTGCTGGATACAGTTACACCATATCTTGGAACTCAAGCCCTAATGAATTATTCAACTGAGCAGAATAATCCAGCATAACTAGCAATAAGCAACACATTCATTTGAGGGGAATGCTGTAGGGAGGACAGACAGGAATATTTATTTAGTGTTTATCTGTATTGTGCCAAACACCTTAAGAAGGACATTCCGCTATTCCCCTTACACAGCGAAAACACGGAGCCTCAGAAAAAGATAAGAAATGTGATTCCACGGGATGGTAAATATTTGACCCCATATTGAATCCCCAAAATTCATGCTCCATGCCATTCCCACTATTCCACATCATCTGCAAACCCTGTCACCTGCAATAAAGTACCTATTGGTGGCCCTTCGTTCCACACCATCAGAGCTGCAGAAAAGCTCACGCTGTATCTGGGTCTATCTGCCTCTCCATGTGTGTCTCAGAAAGATACTTTATCTTTCAAGTTTTATGGCTCATATCTGTGACTAAAATATCATTTATGACAATTCCCATCTGCTAAGCTTCAAAAGTGATACAGTTTCATTGCAAAGGGCTGCTACGAGGAGCCTAAGTTATAAGCTAAGATTTGAGTGGAATGAGAATGTACCTAAACTCTCTCTCACGAGAAGCTGAGCATCTTTAAAACGTGAATGTGTCCATCTTCTTGAAAAAAGTTGCTCTGTGAATGTTTCCAGACCCCAAAGTGTGGGGCCTGGTGGCTTCCTCAATATCAGCGCAAAGAGCTGGGCCCCTGTATCAACTATTGCAATGATCAACTTCAATAACTGACCATTGCAATTATTGCTGCCAACACAGGTCAGACACCACTTCTTATTCTGAGCAAAATAGCAGAAGCCCTGTTTCCTCTGTCATTTCTGACAATTATAGACTGGCTGTGGACCTTATTAAAGATAAAGGCTTGCCCGGGCACTCTCTTTTAGCCATCTCCTGTTCACAGTCCAGCATTTATTACAAGGGACTGGAGATTAACACCATCTATTCTGCCAGGAGAGAACGGACATCACTTAGTGGTCTCACAAAACCAAGAAACTGCAGAACGACAGAGAACTGCCCTCCATTTCCCATCTCAGGATCACTGTGCCTCTTAATAGTACCTGTAGCTTTGCTTCAAAAGACTGTCTTTACTATAACATGTATTGTGATCTTTATGTTCTAAATTCAAATGTAACGTATGTTCCTTAGGTTGGTGCAAAACTAATTGTTGTTTTAGAATTAAAAGTAATGCAATTTCAGCCAGACGCGGTGGCTCACACCTGTAATCCCAGCACTTTGGGAGGCCAAGGCAGGTAGATCACAAGGTCAGGAGAGCGATAACCATCCTGGCTAACACGGTGAAACACCGTCTCACTAAAAAATACAAAAAAATTAGCCACGCATGGTGGCAGGCACCTGTAGTCCCAGCTACTCGGGAGGCTGAGGCAAGAGAATGGCTACAGCCTGGGAGACGGAGCTTGCAGTGAGCCAAGAATGCACCACTGCACTCCAGCCTGGGCAACAGAGCAAGACTCCATCTCAAAAAAAAAAAAATGCAATTTCTATGTTTTTAAATTCCTATAAATTTCAAAACTATAGAAAAGCTCAAATATAAAGCCACCTAGAAGCAAGATATTCTTCGTATATTTGAGTATAACTTCTCTCTCTCTGTCTCCTGCTCTTCTCTTTTCCTCCTTCTCTTCCTCCCTCCCTTTCTCCCTCTCTTCTCCTTTTCCCATTGCTGCTTTTTATATTGATTCAAAAATTTTCTGTAAGCCCTCAATAACCATAATAATAATCCTAATTTATTATGGAAGAATGGAAAAAGAATACTGGGGACACAGGCTGCCCCTCCACCATTCTGTGCACTTAGCAGACATTACTAATTGATTCTGAAACTCCTTCTTCCTAAGTCAGATGCAATCCTTCTCCAGACAGAGCTCCTAACAGCCACTACTAATCAATCAGGGTTGGCAGAAGATGTGACCTCTCTTTCTGTACATGGCCACAGGCTTCAATGAGCTTACACTCTAACTTGTCAGCACAAATAAATAAAAGAAATAAAGAGGCATAAGGAGAACTTCAAGCAAAATCCTATTACCAAGGCAAGTATCAGATGCCTGGCACAGACTAGGCAGTTGTCTGATCCTAAGCAGGGTGAACACTGTGTCCTTTAGAGCCTGCTAGTACCGACATGATCCCGCTCTCATGGGATCTGAAGTATGAAGTGGTTACTCATCCTTACGTGAACTCCAGCTCCGAGGCCCAAATAGGATGTCTGCACTGATGGTGAGAAAGTGATGTGAATTGAATAGCATTATATATAGTAGGAGGTAAGTTTTGAATCACATCTTTAAATGGAAGTTATGAGACACCAACTTTTGGACCCAACAATCACACTGCTAGGAAATTAACATGGCAGTAAAAAGTAATCAGGGCCCATATATATGTTTTATTTAAATATCTCTATCAGATAACTCAGTGTATGCATGTGTAGCAGTAATGTTTATAATGGAAAAAAAAAGGAATTAAGGGAATGACTTAAATAAGGTATGTCACAGCCACCTAGTGTAGAAAAACTGAAGGAGGCTCCATGGCATATCATCAAGTGAAATTAAGCAAGATAAAGTCACACAGGGCATTTAGACTGATGTGGCTTTTTTTGTCAGTATGTGAAAACAACATATATCTGTATGCACATGTATGTATCATATATCTACATATCTTTTTTTCTTTTTTGCAGATAGAGTTTTGCTCTTGTCGCCCAGGCTGGAGTGCAGTGGCGTGATCTCAGCTCACTGCAACCTCCGCCCCATGGGTTCAAGCGATTCTCCTGCCTCAGTATCCTGAGTAGCTGGGATTATAGGCGCCTGCCACCACACCCAGCTAATTTTTGTATTTTTAGTAGAGACAGGGTTTCACCATGTTGGCCAGGCTGGTCTCGATCTCCTGACCTCAGGTTATCCGCCTGCCTCATCCTCCCAGAGTTCTGGGATTACAGGCGTGAGCCACCGCACCTGGCCATATATGTGCATATCTATACACAATGGTGCTTTTTTCTTTCTCCTAATGGCCGCTGATACTGATTAGCTTTAGTAAGATCCAAGATTTGGAGATGGGCTTCATTTCCCGTCTTCCGTTACTAGCATCATTTGAATTATTAATCACAGGCACGTACCACTTTAAGCAGAAAAAAAAGTTTACTGGTTAATCTCAGTGGTAGGACTGTGGCACATTTGTTTACTTCTTGATTCTTCCTGGGACACATACAACACACAAATGTTATGTTAAAGAAGTAAATTATGAGCTTCAAGTGATGGGGCCAGTTTGGGAGGGAGAAGGGCAGAAGGAGAGTAAAAGGCAGGCCTTGGCATTTATGAAAACATCAGACAGGCTTCTGAAAACCTGCGTAAAACTAAAGGTGCTTAGAGGAGAGGAGAACAAAATACAGGCAAGTCAAAAATACAGACACATCCATCCCAATAAAATACCTGTCCTGCTGATGCTACAATTTCCTGATTGGGGCTTTGCTTCTGGGGTCACCATGCATCAGTATTCCACTCACCCTGGCTGCAGTCACCATTTCTCTCCATTTCTTTTTGACCTCAAGCATTTTATGCATAAATGTCAGTGTTCTTTGCAATTAATCATGCCTACCAAAGACTAATTGTGGACAACAGTCCTGCAATTAGCAAAAATGCGTTTCAAATATGCATGAATGTTCAGAAAGCACTCACATTCCAAAACCTCGGGTACCTAAACAGGAAAACTGGCCACTAGTTCACAAGTCCCTTTCAAATTCAATATGAACTAGCAAGATAATCAGATCATAGCGGATGGCACCCATGCCTAGGATGTGCTAATGAGAGAATGGTATCCTGAAATGCATGCTATCAACTCTGCAAGGCAGCACATCTGAAAATATCAAGCATGCCCTTTAGAGGAGTTAAAAAGAGTGGGGAGGGAGCGTGGGGGAAGAAGGGAAAGTGAGGGAGACAGAACTTACCCGCGTTGATAAAAAACAAAGATCGCTTTGATTGACAAATACAGTGATTCCTGGCAGATATAATTGGAAAATTCAGAATCAGTTACAGGAGTCACACACATCACAATGTACCTCCAAATACCATTACTGCAGTTAGGCCCTAGTTACCCATCACTGAAAGACCAACCTAGATAACATGTCTGCTTCTTAGTATTTTGTCTTAATGGGTACCAAGAAAATAACTTAGAGCAGTAGTTCTCAATCAATGGCCACTTTACCCCATTCCCCTCCCCAGGGGACAATGGCAATGTTTGGTTGTCATAATGAGGGAAGGGGTGCTACTGGTATCCACAGGGAGGAGTCCAGAGTTGCTGCCAATTGTCCTACAGTACACAGGGAAACCCTTCAACAACAGAATTTTCTGGCCATAGTCATAGTGCCAAGCTTGAAAATGTCAATAGTCTCAAGGTTCAGAAGCTGACTTAGAGTAATTAAAAAGTATGAATTCTGGGATCAGAAAGCCTAGCTCAAGGCTCTGACACATAATAGCATGGTGGCTTCAAGCAAGCCCGTTAACATTTCCAAGCTTCAATTTCTTCCTCTGTAAAGTGGGGATAAGCCTTGCTGTTTTGCAGGCTGGCTGCAAGAAAGTGAGATAATGAAATTGATAGTACTTGTCCCAGAATTAATGGGAGCTATTATGATCACTGCAATTATTATTATTATTTACTTATTTTTCAATCACATTACAAAACAGAAGCACAACAAACTTGTTGGAAAGGTATGCTATTGCTAATCAGACACCATGGCAAATAGCCCCTCCATCCTCCCAGGAATAAACTAGTCTCACTTCAAACAATTGTTACAGTTAGAATCCAATTGACTCCAGACAAAAGTATTGAGATAATCAGCATATTAAAGCCAACACTATAACCATATGTTAATTATGTAAATGATTCATTTTAATCAGCTAGAACCATGTAAAGAGTAACTAGGAATGCAAATGCAGGGAGTTATTAAAAACCTCATTATTATTCATCTTGGTTCCATGCGTGAACATATCCATCCAAACAGATGAATTAATAGTGAGAGGAGAGATGAAAGGGCTTGAGGGAGAGTCTGCGGGACACCATCTGTCTGCCTTTGCTTCTTGCTAGGGCCTCCACTTTGCAGAAAAGCTGGATGAAGCATGCAACAACAGGCTTTGAGCTTCCTCTGGAAGACATGGTCAGCCCCCGAGAGCTGCAGGAACATCGTGGTTTCTGTTTGTTTGGGTGTGTTTGCTTTTTACTATTGGGCTGGGGGAAGGTGGCAAGACTTGGAGTCAATCTCCTATATTAAGCAGACTGTGGGTCCCACCGGAGTGGGATACCCCAATCCACGCTGAGTTGTGAAAAACCTCCTTCTTCCTTCTTTTCTGTATTCCTCTTTCACCTTCATTACGACTTCTACCACCACCATGCTATCTCTTCACCATCATCCTGTTCGAGCCAGGAGGATCATCTAGCACTTCTTGCTCAGCTGCAGGATCATTGTGTTAAAAAAAAGAAAGATTCACCTCCCTTCTCATTCCACAAAAAATGAATGAAACCTCCCAGGCCATTAGAGGGCACTTTCTTTGTTACTTAATCTGAAGATAACTGTCTGGCTTGCTTTTCTCACCATTAATTCCCTAAACTGTAGAAGGACATACACTCCAATTATTTTTATTTTTTTTTTTTTTTTTGAGACAGAGTCTCGCTCTGTCACCCAGGCTGGAGTGCAGGGGCGTGATCTCAGCTCACTGCAAGCTCTGTCTCCCAGGTTCACGCCATGCTCCTGCCTCAGCCTCCTGAGTAGCTGGGACTACAGGTGCCCGCCACCACGCCTGGCTAATTTTTTTTGTATTTTTAGTAGACAGGGGGTTTCACCGTGTTAGCCAGGATGGTCTTGATCTCCTGACCTCATGATCTGCCCACCTCGGCCTCCCAAAGTGCTGGGATTACAGGTGTGAGCCACTGTTCCCGGCTCCAATTTTTTTTTAAAGTGAATTAAGACTAAGGGTGTTTCGAGACCTCCAAGAAAACTTTTTAAGCATATAAAGACTCCATGAATGATGCTGGTTTTCTGGTAATACGTAAACTTTCAAAATATGGCACTTTTGAAGATAAACAGGGAAAGAAACCCCAAAATGGATAGACTATCAAACACTAATTTGAAAAATACTTACGGCCTTTCTTCTCTCTCTTTTTTTTTTTTTTCGAGACAGTCTCACTCTGTGGCCCAGGATGGAGTGCAGTGGCAGGATCTTGGCTTATTGCAACCTCCACCTCCCGGGTTCAAGCGATCCTCCTGCCTCAGCCTCCCAAGTAGCTGGGACTACTGGTGTGTGCCACCATGTCCACCTAATTTTAGTATTTTTAGTAAAGATGGGGTTTCATTACGTTGGCCAGGCTGGTCTCAAACCCCTGACCTCAGCTGATTCACCATCCTCGGCTTCCCAAAATGCTGGGATTACAGGCATAAGACACCATGCCTGGCTCTCTCTTTAGAGTAAAGATTATAAACTGGTGACCCTTGGGCTAATGATGTGTTTGATCATGTGTAGTGTCTGTGTGTGTGTGTGTGTGTGTGTGTGTGTATGCACGCATGTGTGCACGTGCTCATGCACATATATATGCATATATATATATCATCATAATGAATATCCCCACAAAAATCTGGATTTTTACCTTCTTTTGAAATATCAGAAAATCTGACAACGCAGAGCCTGCACTATTGCATTGAAAAAAATGACTGCAGCTAAGGAGAAGCTGCCTCCTTTAGATAGAACAGATGGGATGGGACATTTGTTCTCTGTTTCTCCACTATTCCCATTGAACTGACTGATGCACATATACAGAATGTTGTGAGCATCAGAGTCTGGAGTTAGAGACTATTGTGAGCTGATTAGATTTCCATCTCTTCCATTAACTCCAGAATGCAAACCTGGAAGAGATGTTTCACGATGATATAGGCAGAGGGTCACTTCTCTTTCCTGAGAGGCCACGTACACATTTCTATAGCAAACAACAGAGTGCAAATCAAACATGTGCCTAAGGACTTGTCATGGAATCCATCGAAGAGAGAGGGACCAGAGGAAGACTAGCCAAAATGACAGATTTACACCTGATTCTGTGCAGCTCTGCTTGTGACAGGACTTCTTCAGAACCAACATGATGATGACTACAAACTGAACTGCACTCTTTATCTCAAAACAGCAACTCTCAAATGCACACTTTGTGCTGATTTACAGTCTCGTCTTTGCAAACAGTAAGATGGGGGTGGGGGCCTCAGCCATTCCCCAGAGTGTCATTGCCAACACCACCTAGCCCAGGAGACCATCTTTCCCAACTCACTAAATGGGCTCACCGGCAGTATTTCATGATTCACTGACACCATATTGTCTAAGACAAAAAGAAAAAAAAAACTGGGGGGTTTGGGGGAGGGAATCAAGCCAGAAAACCCATCTGCAATTCATTTCACACCAGAGTTAAAAACATGTCCACCTGACAAAAGTACAATCGATCATTTCAATTCATTTTTAAAAGAGTAAACATGCTCAAAATTAAATGATTTGGGGGGATGAAAAGTAAGGACATCCCAAAAGCTCTATGCGCTTTCTTCTTCATATTCTAATTCTTTCATGTGTCTCTGCCTGATGTCTCCTAATGTACTTTCACTGGAATCCCATTTTTGATCTTTAATCCCTTTATGTGTTTTTCTCTGCTTACTCTTGAACGGCTTTGTAGCTGCCATAATTGGGTCTCTGGCACCATTTTAATAGGGCTTAGCACAATGCAGGCTTGACAAATTTCATCTAAGTGGGAAAAAAAAAAAAGAAAACTATCAATATCATCAGAGAAACTGACCAGAGTTTCAAATACATTCCAACAAATATATCAACTAGGACACAAGCCGACTAAGGCAGCCTCCATGGTTGGACCAGGGAGGAAGGACAGAAATCATCTCAGGCTGTGCCTCAACAGCCTGTCTGTCCTGGAGGGTTTATCAATTCACAAGCCTGGAGGCAGAAGGCTGGACCGGATGATTTTTTTCAAGGCCAAACTCGGCTCAGCCATAAATGTCAGGGCGCAGCTTCCCTGGAAACATGCACAGCCTTCGTTTCCTCTCTAGGTGCCGTGCCTTTGTGATTTTCAGCCAGGGTGCTCAACGATCTGGCAATGGCTAAGTGACATTCTCTGACACAGCTCTGCTGGAAACAACATCGGATTTACAAATGTCCTGGCAATAAGAGAACATGCAATGGCAGCAGACACCAATGGGGTGGCAGCCTGGCTTAAAATCATCCTGGTCTTGCTGGGAAAGGCCTCAATACACTGTTTAGAGGGTCAGCTGCCATGTCTGTGCCACATGACCCAGCTCTACACCTAGGCCATAGCTGATTGGCTCAGTGATGAGCCCTGGACCTCCGCCAGGCCAATCAAAACCTTCCCTGGGAGTTTCTGACACAGAGTCTTTCTGTTCTGATATCACAGGATGAGTCTTCTCACCCACCTTCTATTAGCAGCCATACTTCCCACCATGTGCAGGAAGCTAGTTTGTGGAAGTGAAACTGACACAAAGAAAGGAGACAAAGAAGGAGAGTCTTAGGGTATTAATATTTTCCCTGGGTCCCAGCTACCCTGGATGTAGTCACGTAAGAGATACCTGTATCTTCCCTGTTGAGTCATCACTTTGCATACACTGACTTGAGTTGTGTTTACATCTCTTACTAAAACAGGGTTTCTCTATCTCTGCACTCTTGATATTTTGGGTGCTATAATTCTGTACTGTGGGAAGTAAAGTACCTTTACTGTGCCCTGCCATCTTAATGTTTGCAAAGATGATGCTGTAAATCAGCACAAGATTCTGTGCCTTGGCAAATGTTTAGCAACATCCGTGGCCTCTATCCCGTAGATGTCAGCAGCATCACTCTACACAATTGAGACAACCAAAAATGTCTTAACACATTTCCGAATGTTCCCTGTGGGGGGGAAAAAAATCACTCCTTCTTGAGAATCACTCACTGAAAGAATTTTAATACAGCAATTCAACATTAATAACTAACAAGGTTCTTTTGTCCTGCCTGGCTATGGCTATGGTTTGGTGGATGGACTGAGACTATAAAAAAAGGTAAGTCCTGATTTAGGTTCTCAGTCTCAGATATACTCTACATTCTTCCCTGCTACAAAATAAGTGGCAAGGTCCTTTACATATTTATTACCCCATTGAGTGTATCATCTGTTTCTCTGGTTTCTAATGACATTTATATCTCACAAAGATGTTTATGGTTAAAAAGAGGAAAGAAAAAGTCTCCCATGATCGTGACAGTAGTCTTGAAACCCTATCCATCATGAGGTTGTATATGGTTTGTATTGGGATGGATAGATGGATGGATAGATAGATAGATAGACGAATGATAGATAGATGATTGATAGACGACGGACAGACGGACGGACGGATGGATAGACAGACAGACAGATAGATTCCCCAAAAGAATCATCTGATCATTGTAGGTCTCAAGAATGTATCAACAGTCAGAGTGCTTGGCATCTAATTGACACATTCACTAGTATCCATTACACCTTCCTAACAGCATCTTGATATCCTTTTACAGAAATTGTCTCTTCCTTGTTAGTAAGCAGAAAAACAAGTATGTTGCCCTCACAATGGGAGCTCTAAAGATTTCTTCTGACTTCTTCCAACAGATTACCTTAGAGAGAGAACACAACTAGCAAGTATTCCCTGCCCTGGGACTTCAAATTTTAACCAGAGAGATCTGATGATAGAAAAAGTGACTAGAGGATCATTCAGATAGAAGAAAAGGCATTCATTCTACAGCCAGCCTCTAATGGCTGAATAATTCTCTTCTGGGATCCAAGTTTTTTTTTTTTGTTTTTTTTTTTTTTGGTCTTCTTGATATCATGTGAGCTACTCAATATCCTCCCAATAAATGCTCTCCCTTGCCAAAGATAGTCCAAGTAGATTTCTAGTACTTGAAACTCAGCAACCCAACCTGATACTGCTAATAATGGTCAAATGAAATGTTAAACACGCACAAAAAAATGCTAGCATCTCAAGATCTATGAATTAGCACCATAATGTAGTCATTTTTTTTCCTCTTAAAAAGGACAAATTCAATAACCTACAATTAATTCCAGGGCCCTTTCTCCATAGTAACTGCAAGATAAACAGATCTCATACTTCAAAGGGTTCCGTCTTTCCTGGCAGCCAAGTGCTTAGAAGATGGGAAAGCCGCTAGCCCGGCACATCCCAAGGTACTGATGTAACAGACAAGAGCTCGTCAGACGTAAGCTGAGCTGTTGTAGACTCCTGCACCCCACGATTACCAACAGACAGGGAGAGATGGATTCCTAATCTTTAAAATGCTTTGAAAAGATGTGAGCTTTAATAGGACTTGGGAGTCCCAAAGCTGACTGGCTGTTCTACTTTTCCATCGCACCTACAAATACGATCTTGCTGTCTTCCTGTTCAAAAATATTTCCCCTCAAATGTCCTCTTTTCCTCACCATAAGACACCAGGAAGGCCATATGCCTCTTCCCACTTCTGCTGAAGTGCCAACAATGAAGCCCAGAAGCCAACATGTGCTAAGCAGCCCCGTCCCTCCCCCTCCACCCAGATAATAAACATCAAGAAGACTGACGGGAGATTCTGGGCACTTATTTTCGGCCCCTGAAACCAAAACACAGCTACTCAAACGTCTATAGAAGAATCATTAAATGCTCCATAAAATGTACTTAGCCGTAAGCAAAAAGGTTTTGTCCTCCAACAAAACAACTTAAATGGAGCCAGCAAAAGGGATCTGATGGCTTTAAGTCCCAGTGTGTTTAAAGGTTCTGTGAACTCATGATGACCTTTCCCCAGCTGCTCGGCACACTGCCTTAAAAGCCAGGCGACCCATTTTATGCCAGGCACTTTGCCAGGCTGAGAGGCCCACAAGATCCCGGCCTTTACTTATTTTTTTTTTCCTTTATTAGCTCCAGGGGTGACCTCGGAGGAAGGATTGAATCTGGCTCAGACACTGTTCTAACGGCTCTGTGCTAGCCATTTCATTGGCTGCTCATGGCAAGGTAATGCAATTGGCTTTGTTTTACCCCCTTGGACAGAAGAAGTCATTAAGTCTCACACGTTGTAAGTAACACACAAGTAGTTAGATGGGAGACAGGATTTCTCAACAGCTTGACAGGTTTATCTGGAGGTTTTCCCCCCGCCCAGTAACACAACAGACAAAGAACCCAGACCCCAGGAACTCAGGATGGAGGCTGACGGCAATCCGTTGTGCAGTTCTGTCTCTCCCAAAGCCTCTCATAATGAAAATAGCAACAACAGCCCCAGCAGTCACAGCGTAAGAGCAGCAGTATCCACCACCATCAGCGCATCCCATTGCTCTCAATGATCCAGGCCCCACACTGGGTGATTTACAGGCCATCCTGCTTAAGCCTCAGGAGACATTCCATGTGGGTCTCATCCTATTTTTCAAAAATTAGGAAACAAAAGCTCAGAGAGGCTAAGTGACTTGTCCAAGGTCACACACTAGTGCAGAGCTGAGTTAGGAAATGACTCCAGCAATATCTGACTCTCACATCTGGACTCTTAACTGGTACATTATAAAACGTACATGCTGTCTTCTGACCCACTGATAAGCCACTTCTCTGGCAGTGAACACTTGAAATGCACACACACACATATACGCACAGAAACATACACTAACATACACCCAAAACATATATACAAGAACATGCACACACTAGCATGCATACACAAATATACACACACTAACACACATATGCAAACTAACATAAAAAACATACACATACTAAGATACGCACAAAACACATACTACACGCAAAACATATACACAAGAACATCCACACACTAATACACACACTAACATGCAAACAAAACATCCACACACTAACATCTACACACTGACACACATGTAAACACACAAAAAACATGCACATACTAACATATACACAAAACACACAAACACACACAAAAACATATATATACTACGTACACGCAGAACACACACTAACGCATACACACAAAACATATACACACAATCACACACACATTAACACATACACACACACTAGCATACACACAAACACACATACACTAACATACACACAAAACATACACACACACACGCAAACACACGAAAAACATACACATACTAACATACACACAAAACACACATACTAACAAAAAATATACTAACACACACAAAACACACAAACACATAAAAAACAAACACAATCATACACAAACACACACACACACTAGCAAGCATACAAAACATACACTAACACACATACACTAACACACACACAAAACATCCACACACATACACACACTAACACACATATGCAAACTAACACCAAAAAACACGTACTAACATATACACAAAACACACACACTAACACATGTACACACAAAACATATATACATAATCATACACACACTAACACACATACACACACTGGCATACACACAAACATACACACAAAACATGCACACACATACACACTAACACACATATGCAAACTAACACAAAAAAATACACATACTAACATATACACAAAACACACGCACTAACACACAGACACACAAAACATATATACATAATCATACACACACTAACACACATACACACACTGGCATACACACAAACATACACACGGTTTGCCCCTTGATGCAGCCTCGAGTCTCTCTGCTTTTGCCTACTTTCACCAGCATGCCTCAAGCATCTTCGAATTCTCATACTACCAGGCAGGAACGTGGCTCAGCCATATCCAAGCATCCTTCCCTGCTGTCTCCCACCTGTTTGGTGTGTGTTTGGTTGCTTTAGTTATCCCTATAAGTAGAAACAAGGCCGGGAACAGCTACAAAGGAAATATCCTCCTTAGCCACCTGCCACCTTCGGACTCACCTGGTCTAACCTGGATTTACTCCATTTCACGGACTAGGAGGGTGTCAAGCAGGGGACCAGGTAACCCTCAGCCAAGTAAAAGGAAACCGTTCTTTCAAGCTTTAGGGAAGTGCCGCAGCCTCGTTCTTTGATGCAAAATGGTTTTAATCTTCCCCAAGAGCAAACATCTGCTTAATGCAAAGCTTTCTAAGTCAATTTAGGCATCCTCTAAGTGCCACCTAGAAGCTGCACTGCTATTACAGGCAGGCCCAGCGAGACGGAATGGCTACAAAGTGTGCAATGACACAAACAGGCCTTCAGAGCCCAGAACCTGCATAAAACGAAACTGGCTTCACTGAGCAGGTTCATACCCAGGTTAGGAGCAGAAGCTTGGAAAGAGGGCTGGCAGGTGGAGGAAGGTGTCCACTTTCTGTCCCTGGGCTTGTGGTCTTCAACAATGGCCAAGAAACCCCCAGCAGGCAGAGTTTACAAACATCTACCACGCCACAAAGCCAGCTTCCTGGTTGGGTTGATTCCCATTCATTCTTTCTCATCATGGCACACAGAGGCTGAGGACTCAGGTTGCCTTTGGAATGAAAGAAGAAAAACTCATACGCAGTGGATGAGACTCTCCAAGGATAAGGATACATTCAGGGACTCTAAATAGATACTCGAAGATGTCAAGGTGACCTGGGAAATCTCTGGGAGGCAGGGCTGGAATGTACAAGCCTAATTAATGGCACTGTGTGAAGAAAGGCAAAGTGAAAAGAAGACTTGGCCAACACAGATAGGAAAAAAGAGATCCCAGTGTGTGGGACATTGGCTGTGTGTTGACAGCATTATCCAGAGAAGATTTACAACAGATCCCAGGGACACAGGCATTCCAAGCAAGGGAGAGGAACTTTGTATCATAGGGAGGGATAATTCCTTTGCCTTTGTTGTGGCCTACAGGAAACGTCCTTTCAAACACCTCACTTCCCTAGGCACAGGCTTGGTCCTCAGGCCACCCGTTACCTTCCTGGGTTTTCTGATACCAGGAAGGTTGTAGCTAGGATGGGTTATGTGAGTTTTTCAAGAATTAGTAAAGGCTTCTCCCATTCTCGCTAATATTCACACACGTGCACACCCACATCATACATACAGGCACACTGTAGACCACTTCATTTATTTCAGCCACATATGAAGCAGCAGAGCCACCATTTCTGATCTTCTCAGAGTCACTGTTTTCAGTTGACCACAGTTTGGCTAACATGTGACACATTTTGAGTCTATTCTAAGAATTCTAGGCTATTGGGAAAAAATGGGGCATTTCTAGGTTTATTAAATGTAATTACAACATAATACCATGCTATATATAGCATGTGACATGCAGAATGCATGTAGCGTATTAAATAGTATATACATGAGATAAAGTTCCATCCATCTGTCTTTTGGTTGAATCCCATTTTCATCATAGGGGGAGGGAATATTTAAGTTGTTTCAACTATAGAAAGACTATATAGTGTAATTAAAAAAAGTGATTTTCCAGAGTGGTTTTTTTGTTTGTTTGTTTTTTGTTTTTTTTTGAGACAGAGTCTCGCTCTGTCACCCAGGCTGGAGTGCAGTGGCGCGATCTCGGCTCACTGCAAGCTCCGCCTCCTGGGTTCACACCATTCCCCTGCCTCAGCCTCCCCAGCAGCTGGGACTACAGGTGCATGCCTCCATGCCCAGCTAATTTTTCATATTTTCAGTAGAGACGGGGTTTCACCATGTTAGCCAGGATGGTCTCGATCTCCTGAACTTGTGATCCACCCACCTCAGCCTCCCAAAGTGCTGGGATTACAGGGGTAAGCCACCATGCCAGGTCCAGAGTGGTTAAATTTGAGATTCAACAAAACATCCTTGACATTGCTGATGGAGAGACGTGCTGTAGACAGCAAGCCATTGTGGACAGGGGAAGCAAACAGTGGTTTAACTCAAGAGCCCCAAATCCGGACACAAGGATGGGTACTTCAGATGATTCACACACAAGTGACTATTTCCCACCAAATTACTGCTCCCTTCCTGAGCAACCTTATATATCAAGCTCCACAGGGAGTAGTAAAAAGCATTTAGTTATTTAATGAAGGTAAATTATTTTCCCTAGTATCACACATTCACATGTGCACACAAACACACAGAGGCACACATATACACAGATATACACACAATTAGATGGCATATAACAGGTGCTTACTATGTGATAAACATTTTACATATGCTATGTAGCTACATGCTACATACAGCTATATACTATTTTACATATCCTATGATAGTTCATTTCCTTCTCATAATCGTCCCTCTGAGAGGTAAGGATTAGAAACCAAGGCTCAGATAAGAGAGGTTCTGAGACATGCCAAAGGTCACACAGCATTTGCACGGATGGCTAGGAATTGGACCCAAAGCCAACATGTTTAACTCACCCACAGTTTTCTGTACCTCCTTAGATGGCTATGCTGTAGCTGACAATTACCAAGTGAGTCAAGGTTGAAGGAAGGTGGAGGCAGCAAAGAACTCAACTAATCTTAGATTTTTTCATTCCAAAAACATCATTAATCTAATTGTCTATTAAAAGGAGAAATGTTTTACTTTATGGATCCGAAATTCCAAGTCTTAGAGAGTCAAGGGCAGAATGGTCTTACTGTCTCATGTCTTGTCCTTAGAAAGTTACTTCTCTCGTATTATGTAGATAAGTCATCGTGAGCACATATAACCTTCCTTCTCTCTGCTACTTTCTGGGCTTTGTCATACAAACATTGCTGTACCACCTACCACCTGTGACTACTTTATTCATATAAAAAGTACTTAAGAGACTGGGCGCAGTGGTTCACGCTTGTAATCCCAGCACTTTGGGAGGCCGAGGTGGGTGGATCACCTGAGGCCAGGAGTTTGAGACCAGCTTGGCCAACATGGTGAAACCCTGTCTCTACAAAAAATACAAAAATTAGCTAGCATGATGGCAGACTCCTGTAATTCCAGCTGCTAGGGAGGCTGAGGCAAGAGAATTGCTTGAACCCGGGAGGTGGAGGTTGCAGTGAGCTGAGATCGCGCCGCTGCACTCCAGCCTGGGCGACAGAACAAAACTCCACCTCAAAAAAAAACAAAAAACAAAAAACAAAAAACACAAAAATACTTAAGTCTTAATTTTCCTTGAATAAAATGCAGGAGCTGCTTAGAGATTTATCATTATTTATTAAACAATTTGCAAATTATTTGCTCTGATGCCACTGTCACCTGTCCCTTTCGGTGGCACGGCCACCCTCTTTCTCTGTCACGGTTTATTTGCAGCAGAGGCTGACTTGGTTATGTATTCTTTCAAAGGTTTATCAACCCTCTCAGGACAGCTTCTGCATATCCAATAGGATGATAACAGATACACAATTTATTTTCTGGAGTGAGTTATGAAAGTTAATCAGTAAGAAGTGGAAGTCTTGTAAATTACCTATCGAAGATCAGCCTATTCACTGTTCTGCTTCTACAAGGCTGGTTCGAGCTCAGGTCTCAGGCTGCACTAGTCATTAGCCCACATGGAAGATAACGTGATTCTCAGGCAGATGAAAGTAACCCTCCCTATTAAGACAGAGACAGTAAAAAGTAAAAAACAGCAACTCCTTCCCTCAGAGAGGAAAAAAATTAAAGAGGAACCAAAACTAGACTGAAGAAATATCTTCCATGAATGGAAAAGAAGCCTTAGAGGAGAGTAACAAAGTAAGGAAGGGGAGAAGGAGCAATGCTGAATGCTCCAAAATTATTTAAAATAAAGAGTTAAAGCACCACTTGGTCACAGGAAGCACCTCCACTAGCCTGGTCTCCTCTGAGCATGGGCAGGGCAAGAAAACTGACATTGCAACCGAGACTGAATAAAAGTCCTGCGCAAGAGACTGAAAATGGCTCAGAAACAAGGCTCAGTTCAGAGTCCAGGAAGATGGGTGAAATGCACATATAGGGCTCAAAATGTATGCAGCAAAACAAGATGGGTAAGTATGAAAAGAGGTGGAGGTGGTTGGATTTCATTTCTTCAAACAGCAGTAAGCAGGACAGTTGTAGGGCAAAAAGGTGAGGCCAAAGAAAGTGGAAAAAACCTGGATGGTTCCACTGCAATTCATGCACCTCACCACCACTCTGCTCTCTGTTAAGCTTAATCAATGCTTCTGATTCATTGGAATCTTTTGTTTTCATCATCAGTTTCTCTAAAAATGTTTTTGTAGTGAAAAATGGGAGTATAATGATGATAACCAAGAACCTTCTTACCCACAGGACTGATATCCTCCATCCAAGAGATTTTTTTTTTTTTTTCCATTTCTCCTGCCGACTCTTATCAGGATGATTTCAAAACTGCGTGTATGCTTGCAGAATTCAAAATCCTTGTGTTCCTACATGCTAGCCCCAGCACCTCGAGCACACAGTTTCTTCTCCCATCTCTGGTCATGACACTACTGGACCAAACTGGTTTACCTTGATGCAGAATGTTCCAAGGCAGATAGATCCCTGGATTCCTGAGCCCAAAAGCTTTCTGCTGGTGTGAAATGGCCAAGCACAGAGGGGCCCTCAGCATTCACACAAAGAACAGAAACTAGAGGCAACAAGACTTGATCTCAATCTTCTTTCCCCTGCATCAACCTTGCTGGAGGTTCTTGCCATGCTTTGGTTATAAGCTGTGACCCAGATACTGAAGACGAAAGACTACGCATAATAGTAAGTCCACTAAACCTGGCTCCAAACCCTTCCTTCCATCACTGGAAAAGGCACTGCAGAAGCCATGTGAGAGTGTCCCTGTTTTAAGAAAACTGTTAACACTTCTTTAACGTATTTGTCTTATTTAAAAAGCAAAGTATTCATGCACTTCAGAACTTCAAATGCCCTTAACGTAAAGCTTACCGAATAAACCAAATTCTGCTGCTGCCCTGCTTAAAACTTTCCAGTGGCTTCTTACTGCACCTCTATAAAAATCCAAACTCATTATCATGCTGTGCAGGGCCCTGCCTCAATCGGCCCCCCACCTACCACCCGACATCATTTCCTGCCAGGCTCCTCCTCCATCACAAGGCCCTGGCCATCCTGGCTTCTTTTGAACACTCTCCAGTCACTTTCTTCTCAGTGGGATGCTCCTTCTTGCTTTCAGTTCTTTTCTTTAGTGTGCATGCTCAGAGAGGCCTTACCTGACTGTCCTCTCTGTGATGGGCCCTCTGTGTCTTGGGGCATACCTCTCATTTCAGTCTTTTGTTGCTTAGATCTATAACGATGATGCCTGTGTGGGCCTCCATCCTGCCCATTAGAATCTAAGTCCCGTAAAACAGGGGTCTTGACTCACTATTCAGTGCTGTATTCTCAGTGCCTAGAACTCTGCCTAGCATGGAATCAATGCCTGATAGTTACGTGATGAATAAAGGATTGGATGAACATACTGACCTTATAAGTGATGACAATGCGTCAATCAATGCATTGGAGCACCAGGTATTGGAGACATGCAGCCCCATTAGAGAGAACTCGTTGGAGCTTGCTTCTTCATTTTTCAAACCAATAAAGCACAGTGCATGGGCCGTATTTACCCAAGTAAATGCCCTCTCTCACTGAAAGAAAATATGGTTTTTGGCCTTGACCTCATTTTGCCTCCGGCAGATTGCCTTTGGCTGTCAGCAGCTAGAAGCCTGGGCAGAGCAGGTGGAGGGAGCTGCAAATGACCCTGAAGGTTGAAAGGAAAAGAAATTATCACCCAACAGATTGGCAAAAACTTAAAAGATTGATGATGTCCAGTTTGAGCACAGATGCAAGAAACTGGTCCATCATACCCTTTTTTGTGTGTAAGAATTGGCAAAGCCATTTGCTGAAGGGCAAATAAATCATGGTATTACTGTTTATAGAATTGTGTGCCGTCACAATATAGAATGATAGAGTGGACCTGTACAGACTGACATGGGGAGATGGCCAAAACATGCTGTTAGATAAATAAAAGCAATGAGCAAAATCATGTGGGTGATGAGATCCCACTTGCTTAACACACGTGCATGGTGTCCTTGTACACATACCTATGCATGTAATTACATAGGAAAAGTATGGGAGGGTTTCGGACTCACACTCCAAATCGTTAGCAGGTATTGTCTCTGGGTGGGAGGTAGGACAGGAGAAAGGGGGCAGTAGGCAGAGCCACAAACTTTACTCTGCTTTCTGACTTATTTCTTGAAACTGTCCTGAGAAAATACGGTCATGATAAAACGTGACAAGTAAAATTTCTCAGAGACCTTGACAGAGGGACTCTGAGTTGCTGGCTGAGGCCTGGGATGGGATTTGTGGAAAAAGTAGAGGTTAGAAGGACGAGGAGCACAAAGCCAACTGATGGGGATTCAAATCCAGGCCTCCCAATGCCCTGGGACTTCAGCAATTGACATCTCTGATGCTCAGTTTTCTCACATTCAAAGCTTGGGTGATAGCGGTAGCTACCTGTTAGAGTTTTGGGAGGATTAACTAAGACCTCATGCGTTAAATGCTTAGCACACTGTCTGGTACAGGGCAAGTACAAACGTTAACTATTAATTTTTATTATTATAATCATTATTTGTCATGTTTCAGCATTCGAATTTGCTTAAATGAGGGAAAGCAGAGCAAAGAGACCACAAGATAGCAATACAATTAATTTAATCTTTTAGCATAGAGCTGTCCAGCAGAACTTTTAGCAATAAAATGAATGTCCTATATCATACTGTCTAGTACAACCAACACAAACCACATGTAGCTCCTAGGCACTGAAAATGTCAATGGCACAGTTTTGAGGGCTACTGAATTTTAATTAAATTTAAATAGAGACACGTGACTAGTGGCCGTCATATCGCACAGTATGTTTCCAGAGAGTGCTATCTTCCCCAGCTAAAATATCCTAATTCTTTCCTCATAAACACAGCTAACAAAAATTGGGCACGGTAATAGTGCTTAAATTGAATGAAATCCTAAGCATTTCACATTGGTGGCCTTTGAAAAGCTGAGTTTAGAAGGTTTTAGGAAGTAGTTTTTTTTCCAAGCTCATTCAGTTTTTCTGGCTGCTTGAAGGACAGTCTCAGCTGGTGCTAGGCCGTGTTTAACAACACCTCTTTAATACTTTCCAACCTCTGTTTTATTTCCTGAGGGAAAACAGGCCTTGAATACAGCAAACACCTTCAACAAACACAGGTAATAGAAAGAATTTGATGACATTGCTTTGTTTTCAACATATTTTTTGAAATAATAATTCATATTCCACAAAGTTCACACTTTAAAATATACAATTCGGGCCAAGCATGGTGGCTCACACCTGTAATCGCAGCAGTGTGGGAGGCCGAGGTGGGCAGATCACCTGACGTCAGGAGTTTGAGACCAGTCTGACCAATGTGATGAAACCCTTTCTCTACTAAAACTACAAAAATTAGCTGGGCGTGGTGGCAGATCCTGTAATCCCAGATACTCAGGAGGCTGAGGCAGGAGAATCGCTTGAACCTGGGAGGTAGAGGTTGCAGCGAGCCCAGATCATGCCACTGCACTCCAGCCTGAGTGACAGAGCAAGAGTCTGTCTCCAAAAAAATAAAATAAAATAAAATATACAATTCTGTGTTATTTAACATATTCACAAAACTGTACAACTGTGTATGAAAGTGGTGATAGTTGTACAATTCTAGAACATTCCAGATAATTCCAGAACATTTTCATCACCTCAAAAAGAAAATCCATATCCATAAAAGGATCGCTTCCCATACTCTCTCCCCTCAGCCCTTAGCAATCATTAATCTACTTTAAGCTACTATAGGTTTGCTTATGCTGAACATTTCATATAAATCGAATCATACAATATGTAGTCCTTTGTATCTGACTTCACTCACTTAGTACAACATTCTCAAGGTTCATCCACACTACAGCATGTAAGACATCATTTCATTTTATACCTGAACATATCCCATTGTATGCTATATCATCTCGTGTTTATCCATTTCTTAGTTGATGAACATTTAGCCTGTTTCCATGCTTTGGTTACTATGAATAATGCTATTATAAACACTGGTACACACGTTTTTGTGTACACATATGTTTTTAATTATCTTGAATATATACCTAGGAGCAGAATTGCTGGGTCATAATAACTGAGTAATTTTTTTAAGAAAAATACTCAACTATTTTTCTAAGTAGCTGCGGAATTTTACATTCCTGCCAGCAATGTATGTGCATTCCAATTTCTCCGCATCTTTGCTGACACTTCTTGCTGTCTATCTTTTTTATTATAGCCATTCTAGCTAGGGTCATCAATGCATTTGTAATAGGTACCATTTATTTATGGCTAGTGATGGTGAATGTCCAGTTAAATTAGAGACGAAAAGTATGGTTTTTGTGAATCAATTTAGGCTACAAAAATTGAATCCATTCAAAGAAAATATTAGCTATACAGTAGTAGTGGTGCTAAAAACTTTAGACAACTGGTCAAAGGTATGGCTTTAGGGTTCCACTATGTAACTCATGCACAAACCTGTAACCTGAAGCCATATGGAAAAGTGGTATGGGCTGGGTGCAGTGGCTCATACTTGCAGTCTCAGCACTTTGGGAGGCCAAGCCAAGCAGATCACTGAAGCCTAGCAGTTCGATACCAGCGTAGGCAACATGGTGAAATTTCATCTCTACAAAAAATACAAAAATTAGCTGGTCATGGTGGCATGCTCCTGTAGTCCCAGCTACTTGGGAGGTTGAGGTGGGAGGATCACCTGAACCCAAGAGGTCGAAGCTGCAGTGAGCCATGATCGCACCACTGCACTCCAGCTTTGGTGACAGAGTGAGACCCTGTCTCAAAATAATAATAATAATAATTTGCTCATTAATACACAGACATTGAGGGGCAGATCCAGGACAAGAGTGCATCCTTCAGAATCCCTGCACCAGGATTCTTTCTAGAACTACATGGGAAATATAGCGAGCTTGTTTCTGAAGGCAAGGCCAGGATGACTCTTCCTGGAGAATGGCTGCAAAGGGCCCTAGAACAAAAGGACTGACCAAACAGCAGTGATGGGCAGCCCGGAGTAAGCGTTTAGTGGTGACAGATTCTTACCCACCCCACGTCTTCAGATGACATTCACCTGAGTAAGGCAATAGCTACGCATTCCCACAACAGCACACTACTCTGTCCAAGATGGGGAAATTCAACTTCTGAGAACAGGATATATAGCTTCAGTTCTCTCCGACTTGGTCATCATCAGGCCCAGAGTGGAAGGACAGGGCCAGTTGTTTCTGCCCTGTTTAAAGACACGTGCAAAGATTTAGGTTACACTGCACAGCTGTATCCAGTTCACCTCTTGGGAAAGGCTGAAAAATGTTTTCCACCTCAAAGCTGCAAATCTGCCATGCTGCAAAGCCATGGCTGTATCTGGAGCAGAGATCCTTTAGTATGTTTCTGCCGTGGGGTGCTTTGACAATCAAGTGGAAATGATACACCCCGCAATTGCAAGACCATATGCCTACAGCGTGACATATTATTTAAGGGGAAACTCTCAGCCACCCCAAGTCAAGAACTGAGCCCACGAATCACTCTGCAGGAGCCCCTCCTTCCTTTTCAGCTCCAAAAAATGGCATCAAAGTCCCTGGTGAGGGTCACTGTGGGCTTTTCCTGGGGTTGGGGTTGGAAACTCCTTGGCAGCAGATCAGAAAGACAGCTGCTGACAGCTGAAAATTTCCTGCCTGGGCCTGAAGATTGAGAGGCAGAATGTGTGTTTCCATGGCACTCCCAGAAACAGGTGGCTCCTAAAATCTGGAAAAGCACATTCCTTGTACCACAGTAAGTCAGCTGCTCCCTGTGGACATGGGTATTTAGGGCATGGGAGAGTAAAGTACCAGGTGTCTCTAAGGCAAACCCAGGAAGCGAAAAAAAGAGAACAAGTGAGCTAATGGGTGAAAAATTTCAAGACAATAAAGGATGTGAGCTCAAGAGCAGAGTATCATGATCCACCGCACCATCATTAACTGTTTCTTCCCTCTTACATTATTTTCTTCATAGCACTCACTTCAATCTAAAATTAATCAGTTTATATATACATTATGGTAGTTATTCTTTGTTTTGTCTCCTTCCCCTACAAGAACATAAATTCCACTAAAAAAAGAATCAAAGCTGACTTCATTGCGTTCCTAATGTTTGCCATCGTGCCTTGCACGTAGTGGTGATTAATACATGTCTAAAGAATTATCAAAGGAATGAACTAACCAGTCAATGCGTAATAACCTTTCTACTACCCTTTGACATAGAAAAGTTTCCCTCTATTTTAGGTACGAATGAACTGAGGCTCAGAGAGGTAAAAGAACCTGTTCAAGATCACAGCTAACAGTGAGTGAGGCTGGCTCTGGAACCTCGGTCCATCTGAATCCAAACTCCCAAGTTGTCCCCTGTGGTCATAACTTGCAAAAGTGAGAGATCCAGTCCCAAGGGGCCTTCTCTACTTCTGCTAAAATAAAAGGAAAACCAGCCATCCCGAAGACAGAACTGTCCTGTGATGGAAAACCTAGTCCATGGGCACATGGCACACCATATGTTGCTTACAGCTTTGATAGAGCCAGACTTAATAAAGCACTCAAGACTGATCTTCCATGCTCAGGCAGGTTTGCATGTAACCCCTTTGGATGCATTCTTGGGTCATTAACAATTAAACACACATACTACAGTCCCCTGAAGCCACACAAAATACCAGACCTTCAGGCACAGACACAGATACATTTCTATACTCCCTGGTCCTCTACCTCTCATTCCATTAACACTGTGATTTTTCTGTTACCCCACATCCCTGAAACGGGCCCTCTTTTTAGGGCAGAATTCTCCGGTCAATGAAGATCAAAGAAATGGCAGCATGAAATATGGATATTCACTAGCCAATCGTGGATAACATGGTACTGGTCGTCTTCACCAGTACCATGCATACTAGCTGTCCTGTCTGTTTTGCATCTTGTCCCACTAAAGATTATTTGTCCATCCTCCTCCCACTTTCCAGAGGAATCTTTTAACATGATACAATCAGATCATAGTGTTCTCCTACTTGAAATTCTGCAGGGGTTTGCCATTTCCCCTAGATCAAAATCTAAACTGCCTGCAATGCCCTACAAGGTGGAATGGGACCTGGCTGCTGATTGCACACCTGACTTTGTGTTTTTCATCCTCCCTCTTTACCCACTGTGTCACAGCCATACTGACCATCCGGTCATTTCTCAAACATACCCATTTCATTCCATCTCAGGACTTTTGCTTTTTTCCTCCCCTTAGACCTCTTTCCCATACCCCACGACTGTACACAGCTGGCACCTACTTGTCAATCAGATCTGAGCTCTAATTCCTGTTTCAACTATCTAAAATAACCCTTTCAGTCACTACCATGTAACCATTTTTTTTTTAAATTTTTTAGATGGAATTTGGCTCTGTCGCCCAAGCTGGAGTACAGTGGCCTGATCTCGGCTCACTGCAACCTCTGCCTCCCAAGTTCAAGTGATTCTCCCACCTCAGCCACCCAAGGAACTGAAACTACAGGCATGCGCCATCATGCCAGCTAATTTTTGTATGTTTCAGTAGAAATGAGGTTTCACCATGTTGCCCAGGCTGGTCTCGAACTCCTGACCTCAAGTGATCCACCCACCTCGGCCTCCCAAAGTGTTGGGATTACAAGCATGAGCCACCGTGCCTGGCCCATAACCTATTTTATTTCCTTCCTAGCAGCTAACAGCATCTGATATTCTCCTGGTTATTTTCTGCTTTATTTTTTCCTGTTAATAGGATATAAGTGGTCTTACTCACACCTGGAACTGTATTGTCTAGCACACACTGAATGTTGAATAAATATTTACTAAATCGGTGAACACATATGGAAAGCAAGCCACAGCCATCCGTCTTTCTGAACCCAACCCTCCTCAGCCTCTCAAGCGGATGTGGTATGTCGCCATCCTCATTTTGATTCTGAGGGTCAGCTATCAAAACGGAAAGGGAGGAGTATTAACTGGTAAGCTACTGATTGGAAAAAAAAAAGTCTTTTAAATTTTCTGTGCACATTCTGACAAGGACTGGCTGGCAGACCTCATCCTAATGCCATTGGCAAGCCCGATCCATGACTTCTTTCTCCAATCTACAAAGGAAAAATGTTATACTTTGAGGACTTAGGGGAATTAGGAGGAGGATTTAGTTTTTAAGAGAGAAAGCGAAGTCACTTAAATTGAAAACCGATCTTGCGCCTTAGACATGCGTTTGGTTTGAGAGAAGGAGTGATGAGAGCTGACAAGGCAAGTCTGGTTGGTCTCCCAGTCTCCACTTGTGATAGAAGGCTGCCAGGAAGATATCTTGATCTCTTGAGCCGCCTGATTTTTAACCCAAGTTTTAGTCCTAAAATGAGCATGAACTTCAGTGGGTCTCTAGGAGATGGTTTTGTGTTCTGAGAACCATAGGAGCAACCACACCTCCATCGTGGTCATGAAATTTTTATTTTCTCCAAAACTAGCACATTTTTCAATGTCCCCATTTCAAGAAATTTACAAGAAAATCTGAAAGCAGAAGCCTCCTACTCACCCGGTTGACTGGAGCCGATCAATCTCTGCCTCTCTCTTCATTCTTTTTTTCTTTGAGGTGGAGTCTCGCTGTGTCACCCAGGCTGGAGTGCAGTGGCGTAATCTTGGCTCACTGAAACCTCCGCCTCCTGGGTTCAAGGGATTCTCCTGCCTGAGCCTCCCAAGGGGCTGGGATTACAAGCACGTGCCACCACCCCTGGCTAATTTTGGCATTTTTAGTAGAGATGAAGTTTCATCATGTTGGCCAGGGTGGTCTTGAACTCCTGACCTCAGGTGATCTGCCATCCTCAGCCTCCCAAAGTGCTGGGATTCTAGGCGTGAGCCACGGCAACCGGCCTTTTGTGTAATTCTGTAATCTATAGGATTGTTTTGCTACTTTCTCTTCTTTGTCCCTATCTTCTTTTCCCAACTGACTAAAGTAATGTCATTTCTTTGGTGATCTATTTACTTAGGATATCATATACGACCTTGCCATGGGCTGAAGGAGAGGGATAAGAGCAAAGGGGCATGTGGAAAGGACACGGAATATGTGTTTGTTTAAGACATCACCTTAGTCTTAAAAACCTAACAGAAAATATTCATGAGGTAAAAAAAAAAAATTCATTAATTTTATTTCAAAAGGTGTTCCTATTAAAAACCCAGCTGCTTGCAAGTTTTACAAATCTTTGTGAATACGATGAGAGTAGATAAGAATTATTTAGGGAAGAAAATATATGTACCACAAAGAAATCCAGGATACATAAAGAGTGGTTTGTAGTAGGCATTTTTGGGTAGCGGATTGTGGTTTATGTATCTATGTGGTATATGCATATATCTCTGTATGTTTGTTTGTGCTTTTTGTTTCTGAAAACTTAGGTTTAGCCCACATTAATTTTATGGTAAGAAAAGTAAGCAACAATGTTTTAAAACAGTTTTGCAAAGTGAATTTTCTGTTAAACAGAAGTCAAAGGAGGCAACGAGCTTAAATCGAAAACCAAATCAATTGACTGCTCGTTAAGACTGGCACCAAGGTGGGCCTTGCTTTCTACAAACAGACAGCTCTGCATGGAAGGCACTAGCATGAATGAGTGTCAGCCACAGGATAGGGTGCACTGAAGGCTATCAATACACCCTGCAAGACGCCTGTCTCGGAATGGCTAACAGCTCACAACCAGCTACATCCTACTCCTGCTTTCCCAGGACTACTCAGCAATACTTTGAACGGGCTGCAAATACATGGGGGTCTCGGGCATAGTTCACTGATATAAAGATTGAGACATACGATAGGTTGGGTCCATCAGATCCTAGCTGAGAAAGCAAAAGTTGAATGAAGACTTGCAGAGACTGATAGTCTCTGTAGCTGAGTCACAGTAGTGTGACAGCCTAGAGTGGGGTTTTTCAATCTCGGCGTGACTGATAATTCTGGATAATGCTCGATAATTCCAGGTGTCCACTTGATATCGTTTGGCTGTGTCCTCACCCAAGTCTCATCTTGAATTGTATCTCCCACGATTCCCACGTGTCATGACAGGAACCTGGTGGGAAATGACTGAATTTGGGGGGCGGGTCTTTCCTGTGCTGTTCTCCTGATAATGAACAAGTCTCATGAAACCTGATGATTTTAAAAACAAGAGTTTCCCTGCACGAGCTCTCTTTGCCTGCTGTCATCCATGTGAAACATGTCTTTTACCTTCCAACATGATTGTGAGGGCTCCCCAGCCACCTGGAACTGTAAGCCCAATAAGCCTCTCTCATTTGCAAATTGCCCAGTCTCCGGTATGTCTTTATCAGCAGCATGAAAACAGACTAATGCACCTATGCATTGTAGGATGATAGCAGCAACCCCCATCCACTTACGACAACCAAAAAATGTGTCCAGATATTGCTAAATGTCCTTACAAGCCAAAAATCACCCCTGATTGAGAACCACTTGCCTGCAAAATATGTCCATAAATTCTGCCTGCTGAGATCACTAGGCCTGTCTTACCTCTTGTGCTTTCCTTGGCTTGACTTTTTTCTTTCTCTTTTGAGTCCAAGAGTTTCTGTGCATTCAATTGTTCATGCACTACACCTCAAAACACAGTAAACATATAAATGCTGCCCCTCTCGTTTTTTTTGAAGCTAGACAGGATTGAGTTCTGTTCCTTCAGCCAAAGGGATCTTAACAAAAACACACATTCAAGAATCATCTTTGGTTTCTTGAGATTCAGAATGGTGGAGATCATCAACCCACATGATCGTATGGGTCTCATGAATCTTATGGGTCTTCAGTCAACCCACAGGAAGCCCAACAGTTATTGATCAGAGATAAGAGGTAAGTTGACATCAACTTGTCTCTGATAACAGGGCAGATCTGAACACAAAGGCTTGAACGAAGCAATGCCCGTGGGCCACATGGGACACACACCATGATGTGTCAGCAACGAGACTTCTATAGAGTAAACCAGGATGGCAGAGGAGCATTCTACACAGGAGGGCAGTGGCTTGGTAACATCTGTGCTTGGGAGTTTAGAACCAATGCTAACATGGGAGGAAGGTGTGAAGCCAGAAAGCAGAGACATTATCAAACGCGTGTCGTGTCCATTCCCAGGAAGGAACTGTACAAAATGCTCCTTAATGAAGCTCCTACTTGCTAGAACCAAATACTAAAGAAAATACACTGCCCTCTTGGGTAGAATGCTCCTCTGCCATCGTGGTTTACTCTATAGACGTCTCGTTGCTGACACATCATGGTGTGTGTGTCCCATGTGGCCCAGGGGCATTGCTTGGAACCAAACCAAATGTCCATCAATGACAGACTGGATTAAGAAAATGTCGCACATATACACCATGGAATACTATGCATCCATAAAAAAGGATGAGTTCATGTCCTTTGTAGGGACACGGATGAAGCTAGAAACCATCATTCTCAGCAAACTATCGCAAGGACAAAAAACCAAACACCGCATGTTCTCACTCACAGGTGGGAATTGAACAATGAGAACACTTGGACACAGGAAGGGGAACATCACACACCGGGGCCTGTTGTGGGGTTGGAGGAGCTGGGAGGGATAGCATTAGGAGATATACCTAATGTAAATGACGAGTTAATGGGTGCAGCACACCAACATGGCACATGTATATGTATGTAACAAACCTGCACGTTGTGCACATGTACCCTAGAACTTAAAGTATAATAAAAATAAAAACAAAAAATTAAAATTAAAAAAAGAAAAAGAAAATACACATGCAGACGGCGTCTCTAACCCAAATCCCACAACTGTTTGGACAGATAAGAATCCCATATGCTCTGCATTATCCTCAGTAATGAAAGGCTTTTTATCCATCCCCAGACGGCTCCATCACCGGCAGCAAGTGGGAGCTCTGGTCCCTTACAATGTAGACAGAGAGGGGACTCGGCGGCTGATGACTGGCGTTCTGTATGATGGGTGAACACATCCAACATCTGCTGGGCGCCCACACAAATCTTAGGCCCTCTGGCAAGCCGTGCCAAGTCCCTCTGCTAAGTCACAGTGGGAACTGTCTGCCAAAACACCAGGTGTGAAACAAAACCCAGCTCATTAGAATCCTTAAGCCCCCACCAAAATTCATGGAAAATGCTACAGGCAAATACAGGGCTGCCCGAACAGCCTTATTAAGATGGTCATCGGACGGTCCATGTCAATTTCACATGTTCTGTCAAAACCTCCCCGAGAGCAGGCCCCTCAGTGTTTACACTGCTCGCCAAAACAAATGCAGAGCTGTAGAGGGAGAAATAACACACCACCACAGTAACAATAGAAGACATCGCTTGCAAGCTGTCCACAGCCCCGGGAGTAACTGACATGTTTGACAGAGAATGTGTGTTGGTAACGTTGCTTGATTTGTGTTTAAACGGAAAACAGAAAGTGTATTTCCAGGTTTCAACACTGATAACCAAAAATAAAGGTCTTGAAAATAGAGCCACAAGACCCAGTCCCAGCAGTGCCCTTCCTCAGCCTTTGTCACCACACAACCTCCAGGTTTGATCTTCTCCACGAGGAGCCAGGCTTCCATGGGGAACAAGGCCTCCTGACAGCCCGCTGTGAGACAGTGGGGGAAAAACTGATCAGAAATGACAGCGGCACAATATCGCATTAGCCTTCTGCTCAGAGTCGGTTGTACGGGCAAGAGACATGGCCATTTCCCCATGGAGGATGGGGAGACGACAGACACCAAAGCTTTGCAGAATTGTGTGGTCTGCGGGAGGACGGGCTCTGCAGCCAGACACCTGGCTGGTCTGCCCTTCCCCAGTCCTAAGAATGAGGGCAAATTGTTCCACTTTGCTGAGCCTCAGTTTCCTTTTAAAATAAGTCTGGCCAGAATGCTTCAAAGTGGTAGAAATTATTTAGGAAAAAATCCCCAATGGAGTAACTTGTCATAGTAGCAAGAGTAGAAATAATAATTATTATTATCATTTATATTACATATAATCATTACTATGTAACTATTATACAGTATTACACAATGATATGTGTCATCTAATCATTATATATAATTATCCTATAACTATATGGCATTATGTAGTTATATATTTATATATTTATAACTATGTGTTACATAAAATACATATTATTGCATATATTATTGAAATATATATTGCATTATATCTTATGAATAATGCATAATACAAATAATATAAAATATAAAATAATCATGTAACAATTATTATTTCTATCAGTTTTTTTTAGCCCTGACTATATTGGATTTACTATTTTAAGTACTTAGGGAGTATTAATTGATTTGATCCTCAGAAATGACTTTGGTATTATCCCTGTCCTACAGAAGAGTACAGCGAAGCTTGAATTTAGGCACTTTTAATATGGGCCATTTTACCGAAGAGAAAACTGCAGTTCAGAGTAGCTTAGGAGTTAAAAAAAAAAAAAAAAAAAAAAAAAGTAAAGCTGAGATTCTAACCCAGGCAGTCTGGCTCAAGGGCTCATACTCTTAGCCAGTAGAAGGTATTGGCTTCCCTATATAGAAAACACTCAAGATTGAGGCTATTATTTAATTGCATTGGTGTTGGTTGTGGTGGTATTGCTTTACGCTTGGAAATAAACTTGTAAATACATTTATTGAGGACTTTCTATGTGCCAGGTGCTATATTGTGGACTTTACATGATTTGGTTCCTTTAACAACCACTCAAAGAGGGTGACTACTGCCCAGAAGGGAAAAACTGTGCCAAGGTCACACAGGTAGCAAATGGCATCCAAGGTCCCAGAGGTGGAGGCCTCAATGGTTGCAGCAGATGAACCAGGCAGTCTGCTCTAGAGCTCACACCCTACTCCATACCACCTCCTGTTTGCCTGTTTTTTCCTCCCTAAGATATATTACTTCAATTAGGTACGACAAGTGAAACCCCTCACACACAGCCTCATATATAGTAAATGCCTAAAAACAGCAGCTGCTGTTGTTATTATAACAAAATCTGAAAAGTCCCAGTTGGCATTTGCTTCCAAGAATATGACGGAAGTATGAATTTATGCTGCTGTGTGCTCAGAGGGCAGCTCCTCTAGCCCTTTTAAACCTCAACAAAGCCCTTGTACTGTTGGTCAATACCAGCTCCCAAATCCCACTGCTGGTCAGATTCTCATCTCTCTGGTCCCGCCCCCTGTCACTCTGATGCAGATGTTCTGGAGTCCCATGCTCCTCCCTTGCCTGGACACTGATCCATAGCAGCTTTGGGGGAACATCTGGATGCAGCGGGACTTCGAAGCGACTCAGAGCTACAATTTCCCCCCGAAAGGCTTCCCATAAGCTGCCCAGTGACGGCTGGCACTCACACATCCTCCTTGCCACCGGGCACTGACAGATGGGAGCTATTCTTATTATTTAACATTTATTAAGCGCCCACGGTGTGCCAGAGCTGCATGGAACAGGGGTGTGGGTGGTCCTAAAGAGTCTGTCCCCAGAAGGCTATGGCCACATGGAACGGAGGGGACAGGCCTCTCTTCCCCCTACAAAGTCCACCCTCCCCGTCCTGCAACCCAGCTCCAGTTCCAGTCCCAGCATGTTCTGGACAAAGATTTGGGCAAGGATTCAACATTATTGAAACTGATCAACTCTCCTTCACGTGTTTCTTGTAATTAACTTCCGACTCTACTGAGAATGACATGGCCCCCTGATGCAACCTCTGAGGACAGAGGCTGGGACTTAGTCATTCCAACTATGCAGGCTATTGGCTTAGGGAGTGGGAAGAGGATGGTGGCTTTTATACCAGCCATGTGGAAAGAGGATGGTGGTTTCACACCACCCAGAGCCATGAGCCAAGATGTCAAACTCCATGGTGGCATCTCTCCCTCTCCTTCGCCACCTCCCCAGTTGTATCTCTGCACTGTCCACGCAGGCCAAACACATGTGTCCTTGCTCACCAGGAATCTCCACCAAGAATGGGAGCAGAGAAGTGTAAACATTCTCCTTTCCCAACCTAGAGCATCTCGATTTATCAAAATGAACATTCAATAACTCCAGAAATCATGAACAAACCAAGACAACACTGCTGGCAATCAGTTGTGGCGTTGGTACAATGAGCTGATTGTCAAATCGGATTGCTCCCTTCTGCAGTCGATGTGACCATCCCCGCAGACAGGTTGAAACCATGGGTGCTCAGAGAGCTGAAGCCCCGCATCACACAGGAGCCAGGATGCCAACTCAGATGCGTCTGAGTGGGAAGATCTGAGTTGGAAGCCCAGCCCTAGGCATCCTGTCTTGCTGCCCTAATGACACCATGACTACACTGCAAAGGCCTTGTGAGTAGAGTACACTTGGTATTACTCCCATTTTACAGATGAGGAAGTGGAGGTTCAGAGAGGTCAAGCAACTTACCAAGAGTAACACAGAGAGAGTAATGGCCAGACTCAGGTTTCCTTGTTGTAAATCCTGTTCTTTTCAAATTTAACTGTGCTGCCTCAGGAAATAAGAAGAAATAGGTCTTCAGAGAGCAGTTCCTGAGAACAATGTGGAATGAACAAGTGATCCCCCTCCTCACTGCAATTCTCCCCTCCTCCAGGAGCCAATACAGATTAAAGAGCAGAAGAGAAGGAATGGCCAAGCAACACCTTCTCCCACAGCAGTGGGTGTGTTGAACTCTATTACTTTAGTCTAAGTTGGATGCAAGGTGGGAAGGGGGCCGGGGGCAGGAGCTCCTGCTGTCATCTTCCCACCTCAAAAAGGAAGGAAGGAAGGAAGGAAGGAAGGAAGGAAGGAAGGAAGGAAGGAAGGAGGGAGGGAGGGAAGGAGGGAAGGAGGGAGGGAGGGAGGGAAGGAGGGAGGGAGGGAGGGAAGGAAGGAAGGAAGGAAGGAAGGTAGGACCATTGTTCTCTGAAATGTAGCAGGAACTCTGTCATTTGGAGTATCTCTCTGTAGGAAGCCATCTTCTTTGGACTGTGCATAAACCTGTCTTGAGTGTCAGACCACTGACAGCAATGAAGACGTCATACTGAGTCGGTCAGTGGGGTGGAGACTCAAGAGTTCTATCTTCAAACAGTTGTGCTTAACCTCTGACTCTACTGCGAATGGCATGGCCCCCCTACGCAACCTCTGAGGACGGAGACTGGGACTTGATCATCCCAATACCTCCAGAGCTTGCAAGACAACAGTCACGAAATCTATGATTGATAAATCATTATCTTAATAAATGAATGAGTTTCATGGAGCCTTTGCCTCCTAGTTTTACAAGCCTGAAAAGCTCAATCTAGACAGTGACCATTGCTGAAGATAATGGTCTCGGTTGCTCAGAGGAAAAGACCTTCAGAGTATTGAGTTCAATGTTTCTGGGCATCTCTTAGGGCTCAGCAGTGAATCAAGTGAACATGCTGGCTCCTTGCAAGCTGGTGGGATGTGTGTGTGAGAGGTCTATCTTTAGACGGGGGAAAAACATAAATAGGGGTGAGTATCTCCATCATAAATCACCCAGGAAAAGCACTTACCCAAAACAACCTTTAAAAGACAGGGAGGGGACTCTGCTCCACCATCAAAAGCTCACATTGCCGAACACCAAAGCAGCAGCAGAGAGTGTGAAATCCGTAGGTCTTCCAACCCTCCCTGCCCTGTGCCAACGTATTATAAAAAGCATAGTTGCTGATATAGCATGCCTTTAAAATGATCAAAATGACAGATGGCTGCTGCAGCAAGACACCCTTTTTATAGGACTGATATTAATCAGAAGAGATTGACAGTGTCCCTTTAATCTCTTAATTTAAAAAAGTGAATTTATATAAAACAGAATAGGACAAGTCACTAGCATCTTCGAGTGCTTTGGAATGATGGGAGGTCTACGTCATGACAAAGTTAATAACTGGAAGGCTCTGTTTGCTCTTTTTAATATATTTATTTATGCATCACTGATGTGAAGAGAAGTGGTGTGGCTGCATGGATCATGAATCTGAGAAACACAATCTTGCACTGATTATTGTGTTGTTGGATGTCCTGGTTGGACTGTCTTGACTTCCCTAGGTTGTGACTTACTAGTCTGTAAAAAGAGTTGGAATATCCCAAATACACGAGTGGAAGACATGACTGTAATTAGTGCAACGGAGAAGATACCAGGTAAAACAGCCATCCCTGCCTTTGGCAAATCTGATCATGAATGGAGAAGCCAAGTGAAGTGGAAGGCAATAAAACTACCTAGTAAATATGATCAATGGCAACAAGTGATCAGGATAATTAAGATCTGAAACCCACCACTTGCTCCCCAGGGGATGGTGTGTGCAAAGTTATGGGGGAGAAAGCACAGGTTTGAATGTCTGTGACAGCTTTAACTATAATTGTTGTTGATAACAAGAACCTAGATTTTGCTTATCCACCAACACATTTTGGTAAGAGGTCCCTGATCTGGCCTCCGTTCATAGTCTATGCAGCTTTCTTGGGGCTGACCCTGCCCTCTGGCTCTAAAGTGGGCAACCAGAGATTAGATGATTGATTTGGAGATGTGCATGGACTATAAGATCTACCAATGAGACTGCAATCTGGAATTCTTGCTGGAATAGTTGGGAAGAGAATTTCTAAAAGGAGATGAGATGTAAGCTTGGAGTTGCCAAGAACCATCTTTTCCACCACTTGGACATGGTGTGCTTGTGAGTGAGGATCAAGTAGAGATAACCACTGTGGAGAGGTGGAGAGTGACAGCCCTTGGCTTGTCAAAATTCCTGAATTCAATAGTGCCTGAAGCTGGAGCTAGATGCTTTTTTTCCCCCTTTAACCAATAGGACTTAGAATTTTCTTCATCGCAGACAAAAGAATTCTTAACAAATATCTTTCTGGCCAGGCACAGTGGCTTGCACCTGTAATCCCAGCATTTTGGGAGGCTGAAGTGGGCGGATCACCTGAGGTCAGGAGTTCAAGACCAGCCCAGCCAACATGGTGAAACCCTGTCTTTACTAAAAATACAAAAATAAGCTGGTTGTGGTGGTGCATGCCCACGGTCCCAGATACTCAGGAGGCTGAAGCAGGAGAATCACTTGAACTTGGCAGGTGGAGGTGCAGTGAGCTGAGATCATGCCACTGCACTACAGCCTGGGCTACAGAGCAAGATTCCGTCACAAAATAATAATAATACATAAATATCTTTCCTCTCTCCTTCTCTCTCCAGAATAATACAGAATAAACATACTTTATATGCTAGCTTTTCCCATGTGTTAGAATATCAACTTCCTGTTGGAAGAGATCTAGAGTGTGTTCTATTCTACCACATCACCTAGTCCTAGTTCACAGCCTGGCACACAGTAGGTGCTCAATAGATAATTGCTGAATAAACACATGATGAATCACACTGAAAACTCACAGTGACTTTGCAAGCTAGGCCTTCCTGCTTTTGTTTTGCAGCCTAGAAAACTGAGGCTTGGTGAGGTTAATTGACAAGCCTCAGGCCACAGGCTTAGTAAATGCCAGAGCCTATATATCAACCTGGACCTGTTTGACTCCAAATTCTCTCTGCCACCTCCCTGACTCTTTAATTTAGTCCGCTGTTGACATGGCCTCTTTGGCAGTACAGAAAAGTCCGCTTAGTGACTAAGATGGAGCAGCCTCAGAGTAAATGACGCCACCAGCATTTATATCAGGTGTGCATGCTGATGTCTTTCCCAATCAACAGACATTCCAAACATGGAGATAAAATCGCAGGGCAGCAATATCAAGACCTGAAATGCCAGCCACAGAGCCAAACAAGCTGTTGTTTTTCAAGTTCAACCAGAAACTTACCCAAATTACTTGTAAGTTCTTTATAGATTTCTTTATCTTTCTATAAGGATGGTTACTCTCTGTCCATTGTTAAGGCCGATGTTTCTATAATTTGCATTGTTACTACATATAGGTATGTAGATGTCTCATAAAATACATACGCTGGTTTCTGCTTCAAAATACAGTGTGTGTGTCTGAGACCAGGAGTTTGAGACCAGGCTGGCCAACATAATGAGACCTCATCTCTACAAAAGAATTTTTTTTAAAAAAGCTGAGCATAGTGGTACATGTCTGTAGTTCCAGCTACTCAGGAGGCTGAGGATTACTTGAGACCAGGAGTTCGAGGCTACAGTGAGCTATGATTGCACCACTGCACTCCAGTCTGAGTGACAGAGTGAGACCCTTTCTCTAAAAGAAATAAAAATAAAAACATGGAGTATAGGGTTTCTTTAAACCATTGCTATCCACGTCAGAGAGGCATACATTGGCATTTTTCTGCCACTGTCTAGCTATAGAAAGTTTAGGCTGGAAAAATCTCAGCCCTCTGAGAGCTTACCATCTCAGAGAGAAAAGAAGGCATAGAAACGGTAAATGATAATTGCCATGCTTAGGTGGGGGTGGGGAGAGCATTAGGGAAAACAGTTAATGCACCCTGGGCTAAATACATCGGTGATGGGTTAATAGGTGCAGCAAACAACCATGGCACTCCTTTACCTATGTAACAAACCTGCACACCCTGCACATGTACCCTGGAACTTACAAAAATAAAATAATACTTTAAAAGAGAAAGGAATGGTAAATGATGCACAAACCCAGAAAATTAAACATTCACCAGCCCTAGGCTGGGCATGGTGGCTCATGCCTGTAATCCCAGTACTCTGGGAGGCCAAGGCGGGCAGATCATGAGGTCAAGAGTTCAAGATGAGCCTAACCAACATGGTGAAACCCTGTCTCTACTAAAAATATAAAAATTAGCTGGGTGTGGTGGCACGTGCCTGTAATCCCAGTTACTTGGGAGGCTGAGGCAGGAGAATCGCTTGAACCTGGGAGGTGGAGGTTGCAATGAGCCGAGATTGCGCCCCTGCACTCCAGCCTGGGTGACAGAGTGAGACTCCATCTCAAAACAAGCAAACAAACAAACAAAAACAAACACAAAAAACATTCACCTGCGTGAGTCATGGATGGTATAGATGAAGCCCATTCTTTTGTGAGCTTGCAGAGACGCAGTGCTTAGGAGTTCCATTGTTGAGATTCCTCCCAGCTCCTTTTGACCTATGTTTTTTCACTCTTGAGATCTATGTTTAAACATCGTCACATCCTACAGTGGCAGTAAGTTGGAAAAGACGCCAAGGCTCTATCTCAGTATCACAAGCCAACTCCATGAATTCACCCAAGTTCTCTGCTCTACTAAACAAGTCGTATTATTATTTTTTGTCCTGTGAATGCCTACTAATGCTTCACAGCCCAACTCAAATACCAGTTCCCTTCCTTTGAAACCACCCTCTTCCCGACTCTAAGAGGCACTGGGTTACTTCCTTTCCTGTGTTTTCATAAGCCACCCTGCCTGAATACCTCAACCTAGAGGGTAGCTTGGTGGATAAAAGACCCTGGTTCAACAAATCCAGTCCAAATCCCAGCTATACCACTCGCATTCTTTGTGACCTTGGGCTACCTAGCTTTGTCTAAGTGTAGGTTTTAGGTTCTCCATAGGCAAAGGGGAATTAAAGGCATGACTGCAATTTCTTACCTAAGACCCGTTGGAGTCACCAGCATTTTGAAAATCAGATTTTGGGGGCTTTTTCAGAAAGTTATTTCAGTGGAAATGCTGATTATGTAAAGCCCTCAGCAGGGTCTAGGACAACACCCTGAAAATCAAACACATAAATATTCCTACAGCAAAATACATGAATATTTACATTAGCTGGGATAAAGAAAGTCTATAAATAGCTACACATCATTTCAGGTCAAGTTTCTGTTCCTAAATGAGCTTTGGTGCCCAACTTCCAAAAGAAATTGATTTTCAGAGCTTTTTGGAATTTACAATTACAGATATAGGAAGGTGGACAAATACTGCCCAATTGCATTACGTTTATTATAAAAATAAATTGAGATCCTAAATCTAAGTGTTTAGCACAGAGCCTGGCACATGACAATATTGTGTTCAACAATCATTACCTATCATTTCCTCCCTCTGACTTCATTATAGTCTTATAGTTGGGGTTTACCTACTAGTTCTTCCACTAGATTGTGAACCCACAGTTCAGTGGCTATGACTGTCACTTTTGTTATAGGTTGAGTATACAGTGAATGGATAACTGAAGGAACAAATGCATGATGAGGTGAATATGGCTCTATTTACACCATCAACCATCCAGGAAAATAATCTGCTGACTCATCATCTGTCAGACCTGGATGAAATGGGAACGATTTGTCCAATAGTGAAAGTGACTTGGCCATGTATGGCCCAAGGGCATATCTATGAGGTAGATACCTAGATTGAGGGGTGAGGGTCCACACTTGCAGCCCAGAGCCAACACATTAGACCCAAACACTAACCAAATAGCCTAACCAGTTACAAAGCTGTTGTTTTGGTTATGTCATTTGGCCATGGTCCATGGCTTGGCTAAGACCTCTGAGTAGCTTCTGGACTCGAGGCTGACTTGGGCAAGTGACTGAGGCTCCTGTGTTACCAGGTCAGACAATTCACTGATCATTCAAGGCATCACTAGAAATTCAGAAATAAGTAGTGTTAAGTAGTACATTGGTTCTTCTTATCCAAAGATATCAACATCGGGATCTCTATCAAGGGGGAAAGCAGCCAATATTTGTACAATGCACTTGGGAATACTACTCTTATCCTTTCCTCTCTGCTTTTTCTGCACATGAGACAGTCCAGACAGGTTCAGCTGAATTCTCCATAGTCATTCTGTCATTCTCTACCTGGCTGGAGGGAAAAACTCTCTATTTGGCTACACACAACAAGTGTAGACATAAAATAATGGGTTCAGGAGATCCAATATGATAAAGATTCTGATTTTCCTAAAGGAGGAAGGGTAGGGCAGATGATAACTATCAATTATTGCTTGGAATAAAAGATCCTGTATGAGTAACTTTCCTGAAGCTATCAGTAAATACCTCCATCCACTGCCTTTGCAGGATTAGGTGGATGCCGTCTTAAAGTCTGGCACACCAAATGACTGGTAAATCACTTGGTTTTTTTTTTTTTTTTTTTTTTTTTCTTTATCTGAGGCAACTAAAACAGGGCGATGCTGGTCTGAATTTTCAAAATGACTCTTGAAAATATGAAAAGGGAGCACTCTGCCACAAAATCTCTTGAGGTTGGAAAGACCTTGAAAAGTAATCTCCAACTATAATACAACAATCCTTCCAAGTGGACACTATGAACTCTGTTTCAACATCTCCAGTCACAGAGAAATTACTCCCAGTGATGGAGTACACATGGTTTATTTTGGCTCATTTTAACATCTTGCCAATGACATATTTAGGTGGTGATAGAACCTTAATTCCCTAGAGGAAATACTTTGCCTCCTGAGTGAGGAAGAAACCCATAAGGTCAAGAAACTAGTGAGCAAGTGGAGTCTGCAGCAATGCAGGACAGCTGGCAGCAGAAACATCGGCTCAGAGCTGAGCATCTGTGAGTGATACAGTTTTTTCTCCCTTTGCACTGCCCTTTCTCCCCTTGCAAATATTACTGCACTGGGGTGATTTTAGCTACTTGATGCCAAAGGGTAAATAACATGGGCTGTCTCAGCAAACCATAAGTAAAGCCAGTTTCTCTCTGTGTGTTAGCTTTCCAGTGCATTCCACAGCAGTGAGAAAGAAAGGAGATAACACATATCACAGCAGCTGGTCTAGAGGCTCCTCACTAAACTGCTCTCCTAACTTATGGGTAACTAGTTACCAGAGGTGTCGCTTGGAAAAACACAGTATGATCAGGCTAAGATTTACAAGTAAGACCACTTGTTCTTTCCAAAAATAACTGGCTATGTTTCTCAAATGCTCTGCAAAGGAGGAAGAAATAGGGCCTCCCCAATTTCTCAGCTGGCCCTTGCATCTTCTCATCTATCACTGGGGTAATACGTCCAGAGTGGCATTTCGTAATGACAGCAACATTCCAACAAATCGATAGTTATTTAATTCCCAACAAGCTCTGGAGTCCATTAAACCTGATTACATTCACCCATTTCAGTGGGTGCCGTTATTTTTCCTACACCGGCACTTAATCTATAACAGGAACTTATGAGAACTTTCAAAAGCAATTTCAGCATCAATCAGCATAGAGTGAAGGCCACGATTTGCCTGTAATTATTTATCAGATGGGTCGGCAGAGGGTCTGACAAAGCTCCAACAGCCGACCTTCACCCCACGTTTCCAGTAGCAGCAACAGGCCTGTTAACTTTCTAAGTTGCCACTGAGCCCTACTTCAGAAATGGCAACCTTATCATACCGGCCTGTGTATACCAGGGAAGACGCAACAAGTTCCACGCTGCAAAGGACCGTTCTCCAGATGACCCATTTGTTTATAACAGGTAATACAGAGAAAAGCTTCCAAACAGAGGAACGGCCATAAATCCAGAAAGAGAGAATGTTTTGTTGTGACTTGGAATCACCCCCAGATGACTCTAATCACCCAGGTTCGTACACTTAACAAAAGGTAACAGCAAAGTTCAGAAGAGGTAGGGGGAAAAGTGACCAGAATGGTTCCCAGAAATTGTAATTAATGAGCTAGGGTATCATATAGTTTTTAACTATGAGGGGCTGGAGGGGACAGAGGGAGGCACAGGAGTAAAGGTGAAAGGACGTACCTAAATATATTTTGTTTTCCTTTTCTGTAGAAAGGAGATACAGAATTTATTGCAAAGGGATGATTATACTCAAAAAACTAATTATAACAACAAAAAGCCACCTTGGATTTCTATGATCTGTGGGTTCTATCGCTAGTAGATGTTAGCTTTCAACGGAGAACTTCAGACATAAACGCGGAAGGCAATACCTGCTTGCAAAGAAAACCTTATGATGAGGGGGAAAAAAAAAGGTCCCCAATTGTTTATTGGTAGATTAATCCTCTCTGCACAGAATTAAAAGACTTCAAAGTAAAACCAGCACACATATCAACCCTCCACTTTCTTGCCATCATTAAGATGTACACATCTGGCAAGGGATTCCTAGAATAATCTCTGAGCTTCATAAATTACCCATCAATAGAGTGTTCCTTCTTGCCTCAGTGCCACCACTCAAATTCAGGTGGGGAGAGCCTTCTCTGAAAATAGACAATCCGTGTGGAGGCGTCCTATGAATTAATGCATATTTCATGCTCCTTTCATTTCCTGGGTTAAAGCTCTTAACTGAGTCACCTCATGATAAGTTACTTTGTCTCATGATCTGCTCTGGGAGACTGAGTCCCTCAGAAAGCTGAGAAGGAGAGCAAATCCTTTGCCCCGTGGTCAACCTCCTGAAGCTAAGACATGAATGTTAAATAGCAGTCAGATCAATACAAGCAAATATAGCTCAACTACACCATTTATTCAGCCATGAGAGATGTCGATAGCTAGATTAGGGTGATCCATCTTTTTGATTTCCTACTGTCTTCTCACTGACTACGCGAGGGCTTTTTCCTGTATTAAAAGTGTTTGCTTTCTCAACCATAAAAATTCCAATTATTACTCTGAGCACTCTGGAGTTAAGTTGCTGGCTGGCAGAGGCCTTGAATTACCTGAATCAGTCCAGGAAGGTAAGGAGCTGCCGGTACAATCATAGGCACGCCATAAGGATGCAGGAGAACTCCTTGAGACGCCAGCATGCTTTACGTAGAGTTATTATTCCCTCTGAAGCTCAACACATCAATGGAGAGTTAGGGGGAAATCTATAGACCCAACTTCTTCCGAACTACAAAGCTGGGAGCCAAATCCCTTCTGTCAGGAGCCAAGCACTCATCAACGCCGGGAGAGGAAAGAAAGAAAATCCGCATCAGCAACTCTTAATGTGAAAGTTTTCTTCCCAGACGACGAAGAGACACAGCAGCTGCAAAGTTGAAGCTACCAAAATGGAAGGTGCTATTTTGGGAACAGCTTGCCTAACATGACTAACCAAATACTCTTCATTAATTTAGTTCTCAGAGAGAGAGAGAGACAGAGAGAGAGACCAAGAGACCAAGTGACAGAGGGAACCAGGCTATGAGATATAAGCTCATCCTACTGAATTTGGCCAAAAGAGCAAGGGATGGGGTCTACATGGGATTTTTAGGGAAAAATAAACTGAGAAATGTAAATTAATGTGATTATCGCCTCCGAGTTAAAATTCAAATCCAGCAGGTTAATGTGGGCAACGTTTGGCACTGATAGAAAAAAAATAAGAAGATATTCAGTCTAGTTTTCCTCCCGCTCTCTCTCTGATTTCAAATTTAAAGTGGCAATTTGTAAATAAGATAAAACTACCAGCCAGCTTGTATTTGCACAATGTGTGCTACGCAGAGAGACAGAGTTAAATTATTTACACGTGTTATGTAATTTCATTCTCACAACAAGTCTCTGAAGTCAGTACTATTATCAGTCCCATATAACAAATGGGAAACAGGGCTGATACTAGTTAAATGGTTTGCTCATGGTCACATAGCTCGTACAAGGCAGTGCGAAGCTACAAACACATTCCAGAGCCCGATTCCTAACCACAACACTGTTTTCACTGCTGTATTTCAGTCTGTAATAACATTTTCTATGCCTTTTATTTTGTGTTTTTAACGACATTCTTTATTTTGAGCTTTCATCTGTGATATATTAATATGCAATACATTAACAAGAGATGTCTTCTTGTTCTCAGAGTTTCAAGGCATAGCTAACAAGCACCAAAACTATGGATAAAAAATACATTCAAGCACAGATTTGAAATCTTTCTGGTGTTTGAAAATACCCAAGCAATCATTTGGGATATGTTACATAGGAGCAGATAAATTCCTAGGGGATGACATGAATTGGAATTAATTCCAATTGAATTAATATATTAATTAATATAATTGGAATTATACTGACTTGGGTGTCAGTATAATCACTAGCTGTGTGATCTTGAACAAGTTACTTAGCCTCTCTGAACCCTGTTCACTCATTTGGAAAACTGAGATAATAATAGTCCCTACTTCAAAAGGCTGTGTTATCATTAAATGAAGTCCTAGAACCATAACATGATGTGTGCAGTACCGGCAGCTATTAGCCACTTTTATCATGTATTCCCTGTTTTCCTGATGATTGGTACAGACACATCTTTGGTTTCAGATTGAAGGCTTTGACCTGAGACTGAAGGCTCAGATAACAATCAAATTGTCAGTCTTCTAATCTTCTTATTAGAAAGACATGTGGGTGTGTGTAGTTCCACAATTTTGAAAGCAATAATATGAAGTTCTGATGAAGTGAATCCACTCAAATAATGCCCAAGTCCCAGGAATCACTGAAAATCACCTTCAAAATGAAACATTCACTGGCCACATTCCACTGCTCACTCTAAACAGGACACTTGATATAGATTTTGTTGAAACTGGGAGAGAGCTTCAAACACCGCCAAACATATCCAACTATTGGCGTTTTCTAAATCCAAATGTCAATTCCTCCACTTTCAGATAGCCAAGGTGTTTTTACACTACACTAATTTTAGTTGCTTGATTTAGCTGCATAATTGCATTTCTAGATAACGACGGCGGACAGGGTTTGGCAGAGAATTCAATTATTTAAGGCTGAATTTTGGCCATCTTGACAAGGTTTCTCTGTAATTGATTCTCATGCATCAAAGTGGCCACGTTGTACAATTCAAAAAGCTCCCATAACAGCTGCGCACTGACCCCTCTTACTCAACAGCCCGATACTGTTTCTAACTTTAGCTTTTGACGATGACTTTCAACACCACATTTCTGAGAAGTTACCGGGGAGGACAGAAGCATCACTGTGAGACGGACGTGTCTCTCCCGTCTGCTTTCCTTTAGCAATCAACAGGAGGGGAGAGCTCTTACTTACTTAGGTAAGGCCTGTGTCAGATCAAATTGTCTCTTTAGTGTTGTAAAATAGAAAGACCACTGGACCAGAAGGCAGGAGACTTAATTCCATCATTCAGGCAACAAATTTACAGCTTTAGACTCTTAGTTTCCTGAGCATAGAAGAGAGGTAACTATATCCCCTTACTCTTAATCAAGAATGCTTCAATAAGCAAACTTGAGGAAGAGGTAGCTGGAAACTGCAGAGAAGATAGTGATCCATTGTATTTATGTAACTTTCTCTCTCTCTCTCTCTCTCTCTACACACACACACACAAACACACACACACACACACACACACACACACACACACAGAGCTCTCCATATTCTGGGGTTCCACATCCATAGATTCAACCAACCTCAGATCATCTAAAACAGAAAAAAAAAAAAAAAAAAAACCTCTGCACCTGCACTGAACATATACAGACTGTTTGTTCTTGTCATTATTTCCTAAACAATAGAGTATAACAATGATTTACACAGCATTTACATTGTATTAGGCTTCAGAAGTAATCTAAAGACGATTTAATATGTATACGGGAAGATGTGCATAGGTTATATGCAAATCCTAGGCCATTTTATATCAGGGACTGAGCATCTGCAGATTTTGGTATCTGAGGGGAGGTCCTGGAACCAATCTCCCACCATATTGAGGGATGACTGTATATATAATGGCATTTCAGGCCATGACAAATTGGATATATCATGCTGGTCACATCAGATTATATTATAATGTTATACTTTACTGTACCTTTTCTATGTTTAGATACAATCACCTACAGTATTCAGTACAAGATTGCCTGACCAGTTTCTCAGAACATACCCAGTGCCAAATGTTAAGGGACACGTGACTGTGTGTATATATGCTTATATATAAAAGAATCTGCTGATTTTAGTAGGATAGAAATAAGAGATATATTACATACAGGATAGAGATATATAGTTATACCTTGTGCCGGGGATATTTTCTGTTTTCTTCTTAAGAACGCCATGATACAATAACCTTTTGCTGTTCTTGAGTTACAAATATCTTCCTTATCTTGTGTGAAAATAAGGGCTGTCCCTCCCACCTCCAGTCGCGATCACCATTACTCATACATTCTCTGATTCTGATTTTGTATTTATATATTATTGTCCTGTATGATTGCGGTACTTATGTTTTTGAAGTTGTATTGACTTCGTCCTCGTTCAAAACCTTCCACTAATCATAAAGCCTGTAAATAAATAACAACTACTAAACAAAACCTCTTTTTCTTAACATAGGTTCTGCTCTCCCAAATGGGAAGCACCTAGTATTGCTGAGCTGTGATTCTTCCTTCTTGGAGCCTCCTCTAGAAGGTCGACACTATGTCGTGTGTCTTTCCATTCCCCAGTGGCAGTGCACATGGTTCATGGCAAATGTCGGGCTACTCAACATCTATTATGTGGTATTACGCTCACGGTGTAATGCAGGAACTTTAAATAGTGGAAGAAACAGCAAGGTGAAAGGAGAGTGGGGCAGTTCTGGTAGTGGCTAAGAAACAGGCAGATCCCTGAAACATACGGAAGTCAAATAAAGAGCCGTGTATTGCCATCTGCTCTGCCCATCACGGGCAGGGAATGGTAAATGTTTTTCTGTAAACACTCAGATAATAAATATTTTAGGTGTTGCAGAACTTACAATCTCTGCTGCAACTGCTCAAAATTCTGCTGTTGTAGCGTGAAAAAGCATCCGTTGACAATACACCAAAGAAGGATTGTGGCCATGTTCCTGTAATACTGTATTTACTAAATTCCTATCATTTTTACAGGTCACAAAATATTATTCTTTTTTTAAAAAAAGTTTCCAGCCAGTTATAAATGCAAACACCATTCTTACCTCGAAGATTATACAAAAACAGGCAATGGTCCAGGTTGGGCTCACAGCCCATGGTTTGCTAACCCTTAATCTAGGGTATGTATTTTATCCAAGAAGTCAGACTTCAAGACAATGGCAAATACTCGCTCCTTTGCTGTTCCTTTCTGCTTCCCCACTATCTTCTTCTCTCTCCTAATGCTTCCTTGGTGCCAGTTCTGCTCATTTTCCCTGTGCCAGAGATTTCCATCAAGGATTTTGCTTTTTCTTAGCCAGGCTTTGATAGTTCAATCTCATCCCTCCACCTAAAAAAAAAAAAAAAAAATTCTTCCATCTATCTCCACCTTCCATGATGACATTTCCTTCTTAGGTATTAACTCCTCTTTTCCTGTTCTAGATAAAGGCATTTTAGCTCTGGCTGTCAGATACTGCATCTCCCTTCCCAGGTCTTCTTTTTTTTTTTTTTTTTTTTTTTGAGACAGAGTCTCGCTCTGTCCCAGGCTAGAGTGCAATGGCATGATCTCAGCTCACTGCAACCTCTGCCACCCGAATTCAAGCTAGTCTTCTGCTTCAGCCTGCCGAGTAGCTGGGATTACAGGGATCCGCCACCACACCTGCCTAATTTTTGTATTTTTAGTAGAGACAGGGTTTCACCACGTTGGCCAGGATTGTCTTGAACTCCTGACCTCATGATCTACCTGCCGCAGCCTCCCAAAGTGCTGGGATTACAGGCATGAGCCACCGCGCCCAGAACCTCCTTTCCCAGATCTTAACAGCTAACATAAGCTGGGCACAGTGGTGCACACCTGAGTCTCCGCCACTCTGGAGGCTGAGGCAGCAGGATCACTTGAGCCCAGGAGTTTGACACCAGACTAACAAAGAGAGCCAACATAAGTGACTGGCCCTTCTGAGTGGTAGCCTCTCAAAGTTTAGACGTCAATGAAAGAGAAGGAAGAAACAGAAGTGTTGGCTGTGTCTGGAAGATGAGAGACAGGGGGTATCTAGAGAAGACCAACTCCTGCCTCATGGATTCTGTCGGTCAACATCGCAACCTGCAGCCGTGGGGACCAAGTCCAGTCCACAGAAGGGGATGATGATGATCATGATAATGATTTGTCTGCACAGTGTAAAAAAAAAAAGGTAATATTGTTTAATGGGGGCATCTCATATAAAATCTAGATTTATGCTATCTCTTGAAACACTGGAAGATCTAGGCATGTTGAGCCACATTTCTTTGTACCAATAATCATATCTGCGAAAAAGCTGCCTCTCCCACAGGTCAGGAGCTCACTGTAGGATCAACCCAACCATTCTTTGCTTTCTAAAAAGCTATCTAAAAAGAAGCTGTCAGTTGCCATTTGTTGACTATCAAAACAGAACAAAACAAAATGCATAAAACAGAGTGTTTCCCTGATCCTATCATCACATTTCTTATCTTTTGGATATTGACAATGTTTATTTCAAAATACAGATTTGTGCAGATTATGTAATTACTCACACAATCACTCACTTTGTTTCCAGACAAAAGTGGGTAATGGAAAATTTCCTACAGCATCTGAGGCCCTTCATAATATTCCTCACTTTACCCTGTCCAAATTCATCCTCCGATACAAATTTTCCGTTTTTCTACAGATCACTCTTTTCTTCAAACCACACTGGCAAATTATCTTTGCCAAATACCTCTGTGAATCCACTTTTCCATTTAAACTTGCCTGCTATGCAGAAATACCCTTCCTTCCTCTCTTCCTTTCTTCCTTTTAGATCAATCTTGTTGGCCTAAGTCAAATGTTCCATGACAGCTTCTGCAAAGTTGTCCCTGCCACCCAAGACAGAACTAAGTGCACCATCACCTTTGTCCGAAAGTCATTTCAGCATTGTGTTTGGTTCAGAGACTGCCCACACCATATCATGACTCTTTTAATAGTGATCACACTTTTGAGAAGGCAGATTGGCTCAAATAAGGAAGTATGCCATTTCTTCTTGCTCACCCAATGACTAAAATGTCCACTAGCAAATGAAGTTTTCCCAAATCCTTCCAGAAATGACTGACTGAAAAAGTGTGAGGAAGGTGGAGGGGCTGCCAGGGGCCCCCAGACCACTGAGAGCTACCTATGTTTCCAAGGTCATCACAAGTGACCTGAGGGCATCACAACAGTAGGAAAAGCCTGCGTTTCAAAGTTGGAGAGGCTGGGTTTGGATCTGGGGGATCTGGGCTCTGTCGCCCTTTTATGTTTCTGATTAAGGACGATATACTCATCCTTGAGCCCTACTCCCATCAGGGCTAAGATGGTACAAAACACCTGTACCCTCTCATAAATGCATTACAGCAGTGAAATGACATGCTGAAGGTGGGTGTTCCTGGTGCTTGGAAGGCATCCAGAAAGTGCTAGTTAATTTTAATTCATTCTTCAGAATGTTTTCAATGCACCCATTCAAAATTGTTTTTTCATCTCTCTGCTCATCATGGCAGCTCTGTCTGTCTTCAGTGCCCCACCAACACCCCATACAGATGTTGCTGTTCGAGCTTCCATTCTATTATCCCCCCAGTAAAACTGCTTATATATACATCCCATCCTTCCACAAGCAGTCATATGCCAGGTCTTCCCAGCACTACCTCCTGCTCCAATCCCAGCACTCGTGATCTATGGGGCTGAGATTCTGAAACATCAGCAGTGATTTGCCCTGGGATGGTAAAGGCCTAGCTGGCATTATCACACAGGTGTGCTTCCATTCTATCCCCTCCACCACCTCCTCAATCCCTGTGTTTGCCTGCCATTCACCCAGGACTGGGCACAGAGTAGTTGCTCAATAAGTATTTGAGAATGATCTGTTACCTGTGGGATGAGACAGAGGCGCAGGGAGTCCAAGTGACTTGTCCAAGGTTAAACAACAGAATGTGTGCCTGGTCAGTTACCAAGAGTCAGGTTTCCCTACATGCCTGTAATACCTGCTGAGTCATCAAGAATGATGACACTAGGGTATCAGCTTGAACCAGAACTGAGAAATGACACTCACTGCCAGACATGCACTCAAACTCCATCCAGCGTAGGTGAGAAGAGAACATGGAAAAGCATTACCTAGCATGGACCGCAAGAAAAATTCCCTGAGATGCTACATAATATTTAGAATACCAAGGACTAACAAATGAATTCCCAGTGAAGGAGAGGATGGCTACAAAAGGGTTGTCAATGTGACACCCAAGTCACAACCGCATCAAATTATCAAGATGGGAATATAGGAAAAGCTTCCATAGACTGTGGACAGGATACACCAGACCATCAACCAACCTCTCTCCAGATTACAACCACCCCCATTGGAAATCTCAGTGGAGGACTAATCTAGCAAAAAAAGACACCCGGAGAAGAGAAGTCACATCTCCCCACTTAGAGACTGCTTTCAGTTAGTGTATGCAAATGAGCCGTTCCATGGGAAGTTCTTATGAGAATGACAAGTATGTACTAAGCATATGTTATTCTTGTGGCATTACATTCTCTCACCTCCTGGCAACTTCTTACCATGCCTGGCTCCCTTGTTGCAAGCACCATAGTATAGTAGTTAAGAGCTCACATTAAACCACATAGACCACATTAAAAGCCCAGTTCCTACCAGTTATCAGCTGTGTGTTCCCGTGCACATCACTTAACCTCTCTGTGCCTCAGATTTATTATCTGCGAAATAAGAATATCACGAGTAGCCATAACACATGGAGTGGTCCAGAGATTTAAATAAGTACAGTATACTGCAGTGTTTAGCTCAGAGGCTCATAGCAAACACTCAGTAAATGGCTGTTGATAGTTGTCATAGTGACAACAGAATTAGCAGCTGGTTGGAGGATCAAGCCAGGGATATCAAAACTCTTCCTCCCTTCAACCGCTAATTGCTCAAATGAAAGCGTGCTAACAAATGCAACTTGTGAAGTGCCTTCTTGTTGAAGAGCTTACCTCCTTCTTCTATGTCCCAAACAAAAAACTAAGACCCAGGAATTAACAAAGGATAGGTATATGGCTTCTGTAAATGGAAAATGCAATTTTTGAAACCAAAACAGTAAAAAGGATATCAAGTTCAATTTATGGTTTTTAGGGATGATGAAGATGGTACCTTTAAATCAGAAGTAACTTAAAGAATCCAGGACCCTGGGTTACTCTAACCAGCAGTACTAACCACATCTCTAAAAATGGTTATGGAGATGCACAAAGAAAATTCCAGTAGGTTTTGTAAGTGAGGAGCCTGCTGATAGTCATTACAAACTCAAATCCCCAGTGGTTCAGGCAGCACCATGCTCCTCTTGGTTCATTAAGCGCTTCCTGACCTGATTCTCCTCTGAAAGCCAGACTGACTGGCTGAATGAGCAAATCTAAGAATATCAACCCTGCACATCATCTCTGCTGAGATCAACAATGCCTCAGGAACCGACCTCTGACCTGTCTGGGGATGAATGACAACTGGGTTTGAGAATTTGTTGACCTTGCTTGAGGCAAACAAATACCCCCTGAGGCCTCTCAGAAGGGGGGAGGATGCAGCTACTCCGCTGGACTTTTCTTTGTGCACTCTCTACATCTTCTGCCTTCTGTGCTCCAGGACCCTACAGGAGCTGGACACAGAGGCCACTCCTAACAGCACAGGTCTCCAGGACTGGTAAATGAGGATTTTTGTACTAATTCCATTCAGTTGCTGAACTGGCTGAACCACCTGAGCTTTCTGCCTATTATTTTCTCTTTAGAAGCTAAGTGTGCTGGACTGGCATCTTGCAAGGCATACTTTGCATGGATAGAAGGCTCATCAGATGGCTCATTGTAAAAAGGACACCACGGACAAATGAGTTGGAGAAATTCAGCTTGCCCTGTCTTCCTCTTGGGAATTCATGATGACTATTAGCATATAAAAGCACCTGAGAAGTCCTGTAAAGAAGAAAACAAAACAAAACAAAACAAAACAAAAAACTGCTGGATCTTGTTTGATCCAGACTTTCCAAAACTGATTTGATGACCAACACACCATCCATCCATCCACCCACTCATCATCCACCCATCCGTCTACCCACCCATCCACTCATCATTCATTTTGCTATCTATTGGATTATCTGCTTTTTGAGAATTATGTATCAGACCTGTGCTAGGCTTTTGGCTTCTTCTCTTCTTCATTCCTTCCTCCTACATCTTCATCTTCTTCATCATCACTAACAGAGTCACTACCACTTATTCAATGCTTACTATGTGCCAGACACAGTACTCATTTCATTGTATCTGTTATCTCAGTTTATCCCCTCTTCATTCCTATGAAGTAGAGTCTGTTCCATCTAGTACATTAGTAACAAGAACACTGAGACCATGAGAGGGGAAGTGAATTGGCCAAGGCCGTAGAGTTAGTCAAACACAGAGCTATCCCCATGAACTGAGAGGCTACAAAACTACAAAACTCCCTTGTGCTCAATACTATAAGAAGGCTTTCTTTTTTTTGAATGCGATATGGATTAATATACTCTGAGAAATGGTGGCCTGGGTTTTTAGAAAATTATTTTATTTATTTATTGAGACAGGGTCTCACTCTGTCACCCAGGCTGGAAGGCAGTGGCATGATCATAGCTCACTGCAGCCTCCGACTCCTGGGCTCAAACAATCCTCCTGCCTCAGACTCCTGAAAACCTGGGACTACAGGTGCATACCAGCACGTCTGGCAATTTTTAAACTTTTTTTCAGAGATGGGGGTCTCGCTGTGTTGCCAGGCGGGTCTGGTACTCCTGGGATCAAGTGATCCTCCCAACTCAGCCTCCCAAAGTCCTGGCATTACAGGCATGAGCCATGTGCCCAGTCTTAGCTTGGACATTTTAACTCAATCTGAGTGGTTTCTTCATCTCCTTTACTCTCCACCCCTTAGTCAATCTCAACCATCCCAACAGTCCTTAGAGGTAAAGGAATACAAATCCAAAGAGCAGAGAGAGGAGGAGAAGACTTTGATGGCTGGAGAAGAGCTGACCTACACCACCCACCACTGAGTCTTCAGGAAGTGGGGAAATGCCTCCCAAGCAAGAGAAAGTCAGAGGTACATGGAAATGGGCTAATCACCAGGGAACACCAGGAAAGAATAACCACTGGAGGAGAAAACAGAAGGGGAAGGAACGCAGGAGGAGGACAGATAAAGAGATTATTAGGTTGCCCTTTTTTTGTGAAGCTGAGGCATCATCTCCACCTCAAGGGCTGATTTCTCCTTGGCTTTTTCCCATACCATTGAGCCTCTTCTAAGGGTGAAACTGCGGTTCCTCAATCTTATTTTTGAGGCATGAACCACTCTGAAATTGGACCACTCTGAATTGTGCCCTCATCCCAGAAAACTGCGCATGTAACTCCCCAAATATTCCCCATCATTGTAGAGAGTTGATGGCTCTTGTGAAATTCACCAAAGGACTCCAGAGGAGCTTCTGACTGTCCATCAGATTTCCAAGTAGGTAGCAAGATGTGCTGTACTTTCTACTAAGGGCAGGCATGCGCAAAGTCAAAATCCCTTAAGGCGGGCTCATATTAACAGCTTGGATGGCTGTTTTCACGTGAAATCACGTTGACGTGTTTACTAGCACTGTGACTTTGACGCTATGAACCTGCCAGTCAGCATTCACCACAGCTTGGCAGGGGGCAGGTTTTCAAGGTGGCAAGAAGGTCAAACAACATGGGGCAGGTGCTAAGGCACCCCATATTGTAAAAGCAAGTCTGTGCTTAAGAAGTGCAAAACACATCTTTCATTCCCTTGTCCGATAACTAGCAGTCATCTCAGAACAGGAGATGGCTTCTCTCTGCTGAAGCTTTTTTCTCCAGCTTCAGACCAGGGGAAAAAATATGTTATCAGACCAATGAATGGGTATTAGCCATCACTGGGAACCCACCAAATACAGCACTGGAGGAGAAAAGGAGGTAGCAGATAAAACTGTGTTTTCAGAGACTATACAGCCTAGTTTTGCAGACAAGACAGAGATGTGAGGGACCCAGAACCAAGCTGTGCCAAGCTGTGCAGCTGAACCTCTCATTGGAGAGGATTAGCCAAGGGGCTGACTGCTGCAAGATGGTCTCTCTGCGATGTCATGGCCAGGCAGCTGGTGGCAACAGAGAGCCTCTGACAGGTGGGATTTTCAACTCCCCAGATTAGCAGTGTCCTTGTGGGACACCCTGGGGACATCAAAAGAGGAACCACTCTGAGTGACCTCATTTCCTTTCTGGCTCTTACATGACAATCTATTTTAAAATATTTTAAAATAAACTATATATGCCATTTATTATTTGCCAAACATCTTCTAACTCCTTTGTATATTAACTCACTTAATCTTCACAACTATCCTATAAGGTAAATCCTATGACTATCTTCATATTACTGTGAGGAAAACAAGACACAGAGTGGTCAAGTAACTTGCCCAAAATCACACAGCTTGTGAAGGGTAAATCTGGCCCCATACATAATCCCATGTTATGCTGCCTTTCCACGTATTTCATGTTTGTTTGTTTTTTGAAAACATATTTCTCTGGGACAGGTATGGTGGCTCACACCTGTAATCCCAGCACTTTGGGAGGCCGAGGAGGGTGTATCACTTGAGGTCAGGAGTTCAAGAACAGCCTGACCAACATGGTGAAAGCCTGTCTCTATAAAAAACACAAAAAATTAGCCGGGTATGGTGGCACACACCTGTAATCCCAGCTACTTAGGAGGCTGATGCAGGACAATCGCTTTAACCCAGGAGCCAGAGGTTGCAGTGAGATGAGATCGCACCACTGCACTCCAGCCTGGGCAGCAGAGCAAAACACCATCTCGCCGTCTCAAAAAACAAACAATATAAGTATAAGTATATGTATATGTATATGTATATGTATATGTATATGTATATGTATATGTATACGTATAGATAGACAGATAGATAGATAATTTCTCTGGTCTCCAGTTTACTAATAAAAAGTACTTATTTTTATCGTAATAGCAATGTATCATATTGATCAGGAACTCAGCTATTGAAGCCATAAGAAGTTTGGGTCCAAATTTGGGCTCTGAAAATCCCTGGCTGTTTTTCCCTGGGCAAGTTACTTAAACTTTCTGAACCTCAATTAATTCCCTTATAAATTTGGGGCAATAACACTCCCCTTACAGGGTTGTTGTGCGGTTGCTCTAAGTAATATAACCACATACTTAAAATATTCTTTGGGCTTGCACCCATTTGTAAGTGTTTGAGCTTTATTCATGGTGTTTCTTACAATCACATCTGTTTATATCTCAATTAGAGTGCTGAGCGTTTAAATGATGATTCACTTACTACCGACTGACCTTCAATTATCCCAGTTTCATGAATCAACAAATCCCCATTTTTGCTTAAGCAAGTTTGATTTGGGTAGCTGTCCATTAAAACTAATAGATTCTGGACTAGTACAAAAGTGGTTGTAAGATTAGTGCATACAGCACTAATCACAATAGCAAAGACATGGAATCAACACAAATGCCCATCAAAGATAGACTGGATAAAGAAAATGTGGTACATACCCACCATGGAATACTATGCAGCCATAAAAAAGGATGAGATCATGTCTTTTGCAGGGACATGGATGGAGCTGGAAGCCATTAACCTGAGTAAACTAACACAAGAACAGAAAACCAGACACTCCATGTTCTCACTCACAAGTGGGAGCTGAACAATGAGAACACATGGATACAGGGAGGGAAACAACACACACTGGGGCCTGTAGGGGGTGGTGGGGGAAGGGAGAGCATCAGGATAAATAGCTGATGAACATGGGGCTTAATACCTAGCTGATGGGTTGATGGGTGCAGACAACCACCATGGCACACGTTTACCTATGTGATAAACCTGCACATCCTGCACATGTATCCTGCAACTTACAATAAAATTAATTTTTTTAAGAAAAGGTAACTTTCAAAAAAACAGATTAATGCATACATACACGTACACTTGCATAAAAGGCAGTCCTAGAAGATATGTTCTGCTTAATTTTTTAACAAACCCTTTCCTAGGTCTCACTATGTGCCAAACACAATTCTAAGCACTCCAACACTTTGACTCATCCAGTCTTTTAACAAGTCCATGGTATTGGTACTCATAATAGCCCCATTCTACAAATGAGGATATTAGAACTCAGAGGCCTTACATCATTCATGGCAACTTGAGCAGGGAGGGCCGGCAGTCAAAGCCACACCTGCCCGATCCCAAATCCTACTTCCTTTCCTCTGCCTGCTTCACATGACCAAGGATGTTGATGTAATTGCTAAGTAAGGAACCCTGGAAATCTACTAAGGAGCTGGCACCAACACTCAGGTGCCCACATTCTAAATCTCGCCTCGATGCTGAAATCTCTTCTGAGGCCCAGGAAAAGCATGGTGGGTGGTGAACAAGAATTCCAAAATATCCTTCCAGAGAAATCCCACTGCTGCAGAGCCATGCCAAACAGATTGTACAGTCTCCAAACTATATTCAGACCCAGACATACAAACACTGACCTGAAATCAACCTACCACCCTCCACGTCTTCTTTTTAAATAATGTTTGGCAGACAAGAATTGTTTGCCTCTTCTACAAATGCTTGTAAACTTATTGAGCTGGTTAGGCACTAATTTTTCTACACGCCCACCTATCATAGGTCTGGACTCAACATGTCAGCATTCCATTAAATATTTACCACATTCATTTACATCTCCCCCAACAATATTGAATAGAGCTCAACGTGGAAATTCACAGACTCCAGGGTGGCCATTTGTTTTTAGGATTACGGCACAGACCTCACTTCCTTGGAGATTCCCTGGCTGGCCTCAAAGATGAATGCTTCTTTTAGGACCAAAATAGAACAAAGGGACAAAAGGGAACTGAAGGATTTAAAATTAGGATAAAAAAACAAAGAAAGAAGAAAAAAATTGGCACTGGAGTTAGCCTGCCTTAACCATCTAAAACTTACCAATGATGCCCAACTTTTAGTGTGGTTCATCCCATATGTTCCCATACTCCCACTGGGACCTAACATTTGCAGGCGCTATTTATCATTCTGGCTAGTGGTGTGCTCATCTGCCTACCTCGCTAAGCAGCCTTCGTTGTTATTTTTATAATTACTGGGAGTCTTTTTCATGTTGCGCTCTGCCAGAACTTCGGCTCACCACACACCTGTTCTACGCAGAACACATGGAGAGATGGGGGGTGGGTCTGGCGGTTGAGAGAAGGCAAAGACAGCCTTTTCAGCCTGCTATAAAAAGCAAAATCAAGAATATAGCAGAAGTCCAGAAGCCACTAGGTACCTTTTTGTTAAAAGCTGTATTCTGCACTGACACTTTATTTAACAAACGTTCTCTATGTCTAAGAGTTTGTTTATAGGAACGCTATTCTGATTTTAACAAACATTAAATAATTTAGTCTTCATAATGACAATGAATATCACCATCCCCATCTCACAGATGAGACAATTAAAACAAAGAAAGGTTAAATAATTTGCCCAACGGTGCAAAGGTGGTAAGTGGTAGACTTGAACCAAATCTGAAGCCAGGTACTTATGTGTGAAACTATTCTACCACGCTGCATCTAACCAGAATCACTCTCATCACCAAACATCATCACCACCACCACCACCACTGCAACTACCACCATCAGCACTGTCACTACCACCACCAGAGCCACCAGCACCACCAGCACTACCACCATTACTATCACCAACACTACCATCCACCATCACTGCCATCACCACTATCCCAACTCCATTACCATGGCCATCACCACCAACACCACTATCAACACCATCACTATCACCATCACCATCATTACCACCGTCACTACCATTACCACCATTATCACCACTACATCACCATCAGCACCGTCACTACCACCAGCACTACCACCATCACCTTCATCACCACTACTACCACCGTCACCATTCACAATCACCACCACCACCATTTTCACATCATCACCATCATCGCTACCGTCACCACCACAGTCACCACCACTATCACCACCACCATCACCACCATCACCTCCAGCATCAAAAGTAGAAGTATGTATTGAGCTCCTTCTGTTTGCTGGGTACTGTACTGGGGTAGTATACAAACTAGCTCGTGCCATACTCCTAACAATGCTATGTCTTTGTGGTCTTGCTGTTACCTCTACTTCGTAAATGTAGAAATGAAACTGCAGAGAAGTCGAGAAACATGCCCATAGAGCTAGTTGGAGGCCCATAAGATTTGTAATTTGTTTCAGACTCAAAGTCAGTTCTGTTTCACATTCCCGTGAATGCACTTCACTCCTGTACTCCTGTGGCTGGAGGCAGCGGGTGGAGGTACTGCTCAGTGGACATTTCATAAAAATGACTCCCCACTTCTCACCCACCATATTAGAAGTGGGATGCTACAGAGCACCTTACCAAGCTGGTGAGTGCCTTTGTCTTTGGTGACTGCTACCAACTCATACATGAGACCAGTTGCTTCGTGATGGTGATGGTCCTAATGGCGATGGTGATAGTGGTGGTGATAATAGCACTGGATTGGTGACAGTGGTGATAGTGGTGGTGATGGTAGAGTTCAGATGAAAAATTCTGAGCTCTGGGAGCTTTGGCCTAAGATATGCTGAGACTGGCCTGTCACTCACTTCCATGAAGCTGCATACCACCCAGGTCAGTGCCACCTGACTTCACCAAAGCCTGCCGAAGTCTGACTTCAGGGAGTTGCATTTCTTCTCTTCTGGCTGAACATCAGCTTCGGGGATGAATCTCAGGCTTGATTTTCAAAACGTTTTACTCCTGGCCGTTTCTTTTCTGTCCACTCCTAGTCCAAGCGACCATCAGCTTGCACCAGTAGTATCGCAGTGACTTCCTACTTGACACCCCCGTCCTCAGCTTTCTATCTTGTCTCCCTCTATTCTCTGCAGAAAAGCCAAACTGGCCTTTGTAAAAAGGCTAAATATGGTCATTTAACTCCTGCCTAAACCCTCTTATTGTGTGTGTGTGTGTTTGTGTGTGTGTGTGTGTGTGTGTTCTGTCTTCTTCATTCGTCTTGGCAAAAAATCCAACTCTAGGTCAAGATTTCCAAACTCCAGTCGTCTCTGGCCCTTATGTGTCTCTTTACCCCTCTCTCACTGGCTCCCTGGTCCCTTTGTTTTTCCAGCATCTTAAAGACACCTAGGCAAGCAACAGGCACTACACACACTCTATGCCTTAGTGTGAATCCTCTCTTCCACCCTGACCCCACCTCCTTGCCTACCTCCCACTCCATCTCAGCTTTGATGTCACTTCTTCAAAAAAGCTTCCCTCACCCCTGAATCCAACTCCCACTCTTTTCCTTCAGAGCATTTATCACACCTGGCAAGGCACAGTTATGTGATGATCACTTGCTCATGGGCTGTCTCTCTCCCACAGACTTGTAACCTCCATGAAGAAAAGCAGACCTGCTTTCCTTGTCTGTATCCCTTCAATGACCAACCCAATCTCTGAGACAGAGGCTAAATAAGGATGTGCTGCATGAATGAGTGAGTAAATTAATTATTAACCATTGACTTCAGAGAAATAATCAGATTTGAGGTGACTTAATCATTCTGGGCCTCACATGCCTTGCAAGAGATGACCAGCTATGCCTTCTGTAAACAGATCATGCAATGTTAGGAAGATTATACAAACAGGTAAAAACATAGCATTTCTCTTCTCCAATAGTACCATGTAACTCTCAAAAGTCTGCTATGTGTAAGCAGATAGTTGTCTTATGTAATATAGTAACTGCTGCCTTGAATTAAAGACATCATTATTTTGAAAAGTTGATCTTTCTCTGATACACAAAGTGGAGGATCCATCCCTCATATAAACACATAATCTTCTTGGCACGCTGCATGATTAAAGAGGAAATGTGATTTTATTTTTTTGGAAACTGATATTTCTCACAAAGCCAGGAAGAACTATCAGAATAAAGGGATGTTTGTTTGGGTGAATCACCAGATTTGCACAAATCCCAAGTGCTAATTGCATAATGGGTCTTTACAAAATGCTGTAATATGGGTTCAGCTTGTTTCTTCTGTTTGGGGTTTGAAAAATAGATTGTTTAGTAACCCATCAAAGATATATGTAAACCAAGTAAACAATAGAGCAGATGTTGACTGCTGTCTTGTGCCATGTAGACATAATTAAAAACAATGAGACACTCACGAATTCAAATAATAGAGAACAAACAAAAATACAAAAATCAGTACAATATAAATGTAAAGTGCATTTGCTGGACACCTGCTTTCCGAGTCCAAAATGCTGTATCATATGTCCCATGATGAAAAGTGTGTGTAATGTTCCATATATATATATATATATATTCTGTTCTCCACTTTTCAGGAAGGCTATAAAAGACTATCTTCCACAATGAATATTTGCTTCAATTTCATCATTACTGACAAGCATACTGGACAGTTAAAAAAATTTATAAGCATAAATGTTAATAAGAACCAGATAGCTAAAACTTTCACATTTGTAAAAGAAATTCAAGCCCCCAGTATGGGGGGGGGGGTAGGGTAGAGTAGGGCTTTAATCATTTGTCTTTGCATTTATTCCTTCATGTATTCACTTCAGAATTCTACTAAAATGACATGTTTATTTCCTAAAAGCCTTACGTATCTTTCTTTTTTAACTCAAGAGCATTTCCTAAAATCAAGATTTTATCATAGACAAAAATATTACTGTTGACTGGAATATTTAAAGTATCATTCTAATTTTCTAAATATTCTGTTTTACCCCCTCAAACTCCTACTCTGTCTTCTGTTGGTTTTCAGTTCTCAGTTCTATAGGGAAAGAAATATCACCACACACAAAATGAAATGCATGACATAATTAAGAAAACACAAGTACAAGTGCAATTCATTAAAAAAAAAAAAAGAGCTTTTCTCTGCTGGTATCTTGAAAGATTGATTGAGGGCTCCAAATAAAATATATGAGGTTATGATTTGTTTTCTTCCAATTAGGAAAAAAATAAAAGCGGAGGTTAAAATTAGAGCTTTCTGTGGCTTACTCAAGAGAAGAAACTTTCCTACATCCAGAATTCCCAATCCGGAAAATAAATGTCCTCGATAACATTCAAAACGAAGCTGCATTCTTTTTCAGTGAAAAATTGAAAAAGAATCATTTTTAAAAGGCTCAAAAACCCCTTTGTTTAAAGATCACATCAAGCTCCTGTTGACTTATCGTGAACAAATGGTGATTCGGCTTACAGTCAACTCGCCCTCTCCCCTGCCTGTTGTTTTTGATGATATAGAAGGACGGAGGATTCTAATGTGATCTGAATCTCTTTATGCTAATAAAAGAGTGTCAGCCCATTTTCACAGACAACACCATAAAGCATAAACACCAAATGGGAAACAAATAGGACCGTGATGCCACTGTGAAACAAACCAATCAGCCCTGAAACACCTAAGACAGATCGCATCCCGTTCTTCATTCATTCTTTACAGAAAGGCAATGAAAATGTGTCTAAGTGAATCTGATTAAACACACACACATACACAACCGCACACAGGCGCACACCATCTCAGAGCTCAGGAAGGTTGTAAAGCACTAAATTCTTTTGATTTATGAAGCAGTCTTCACTGCACTGAGCAAAACAGCATGGCAAGGCAGGACCCCACTCCCTGAAATTCCGTTATGAACACGACCAGGCCCCGCAAGTGAACAAAAGCAGTGGTGCGGGGTGTATAAATCATTAATACGGTGCCGGGCAGTGACTGCGTTTCCTCTGTTAGTTGGAGAGCTCCCCAGTACAACAGAGATTTGGGGATTGGAATTGGTTGCGGAGAAATACACTCCATCATTCTCAGTGCTGATGATTCTCACAGCCTCGTTCTTTCCCCTCTCCCTTCCTCCTCCCCAAGTCCAAAAGCCTCATGGTTTGTTGCAATTCATTAAACAAAATCGTAATGACTTAAAAAAAACAAAATCGGGAAGAGCATCAAAGTTGACAGGTCGCCTGAACTCTTTCCTCTTTTGGCAAGTCCTGCCTTTAAAGGAAAAGAGGCCCACTCCATCAATTGGAGCTATTCTTCCAACGCAGGAACCTGGCAGAGGTCTCTCCGTAAATCATACAGAACCAGCCACTGGCCGGCACAGTGAGGAGGAGGACATAGGGATGGTGCAGAATCGTGGTTCTAAGTGTCGGTTCTGGGGCAAAAGTGTCTGGTTTTAAATATCAGCTCTCCCACCTAAGCCTTGGATTCTGCATCTAAAAATGAAGCCATTAATTTCAACTCCCTGGAGGCTTTTTTTGTGGGGGATTAAATGTGATAATCCATGTAAAAGTGCTTATTCGTGTGCTTGTCACAAAGCACTCCATAAAAGTTATTGATTATTTCATTATTTTAATTATTTTATTATTATGATCATCATTGTGGAAGAAGGCTGGCTTATCTCGTTACCTAAATGGTCTTACAAGCTGCCTCTCCTACTGCTGTCCGAAAGAGCCTCATTTTTTGAACGGAACCAAAGAGCCTTAAAAAAAAAAAGACAAGAAAAGAAAAAAAAAGATAAAAAAGAAGAAAGAAAGGAAAAAAGAAAGTCTTCAGGAATCCTGAGTCACGTACTCTAAATGGAGACCCCCAGTGGAAGGTTCTGCCACTGCACCATGAAGAAAAGAGAATTTCTCCACTCAACCCCTTCCTGTGTTAACTGCTCATTGCAAACCCTTAGGGGGAAAAGGAAGAAAGAAAGAGAGCAAACAAACAAACAAAAAATTGCATAGTTTTATACAGATTATTTGGTTGAGGGAACCTGTCAACGAGTTTAAGCAGAGACAATAGATAGATCCAAAGCAAAGCCACTTTCAGGAGGCGCTTTTGTGTTTCCAGAAATTCCAGGAGTGGCCCGGATGAAGAGTGATGTGGAAGTACGAGTCCCACACCCCTTTCTTTTGCTTCAGAAGGAAGAGCAGCAGTGGGGAACACGCTGCCTCTCCTACAACAGATCCAGGGCATGAAAATGCACGTGTCAGCTTCCCCGGTCCATCCTGAAACTAGGGTACCCTCCCAGACATCAGTGCCAAGCACCCAGGCACCCTGGGGCCCCCAGAGAGCTCCGCCAGACTCTCCCAGACTCTCCTGGGTGACGATCTACACTTTAGCAGGGCCCCGCCATATTAAAGCTTATGGGAATAAACTTCAACGTGTGCCCAAGTCTCTGGCATCACAGAATAATGACGTTCTGAATGGAAATAAATGAAGGCCCTGCAGTGTGATTCTGTCAGCTTTTGAAAGTAAATAACTTCGCTACTGACAAGAGCAAGACAATTTTTATTTTCCCTCCTCCTGACACTGAGCATTAATTGAGCTGTGTAGCCATATTACAATCCAGTGACACAAGCAGGAATGACAGCTCACTGGAGGAAGAAAGAGAAGAGCTCCCAAACAGGGTAGTGGAACCAAGAAGACCCGGAGTGACACCCAAGTCCCTTGTGTCTGTGTCCTTGGCAGGCCATGGGTGTATTAATCATGTTAATTTGAGAGAAATGGAAACGAGAAGTTTATGTCCAGCTTCAATAAACAAATCCTACGTTTCTTTAACATATTGCCTTCCTTTGTTTCATTGTTGTTGTTGCTGCTGTTGAGAAAGAGTTTCACTCTTGTTGCCCAGGCTGGAGTGCAACGCCGCGATCTCGGCTCACTGCTACCTCTGTCTCCTGGGTTCAAGTGATTCTCCTGCCTCAGCCTCCTAAGTAGCTGGGATTACAAGTGTGCTCCACCACGCTCAGATAATTTTTGTATTTTTAGTAGAGACAGGGTTTCACCATGTAGGCCAGGCTGGTCTCAAACTCCTGACCTCAAGTGATCCACCTGCCTCTGCCTCCTAAAGTGCTGGGATTACAGGCGTGGGCCACTGCGCCCGGCCCTTCCTTCATTTCTTTATCAAACATCTATAGGCTGCTCACTGCACCCCAGGCACTGAGCTAAGTGTTCCCATTTGCATCTTACTTAATATCACAAAGAACAGTATGAAATGGTTGTTCTAATCCCTGTTTTTCTGAAGGAGCAATTAAGTCCCCAAATAAACAAAAAAAAACTATCTTGCTCAATTCAGCTGGATCAGCTAATTGAATAACAGAGTTGGGATTAAGCCTTCAGCTCATGACTTCTGTCCTACATATAACTTCAGAAACACTATCGTTTTTCAAAAAAACCTGTACTTTTGGGAAGGCTGATACCATGATACCAACTGGCTCTAAATAGATCTGGGTTTTTCATCTGAATTTTGTGAGACACTTGAGATGGACAGCTGGCTACTGCAGTGTGTAAACCTCGCTGTTCCTTCTGGGTTTAGGTACCAATATTGCTCTCAACCTTTCCATAAGAGCAGGGCTTGCCCCGTGCCTGGCTTCAGGCAGAGCAAGAGGAAGCTGATCTATGGAAGGGAAAAACCGGGGATGTTTGTTACTGTTTTTGATAAGGGGAATCTAGTCATTGAGGCGAATCCTGAGCAAACATCGAATGCCAAAAAAAAAAAAAAAAAAGAAAAGGCTCATCAAGACTAAACCTTTTATGCATTTACTCATCAGGCCTGGGAAATTGGAGTCACTTAAATCCTACAGTTGCTTCTACTTTGTTCTATGGCCACAAAAGGGGAGAAAAAAAATAGTCATTGCATCCCTGGGAACACACACTAACCTTCTGAATGCTTTCCACTCCAGTTCCCCTTCCTAATTTTGATTCTGTTTCAAGACACATAAAGAAAAGGATCAAAACAGGGTAGGACTGCTCTTCAGCTAGAGCTTGGCTGAGTGCTAAGGACCACAGCAGTTTCCCAGTCCCAGCTCCATCATCTCAAAGCCCTCCTTGGGATGTAGACGTTGAATGTATGGCTATTTTCCTTTATTGTGCACTAGTGGCTGCTGATCTGGCAGATGGAAAAAAAAGCATCACAAAGAACTTAACTCTAGCCTTGCCCCTTGCAAATTGGGTCAAGGTAGCGGAAGGAGTAATTCCAGACCGGACACGGCAGAGGATTCCCAGGCAATCCAGCAGGCCAAGCGGAAGTTTTCCAAAGCGTTGTACTGCATGCATGGTTCACAAGATGGCAAAGAGATGAACAACGTAACAGACTATCTGTGAGGACAGGGGCCTTTGCTTTGCTCCCTGGGAGAGTCTAGAAGGGCAGCTGGAGTTCCATAAACCTATCAGGAGTTCCATCAACATGGAATGGGTGGATGGACAGGTGAATGAATACACATTTAGTTCCACGTATGCTGGGAAAGTGTGATCACAGGTGTGATTCAGTGACTGTGTTTTATTTGGTTTGGGCAAGTCTATGTTTAATATGTAAGTTAATTTTAAAAAATATTAAGTAGATATCAACTCTGGTAATGGGTAGATTGGCAGGACTTAGGAAGTGGTGCCTGAATGTCTGAAGTTTGAGAAATACTGGACCATGACAATTATTTCCATGTTAATAAGTATGCCCCTTGATGAAGTTTTGATAAAACATACCAACAGGACTCTGGGTGCTCCACAGTTAACGTCAGTTTTTACAGTTTTGATCAACATCTTCTCCTTCTCTCTACCTCCTCCCCACCAACCCTGGTTCCAAATTCTGTCACTTTTTTAGCCGGGATCAATCCATCAGGGCTATAGCATGACAGGAAGATCAGAAACAACCATGAAAAGCCTCTTTCCCCAAACCCTCTCAGGAGCCAGGACATTCCAACCACACAAGCTCTTTCCTCATCGTATGCCAGGCTCAGGAACTGCATTTCAGGATCCTTCAGAGAGAACCCTGGCCAGCTCTGTCTCCCAGCAGAGGCGGCCTGCGGGTCCATTGCTCATTTGGCTAGCTCACCTGTATTCAGCATGGTTAAAGGGCCAGGGCCAGGGCTCTTCTGGGCCATTGTGCCTGAGAGCTGACCCTATCTGACACAGCCGCCCTCAATAGGGCTGGGTGAGGCAAGCTGCATCATGCCAACAGCCACGGGCCAACGCTCAGCCCGGCAGAGTTCTCTTGGGCAGCACCCGGCAATAGGAAACTTTATTGATGAATGGAACTTTCTTTGCTTTTCTTAACTGAATTAAACAGAACATTGGGACACTTCTCCCCGTCCATTAAAAAGGGGTCTGCAGATGGGACAATTACACCCACACCTGTCAGCTCTGCTTCCTTCACGGGATGACATGTGCTGCTCATCACCCAACCCCCTTAGGCACAGAGTCAGCAACCTGATTTTGTTTACAATGCTGCAATTTCGTTCCCTTCCACAGGACTATTATTTGCCTGACAAACTACACTGTTTTCACCCGGCCAATATGAATAAACAAGCATTATGTTTCCTCTTGGGGCAGAGAACCTGGTTAAATGAATCAGAAAACCCTAAAAAAGACTGTCTACCCTCAGTCCATCAGCTACTGGAGAATTACTCAAGGGTCAGCTGTAAGGAAAACAGATGGCGGGTGAGCACTAATAACACAGACTTTCTCCAGCCGGGCAAAGGCAGGAGCGGCCAGTTGCATGTTATAACACAGAAACTGCCTCAAAATGGCAGGCAGAGCAGGCGAATGGCACAAGGCTTTGGTCTGTGGATGAACAGATGCTTACAATTTTCAGAAGTGATTGTTGGATTAAGTAATTTTAAAGCAGAGGCAGCCCAGGTGGCCCTGCAGTCCATGTCCACAACACGCGGCCCTCCATAGGTTCCCCAAAGGGGGGAAGCACAGATGACCCCCAGCTCACCTGAAATGTGGGCCTTACCTGGCTGATAACAGCCTAACATTTCATGCCTTCTCTTAATCGGAAAAGATCAGAGAAACAAGAAAGATTGGTTAACCAATTTACGACGTAAGACATCCCTCTAGAAAGAGACTGAGGGACCTTTCTTCTATCAGGCAGCCACCTGGGCCTGGAAATGTGCTCATTCCAGCCACTTAAATTCCTTTAAACAATTCAGACATGAAGCTAATCTATCCTAATTCTTTTCTGCGTTACTGACACTATCGACCACCCCCAATCCATAGCACTATCTAATAAATCAACACGGGATTAAGCCAAAAAGAAAGAATGTGATAAATTCCATTTGGCCCCCTATAAATCATCAGATGGAGTAACACAAGGTAAGTAACTGCAATGAGAATTGAACTTTTCTACACAGTCATAATTGTTATGACCTACCTAATGTTTCCAAAATTTATAACCGTGGCTGGTGCATGGGGCCACCCTCCCCAACGCCTGCAGCCTTCGCGCGAGAGCCCATCTTCCCCAGGTGATTCCCTGAACTGAGAATCGCTTTCTAATTAAAGACAGAAAGGGTTGATATGCAGGTTTCAGTTCAATTGCTTTCGATCTGAAGATGTCCACAGTGAGCAATGGCTTCATTTACTGGGAATTACCCTTTGTACAAACCACTTCACTACTTAAAACAAACCACATGGATCATCATTAAGTGGGAAAAATTACCAATCTTCGAATATTGACAGTGGCATGGCCCACTTTAGAGGCTCTTTTCTGCCCCCTCTAATGTGGATTTTAAGCATTTGACGTATTTTTAAATTTAGGCTGATAAAAAGGTTCTCAGTGGATAGGGCTTGACAGATAAGAAGCTTTCTTAGAATAGTACTGAGAGACGCTGGTGGTGTAAGAACAGAGAAAATTAAGTTAATATGCTACTGATCCTCTTTCAGGACATTAAACTCAGTGGAAAAAAAAAAAAACAGCTCTGGGTGGAATCTGACACGCAGTTTGCATCAGAAAACGAATCTCATCATCCATCCTGTCTGTTGCCTCACCATACCTTACCATGAGATGGGTGCTATAAGGTTTGCCCTCTATTACTTACAATAGAAATAAACCATCTCTAGATTTCTGTGTCCTGTGTGTCCATGCATGTGTGTGTGGCTGTTTTCTATTTCTTCTCTATCAGGAAAACAAAATAGGTTCTCTTTTGACCTAGCTTGCTGCAAACCCCCTAATGTGGAATTGTATTCAGAATTATTCCTCAAAGCAAGAATGGTTCCATGAGTACTTACTTTGGAACGTGGAAGATTAAGTATTGGGGATATGTGAGTTCTAAGTTCAGCTTCAAGAAGATTCACCATCAAAGAAGACACAGCATGAAGCCACTCAGGAAAGGAGATTGAGGCAGGGACTTTCCCTGGACAGCAAGATTGAAGCCAGTTGCTCCAAGGACTACTTGTCCGTTCCATCTGAAAGTGGTTGACAACCACAAAATATATGCTCTATACTAGGTGTGTGTGTATATGTGTCTGTGTGTATGTATACAAATTTGTGTGTTCCTATGTGAGTACATCACTGGGTCTGATATCTAGACGCCAAAAAAACTATTTAGCATTATCCCACCTTGCAGCTCTAAACTGTAGTAACATCTTGGATGTGGAGGAAAAAAGAGGAGAAGGAGAAAAGAAAAGAAATCGTAGCTGTAAGTAAACACTTATCTAGATAAAAGTTATTGGGACATACAAATAAGTGAAACAGGATAAGTCAAATAATGTAAACATCAAAGTTGCTTCTTCATTGGCCTAAGTAAATAAATTATTCGTGGCAAAAGTGATATGTTGCCACTTACACTTGGCCATTCAGAGTAGACTCCGATGCTGAGGCACCCCAATTGATTTTTGTTTTTATGAGTTGTCTTATGGATAAATCTGTGAGAATTTAGGAGGAAAGGTTGGATGTTCATGCTGAGACAAAGAAAGCATTTAATGAAGTCATTTTCCTTAGTTATTGGATAAGAAATAACCATATGAAACTGCATTCCAGAAAAATATACTTCAGGGAAGACTCGATGGCCGGTGGTCAGAGTTTGTGGATTTATAAAACAAAATGATAAATGCTCCAAAATAAGATCAATGTGGGTTGATTACTTTCTTATGTAATTGGTGATCTCAATGACAAAGACTTCTGAATTATGTTTATTTCTAAACAATTATAAAATAAAATTGTTTTCAGTGAAGGTGTTACTTATCATAAATGTTGCCTGATTCGTCCACTTGATCAATTTACTTTGAGATCAAAGATTACCCTTCTGTTCACCAAAATTAGCTAGAGATCCAATAATAGCTACAGATTAAAGGCAGATAAAAAATATAGTAGTGGTGTCTGGGTACAAGATATTACTTATCGATATGATTTATGTATGTGGAGATTAAACTATTTCACACTCTTAATCAGCCGATTGTCTGGAATGCTAAATAAAATAAGTGACTTGAGACTTTTAAACGAACTATCACGACAGTAATGGCCAGGACAGATGACTCCAGGTATATCACTTACACCCTAGCGGTGAGCTTCCAGGAAGGGCTAGAAAACCTAATTCTGAATGAAACAGGCAAAAATAAATGACTGCCTTTATTATACTTCAGGTATTCAGTGAAGCTCAGAGAAAATACACACACACACACACACACACACGCACACCATTCCCACATTATGTCATAGTATCACATTATAAACACTTTCACAGATAGCAGTGCAAGTCCTTTCAGGGGAGGGGGAGATGCATTCCAAAGCACATTTCAAAATCCACCCTCCATCTATCTTCATATGGAACCATGATGCTGATTTAGTCACTTCTAAATATTTGTTGTGGCTGCCAATGTTTTCTTCAAGCCTCCCCTTTCCAGAGCAGGGGTGTTTTTCCTCGTGGGAGAGACTGCCTGGAAGATGCTGAGAACCTTTGTGTTTATCTTATATGTTTGTTCTTCTCATGGCAAGAATAACCTCTCACTCAAAGTCACTATCTTCTCTCCTAAGTTGTGCCCAAATGAGTAAGCCAATTTAAAAATCTAGAAGGCAGAAACATGGATGTATTTTTGAAAAAAACACAAACACCACCACACAAAGGAACGGAGAACATTGAGTACCTATAGCATTCTACTTGCTAGGTAAATGATATTCAAATTGATTAATAAATAACATGAAAGAAGTAAATGTAAAAGGCAAAAGATCAACTCAGTAATAATTTGATAAATCCAACTGAGGCTTAGCATCTATAGAAATGCTCATTAGAATTTTCTTCCGGTGGAAATAACTGGTATAAAACGCACATGCACATACACATTTACACACACACCCACAGCAAAGGCACAGAAATTGTGGAAGATGAAGCATATAATATGTTATCAATACTCTCTTGGGAAATGTCTTCTGGCACGATTTACTCAATAATGAACGTAATAAAATAATATTTAAAAGAACAAATTGGTTCCCAAGATTTTTTTAAGACTGTTCTCAAAAAGACATGCAACAGAAAATACACCTAAGAAATATTTTCTGGAGTCAACCAACTTGATAGAAAATCACCCAAATGTTCAAAACAGAATCCTGACATTTTATAAAAATATACATTCCTTTAACACAGGTTGAAATTGAGGGTCTTGGGGAAGAGGGCCACTCTCAACTCTTGCATAGGAAGTTCTGTTCACACACTCATGTTAACAAATGGTACTCTTGAAGTGAGTCCGTGGAAAAACAGATAAAATGAGTATAATCACTGTAAACCTTCATAGAATAGGATGGAGATCCTGGGAGGGAGAAAGGATTTTCATCTGCATGACAAAACCCCTTCTAGCCCTTCAGTTCACATCCACTGCCCCTGCCCAATGACAGAGAGCTGGCCTGTCACCCTACAAGGGCAGTGCTGAGCTATTTCCCAAGCCCAGGAACCAACTCAGGAAGCAACCCTTCCAATAAAGAAAGAATGACAGAGCAGAGAGGGTCCCAAGGAAACACCCTGAGAAAGACAGAGAGTAAGGTGTCAAAAGACTGAAATGTGCACAATGAATGGAAAATAAAGCAAACACAGACTCCCTCAGCAAGACCACTAAGGAGAAGTGAAAGGGAAAAAAAAACCCACACACGCACACACACACAAACACCCTAACACATGCCAACAAAGACAACATCCTAAACAGCTCACCTTCTTCACAGCATTGCCAGTGAGTTTGAAGGCAGACTGGGGCTGACACACTCCAGAAATTCAAATGCTGCGATCCCATGCGGACCGAATATAGCACCACACAAACTTAGGAAAACACACACACACACACACACACACACACACACACACACACACACCACACCACACACCACACACTTCTCCTTTCCACTCTCTATTAAATCAGCTGAATTAACACTACAGGCACCGGAATGCCTCCACAAAGATTCAAACTCTTAGCATCAAAGGGGTCTTAGACTCAGATCACCACGAAAGGCACTGACACAAGGAAGATGGTAGCAAGGAAAAGGCAGTTTTCCATTTCAAACTTCCGGTGCCCAGGCTGGGCATCAGGCGGTTTTAAAGTATTCGGACAGGTGCAGAAACATCTCAGCGCGAGGTGCCCGGGCTCCACAGAGAGCAGGAGGCTTCCATCCACCCTTTCCATCGCAACGCGGGAGCCCCCTCCTCAGAACCTACATAAGGCACCGAAGCGCAGCCCAGTACGCGCGGGGACCCATCTGGCCCAGCCCCAGGAAAGCAGCCACCGAGGGCAGACGCGCGCCTTACCTGCTGTAAGTACATAAAAGTCAAGGCACACGAAAGCTGGGGACACATGCCCACGTTGGGGAGCGCCACGCAGGTGGCCCCCGTCAGAGGATGCTGCATCATGTCTCTCTGGCGCCCGCCGAGCCCGAGTGGGGACGCTTGAATGCAATCACGTTGCTCTCTGCCTGGGCGCTACAATTTTTTTTTTTCTTTTTTAATTTTGCTGGTTATCTAAGTCAATGACCGGTGGCTCGCGCTGTCTCTCTCTCTCTCTCTCTCTCTCTCTCTCTCTGTCTCTCTCTCTGTCTCTCTCCCCCTCTTTCCTCCTCCCTCCCCCCACCGCACCCCGCCGGTCCCTCCTCCCTGGCTCTCCCCGCCTGGGGATGTGCTAGATCCCGGCGTTCCTCTGCCTCCAACTAAAACACTTGCGGGGACCTGGAAACTAGTTGGTTCCCTTCGCGCGGTCGTCTGGCTTTTCTGGGTTGTTGGGCCTGCTTTTTGATCCCCCGGAAAGTGGAAGGGGCCCCCCACCCCATACCCCTGTGAAGGTGACACGAGAACCGGCAGAGGGAACTTCTCTGGAAGGGGCAGGGGATGCGCTGCCCTCCCGAAGAGGCTGAATGGGAGGGGGGCAAGGATAGCGAGAGGGAGGGAGGGAGGGAGAGGAGGAAGGGGTGGGACGGAGGTAGAGAGGGAGAGAGGAAGAGAGAGGGAGGGGAGAGACAGAGAGAGAGAGAGAGAGAGAGCGAGAGGGAGGGTAAAGAGAGAGAGAGATTGAAAGAGAGGAAGAGAGGTTTTGACTCACACTGAAGCTCACTCCGTTGGTTCTGATGCTGTCTGTCTCCTCATTTGTCAAATGGGTCCAGGGGAAAGATTTTTTTTCCTTTTTTTCCTTCCCTCCCCTTCGCTTTTTTTAAAAATTATTTATTTTTTTTGTTTGTTTCAAAAAAACACTCACCAAAATTTAAATTCGGTCTGCTAAAACCCTCTGCCGGTGAGCAGGCGAGCGAGCGCCCCGCGCGCCCGGCATCAGGCGAGCTGGACAATTAGCGCGATGGCCCAGCTGGGACCCACAGTGGTAGATGTTGGTGGCGGTGCGTTTGCCGGATTCCTTGCCAAATAAACACAGAAAAGGGATTTCCCCTCCTCAGGAGGTGGAGTGCTGAGACGTTAGGGGCTGGGGGCAGGAGGGAGCTTGGGCTGAGGGAGGGGAGGAGGTTTCTGCGCCCCCCAGCAGAGCACCGAAGCGCCGATGCACCCCCGGGCGTTTGGGGCGCAGCTTTCGCTCTGTGCCTCGCCTTGGTTGGGCAGGCAGCCCCGAGCCAGCGAACCAGCCCCTGAGCTGTTCAATGAGAGCAACCGCCCAGGCTGGCGTGGAAATCAAGCCTGTTGGACTAACGTGCCAGCTCGGGGCGACTGGAAGGGGGCTTCTCCCAGCCCAGAACACCCGCTCCTCTCAAATTATAAATGCACAGGGTAGGGAAGTCCGTGTCTGATAAGAGATTACTCCGTCGGCTGCAGGGAGCAAATTACAATGGTTTATTTATTTATTTTTTTTATTCTTGCCTGTCCAGCCCTCCTTGGCCAAATTAACATTCTGCTCTTGCAAACGGGTCTCCCCTCCCCTTTATTTTATGAAGTAATAATTATTCATTAGTAGATTTCATTAGTCTTTATGCAATAAAATAGGATGTGATCTGCAAATCGAAAGAAAATATTAAGACTCTAACTCGTCCTTGGTCCTGACAGGAAAAAAAAAAAAAAGCACATTCTTGCATTCTTGGCAGCAATAAAATCGTGATCAGGAAGAGTAGCCATATTTTTTTAATATAGATTTTGACCCAGTGATTGGATTTTCTTTTTTTTTTTTTTTGTTTTCAGACCAAGAGATCAGCTGTCTAAACAGCAGCTTTTTTGATTGTTGGGCTTCCTGAAAGAAACCTTGCTGACAGCTTCTCACTGACCTGCAGGACGGAACCGTACCTGAGAGGGGATGGGGGCTCTCTCACAAAAGAATATTTGGGGCAGAACCCTGGAACTGGCCACCAGGGACATCCCAAATATCCCCTCCTCCTCAGGGCTCACCCCGACATCCTCAGCCAAATGAAGGCTCTGAACCCAGCCATCAGCTCGCAAGGCACAACTCACTTTGCAGGCTAATCAAAATGCTTTCTGAAGAAAAGAAAACTAATTATCCCACGGCTCTATTTTTTGTTGTCGTTCTGTTTGAAATAACTATGAAGTCTTCACTCTGCCTAACACTAGGCCCCAACCCGCTGTTTCTTTCCACTTTTCATCTTGCAAAACCAGTGCCTCCAACCTCTCTGGGGCTCACACATCCCATCAATTTATCAGGGACACAGTAGCATGTTTAACCCTTTAGCCCTAGGCAGAAGTTCATCCAGGGGAGTGGGAAAGTAGAGGCTGCTATTCTGTACTGCTTTTATTGGGGGGTGCTGGCAGTGGTTAGTTTGAAAAACGTTTGCTGTACGTTGCATCAGAGGTCACATTCATGGGACAAGCTTTGATTAACAAATAATATAAGAATTCCCTCTTTTCTTCTCTTACTTCCTACCTGCCTTTATTTATTTATTTTTGCATTCACAAAACTAAAGAGAAAGTCACTCCACAGAACACGAATGGAATAAAAGGCCAACCATTCTACCTTTCCAATCCTCACTCTCCCTTTCCCATTCTTTACTGTTGCGTCAAGCAATCTGCTGTACGGACGGGTTCGCACTGCTTTCCTTTATTTTTTTTTCTCTTGCTGGCATTAGAAAAGCCTGTAAATAACCCAAGAAGAGGAGAGAATTTTTTCCTTCAGCTCATTTTCATAAGAAACATGATACATAATACATGGCACTTTAATAAGACTTTATCTGAACGGTTTAATGAAAAACAAATACATTATGTAAAGACCCAATAAATGCTCTTGGCTGCACTAAGGCAATACAGATTTTCCAGTCCGTTTTCTCCCCAAAGTTGGAACCCCTCAGTAGTGATTAGATCCCCACAGATCCATCTTGCAATAACGGCTCTGACATTCCCTTAAACTTAAGTTTTCACAGTCAGACACACTGAAGATCTGCAAAGTACAACATGAGAACCAGACCTAAATCCACATCAAAATTATTTGGAGTCGGGCTCTGCTCTCTGGATAACTAAACCTGAACATCTCTCCACCAGTGCATGCAAACACAATCACACACAGGGACAAGTCCCCTTCCCATAAACACTGCAACTATATTAAGGAGCCCAGAGGAACACTTTTCCATTGATAACATCAGTGCTCCTTAATCAGGAATAGGGCATCCAATGACCCCAAATCAAATGGTAGCATCATATCCACAATCATCGCTCACTTGATGACAACACTTTGCCAGCCTTTTAAACCGCATCTGGGGATAGCAAATTTGAATTCCATCTCAAAAGAGACTGAGAAAGAGCCATATCAAGGCCACTAGCTCTGGCATGATTCTCCAACATCAATAAATGGGAGAAGTGGGGAAAGAAAATACTCTTATCTCTCCACAAAAAAAAATTCTAGACATTCAACATCACATGGGTTCATATGCATTCAAGGGCCACCCTGCCTGCATTTCAGCTACAAGGACCCTTAATGGAATGGTTATACATACCCCACAGGAAGCTGAAAAAGTGCAGGAAAATTGGCAATCAATAATGTCATCTTCAAATGAAACTTCCTTAGGCAGAAGGCAACTACCCAAGTTTTAATTTGACTCATAAAATAATATTGTAACTTTTTTTCTTCCAACTTTGCCAGCAATTTAAAAGAAGAATGGAAACCATTTTTTTCTTTTCTCATTTTCATAACTATTTATTATAACTTCCCAAGGCTGTTGAAATAGCAGACATTCCACTAAAAAAAATACTTTCTATAAGAGTTGCCATACCTCAGAGCAAGCAAGACTCCAGTTAGACAGAAAGAAGGACTTGAACTTCAATGTAATCATCTATACTGGGGTTAGCTCAGTGGCAACGTCAAGATGTGACTTAGAAATATTTTACTTTCACTTCCAAATTTAATGTGGACGACAATATAGTCTCCATCTTCATTAAAGTGAGCATGAAAGTATCTTTAGAAAACTTTATTATTTATCTGTATCAAAAGCACTTTGAGTCACTGGCTTGTTCAAACACCTGAATCATATTTAGTTAGTGCTGATCTCATTCCAGGCACTGTTCTAGCCCCCAGGTCGGCATCAGTGGGGCCGGACAAACAAAGGTCCCTGACATTAGACAGTTTACATTCTAGTGGGTGGGGGAGGGGCAGCAGAAAGTAAGTAATACAGAGAAGAAATAAGTACAGTACAATAGATGGTGGTGAGTGCTGTGGGAAGCATAGCAGGCAAGATCAAGATCAGGGAATTAGGGAAACCAGGGTAAGGGAGACGGCAGTGAAATCTACCTAAAAACTACACTTGCTCTGAAAAAATGCAGTTTCAGCTTCAAGAAAGCCCCTCTTGCATCCCGCTCCTTCCAATCTTATTGCATAAGCCTCACATTTGTTTAATACAGATGGTCCCTGACTTGCGATGGGGTCACATCTGGATAAATCCATGGTAAGGTGAAAATATCCTATGTCGAAAACATAATTTCTACTTATGATATTTTCAACTTACAATGGGTTTATTAGGACATAACCCCATTGTAAACTGAGGAGCATGTCTACATGAATTCTGTAGTTCTCTTGGGTCAATCTACTAGGGATAGGGGTGAGAAGTTTGGCACTTCTAATGTATACATTAAGCTGGCCTGTTGGCCTCTAGAATGTCTCAACCCCTGATGGTCCCTCTGAGCTGTATTTTGCAGAAGCTCCATTTCTCAGACACAGTTTCTCTAGGCAAAAGCACGATCACTCCACACTGAGTCAGAGGGTCCAGGATTTTGGCAGTGCTCAAATGAGCACAGCGCTCCTTTTTCAGAGTAAAGGGCTTCGTCCCAGGCAGAACCAATTCCAACCATTCAGCAGCAATTGCTTTGCATGTAATGACAGGATCGAGATTAGAGCCTGATTCTGTGTAAAGGACCCTCAAACTCCTCTAGCTTTCTAGTTTGGGTGTGGGTTGTCAGTGAGTCCAGGACTAAAAATAAACCACGCTTCCAAGAGCAGAAATACAAGCGCAGGCAATACCCAGTTCACAACTCGCTCCCACTACAAATGAGCTTTTCAAAGTTACATTGGTGGTTTAGAACAGTTTACGGCCATCTTTTGCCTAAAAGACTGACATCAGTTAACAAATAAAATCAAATAACGAATAAAATGCCTATCAATAATATATAGATTTGACATCACTGTGGAGAAATGGGTAACCTGAAACACAGATGGTGGGAGTCAAAACTGGTACAGTCCTGGAGATGATATTAATATTTTGGTGCTCACTATCAAAATCTAAAATACGCACATCTTTCAAAGTAACTATTCTAATTCTAGATATCTGTCCTGCTGAAATATTTGAGGTAGATACATGATACATAAACCAGGATATTCACTCCACCATTGCTTGTAAAAGCAAATACAGTTGACTCGTGAACAACACAGATTTGAACTATACAGGACCACATATGCAGAAATTCTCTGCCACCTGAGAGACCCAGAGATAGCAAGACCAACCCCTTGTCTTCCTCGTCCTCCTCCTCCTCCTCAGCCTACCTCATGTAAAATGACAAAGATGAAAACATTTATGATGATTCACTTCTACTTGATCAATAGTAAATATGTTTTCTCTTCGTTATGATTTTCTTAATATTTTCTTTACCCTAGCTTAGTTTATTGTAGGAATACATATATAATGCATGTAACATACAAAATACGTTTTAATCCACTGTTGGCTTTGAGTCGATAGTGGGCTAATCATAGTTTTGGGGGAATCAAAACTTATACACAAATTTTGGGCTGGGCATGTTGGCTCATGCCTGTAATCCCGGCACTTTGGGAGGCCAAGGCGAGTGGATCACTTAAGGACAGGAGTTCAAGATGAGACTGGCCAAGATGGTGAAACCCTCTCTCAACCAAATATACAAAAATTAGCCCTCAGGCATAGTCGCACGCATCTGTAGTCCCAGCTACTTGGGAGGCAGACGCATGAGAATCACTTGAACCCAGGAGGCGGAGGCTGCGGTAGGCTGAGATCATGCTACTGCACTCCAGAGCCTGGGCAAAAGAGTGAGTATATCTCAAAAAAAAAAAAAAAAAAAAACAAAAAAAAACCTATACACAAATTTTCTACATTGTGGTGGGTTGATGCTTCTAACCCCCATGTTGCTGAAGGGTCAACTATAATAAACAGCAATAGGGGAAACAGGGGATAAATAAAACAAGGTACAGGACATGCATGCAATGCACCAGTTAAAAAGAATGCGGGGCATCTGAGTGTCTTTCCTTGGAAAAATCTCTAAGAAAATTCTCTAAGAAGTTTCAGGATATAGATAACAAAATTTCACATGTGAAAAATCAAACCAAAACAAACAGCAAAACTCTACGATTCTTTAAAAACATGTGTGTGGATGCATATAGACATCCACAGAAGTATGTGCATATGCATGTGCGTAAAATAGGCATACATGCAGTCATGTGAAGTGCATACAAAAGGGCCCGGAAACAAATAAATCAATCCAATAAATGCTTTTAGATCTAGGGTAATAGAGGAGGGGCTATTGGGGGGGATTTCAATTTTTACTCTGTACAGATTTATGTCGCTTAGATTTTCACAATAAGAATGTGTCTGTGTATTACTTTTACAATAAAATGAAACAGTTATATTATCATCATTGCTACTACAACTACTACTACAACTGTTGTTATTATAAAGACCCCAGGCTACACGTTCCTAAAGAATAATTTTTTTTAATGGTGGTAACTTTCCCTGGCTAGTACATGAAAACCTGCTTAAAGCCACTACTGAGTTGCAATATTCTAGATAATTAACATCCACAACAAAAAAGGGAATGGACTAAGCTACATAGCACCTTAGCATCCATACAGGATTTCAGTAACCCAGAATCTCTTATCCGTTTACAGCATAACTTCTTAGGGACAATGTCAGAAATCAAAATAAAAATACCCAGATCCTCATCTTACCCCTTCCTCAGGTGCCAAGGCTGCTGAGAAACAGACTGCCAGGTTGGAAACCTGCATATGTTTCTGGAGAAGAGAAGGGATGCAACTGATTTCCAAACCCAGTTATGTCTCATTCTCAATTACCCATCTCACAGGGTGGGGTAGTTTGTCTTTACATCAAGCCTCACATATAAAGCAGGAAGATGTGGAAAATAAGTTTGTCCTTTTTTGTTCCTACAAGCCATGGCCCAAACTGCCTTCCCTCCTCCCTGCAGGCACAATGAAGAGAAAGCTCAGGAGGTACAGACAGTGTCTTCTCCCTTGACCCTTGAGCCTTGTCTCTCCTCCTGTCGTCTCACTGGCTACTGACTATGGCTCCCATGGAGTGCAAGCTTGGAAAACGGGATCTTTCAACCCAGCTCTTCCCCTGACATGAGGTTCTGCTGTAAGCCACTAAGCAGGATGTCTGCATTTACCTTTACACATACCTATACTGCTCACATTTTTGAGGGTAAACAGAAACACAGGACTCAGGGGCAGAGGGAAGGGACACAAAGCTAGGCTCTTAACTCCTGTATTCCTCCAAGTAGAGGAATAGAACTGCTGCAAACTAGCTCCTAGGAAACACCATGAATGTCTAAAGCTATTGTGGATTTCAGTCTGCACCCGAAAGAAAGGCCCAGAGTCCTGGGACTCTGAAAACGGTTGCATGGCCCACATCCATGGCCAGGGACAGGCTAGGGAGCCTATTCATTGCAGCAAAAGCAGCCATATGCCCATCATGCAGGTGTTCTGCATCTACAGAAACACACAAACTGGTTTAAATTCAAGCTCTGCTACTTGCAAGCTATCGTGAACATGAGCATGTGAGCTAACCATTCCGAGCCTTAGTTTTTTTCATCTGTAAAATGGGGCCAATGGTAGCACCCTTACAGAACTATAATGATTCTCAGACTTCTTATCCCCTAGCCCTCAATGACATGGACAGTTCCAAGAAAAGTTTAAAAATGGTAAAGAGACTGCATGAAAATTAACAGCTTTTAAATTTCTTGCCAAGGTAGTACATTCATACATACACACATAAACTCACATACACTGTCTACTGTCATAAGCATTTAATAAAAGAAACAGCATTTTACACGAAAATGCAAAAAAAAAAAAAAAAAGGAGGACATAATCTGAAAATAAAGGACAGTCCTTCAAATTGATTAAATTTAAGTCTATTAAAATTTTCACTAAATTGCCCTTAATTTTCTCATTTAGCTGCAGTCTGTCGAAAATGTCATTACAGAATCCAATGAGTCTGTGGATCGGCATTTGGGAACCACCGAGATAATGAATGTAAAGTGCTTCTCAGCATAGGCACTGGCACAACAAGTATCAACAATACTTGTTAGCTATCACGAGGAGACTAAAAAACAATTAATAGTTACACTCTTTAGGCTTGAATAACTATTCTCTTTACCCCCACAGGTTCACTGCAGCAAACCAAACCAAACACCCTTCTCATTTCTGAGTTTCCTGAACCACAGAGCAGCATGCCTTTCACTTAGGAGAGGCTTAATAAAGGTCAAATGAATTGAATTTGTTGGATCACCAGAGTTTATTCTTGTTCCTCAATGACTCAGCCCTGCTCGTTCAAGGCCACCTGAAATATGGAGTTGCGATGGGGTATTTGGGAACTCTTTCTGGTTCATATGTGGGTATGCCTCAAACACAAACAGCGAGACTGCAAAAGGTGTACTCCCCTGAGTACACCTGTAGTGAGCAGTACACCTTTTGGAGTCTTGCTGCTTGGTCTGAAGATCTATCTCTGGATCATACCTTTGCAGCTGCTATTATATGTCTACTGACATACAAGTTCTTAAAACCTCAGTTTCATTCTAAGGAGAATAATGATACTTTTCCTTCCTAAGTTGTTGAAAGATAAAATCATGTAATATATATAAGTCATAAAAATGGTGCCCATTATCTAGCAACCACTCAATATATAGCAACTATTATTATGAGGTATTTCTATTTTCAGCCCCTGACCAGTTGATGAAACCATCATTCCTCCTTCTTTGCAAAAAAATTACACAAACGAGACCAACAAAGTCAATACATTTATGGAAGGACTAACTTCAGATACAATTTTCTTTTTGTAAAGTTTTTTTAAATGACATGGCACTATACAAAAATGTATAGACATCATACACATCACCTTTCTGCCCTGGTCTTCTGAGTACACAATTTATTTAACCTTGCTAATGAATCAAATGAATGCCAGCTTACACATTAACCCTTGTCAACTAAAATCTTCACCAACTGTATCTCACACAACATCAGGTCAAGTCCTTCACTATTTTGTGAAGACTGACAAGCGTAATACATGTTAGAAAATTACTTCTGGCCAGATGGTAATTAATTTTTTTCTGATCTTCACAAAATCCTGCAAGGTAGATTATTTTTATAGTTCCAATTTACATAAGAAGAAACTGAGGGCACAAGAAGTATCTATCTTATCCTTCTAATAAGAGATGGAAAACAGGGTTTTCTGGTCTGTTGAACAAAATGAGAAAGTATCCTTTTTAACCATGCAATACAAACAGCAGTAGAGATGCTGCTTACAAAATCACCACTGTCATCATCATCATCATCATCATCATCATATTCATCATTTTTTACAATATCTAAACCTCGTAAGCACTTTTGTGAAGAACTACTCTATGCCATTTTATCTTCAAGCTTTCTTTTTCCAGGAATATATCGCTGACCCCAGCCACCTAATTTTATCATATGAAATTTTCCTAGCTTTCTTGTCCTTACTCAATTAGAGCAGGAGTAAGTCCCACCCTATCCACAGCTTGCCCTAAGCTTTTCAAAAGAAAATATTCTGCTTCAGTCTTTTTTTTTTTTTTTCTTGCCAACACTTTCCTATCATCATTTCTGGCAAAAGTGACAATTTATGGAGACAATGTTCTATCAGAGCAGCCAACTGACATATGTCAAAAGAGACCCGAGACACACCAGGTAGAACCCCAAATTAAAAGGTACCCAGAGCAAGCAAGTAACTTCAGTTCCTATAGCAGCCTTCCTGAAACAATGGACTCCAGGAGGTGAAGCAAAGACAAGGTGCAGCGTTTGGCAGTTGAGAGGGTGGGAGTCTGTTTCCAGTGCACAGGACTGAATGTAAGTGCGTGGGACAAGGAAGGGTAGGCGGCAGAGACAAAAACAGCTAAGTGGTGATTTCTCCTAATGAACAAGTGGGTGGGAAGGTCTACTTTGGGAACCCTCCACCCCACCCACTCTCTGTGTTTCGACTTCTGGATTAAACTCAAGCAAACCTGAAGGCAAACAAAGCCTGCAGAAGATTCTCTTTTTCCTCTTTCATGAGCTTGGCTGCAAGGTTCTTTGACCCCAGAAATGCTCAGAAATTTTATCTTTAAAGTACAAGATGAGTTGTCATTAAGCATTTCTGACTAGAAGTGACTTCACCTCTAACATCTCCAGCTCTGAATTAATCCACCTTGACCTGGACCTTCCCAGGGTCTCATCCTGGAACACAGGTCAAAGACACCCCAGGAATTCTTAGTCCCTGGCATCATTGCATACCTTCAAAGTCTGATGATTGTTGGAGGTGAGCTAGGAACGATGTAAGGAATCATACGAAACTAGGTTTATCTGCAAAACTTACAAGGTGACACTGGGGATGTATCGGGTATTGGGTAGAAAACCTTCCTGGCTCTCAAAAATCTCACCTCGGCAAACAGACAATCTCTAGGATTCCAAGTTTTAGTCCCCAAATTGCAATTCACGGTTACAGGCAGCTCATGTTCTCACAACCTCATCTGGCCTGCGAGTCCAGGTTCTTATATTCCCTGTCTCTGGGTTCCATTACAAAGACCCACACATAAAATTAATTAGCCCATTCTGCAATACACCCACTAAATGATGCATGTATGAGCAGACATGAAGATGGTGGCAGAGAGAATGGAAGATGTGATTCTCATTTTAAAAACACAGACAAGGATCGGTAGAGTCATCGTTCACTATCCATGGGTGATTGGTTCTAGGACCTTCCAAGGACACCAAAATCTACAGATGTGTAGTATTTGCTTATAACCTACACATATCCTCCTGTATACTTTAAATCATCTTCTAGGTTTACTAATACAATGCAAATTCCATGTAAATAGTTGTTTCAATGCATTGTTTAGGGAATAATGACAAGGAAAAAAGTGTCTGCACATGTTTAGCACAGACACAATTTCTTTCTGAATATTTTTGATCTGCAGTTGACTGAATCTATGGATGCAGAACCCAAGGACGTGGAGGGTCAACGGTATCTATCACATCCTTGAAAATGACATTTGGCTATTCTAGTGCCCTCGACTTTGATTAAACTGTCTTGGTTCCAGACTTTCTCTGCCTTACTTCCTTTTCCTCTTCCCTCTTTTCTTTTTGAGAGCCAGAGAACAAATTCGTATCCTCACCCCTTCATCCTCTGTTTCCTGCTCCTTAAAAGCTCGGCAACAGTTGTTTCTGTGTCTTTGAGGGGATCATCTCTTATCCAGCTTTGTATCAAGCCATCTTTCCAAACCAAACCTGTACGCTCCATTACAAGACCTATTGTGCTTACTGATGAAAACATAGCATTTCCTTCACCTCGTATCAGATAAAATAATTCAAGACTATTTCAGTAGAGTGACATGTAAGAAAAAGACTATATATGTCCCTGGCTGGACTTTTTAATGCACATGTATTGTAGCGTTCTTACATGCCTCATAGACAAAAAACTCTCGCTTGGCATCACTTCGTGCTTTGTTAGGTCTCTTACCTCCTATACCCTAATCGTCATCACCGTGCACAACCCACTTCTGTTATATATTTGTGTGTGTGTGTGTGTGTGTGTATACATATAGTATTATATATATTTTATATATAATACATAATACATATTATATAATACATTATATATTATATATAATACATTACATATTATATATTATATATAATACCTTATATATATAATATAATACATTACATATTATATATCATGTATATCATATATGATATATAACATAATACATTATATATTATATATATCATGTATGATATATGATATATAATACGTCATATATCATATATCATATATGATATATGATATATAATACGTTCTATATCATATATCATATATATGATATATAATACGTTCTATATCATATATCATATATATGATATATAATACGTTCTATATCATATATGATATATGATATATAATACGTTCTATATTATATATCATACGTAATACATTATATATTATATATTATACATAATACATGATATATTATATATTATACATCATATATTCTATATATAATATATACAATATGTAATATATACTATAATTGTATAATATAATATATACAATATATAATACATATAATACATCATATATTCTATATTATATATAAAATATATTATATATTATATACATAATATATAATATATAAAATACATTATATATTATATATAATACATTATATAGTACATTATATATTTTATATATAGTAATATAGTAATGGCTATGATACTCTTTACACACTTGTGAAGGATTTGCAGTAATGATTGAAAGCCATTGCATCAGACTCTTTGCAGAATACAGACAAATCCTTATCGCATCCCTAGCCATGACCTCTCCTCACAGGCTGCATCTCAGGAATCATCATGAACTTCAGACAGCCTCCTGCATGTCTCAGTGCCAAGGTCCCATCCTTGCTGCTATTTTAACATTCCCCCAAACAAACGCATCTGCACATGCTGCTCTTCCTCTATTGACTTACCTGTTTGTTAATGGAAGCACCTCCCTTCCATTTACTTAATCTTGAAAGCTGAACATTTGCCCTTCACATCTTCCTTTGCTGCTCTGAATAGTCAATTGGTTCCCAAATTGTATCATTTTTAACTCTTCCATCTCCCAACTATTAAGGCTGTCTTAATTTTCCATTGTGGCTATACTAGCACATCACATTATTTTATTTAGCCTAGATTTTTAGAAAAGGGGGAAAAAGCTATACTTAGGTAAGTTCCTTTGCTCTCAGTCTCAGCTCTTCCCAACTCATACCTCACATTGGTGCCACAGAGGAATTTTAAATACCCAAAACTAAGGATGTCTGTCTTCTGTTCAAAGGGCATCAATGACCCCTTCAGCTGGTTAGGGCACAGTATTGAATGCTTTAAGCTGGTTCTGCACATCTTACCTTGCAACGTAACTGGTACTTCTTCTACATATCTCCCTCTGTCCAGATACTGGTCACCTTGAACCTAGGGCTATAATCACTTATGCCCAGTGCATGTTAAAACATCTCCAAATATATGCTCTTTGGCTGAAACTGCTTTAATGATATGAATGTACAAATCCCAGAATGCCCAGTGCCTAGTTAAATAAATAATCACAGAATGAAATGTGCATTCTTGTATGTTTTGCAATATTGAGATGGAGGCAAGGATGATAGCACCTCTGTGTGTTTCTGTTTATTCTTCACAGGGGTATTGCTGGGTACATACCGATAATACTACATTACCCACAAGCATGCTGAGACTCAGAAGGCTTAGATAAGCTGTCTGCTTCTAAACATTACAGCGAGTGTTAATGGTGAGTTCCTTGTCTATTTTCTGTCTATCTTCCACGCCCCCATCCTGTACACACGGACACGCACATGTCCCATGAGAACGGTATTTTTCCCCTCTTAATGTTGCATGCTCACCACCTTAGAACAGCACTTGGCTTACTGTAGTGGATGCTTGTTAAATATTAGTTGAGTGAATGAGCAAATTTGAAAATGAAAATATTAGTCCTCTTCCATTTTCATGTTTCTGAGATTCATTTAATTTACTAGTTGGTTAATTCATTTATTCAATCGTCAGCTACCTTTTGAAAATAGTGTCTGTGCGAAGCATGGTGCTGGCCTTGGAGATACAGTGCTCAACTACGAAAGGACATGGAGCTTACATTCCAGATTAATGAGATATTTTAAGGTCACCTGGTTAAAAAATTACCTTCTGCATCTCAGTATCAGTGTGTGAACCAGCATCTTCTCAATAGCAGGCAACAAATTAAAAGACTGAAATGAATTGGATTATAAGCCTAATTGAAAACAATATTATCTATCCATACTCCCAATTTCAAATATTGGTGTTCATCAAAATAGCCTCATTTTCTCACTAATTGCCTTTACGATACATGCTTCACATTTGAAGTCATAAAATGCATCTTTTATCCTGCTCCTTTTATCTCTCTTATAGATGGAATTTTCTGTAACATTTATTTCTAAAATGGTTTCTACCGGTGTAAATGTACGTAGGTATCTGAGAAACAGTGGTGTGCCATGTAACCCTGGGAAGCACAGATTATAGGTTTACTCTCCTATGAAGAAAAATAATAAGAATTAAAAGAGCTTATTCTGGGGCCACAGAGTTTATCCTAACCTTGTCCTGCCTTCTTGATAACGAAATGGATGATAAGGACTAGGGAGGCAGACCTCCTGGTTCTGAATCTTTGAACTACAGCATACTAGCTGAGTGGCTTTTGGCAAGTTATTTAAAACTTCCTGAGTCTTGGATCCTTATTTATAAGTGAGACAAGCACTAATATTTTTATCTCACAAGACTAAATTTGATAGCATGGACTAATACACTAAATTTCTTGGTGCAACCCCTTAGCACCTAGGAAGTGCACAACACATATCAGCTTCAAGGATAATTGTGATAATGATGATGGTGGGGGTGGTGATGCTGATGATGATCATGATCATGGTGATGATGATGGTGATGACTATGATGAAAGTGATGGTAGTAATGATGGCACTGATAATCATGATGATCATCATTATCATATTGATGCTGATGGTGATAATGGTGATGATGACGATGAAGGTGACTGTAATAACGATGATGATAATCATAATGGTGGTGACAGTGATGCTCTTGCTGATGATGATGGTAATGATGATGGTGATGGTGATGATGATAATGGTGGTGGTAATGTTGGTATCGGTAATGATAATCTGGCTACTGTTGATTGTAAACACAAAAGTAAGGCAATGTACATTGACCTTTGTGGGAAAGACAGCCAGCCCTGTTCTCTTAGGCTAGAAACAAAGGGAGCCATCTCTTTAATCTTTCTAAGGAGAGCCCATTGCTACTTCCAATCTTGCTTTCTCTCTCAACTCTAGTGTTTGACTAAGGAAGCAAATGTAATACCCATCATCACCCTGACTGCTTTTTCTTCTTTGTAACTCAGCCACAGACATCTCTAAGGAGGCTCTCTGATACAGCAGGCAGGATCTGGCATGAGTGTTCTTCTGGGTAACTCTGTTGGATGTTAATAATTTATGATCTTTTTAGTGAAAACACTAACCTCCAGGGTGCCCATACTTCCTCTAATATCACTCAGATTCTCAGCAGGCTGTCACTTTCTTTTCTCCAACCCCTGCCTCTCACCAGACAAACGATTCCAATGTTGTTCCCCTGCATAGCCAATGTCCTATCAAGAAGCACACACAAGTCCAAGAAATACTGTAAAAAGTAACAACAAAGTTTTTGAGATGGAGCCTTGCTTTATCGCGCAGGCTGGAGTGCAGTGGTGCCCTCTCAGCTCACTGTAACCTCCATCCCCTGGGTTCAAGTGATTCTCCTGCCTCAGCCTCCAATGTAGCCGGGATTATTGGCATGTGCCATCATGCCTGGCTAATTTTAGTATTTTTAGTAGAGATGGCATTTCACCATGTTGGCCAGGCTGGTCTCGAACTCCTGACCTCAAGTGATCTGCCCAGCTCAGCCTCCCAAAGTACTGGGGTTATAGGTGTGAGCCACTGCTCTCCGGCCAGTAATAGCACAGTTAAGAATTACTTAGCATTTACTGTGTGTAGACACTATGCCAAGGGTTTTACATTCATTATCTTATTTCATCTTCCCAGAAATCTGATAAGCAAGGTGATGTGACTCCTCCCATTTCACAGGTAAGGAAGCTGAGAATGAGGGAAGATAAATAACTTATTTAAATGTACACCCTGAGGCCCTAACTCAGATGAGTGTGATTTTCTCACCTTGAATCTTCTACTTTATTGTATGATGCATTCCTTAAATGGATTTCCAAGTAGAATGTCTGAAAGTTGAACAATTGATGTGAGAGTTCTCTGAGAGTGGATTCTTTCTCCAGAAATTAAATTGAATTACAGGATCACAAACTATGGTTGAGGTAGGTGCCGCTTCCCCAGGGTGCTTGTGGGTATCTTAAACCACTCTAGGATTTCCCTGTTATATGGAAACCAGGGTGAAGGTAGAAAAATCTCAGACCTTGATCCAGCATCTAAAGGAGACCATGTTACTCCTTCCCTTCTACAGAACATGAGGAAAACAGATCTCAGCCAGCAAATACACACGAGATTGGTTTGGATTTTTCGTTCAACAGCCAGTCACACATCACTCATTTCATTTGGGCTAGATCCTCACAAACTATGTGTATTTTGAAAATACACCGAGGGAAAAACAGCTTAAGAAGCAGAAAAATGCACACGAAATGGGTGGGGGAAGGTAATATGCAAATCCATAATTATTGGGTAATACCCCATATATGTAAAATCTATCATAAACTAATTTGTGTTCTCCACTTCTAAATTTATCTCTTTCTAAATCTAAACATATAGATCTACATAGATATTTTCAAAGCTTTGAGGAAACACCCAAATGTGGTGTTGAGAGGCGACTTTTATCATTTTTCAAAATTGTCAATCAATCCAAGTTTTTAATAATGAGCGTGAAGTACTTTCATTATAAGGAAAAATAAAAGGTTTTATCTTCTTCCATTTAAGTAGCCCAAGTCACAGACTGAAAACACTTCTTGCCTATTATACCCCAGGTCAGAGCCTCACCATGGCCTGTGGGGAATACAGGCTTGGTCCACCAAGGATCAGCTTGCACCTACTCGCTGTCCTGGTCCTTTAGAGCAAGTTTGATGGTGATTCTAGAAAGAGAAAGAGAGCACCCTGGCATAGTTCCTGCACACTGCTGCTCTCCATGGAATCCTAATTATAGTCACCAAAGAAGTTTCTTTCTTGTCTCTCCAGGTCCTGTGTGACAGCTCATCATTCTGGTGGCATCTTTGTCGGGAAAACCTCATTTCTATTTTTATTATGAGGACTGCTTGTCTTTACTAGCTCTTTGTACATAGATCAAGACATTATCAAGACCTGCACTTTCCTCAGGCAAATGAGAATCACTAATCTTCTCTCTCTATTAAGTACTGTGCTAACTCCATTGGCTTCACCAATATTTATGTCACACTCTGGGACCATAATGATCTTGGAACAAAGTTAACCTCTTTTGTGCCACACATCCTCACACTCCTACAGCTTCTATCACGCATTGCCTGCGTTCATGTTCAATGAGGCAAGTGGTTATGTAGCTTCACCCTGACCTATTTAAGCAGTATCTTCTTTAAAGTTTGAAGCCCAGGGCCAGGCATGGTGACTCATGCCTGTAATCCCAGCACTCTGGGAGGCTGAGGCGGGTGGATCATCTGAGGTCAGGAGTTTGAGACCAGCCTGGCCAACATGGCTAAACCCTGTCTCTACTAAAAATACAAAAACAAAATTAGCCAGGCATGGTGGCAGGGACCTGTAGTCCCAGCTACTCGGGAGGCTGAGGCGGGAGAATGGTGGGTACCCAGGAGGCGGAGCTTGCAGTGACCCGAGATCTCGCCACTGCACTCCATCCTGGGTGACAGAGTAAGACTCTGTCTCAAAAAAAAAAAAAAAAAAAAAAAAATTAGCCAGTCCTGGTGGTGTGCTCCTGAAATTCCAGCTATTCAGGAGGCTGAGGCAGGGAAAGTTGCTTGAACCTGGCAGGGGAGGCTGCAGTGAGCTGAGATGGCATCACTGTACTCCAGCCTAGGTGACAGAGCAAGACTCCATCTCAAAAAAAAAAAAAAAAAAATAAGAAAGTATCAAAGTATGAAACCCAAATTCCCACTCTGACACTTTTGAGCATTTTCACAAGATAGGCTTTTATTTAAAGAAATAAAGTGGCAAGAACCTAGACCCTTGGGATCCTGCAAAGCCACATGATGTTTGTATGATGCTGAAGGTGGAAGGATATGAAATTTCCTCATGTCACCTTCAACCAAAATCATATCTTACAATGGCGATTGTGCTACAAGTGTTTACCTATTAGAGCTTACTCCATGCTAGACATTCTGAACATGATTTACATAAATTATTTCATTTAATCCCTATGCCAGCAGTGGTATTCATGCATTCACTCATTCGTTCCTTATTTAAATCATCTATAAATATTTATAGAGTGGTAAATTATGTTCTAAGAATTGTACAGTGTTCCCAGTATGCTGATTAAAGATACAAACAAGCAGACAAACAAACAAAACTCAGTCTACTTACCCGGATGGAACTAAAAGTCTATCAGCAGAGACTCAGTTTAAAAATCAATCAGTTTCTCTTAAAAATCATGTCCCAGCATGTTCTTTCTTGAGCCCTTATCTCAGAGAAATGGAATCTTGTGTTCACACAAAACCCTGCACTTGAAGATTTGTAACAGTTTTATTTATAAGAGCTAAATCCAGGAGTTAGTCCAGATGTCCATCAATAGATGAATGGTTAAACAAACTGTGGTACATCCATACCATGGAATACTACACAGCAATGAAAAGGAATAAGTTATTTATACACACAGCAGTTTCAATGAGTCTCCAGGGAATTACGTTGATCAAAAAATGTCAATGCCTAAAAGTCAGGTACTATATGGGTCCATTTCTTGAAATGTCCAAGCTTATAAATAGAGAGAAAATTAGTGTTTGCCAGAAATTAGGAATTGGGAGTGGGGGCGGGGGTGGTTGTAAAAAGAAAAACAGAAGGGATCCAGTGGTGATGGAAATGTTTGTTATCCTGACTGTGGTGTTGGATGCACAGACCTACATGTGCGGTAAAATTCTACAAAACCAGATAAAACTACCACCACTGCAAACACACACACACACACACACACACACAATTAATGCAAGTAACATTGGGGAAATTTGAATAAAATCACTGGGTTGTACCAACATCAATATCCTAGATGTGATCACTGTACTTTAATTTTGCCAAATGTTACCATTGGGGAAAACTGTGTAAAGGGTACATTGGAACTCTCTGTATTATTCCTTACAGCTGCATGTGAATCTGCAATTATCTCAATAAAAATTCCAATTAAAAATCAAATTATACAGTTAATTTTCTGAGGCCCATTGTGGTAAATGCTATAAAGGATAAGAACAGGTTGCTAAAAAAAAAAAAAAAAAAAAAAAAAAAAAAGTAAGGAATCTATAGATAGCAAAGGGCTGGATTGAGACTGAGGGTGAGGGAAGGCTTTTCTGAAGAGGCGGCATTCCATTGGGCAACGGAGGGATGAGGCGTTGGCGAGGAGAAAGGTGGGTGGGAAAATGTTCCAGAAAAGGAAACAGTGTGTGGCAAGGATGTAAGAAAGAGTGTGCATGCTCAGGCAATAAAGAAGGAACATCCAGTACAAGAAGGCAGTGGCCAAAAGATGAGGGGCCATCTTAAAGCTCTAACACTCAGCCAGTGACTGCCCTGAACTTGTGCAGAGTTATTATTTTGCCATTAATTCTGCTGCAATCCAGTAAGGCACAGATAAACCGTGAGGTCGCAGAGCTAGGAAGTATCAGATCCAGGATTAAACACCGAAACTACCACTCTGTCCTCTGCCTCTCTTAAAAAACATCTTTATGAAGTTAAAAAGGGCCAGGAGTGGTGGCTTATGCCTGTCATCCTAGCACTGTGGGAGGCTAAGGTGGGAGGACTGCTTGAGGCCAGGAGATCGAGATCAATCTGGACAATATAGCAGGACCTCATCTCTACAAGAAGTTAAAAAATTAACCAGGCGTGGTGGTGAGTGCCTGTGGTCCCAGCTACTCAGGAGGCTGAGGTGGGAGGACTGCTTGTGCCCAAGATTTCAAGGCTGCAGTGAGCTGTGATAGTGCCACCGTACTACAGCCTGGGATACAGAGCAGGAGTCTATATCTTAAATGAATGAATAAAGTTAAACATAAACATACTTCTCAATCCAGCAACACCACTCCTAGGAATTTACCCAGGAGAACTAAGAATTGTTATACAGAATTACCTGTACATAAATGCTTACAGCAACTGTTTCATAATCAGCAAAAACTGGAAACAACACAACCGCCCTTCAACTAGTGAATAAACTATAGTGCATCTGTACCACAGAATGCTACTCAGCAATAAAAGGGAAGAAGGAACTGTTGATAGATGCAACTACCTGGATGAATCTCAAATCCATTACACAGAGATAGTCAGGCCTAAAGGCTACGTACTTCTGATTCCATTTGTAGGACATTCTGGAGACACCAACACTGTAGAGACAGAAAAGAGACTGCCAATTCCCAGGATCTAGAGCTGGGGACTAACTATAACTAGGCCCTAGGCAAGTTTTTGGAATGACGAATATGCTCCAAATCATGCGGACGCTGGTGGTTATTACATCACTGTATGCACTTATTGAAACTTGAAGAACTGTGTGCTAAAATGAGTACATTTTACCGTGTGTAAATTATGCCTCAGTAAACCTGACTTTGATGCAATGATCTGATGACATGATCTAGATCAAGTCCAGAAGAGATCCTTTCTCACTTCTGGCAAGCTCTGGGTGACCCTAAGAAGCAACAATATGAGAGTCTTATTTTAGAAGATGCCAATTAAAGAAAACTGAGTAAGGATACAGCTTCTGAGGACGGTGAGGCTGAGTGGTGTTTAGGGAGAGGCGATCTAGGGGATGGAGATACAGAATGTCAAGGGTGTTTCCCTGGCCAACACAGAGGGGAGGTGTTATGGAAGTGTCAACCAATTTCCTCCACCCATACGATTTTCTTAGCAAATTCATACTCCTTTCCACCACGGAAGAGGCACCATCATCTACCTAGTGAGCTCCCCTAAATCTTTCCAACTGTGGGAACTCATGGTGGACACTGATCCATGCTGGTTCAATGAGATCTTCTCCCTGTCAGGAATGCTGGATTGGAGTATAGAGACTGCAGAGGCAGATTGGGGGACCAGGGAGGAAGGCCATGGAAAACTGAAAGCTGGACCAAGCACTAGGGGATGAACGAACAGAGAGAGACAAGCAGAGAGAGGCACACAAAGTCAAAATGCTTAACCCACCACTATGGAAAATCATGTGGAGATTCCTTAAAGACCTAAATGTAGAACTACCATTTGATCCAACAATCCCACTACTGGGTATCTACCCAGAGGAAAAAAAGTCGTTATACAAAAAAGATACCTGCACATGCATATTTATAGCAGCACAATTCACAATTGCAAAAATGTGGAACCAACCCATCCATAAACCAATGAGTGCATTGAAGAAACTGTGAGATACACACACACAGATACACAAACACACACACATGATGGACTACTCAACCATAAAAAAGTAATGAATTAATCGCAGTTGCAGCAACCTGGATGCGATTGGAGACTATTATTCTAAGTGAAGTAACTCAGGAATGGAAAACCAAACATCATATGTTCTCACTCATAAGTGGGAGCTAAGCTATGAGAATGCAAAGGCATAAGAATGACACAGTGGACTTTGGGGACTCAGGGAGAAAGGGTGGGAAGGAGGTGAGGGGTAAAAGCCTACAAACTGGGTGCAGTGTATACTGCTCAGGTGATGGGTGCACCCAAATCTCACAAATCACCACTGAAGAACTTATGAAATCAAACACCACCTGTTCCCCCAATAACCTATGGAAAAATTTTTTAAAAGAACGATAACAGGAAAAAAAAAAGCTTAATCAACCAGAGAACAGAGAGCAGAAGGCTCCAGGGAGAGGGTGCAAGAGCAAAAGGCAGCAGAAAATCCACCTGATAACTTCTAATATCCATGTATTTCCCCATATTTCATGCAACTGAGTTTTGTGAAATATCTTTTGATTCTTATAATGAGATATCTTCATACAGGGTGAGTTTCTGTTCCTTACAATTAAAGAATTCCTAAGACCCTGTGCCTTGCAATGAGTTGGGGGTGAACAAGTAACTGTGGCATCCAGGAATAAATGAAATCCCCTTTGCAAATGCCATTTACTTGTTCCTCTGACTGTTAGTCTGAGCAAACGCTGCAAAGAAAATGGGTTTGGGGCGGTGAGTGGTGGATTCTGTCCTCCCTTTTCAGACATCGCTTTAGTCGGCCAGGTACAGTGGCTCACACCTGTAATCCCAGCACTCTGGGAGGCTGAAGTGGGTGGATCACCTGAGCTCAGGAGTTGAGCTTGGGCAACAAATAGAAACCCTGTCTCTACAAAAAATACAAAAAAAAATTGCCAGGCGTGATGGCACGCGCCTGTGGTCCCAGCTACTCCGGACGCTGAGGTGGGAGGATTGCTGGAGCCCAGGAGGTAGAGGTTGCAGTGAGCTATAATTGTGCCACTGACCTCCTGTCCATCCTGGGTGACAGAGTAAGACCTTTTCTAGGAAAAGAAAACAAAAATAAAAGGAAAAGAAAAGAAAGGAAGGCAGGGAGGAAAAGAGAGAAAGAAAGATTATTTTGGTCTGCAGAGAGGAAGTCAAGATTGTCTCCTGGATTCAAACTCAAGCAAACTATAAATAACCCACGTTTCCCTCAATAGACTCTCTCCTAACAGTCACTCAGTTTATGATGACTGATTTGCATATTGCTCTCAGTGGCTGGACACTGTCTTCTCATCTAGACTAGAACCCCATGAAGAAAAGAACATGCTGTGTATTTTCTCTGACTTCCAACACCAGATATTGTGCCCAGACAATGCTAATAAGAATAGTAGTTAACACTTACATAATGGTCTCTTTGTGTGTGTATGTGTGCAATCCTTTTTCACTACAAACTTGGGAGAGATATACAGTGTTAGAACTATCTGTGTTTTATAGAAGAGAGGACTAAAGTACAAAGCAGGCAAGTGTTTTGCACAAAGTCACCTGGCTCTCATACAATAAGGGAAGCAGCCCATCTGCCTCCAAATGTATGCTAAACTACCCCCCAAGCAGAAGCTCATTAAATACACATGCAATTGCACTGGGCACGGTGGCTCACGCCTGTAGTCCCAACACTGTGGGAGGCTGGGACAGGCAGATCACTTAAGTTCAGGAGTCTGAGACCAGCTTGGCCAACACAGTGAAGCCCCATCTCTACTAAAAATATAAAAATTAGCCAGGTGTGGTGGCACACACCTGTAATCCCAGCTATTCAGGAGGCTGAGGCAGGAGAGTTGCTTGAACCCAGGAGGCAGAGGTTGCAGTGAGCCAAGACTGTGCCACTGCACTTCAGCCTGGGTGAAGGAGACTCACTCTGTCTCGGAAGGAAGGAAGGAAGGAAGGAAGGAAGGAGGGAGGGAGGGAGGGAGGGAGGGAGGGAGGGAGGTAGGTAGGGAATCACATGCAATTGATTCAAGAGGCCCAGAGTAGCTGCCATTATGTACCCTTTCTTTAGTGAGTACAAATATGGCCATAGGATAGCGGTTCTCAAGCAGTGGGTGATTTTGCACCCCAGGGGATACTGGACAATGTTTTGACTCCCAGAGGAAAGGGTGTTACTAGTGTCTCATGGGGAAAGGCCAGGGATTTTGCCAAACATCCTACAATGGATAAAACTCATATCAATGAACTATCAATCTGGTCCAAAACGTCAGCAGGGCCCCTCTTGAGAAATATGTTCTAGGATGCCAGTTGACTGCCCCAGCCACTCTGTCCTTATGTGCGGAGCTCTCCGAAGGTAGCGGCCCCACTGAGATGTCACTCAAGCTTGTCCCTGGACTACAGCCCTAGTGGTCTTTATCACATGATGATCTCCATGTGGACTCCCTGTCACAGGACCTAATGGCAGAGGCACATGGGCCTCCCTCTTATCTACCAACACCTTATTATTCTCTTTGGACAAAGGTGAGGTGATCCTGGGGATCCCTTGGACATTGTGCAGATACTGTGCATGTCTTTCTTAACCAACAGGTTGGGGATGACCTACTGTTAATAGTCTTAGGGTCTATGGAGGGAGAAGAAGGACTCTATTCTGGAAGGCAGAACACCCAGATCTAAGTGAAGCTGGGGAAGTGACCTAAGCCCTCTGAAACACAAGCTTGCTCATTTTGCAATGAAGGCAAGGCTGAATGGATGAGGAAAACAGCTGAATTTAGTCAAGGTGTACATCGTGTTTTCCTTTGCGTTTGCAAAGAACCAAGACTCTGTGGTCAACGAAGTCAAACTCAGCCAGGATTCAGAAGCTGGCTCTCTTTCCATAGCAGGCACAATCTGTTTTGAATACAGATCCAATCGCAGCGGGAACCAAACACCTTCAGAGCAGGTGATGTGGCGCTGGCCATGGAGTCAGCAAATGCAACATCTGCTGATATGGCCAACTTGGCTGCCCTATTGTTACCAGGCCCACTGGTTTCTCAAAGGTCATACCTGATCAGGACCATAATGAGCCAATGATCAATTTCCCTTTCAGCCTTCATGAGTCCTTGAGGGCTGGCTCTTTAGGGATAGAAAGCTTGGCCATTTCTGGAAGTTGCCTTTCCTTGTGGGATTTCACATAAGAGAAAGAGGAACTATGAGCTCTTTCCAGAGAAGCACTCATTCAGGTCAGGCAACACCAGGGCGAGCTTACGTCGCCCATTATGCCTGGTCTGCTAGTTCATAGAATGATGTGACCATAGATAGCCTGATTCCCCCAGCTCACCTCCATGCCAGGCCATCCCTCCTCTCTATTCCCAGAACATTTTATTTTGATGTCTAACGTGGCCCTGGCTATAATATAGTATCAGCCTGTCACTTTACCCCAAAGCCAGCAAGCACCAATAGGACAGGGCTGGTTTCCGTGGCCACTGCAACCTGGACGCTGCGCTCAGGCCTGAGTGTGGTGAGGACTCAGTAAATGCCGGCTGAATAAACGAGTAACAGAAAGCCTGGCTTACGCACAGAGAAATGAATTCAAGAGCAAAGCCCCAAAGAGACCACCTGGTGAAAAGCAGAAAATATCATTAACTGAAAACAAGACATTTCTGAGAAATCCGCATTTCAGCTTTACCAAAGAGACACTGTACCACTTTGCCCAAGTGACATGTTATAAACAGAGAAAATGCAGCATTTATTTCTATTACACTGAAGCTTCCTCTGTGTAAGTCAGAGAGGGTAGGCACTCAGCATGGGGTCCCCCATGGCCAAAGATCCATGTTTAAAAAAAAAAGAAAGAAAGAAAAGGAAAGAGAAAATGTACATTAAAAAAAAAAAAGAGTCTCCAGAAACCTACGTCACTTTTAGAATTAGATAAAATAGGACTTTTTATCCATCCGTCATCAGTTTTTAGATTTTAAAATCCAGCTCTTAAGAGAAATATAATCAAATATTTTTTAAGAAGGAAAAAAAAGCCAGAAGAAAGCAATCGAACAATCAAATTTTAACTATCTTCACTCTCTAGCCCCGGTCAGAATAATTCCCTTTCGACAAGATAAATTTAGGCTGAGAACAAGACAGCCTTGGCCCAGCTCCATAATTCATTGGCAGCTTTAATCTTCAGAATGAATATCAGTGTACATATCAGGTTTTATTGCATTTTTTAAACAAATGATATTTTAAGTTCAAACTGAATACATCATGAGTTGGCAATTTGTAATATGTTTTCACTGAAAAGGAAATAAAAATAAAATTCCTTCAGACTTTTTGATATGAATTGCAGACTTGCAAAAAGACTGGTTATAGAGAATGTAGGATAGGAAAGGATACAAACAGAAGTCAATATGAAATAAATGCATCCCACAGACAGTCATGATAAATTTTAATGAACTCTAAAAGGATGAATACACTTTCTTAAAAGGTATGCTGGTAATATTGGACAGATCTGTATGATGAAAGTAAATATATTTAGTCAATCATCTAAATGGTTGGCCTTCAAAATGTCCAACACCCTCTGGCTTGCACATGTCAGATATACATAGGAATCTTTATGTAGATATTTTGATCTTGGGTAAATTTAAGACTTCACCATCTAGAGACACTGAAGGAGGTTTGATCTCTCTTTAAGCATTACGGAACACATGTCTAATTAGCTGGTATACTTGCAATTCAATCAAGGGGTTTGTGAATAGGCACACATTTGCAACTGGTTAATTTGTTGAATGCATACACCAAGTATAACCATATCAACCATTTCCAACTTAAAACCACGTGCACAGAATTTACCTTACAATTTTGGAAACCAAGCGGAGCCAAATACCACTATGGATTCATTAAGCAACCAATTTAGCCGCCTACGGAATCAACTGAATGATAGGCAATGCTAGCATTATTCTGCATTGACCACCAATAAGGAACTGACAGAATTCTTGCCTCTTTTCAATAAAATATTAATGTCTTAGTACCTTTTTTTTTTTTTTGCTAATCATTTTCTCCTACTAGACTTTCATACCCTTTTTCTTCTGAGTTAGTCATCTTCTTCTGTAATAAGAATGTCTCTAGAAGAGCTGCAAAGTGTTCTCAAACACTGACGTGGGAATTCTTATGTTAACTAATATGCTAATTTCATTTTAACTGATATTCCTGTTTTCTATACTGGACTAAACTTCCTCATGCTATGCTGAATAAATATCTTGACCATTCTGTGCCTATAGAAGTCCTTGGCTTTGATTTTTCGATGGGTATCCGCCCTGGTAGACTTCTCTCAAGCTTCTTGGGCCTTTAAGGAACCCTACCACTGAGACTAAGAAATAATGAGCTTTCAGACTTAAATACCTGTATTTTATGAAGATCTAGATTATCAGAACATCTAGTTTAGGATCCTAGATTATGAACATCTAGGTTCAATTACCACTAGCTACACTAACAATTGTGGCTTCATCCCAATTAAATGGTGTCCTATTCGCTTTGATTATTAGAATAGCTTTCTTCTGGTGGCACAGAGAATGTACAACATTCCAGCTGGAGATGGGTGGGAGATGGAGGTAGGCAATTCAGGAAAGGTTTTCTAAAGAAGGAGATATCTACATACAAACCACATTGGATCTTCCCTGAGTAACCACAGATGCATTGCAGTAGAATATCATGATATTTTGCTTCTGAAAATCCATCCTCATCTTTGATAATAACCAACAGAAACCATTCCTCCAGGATGAATAACGTGAAAAAAAATCATTAAATAAAAGTCGGTTAATTGCATTTCTTAAGAAATCCAACTTTTTAATGTTTCTTCTGAGAACAGAACAGCAGTATAGTCAAAGGATCAATTATCTTTCTTTAAAAAATGCAAAATACAACGTTTGCTATTCTTAAAGGGCTGCAGACAAATTCTCATTTCTTTCTGTAAAAATAACTTGAAAAAGACGCAAAGTTATACCATCTACGATTTGCTGCACATAAGCTGCTTTTGATTATATTGCCTCACAAACTAGATACTTTGCTGGGACGCATCAAACTGTTTATCACTAAACATTTGAGATTCCACTCAGATAATTTACACATAATTAGACAGAAGCCCACACTTCTGAGCAGCAGCATTACCTCCTTCCTAACAGACTATCCTTAAGAACATTTTTGGTAGCATAATCAGTATTTTATGAGGATTTGTAATCAGTCTTAACGTAGGTGGGAACAAAGGTGAATTACTCCTCAACACGATCAAATCATTACATAACTCAGTGCAGAATAATGATGAACTGAGGTTGGGAGAGGTAACCTGCCCAGGAATTTGGAGGAGTGAGGAAATTCTGGTCTCTTCCAGAGGCATAAAATGAATTAAGTGATCCCCTAGGAGGCAGAAAAATTTAAAAAAAAATCAGTCAAGGATAGAAGCCTCCTACTTAGATTTCCCTACCCTTTGCTTGCTATCAGGGAAGGAGATAAAAAGAGAGAATATAGAGGAAGGAAGAAAAACTAATGGTATTTTGTATCCACAGAGTCTTTTGTCATTCTAATGGATGTCCAGGCTCTTCAGGGTCTAGCCTTGTTTTTTCTGGACATCTGTCCTAAGACACAAGCAAACCTAGCTGCCTCCAAACAGACTGACATCACTCAAACTTATAGAGCCATCAGGAAGGAGAGGAACATTATGGGGCGTGGGGAAATTATCACCATTTCATGACACAAAGTCTGCAGCCAGAAATAGCTCAGTCTCTGGATACTGCTTCACTCTGCAGCTTCACTTCAGACTTGGCATGGTCCTTCCAAGGGGTATTTCAGAATCGCCACCTTGCAGGGTCTCTTTAAATCTACAAGCCTGATTTGTCTGGTTTCCATTTATGGACAAAGAGGTATGTTTAGGAGTTTCTTTATTGCCTTTTCAATCAGAAATGATCTCTATCATGTTTTTCTGAGTGAAATTTAGGCAGTGTGTAATCTCAGCTATCTTCAGTTTATATGATGACACACTTCGTGGTGGTGGTGGTGGTGTTTGGAGATTACTTCTAAGGGGAGTCAGCAACACCAAGTCTTACAGCAACCCCTGGGGCTGCCTCTCAGATCCTTCTGCACAGGTTGGAGTGGACATTATCTACAGCCTCATCTACCTCTAAACTAGGCAACATGTAAAGCTATACCTTCAAGATGATCCCTTTAAGCCTGAAGGTCACAAAGTGGATATTTTGATGCTTGTGGCATATGCCATCAAAACAATGCCTATTAATCTCATACCTATAATCCTGGGAGAGAGTGTGTCCAGAACTCCAATTATGTTCCCCGAAACAGATAAGCTCATCATTTGCACAGATTTCAATCCAACCTACCATCTAAATTAGCAGGCTTTCCAGAACAGGTAATCTTTCACTAAAGAAGTCCAGCAATTAGCAGCAAGAGCAAAAATACCAAATTCTATATAGTTATGGAAGCACATATATGCAGGCATGTCAAAAATTTATATATAAGAAAATCCACACCCTACTTACTTATGTTAATGTCTGGAGAATCATCATTGCTGATAAATATTTGATAAATGAATGAATGATGAAGTATCAGAAGCAACACACATGTCTAAAACAGGGAAATGGTTAAGCAGAGGGTAACCTATTAACACATTTGAATATTATATAACGATTAGAAATCAAGTTTTCATGGAATATCTAATGACATACATGGGAAATAGCAATGGCACAATGCTATTTTTGAATGAGTTAGTAGTGTAGCATGTGATGTCGATTGTCTGTTTTCTCCCTTCCTCTCTCCCTCTATCCCTTCTTTCTCTCTTTCCCTCCCTCTATCCCTCTCAGATATAAGCAAAAGCTCAGAGACAGATGGACAAGAAGGATCCAGAACCCTGCCCGCTCAGCACTGCCTTCCTATCCTCTCCACCACCCTTCGACCACCTGCTCAGATTCTTGAACATCATGAGGTCAATTAGAAGCTAATGCTTTTGGGCAGGTGCAGTGACTCACACCTCTAATTCCAGCACTTTGGGAGGCCGAGGCAGGCAGGTCACTTCAGGCCAAGAGCTCGAGACAGCCTGGCTAACATGGCAAAATCCACTCTCTACTAAAAATATAAAAATCAGCCAGGTGTGGTGGCACACACCTGTAATTCCAGATACTCAGGAGGCTGAGCCATGAGAATCACTGGAACCTGGAAGGCAGAGATTGATGTGAGCTAAGATTGTCTTACTGCACTGCAGCTTGGGTGACAGGATGAGACCTTGCCTCAAAAAAATAAAATAAAAAGTAAAAAAAACCTAATGCTCTATCTCAAATAAATAAATAAATAAATAAATAAAAACTAATGACCTCATCCAACCCTTCAAACGTGGCCCATAAGTAGACCTAGTTCCAGAGAGAAGTGATTAGTTTAAGGTTAGTGTCAGAAGCAAGTACAGAGCAGAGAAGTCCCAAACTCTCAGGCATTCAACATATGTATGTATTCTCCAAGCTAAGAAGGAAACTGACTTTGCTAAGCTTGCATAAAGTTGTGTATGTGTGTGTGGTGTGTGTGTGAGAGGGGTGTGCTTTACAGTTTCATCTCTTCTTTATTGTGTATCTCTGAGCAAAGCAGTTAAACTTTCTGAATTTCAGTTCTCTCAAGAATAAAATGGGGATAACAAAGCGTACCTCCTTTATGAGGCTGTTGTGACGATTAAATGACAATGCAAGCAGTTCCTAACATTACTCGGAACATAGTAAGCACTCAATAAACATTAGCTAATTTTATATAATTTGTTGATGCTGTGACTGCCATTGAAAGAACGCAGAGAGAAACCTCCAGGATAGACAAAGGCATCATAAACAAATATCTCAATTGGTTTCCTGGATTTCATAAAGCCAGTGGGAAAATTCCACACTTATGTTTTCTCTAGTACTTTGTGTCATTTCAAATATCTAAGTGTTGTATTTTACTTAGTGGAAAGGAGGGTCCTTCAACCACAGTTCAGGAACTATCCTTGGGGATTTAATAAAAAGTATTATAGACCAGTAATACTACAGAAAAACAGAAGCAATCAATGACAACTGAGAGAATTACATAATACATTTACGTATGGCAGATAATGAAATTATGCAGTAGCAGACAGAAAGAGAGAAAGGCAAACCAATCCAGCCCTGGAAAAATAAACAAGTTTATGAACAACACAATGAAATGGGTATGGCAAATATCTTCTCCACTGTATTCTGATGAATGGGGAATTTAGATAAAATTACTAAACGTCCTGTATTTAAAAATAAGGTCCATCTTTCATCAGAATAGAGCTTCCCAATTCGAAAGGCAGTTTCTCTTACATTTTCTCATTCATTGTCAGGAAAATCCTGGGAGGTAAGTATCTTGTTTGCAACTTTTCCATTGAAAAAATGAAGGCACAAAGAGGTTAACCCACTTGGTCTATGGTACTGAGCTTATATATGCTAAAGCTGGGATTTCCACTTAAGTCATCATCAAATTCCAGGGACCCTTGATGCAGCAGAGAGAATCTAAAATGAAATAATTCTTGTTTAGATTAGAAGCTAGAAAGGCACCAAGCCATTATCCAGAATATCAGTCCAACAGGAGGTCTGGTCAGCATGCAGGAAACAAGCATCCTAAAGACACAGCAGAGAGTGCTGTTTCCAAAACTTAGCGTAACATTCTGGCTCATAGATGAGAAAAAGAGAAAGGGAGGAAGGAAGGAAGGAAGGAAGGAAGGAAGGAAGGAAGGAAGGAAGGAAGGAAGGAAGGGAGGGAGGAAGGAAGGGAGGAAGGAAGGGAGGGAGAGAGGAAAGAAGGAAGGAGAAAGAAGGAAGCAGGGAAGGAGGAAAGGGAGGGAGAGAGGGAAGGAGGAAAGGGAGGGAGGGAGAGCGGAAGGATGGAAGGAGGGAGGGAAGGAGGGAGGGAAGGGAGGGGAAGGAAAGAAAAGGAAGGAAGGCAGAAAGGAAGGGAGGAAGGAAGGGAGAGAGGGAGGGACGGAAGGAAAGAAGGAAGGAAAAGGAAGAAAGCAGGGAAGGAAGTGAGGGAGGAAGGAGGGAGGGGAGGGAGGAAGAAAGGAGGGAAGGAAGAAAGGAGGGAAGGAAGGGAAGAACGGAAGGGAAGAAGGGAAGGGAGGGAGGGGAGGGAGGAGAGGATTTTAAAAGAAAACAAGAGTCACTGGTTCTGTGAAAAGAATACAAAGCAAGAGAATGCTCCTCAGAGGTTTCAGGAGCTTCAGGAGCTCTCAGCTGCGTCTGTTTCCTCCCTTCCTCTCTCCTCTCCCTTGTTTCCCTCCTTCCATCCCTCCCCCTTCTCAGATATAAGTAAAAATTCACAGATTGATGGAGAAGAAGGATCCAGAGGCCTGGCTGCTCAGCACTGCTTTCCTGTCCTCTCTACAACCTGGCAAGTGATAGTTGCCTATAAATATTTGATGAATGAATGAATGATGCAGAATAAGAAGCAACATATATGTCTAAACTAGGGAAACGGGTGCCAGGCATGGTGGCTGATGCCTGTAATTCCAGCCTTTTGGGATACTGAGGCAGGTGGATCACTGAGGTCAGGAATTCAAGCCCAACCTGGCCAACATGGCGGAACACAGTCTCTACTAAAAATACAAAAACTAGCTGGGTGTAGTGGTGGGCGCCTGTAATCCCAGCTACTTGGGAGGCCGAGGCAGGACAATCACTTGAACCAGGGAGGTGGAGGTTGCAGTGAGCCGAGGTGATACCAATGCACTCCAGCTCTGGATGACAGAGCGAGACTCTTTCTCAAAAAAAATAAAATAGGGAAATGGTCAAGCAAAGAGTAATCTATTAACATTTAAATATTGCATAACCATTAGAAATCAAGTTTTCAGGAGCATTTGGGGTCTTACAAACGCCGACAATGGGGATATGAAGAGGATATGATCACAAGCCGCTATCACTCTCTCTGCAAAGTGGTATTCTCTATTCCCAAAAACACTATGATGACTTCAAAGAGGTCCGAGTAACAAGAGGGGAATAGGTGGTGATACCACAGAAAAGCAAGCCTGAGGGGATATTTCCAGCAGGACTGGGGCACTCATGGATGTCAACTAATCGATATGCACAGGGGATGGGCTGTGAGGAAGCCTCTGCCTTGGCCATAGCTTTGAGATTTTTTTTTTTTCCTGAGTGAAACCCAGACATTTACAATAAGAGCCTAAGAGACCCTTAGCTATGGATACAGAGAACTACTGTGGCTTTCTAGAAGCAGGACCGACTTTATGCTGACCCCCATGAAATATTTCCTTTTAAATCACTGTTTCCCGACATCTGGCATTTGAGCCATCAATGGTACATCAGATGGTCTTGGTTAGTAGTCACGTATCTTCTAAGTTTAGTATTAAGTTGCTTGCATAATTATGCTTCAACTCATAACATCGAGCTTCTAGTTATTATACTAACATGCACGTATCTTTAAAAAAACAAATCAATTAGACATTTAATACAAGATCAACCAAGTGATACAAAGAAACTGGCAAAAATTACAACAGTGGTCCTGGGTCACCAAGGCATCATTGAAACTTTAAAGGATCATTTTTAGATGTAGAAAAAAATCACTACATGGATTGGGGAGAGTTTGATACGAGCTCCCCCCAAGAAATAACAAAGATCCAGTTGTTGCAACCCAGGCCCGTCTTTTTGCAGCTAGGAAGATGCCTGTGAATGTTCTCACATACAAAAAGGACAGAGATCAAACATTAGGAAACACGTGTAGACAAAGGCAAGCATGGGACAGAATGCTCAAGTGCATCCCGTCTCCATTTAGGGGAAAAGGACACTAAGAATATGGACGTGAATTTTATATTTAGGCTGCTCTCATGATCCTTCAAAAATGTGCACAATGTGATACACTCTATTTCAGGTCTCCTTTAGAACTGTGAGGCAATGCAGCAAAATAAGAGAGGCTTAAATTACCCAGCAATTTAAGCAGGGCTAATAAAGACACAGGCCCCAACTTGCACATGTGTGTCTTCCAAATGACTCAGCACCCAGCCCCACCGTAACCCCTAAGTCTCCATTCCTAACCATGATGGAAAGGGGATTCTCCATGACAGAAAGGATTTTCATTAAAATATAATATTCTTATCAAAAAGAAAAGTTTTAGAGAGTTGGCTCAGAAAGGGAGAAAGCGGGGAAAGTTGATAGGGAAGGAAGAAGAGAGCTAGCCAGCTAACAGATGCAAGGTGAAGCATCAGTGGGATTAATCAGATGCAGTCAATTACTGAAAGAAACAGTAGTGAATGTTTCCAGAGCTTCCATTTTTAAAGAGAAGGTAGAATAGTAGAGGTTTGTCTAATAGCAACTGATTTAGTATTTTAAACACTGAATTTTAAGACCTATTTTCTTTTATCTCATAGGAATAAATATGATTCTAGTCTGTGGGCCAGCAGTGAGCCACCACTGCATTGCAAGAAGGTCTGAAACTGCCCAATGGTACCTTCCCTTATCATTGTTAGGTGTTCTTACATGCGTTAAACTTCTTACATTTCCATAAGGTCTGAATCTGCCCGATGGTATCTTCCTTTATCATTGTTAGATGTTTTTTTTACTTGCGTTAAACTTCTTACATTTCCATCCACAAAGGAGAAGCTTATCTGAAATAACAAGTAATTCTGTTTGGTTTTTCATAAAAACCAGACAGATGCTTCCAGGTCATTCACATGTTAGTGTGAATTACTTCAATGAGGCTGCTTTCCTATTTCACACCTAACTGAGAAGGTCCTCTCAGGTTCCTGCTCCTGCCTGGGGGCGGAACAGAGCCCTGGCTAAGGCTCAGACTCAAGGTTCCCATTGCCTACACTGGGTTCCCATCTTAGCTCCACCTCTCAACGAGAAGTATTAGCTTCTCAATTTGTAAAATGAGGACAGTAGTATCTACTTTCCACAGTATTTCACATTGTGTTAAGAGCATGATATGTGTTTACTCTTGGCATTACGAAACAGACAAGATGAAAAGGGGAAGGTTTAAACAGGGCAATACCAATTTTTACCTATCAAATTAATAAAGTATGTAATAATACCAAATAATGTTGGTAATGACTAGATTAAACGGTATGCTAATACGCTATGGTTATGGGATGTGCAGGGGCACAACCAGTTCAAAAAGCAACATAAAATCTATTCACAAAGTATAAAGATGCTCATATCTTCCGACCCTGACACAATACTTTTTAGCATTTAGTCCAAGGAAATATTCAAAAATGTAAACAAAGACTTGAGTATAAGAAAATTCTCTGTGACATTATTCTTAATAATAGTAAGGGAGAAAGATAAAAAATTTCTTCAATAACAACAGAGGTAATAACTTTTGGTACAACAGAACATTATGGAATCATTACATGTAATTTCCCAAAATGATTCATGGCATGGTAAAATGTTCACATTTTAATACCAAGTAAAAAATTATACGATAAATTCTAAAAATTCACTATCAGTCAAATACTGTAAGCTTTTTTCCTCTGTCTGCCTCTCTCTCTCTCTGTCCCACAAACACACATACACACACACAGAGACCCCAAAAAGAGAAATATCAAAATGTTTTTAAAAAGTGATTATTTGGGGGTGATGAGCAGCTAATGGATGATTTTTGCTTTTGTATGTGTTTCTCAATATTTTTAAATGATCATATGTTGCTTTTCTAAACAGAATTATTTAAAATGGGTTAAAAGGGGTGTAGGTGTGTGTATGTGTCTATGTCTAGCAGGAAGCACTGAGAAGAGAAAAAGAAAATGTGGAACAAGTCACCAACGTGCTGTATATTCTGGAATAACCGGAAACTGCTCATTGGTTTAAGAATCTTTAATATTTCATATTTTTTCAGAGGAAGACGAAGGACTATGGGCTGTGAGGGTTAATGTGATCCAGAGGCTGATTCTTTTTTTTTTTTTTTTTTTTTTTTTTTGAGATGGAAGATGGAGTCTCACTCTGTCGCCCAAGCTGGAGTGCACTGGCGTGATCTCGGCTCACTGCAAACTCTGCCTTCAGGGTTCAAGCGGTTCTCCTGCCTCAGGCTCCTGAGTAGCTGGGATTGCAGGCATTTGCCACCACGCTTGGCTAATTTTTGTATTTTTAGTAGAGATGGGGTTTCACCATGTTGGTGAAACTGGTATCGAACTCCTGACCTCGTGATCCGCCCCACCCACCTCGGCCTCCCAAAGTGCTGTGATTACAGGCGTGAGCCACTGTGCCCAGCCGAGATGGATTCTTTTGCCTTTGGGTGAGAAAAAGGCTAGTCCCAAGGAGGCTCTAGTACTAATTTCCAAATAAAACATGGGCAGGATTGACTCACAGTTACACAAGCTCAACTAAAAGAACTTACAATAATCACAAGACAACTTGGCCACCAACTGCAAACCATCCAGCGCATAATCTGTTCTTTATTAGCTGCAAAGAGCAAGTCAATTGGCAATTCAAACTCCTCATTAGAACATATTACCGCAGAGCATCTTTGGAAAGGAGTGTCAGGCACTCCTGAGTAGCAGCAATTTGGGCAGAGGAACGACCTGCTTCCTTCTCCCAGAGAGCAAGTAACTCAGGCATCGAAAACCAGTAAGAGTGAGAGCGAGTCCTCCAAGGCTGCCTGGACTTCTTCAGCAGCCTGTTCCTTGGTTTCTCCACTTCCACTTTTGCCCCCTACTGTCCGTTCCCTGAATAGCACCCAAAATATTTTGAAAATGCAAACACAGTCCTACACAGCTTAACCACATTTCAGTTCAGTAACTACAGGCTGCCTACAGGACAGCAGTCCCATAAGACGTTAATGCAGTATTTTTACAGTACCTTTTCTATGGTTAGCTATATTGAGGTGCAGGGACACTGGCCATGATGTTACACATGCCTACCATATTCAGCACACTAACCTGCTAGCTTTGTAGCCTAGATGCAATAAGCTAGATCACCTAGCCTAGATGTGTCGTAGGCTACAGCATCTGGGTTTGTGTGAGTACACTCTGATGTTTGCACAATGACAAGATTGCCTAACGATTTGTTTCTCAGAGCGGTACCCCTGCCATTAAGTGCTGCATGACTGTACTGAAGTGCTTCTGACTCAACAAAACCTCCTCATTGAAGGTTTAATTAATTAATTTTTGAGACAGGGTCTCACTCTGTTGCCCCGGCTGGAGTGCAGTGGCACAATCTCAGGTCACTGCAGCCTCCGCCTCCCAGGTTCCAGAAATTCTCCCACCTCAGCCTCCCAAGTAGCTGGGACTACAGGCACGCACTATCACAACCAGTTAATTTTTTGTATTTTTAGTAAAGATGGGGTTTTGCCATGTTGGCCAGGCTGGTCTCGAACTCCTGACCTCAAGTGATCCGCCCACCTCAGCCTCCCAAAGTACTACGATTACAGACATGAGCCATCGTGCTCGGCTTCCCATTTTATTTTATTATTTTTTTAAATTTTTTGTCGAGATAGAGTCTCACTCTGTTGCCCAGGCTGGAATGCAGTAGTGCAACCTTGGCTCGCTGCAACCTCCACCTACTAGGTTCAAGTGATTCTCTTGCCTCAGCCTCTCAAGTAACTGGGATTGCAGGTGCACACCACCACATCTGACTAATTTTTTATATTTTTAGTAGAGACGGGGTTTTGCCATGTTGCCCAGGCTGGTCTCCAACTGCCGACCTCAAGTGATCCGCCCCCTTTGGCCTCCGAAAGTGCTCGCATTACAGGCATGAGCCACCGTGCCCAGCTAAATTTTTGTATTTTTAGTAGAGACAGGGTTTTGCCATGTTGGCCAGGCTGGTCTCAAACACCTGACCTCAAGCAACCTGCCTACCTCGGCCTCCCAAAGTGCATAAGCCACACTGTGCCCAGCTCCCCATTGCATTTAATAGGTAACACTCAAACTCTCCACAGTGGGAGCTACTGTCCCCCACTTCGACTCTCCTCAGGTATGCTGGCCTCCTGTCTACCCCGCTGGCTCACCCTTTTGAACCTTGTTTTTGTTTTGGGGAGCTTTTTGGTCTCAGTGGCCCTTTTGAACATGATCTTCTCTCTCCCTATTGCTCAGTCTTCCAGTCTCCCCCCAGCAACCTCCAGGAGTGCTTCCACACCACTCACCCCCAGTCCTAAGTCACCTGCTCAAACAGGCCTTCCCTGAAAACAGTTTCCAAACTTGTAATTCCTGTCCCAGTTCATCTCTGTAATCGGTACATGTTTTCTTATTTTTTTTCCCTTTGTAGCATTTAACATTAGCTAAAAATTCTTACTTTTTGCTTACTTTTTTATTGTCAAATATAAAGAATGTAAGCTCATGAACACAGAAACCTCATTATTTTGTATACCATTGTTACGGAGTGAAGTGTGCCCTCCAAATTCATATGCGGAAGCCCTAACCTCCAACGCGATGGTATTCAGAGATAGAGCTTTGGTGAGGTGATTAGATTTAGATGAGGGCATGAGGTGTAATAGGTTGTTCTTGCATTGCTGTAAAGAAATACCAGAGACTGAGTAATTTATAAACAAAAGAGGTTTAATTGACTCACAGTTCCACTGGCTTTATAGCAAACATGGCGCAGGCATCTGCTGGGCTTCCAGCGAAGCCTCAGGGGACTTTCGTCATGGCGGAAAGTGAGGAAAGAGCAGAAGCATCACGTGACCAAAGCAGGAGCAAGAGGGCGAGAGCGTGGGGGAAGGTGCCACACACTTTAAAATCACCACATCTCTACCGGCCGGGCACGGTGGCTCACACCTGTAATCCCAGCACTTTGGGAGGCCGAGGCGGCCGGGTCACGAGGTCAGGAGATCCACACTATCTTGGGTAACACAGTGAAACCCCGTCTGTACTAAAAAATATAAAAAATTAGCCAGGTGTATTGGCGAGCGCCTGTAGTCCCAGCTACTTGGGAGGCTGAGGCAGGAGAATGGCGTGAACCTGGGAGGCGGAGCTTGCAGTGAGCCAAGATAGCGCCACTGCACTCCAGCCTGGGCAACACAGCAAGACTCCCTCTCAGAAAAAAAAAAAAAAAAAAAAAAAAAACAAAAACCCACCAGATCTCATAACTCACTCACTGTCGTGAAGACAGCACCAAGCAAGGAAGAACCCATTCCCATGATCTAAACAGCTCTTACCAGGCCCCACCTCCAGCATTGGGAGTTATATTTCAACATGAGATTTGAGTGGGGACAAATATCCAAACTATATCAAAGGTAATCCCTCCTGATGGGATTAGTGTCCTTATCAGAAAAGACACCTGGCCAGGCATGGTGGCTCACGCCTATAATCCCAGCACACTGGGAGGCTAAGGCAGGCGGATCACCTGAGGTCAGGAGTTTCAGACCGGCCTGGCCAATATGGCGAAGACTCGTCTCTACTAAAAATACAAAAATTAGCCAGGCGTGGTGGTGGGTGCCTGTAATCCTAGCTACTCGGGAGGCTGAGGCAGGAGAATCGCTTCAACACGGGAGGCGGAGGTTACAGTGAGCTGAGATCGTGCCACTGCACTCCAGCCTGGGTGACAGAGCAAGACTACATCTAAAATAAACAAATAAATAAACAAATAAATAAATGAATAAAGGAAAGAAAAGAAAAGAAAACATAAAGAAAAAGAAAGAAAAGACATCTTCCCTCCACACCCACTTCTTTCCTCTCCCTCTCTCTCTTTCTCTCTGCCAAGGGAAGATACAGGGAGAAGGCCACCATCCATAAGCCACCGAGACCACATGATAACTAGACCATCCTACTACCCTGATCTCACTTCCAGTATCCAGATCTGCAAGAGAAAAGATTTCTGTTGTCTAAGCCACCCTGTCTATGGCACTTTGCTATGGCAACTGGATAGACTAAGATAACCACTGCACCCTTAGTGCGCAGAACAGAGTCTAGTCTTTATTAGTAATTCAATAAATATTGCTAGAACAAAGGGTCTGGGAGCTTATTATACTCATTTCAAGACAAAAAGAATGGGACTGGCCTGCTTTGAAGTCCAGAGCCTATGGTTTGAAAACCGCAAATGGATTCTACAAATAACTGCTTGGTGGCATTGAGTCATGGAAGATGGAAAGTGTTGGACTCTTGGCCTGATGGATCTTTCTGTGGGAAGGTGGACTGGGGGTAAATGTCTCAAATAGTCATGTATCAATTTTTTTCTATGCTTTCTCATCAACTTTTTACCCTCTGGGTACTTTAAAGTTTGGACCAGGGCTGGCAAATGACAGCCTAAGGGCCAAATGTGCCCCACTATCTATTTTGATATAGCCAAGAGCTAAGAATGGTTGATTACATTTTTTTAAAAAAAAAAGTTGAGAAAAATCCAAAGAAAAATAAGATTGCATGACACCTGAAAATTACATGAAATGCAAATTCCAGTGTCCATAAATCAAATTTTATTGTAATACAACTACATTTATTTCTTTGCATGTTATCTATCTGTGGCCACTTTCTGCCACAATACCAGATTTCAATACTTGTGGCAGAGACTACGTGGTCAGCAAAGACTAACATACTTAGCTTTTGGCCCTTACAGAAAAACTAGCTCAGAGACTTAGCTTTGTGAGTTTGAGCAAGACACTGGACTACTGTGAGCCATCCCAGATCTGTTGTAAGCTGGAGATGACTGGGTCTGCTTTGCACCTTCTGAGTTTCTCATAAGATCTTGGAGGCCCTCAACAACTATGAATTCTGCTCATTTGTTTTTGCTTTAGTGCCTATCAGCTTTCCTTGAGTTTACCAATTTTGTTTTTTCTTCTGTCCAGTTCACTCCCTTTTTCCTTCATATTTACCTTGTCTTTTTGAAGGAACACAGTTTACTGGCTAAGTGCTTGAGGTCTGGAGTCCAGGAGCCTAGCACATCAGTTTATAAGCTTCCTTTCCTTTGCTACAAAGAGGGTAGTCATTTTGTTTAAGATCACTGTGAGTAAGAAACAGGGTAACAATGACAAAATGCTAAAAGCAAAGTGTCTAGCTTGAAGGGTGTTGGTTTGATGGGGCTGAAGATGTAACAAAACCGCCAAGATCTTTCTGTGTTTTGTTTCTCCTTTCAGTTGTATCACTCCTTCCTTCTACTTGTTTTTTTTTTTTTTTTAATTTATATATATATATTTTGAGACTGAGTTTTGCTCTTGTTGCCCAGGCTGGAGTGCAATGGTGCAATCTCAGCTCACCACAACCTCCGCCTTCTGGGTTCAAGCGATTCTCCCGCCTCAGCCTACCTCTTGAGCAGCTGGGATTACAGGCACGTGCCACCACACCCAGCTAATTTTTGTATTTTTAGTAGAGATGGGGTTTCACCATGTTAGCCAGGCTGGTCTCGAACTCCTGACCTCATGTAATCCACCTGCCTCGGCCTCTCTGTGCTGGGATTACAGGTGTGAGCCACCGTTCCCAGCCTCTTTCTACCTCTTATCACCCCTTTTAGCTCAGCCATCCTTTTATTATGGAGCTGTGGTCCTCAGCCCTGCCTGAACCCAAAGCACCTAAGGAACTACAATACTGTAGGTACTCTGGCTCCAAATCCAGAGACACTGGTTTAAATTGGTCTCTTCTGGGATCCAGGCATCAAGACTAGTTAAAACTCTCCAAGGAGCCCTGCTACCCAGCCAGGGTTGAGAATCAATGTCTTCTAGTCTCCTGATGATTCCTGAGAACATCGAAATTCTGGGGCTTCTCAGGGCCCATGCATGTCTACCTGAAGGGCCAAACAGGTCTTTCAAAGCATCTTCAACTCCCCTGTGCTTCCTGGGTACTAAGGATGTGTGCCTAGTACCTTCCTGGTGCTGAATATCCTGAGCAAAGTAACTCACGGCTCTGCCATCAAGTGGCTTAGAATGTAACAGAGAAGAAATACACATAATATAAAGCATGCACAATAGCATTTAATTTCTCATTTGCTGAGTGACTCACCAAGGAATAAGGGCTATTCAGAGGTTGTGGACAGACTCTAAGAGACTAGAGGAGAGAACAGTCATTCCACCTGCAGAGGCTGCAGAAGTCTGCACAAACTCCTTTCCTATCACCCTCTAACACTTCCTAGAGTAAGTGGAGGTCCCAGAAATTTTACTCTCTTGTCCAGTGGCAATGAACTGCAGGCCTCTCCACACAGGCTGTGGCTTTCAAATAAGAACACAAGTTTTCTCTCTTGTCCTATCTATGATCCTGACACCCCACATCTGAGTCAGCCACATTTCAGCACTAACTTAGAAAAAGAATTGGATTCCTGAGCTTACAACTGCCTTTGCAGTAACTCTTCTGCCATCCATGCATGCCGGGCATGATGCCCTCTCCTTGGTGATAACCAAGACACCTGCTGATTATTCAGGACACCTCCACGCCCTCCTTGATAGATTGCAGATTGTATTTGAGACAGCTATCAAAGCTGCAGAGATGAGCCAGAGACTGCAGCAGCCACAGGGAATCAAAGCTGGACCCAGAATGAGGAGCAATGGGTGCCCCACAAAGTGGGGTGCTATGCATGCCTGCAAATGTGGCTCATTGCAGTAGGAATAACTCTGATCTCCTAAATTTTAATACATAGATCCACATCTATAGACATATATCCAGTTATTTACCTTTCACTTATTGCAATTTTTCAGTGCCGTATTTTCCAGAAATGGTACACCCAGCAAAAGGAAAACAAAGTGAAACTTTCAAAAAAGTACATGATTGGTTTTCCCATTAATATGAAAAAAAAAATAGAGAAATGGGCAATCAGGAAAAGACAGAATATTAGAATGATTTAACAACAGCAACCATAAAATGGCAGGCTATGCATGCATGAAAATGTGGCTTACTGCAGTAGAAATAACTCATTTCCTAAATTTCAATATACAGATCCATATCTATAGATATATAACTATATTTACCTTTCACTTACTACAAAGTTTCTCTGTGTCATATTTCCCAGAAATGGTACCCCCAGCAAAAGGAAAACATAGTGAAACCTCCAAAAAGGTACATAATTGCTTTTCCCATAAATGTGAAAAAGGAACCAACAGAGAAAGGGATAATCAGGAAAAGACAAAAAGTTAGGATGATTTAACAACAGCCACCCTACCACCCCTTAACTAGTGACTTGCAAAGGCTCTAAATTAGAATCACTTGGAGGGCTTTTCACACTATTGATGCCCAAAGGAACCTTGCCTCCTGAACAAATGAATCCAAGACTTTGGGGAGAGGGTCTGGATATCAGTAATGCTTTCAAAGCTCTCCAGGGGATTCTTAGTGTCAGGCTCTCGTGATCTCACTTTGTTGTCCTCACCATCCTATCAGGTAGATACTATTATTATCATGATGCCTATTTTTATCAATAAGGAAAAGGATGCTTGGACTGGCATCCTGTCAGACACATAAAGAGGTGAGTGGAGAGAGCCTACAGAGCCTGAGTTCCTGAGCCTCATTCTATACTGCCTCTGCACAGGGAAGTCTTTAAAGCACGGTTTGATGAAGAAGCAAGAGCTCAGAGCAAAGTTACTGCCGTTAGTTATCTCCTATGCTGATCAAGTGTTCCCTTTGGCAGGGAGACGACAAGGGACTCATACACTCACTTACTCAACAAGCATCCAACTTTTAACTATTAGGCACCAAATAGAGGCTGGGCCCCAGGTTAACACATGGAGGACACATTCTGCTGCCTTGATGTCTGGACATCATGACAGTAGTAGTGATGATAATGATATAACCACAAGCCAACTTTTATTGAGAACCTGCCATTCATCAATTCCACTTTATACATCATATACTGTCTCCTTTAATGCTCAGAACTATTCTACAAAGTTGAAAGCTAAGGCTCAGAGAAGCTAAGTGACTTACCCAAATTCACACAGCCAAAACAAGCAAGAACTGCGGCTGGAGCTCTAGTGGGTTGGCTCTTTGGATATGTGTCCTACAGAGGAAGTCCTGACTTGATGCCATTGTCCCTCCAAATTCCTTTATTGTCCATTTTGGGCCATTTTTCAGGTGGAGTCATAGACGCCAAGGTAGGCTTGGGAGAAACTTCCACCATCCCCTGAAGTGACTCAAATCTTTTGCCATGAACTTTCTTGACCCTTGAAGGGGCTGTAGGTGTTTGGCCAGAGCCTAGCATTCACCGTAATGATGGGTCCAACCCCAGTGACTGCATCAGAACTCCCCCAGCTCTTAATTAGATAGGGGTTCCCTAACTCTTGCACCTGGGGTTCATAGAAAAGCAATTTTCCATTTGGTCTTTCCAAGGACCCTGCTGTTCGGCAGCCTAGGGAATCAGTCCCTGTGTGTTCTATCCTGAAGTTCGTAAAAAGCTTTGGACTCCTTCAGGATTGAGTGGAAAATATTCTCATTAGAACATTAGAGAAACTTAAAAAAAAATCAATAAACTAATGGAATATAACACCAAACGTGCCCTTTAGCCAGACTCTGTTATCTTACCTACATAGCGTCTCTACATGACACATAATGGAGATGCGATGAGTTATTCCCTGAAGATGCAGCCTTGGAGGTCCAGGGAGACTAGAAGCAGTTAACGGGGAAAGAGTACATCAATATGCACGAAAAAAAAAATCAAACAGTGCCTTAGCACCCAGAACAAAACAGTTTGGGAGCTTTGTGGGTGATCTTTGGTTAATTGTTTTTGTTTCTTTCTTTCATTTTCTTGCTTAATTTTTAAGAGCGGCGTTTAATAAAATTTTAACAAAACACACACTGTATTATTTCACCTGTTAATTCAAACCAAAAGTGAAGCATGTCTGGATATCTGGCAAGTCCAAGTTAACAGCTAAAGAAAATGCAGTCTTATTTGTTCTATATGCAACAACTTTAATTACGCTAAAAGCATGTGATTCCATAATGATATGAAAGTCTTGGTTTGATTTCTGTATAAAAGTGTTATTCATTATCTCCTCTAAGCCTTCATGCTTAAGGATCCATATACACAATATATGGTTATATATTTACAGAAACAAAACAGTGAATAGACAGTCTCTGTTCTTATGGAGCTTATAAACAATGACAAAAGACAAGCCACACATTGCACAAAAGCATTGGGATCAACTACTTGAGCCTGAAATTACTAAATCAGGGAGGGGAGGGATAATGACAGTATAAATTGGCAGGCATTCATTTATCCCAGAATTATTTACCAAGGGCCTACAATATATTAAGCACCTAATACACCAGGTATACTAGATTCTTATTACACACACATAAAATTATCCTTTCTGGAGAAAAGGTAGTTTTTTAAGAAAACATTTCCCTCCCTCCCAATTAACTCACCAGCTATTGATAAAGCATGTGGCATTGTTACTACAAGTTCATGACTAAGTGAGTGATGTATAAACATCAGAAAACAGTCACCTCTCAAGTTAGTGATAAAATTTCAAAAGCTATAGGCTTGTTTATTAGAAATAATAAAAAATACAGAGAAAGTGTTGGAGTTTAAACTACTTTTTATCTTAATCCTTTTTTTTTTTACATTGGAGATTTATACTGACTATCTCCTGTTTCTCTCAGTAAATGATGTTCCCAGTGTTCAAAGCAGTATTTGTATCACCATTAAATGCAAATGGCTGCAATATTTTATGCAATGGCATGAACTCTACAGGGGTCTCACTCATTAAAAAAAAAGTTCCTGCCCTAGGAATATCTTATATGTGATGTGTGCTGAACGACTGGAACCCATTCGCTTTTGGTTAAAGATAATTTGCATGTGTGTGCCTGAGAGGGGAAGGTGTTTCCATAGGGTTTAAGCCTCTCTTTGCAGTTGCTTTCCTACTAGCGAAAGCCTTCCTTCCTTCAGTTTAATTGTATAGCATCAAAGAGAAAGCCCTTACTCAAGTGATAACTTCATAGCGTGATGGTGGAGGAGAGGTCATGTGGTGTCAACAGCTTCTCTCCAGGTGACAGATTGATGGAGATGGTCAACCAGGTTAAATTGCTTCTCATGGACTTTTCATAAAGTAGCTTTGTTTCATTTTAGCTACTAGTTTTCTCAAAGGTAGACGTGATCACTAGTTTGAAGAGGGGCAAGAGGTGAGGGAATACAAGGGCTTGGAAAGGTATGCAATATGTCATAGGTGAAACAGGACCCATCTTTCTTCCATCTAAAAACTTCACCTTATGGGAAACCAGAGGACCACTGCAAACTTTTAATGTTCTCCTTTCCCAGGAGCCCTAATAATTTTAAATCAGGGTCTCTTACTTGTAAATTCAAAGCATGAAATGACATCAGTTAGAGGAACCCTTTCTCGGTTCAAAATCAGCAGTAGTTGCAGCAACTAATAAAGTTGAGGTTAGTAATGGGGAGACAAATGAGATTAAATGGCTCTAATAGAACAGCAACCATGACCTTTGCAGTTCATTTGAAATTCAGCCATCATGTTAGTAAAATAATATAGTACAGGATGGATATTATTTTGCTTATATGATATATAGATCTCTAATATGAATCTCATACTTATGAGTAAATTACAGATGTGCCAGTACTGATATATTTTTACGTGCATGTACAACAATATTTCATAATCTACTTGCAGTAATTCGCCTCCCCCCTTGACAGAGAGAGAGAGAGGGTTTAGGAGAATATAGAAGATGAAACAGGCAAATAATGCACACAGTGAAACAGAATGTCAAATCTTCCCAAGTTAAGTGTATTTAGACATGAATCTCAAATATACAGTCAATAATTACAACCATTAATATTTCTTATCATTTTCACTCATTTTAATGTATAAAATACGGAGGCTGAATAAATTAAAGTGACTAGAATAATTAATAAGAAGGACACTGAACTGAAAATGCATTTAAGATCTTTATGGTGTGCATACATGCCTCTCTGTACATGGCACATTGTTAACCATACCTAAAGCTCTCCAGAATAAAATAGTCAAGAAATTATCGCTGGTACCTCTGGAAGCAGTGAATTATGAAAAGGCATTTTCATGAACAGAATATGGCCAACTGAATTTTATATTTCAGCACAGTGATCAATGCCTAAAGCTACCAGTTGTGCTGATTACATTGAACATCTCAAATGTCAGAGTTGTGTCGATACAGAATTCCTTCATTAGGCTCTGTTCAGCTTTCTTTCCCCCTTTCCTCCCTTGAAAGCAGGAGATACGAAGATGGAATCTCCTTGAAACCAAATCATTCCCTGCCCAAAGAGTAACAGAATCCAGCCAGAATGCAAGGACTTCCAATTTAATTTCCTTAGCTAAATGCTTGCTATCAACGATGATAGCTCTTGCAGCCCTCAAATCTTCCATTCAAATCTGCAGAGTTCTACTGAAATTCTAACACAGGCAACATCTATGCAGAACAGAGCAAGGGAGAGATTTCCTGGCCACAAAGAAATAAACACTGGACCCAAGGATGGCTACAGAGGAGGGTTGGGAGTACAATCTCACTTTGGAAGAGCAGTTCTCGGGAAGGGGCTCTTGGTAGGTGTGGATAAGCAAGGGTGGGCAACGGTGGGCTGGAATGGGAGACAGTGAGGTCTCTACTGGATAAAGCATGGGCTACCGGCTCATTAAGCAGGTGAAACCCGGGGGGTATGGCTGACAGCCATACCAGTCCAGCTCCCAGTGGCTGCTATTTCAGTTTGCAATCAGTACATTTTCCCTACAGTGACTTCAGAAATAAAAGAGGGAAGATAGAGGGGCAGCAAGTCTCATGAGGTTGCATGTAATTTTACCCCAGGTGGTGACCTTTGGGTGGTGGGAAATACACAGGAAGCGTGTGGGTTCTGGGAAAGAAATGATACTCTCACTTCCTCCCAGTCAGGGATCGCACTCTCAGCTGGGGATTACAGCATGACCCCGGGGATGGGAAGATGTTAGCGATTAAGTCTTAATGAGATTTTCTGATAGAGAAACAGTTGGACCGGAAAGGGTTTTCCGAAGGCAATTTCGTTCAGTTTCACAACTGTTCACTGAAGGACGATGGCATGCAAAGCCCGGCTCTAGACACACACGGGAAATGAAATTATACAGCATCCCATTCTCCAGGAGGGTCGGATCAGAGGGGGAGAGGAGACAGGATCAGAACGAGTAACAGAGAATGCCAGCCATGACACATGCCACAGGAGAAACAGAAAGGCTGTTTCCCATGTGGTCAGGGAGAGAGACTTGGGTAGGTTTCCCGGGTGTGATGGACTTTCAGATGCCCTAGTGGGGATAGGGAAGTGACAGGTATCCACAAAGGCAAAGATGTGTGCGTAGAACGGTGAGAGAGCTGGTGACTGGTCCAAGATTCGAAGTTAAATGCAACTCACAGGACAACCGTATTACTGACATTTGGCACCAGTGAACATGGCCCTGGGCGTCCTTCTCAATGAGACAGGGAGCGATTATTTACCCTAAAGGGGTGGAAATGGATTCTTAGTTACAAGAGGGTAAGAAATTTTAGATATGACTTTGGTTTGTGGCCATCCAGAAGGCCACCATACATCAACGCACACACAGTTTACATGGTATAAACAGACATACAGTGTATGTGTGGTATTAAAATTTAATGAGGGAAGGGGAATGGTGATTAGGAAGGGAAAAAAGGTCTAAAAAGGCTCCTTGGTGAAAGGTCAGCAATAATGCCATAAAAGATTGAGACAAACTAGTGTAGGCTTCTCCCATGACAGCCGCCTTTGTCTTTCAAAGAGATTGAAAATGAATCTGAGGCCAAACCTCAGAACTTCTGGTAGGAATGGTGGCTTCATCAGAGATCTGCTCGCTGACTGTGGAGGTGAGGCTTAACCTCTCCCCTCATCAGAACCCCAGAGGCCTGGCTTTTGGGAGCAGGGGTTACAGAGCTGGAAGGCAAGGGAGTAAAGAGGAGAGCCAACCTCATACCATCTCCAGCTTCTCGCCTCGACTGAAAATAGGTCACGGATTTACATTCTATGTATTTATTTTTAACAGTGCATTTTAGAAGCTCACCACTCCCTATTAAAAATGAATGATGACTTTAACAGTGTATTTTAATTCCAAATTACAAAGGCAGTATGTATTCATTATGGAAATTTGGGAAATGCAAATAAGACAAAAGGAGACAATAAACTAACACCAACACACATAATCACCCCATCCCAAAGTGAACACTTTATGATCTTATTATATTTCCTCTAGACTAGTGCTATCCAATAAGGTAACGGAAAGCCATATGTGGCTATTGAACACATGAAATGTGACTGATCTGAAATGAGACGTGCTGTCAGTATAAAAATGTACATTGAAGATTTAGCACAAAAAAATGTAAAATATATTGTTAATATTTCTATATTGATTATATATTGAAATATGTTGGATATATTAAGTAAAATTTATTAAAACAAACATTTCATGCATTTATTTTTTTAATTCAACCACTAAAAAAATTACTTTGCATATGTGACTTGCATTATATTTCTACTGAACAGTGCTGGTCCAGACCTTGCTTAGGGATACGCCCATGCATGCACAAATATAAACATGCTTTAAAAATAGATAATGTGGTGCAAATTCTTTTTCAATCTCTTTTACACTAAATATAAGCTGGACATCTTGCCATGGCAATACATATTCACTTATTTTTAAAGTGCATGTTTAAACATTAAATAATGTTGCATTATGTGGATATAACAAAATGTTATTAAACCAATCCCCTATCAGTGGATACTTATATTGTTACCAAGTAGTCACTATTATTACAACTCTGCAATTAACATCCTTTTAACGAAATCTTTTTGTACTCAAAGTTTCCACAGCAGTGTGATAGAATGGAAATAGCACAGAGTTTAAGGTCAGGCAATTTTTGGTTCCTATTAAGTCTCAGGCTTTAACCAGCTGTTTATCACTAAGCAAGTCATATCTCTACCCTCAGCCTCATTGTCTAAAATAGAAACTATCTTTCTATTTTTCAACAGTGTTGCAAAGATCGGAGATGGGGTTATTTTTGGCACATTGGGGATACTCCCTAAATAACAGCTAACGTTAATATTATGAATAAAATATTAAAAACACTACTGTTATAAAGTTCCAAAATTATGCACACTCAGGACACAACAGCAAATAAAACTCAAGAAAACTGTGGAAAACACCTTCTTATTAACGGTTGAGCCATTAATGAGTGAATTGAAATTTGAAATGTCTAGAGAAATGATGGTACAAAATGCAGTGACCACATTCTTGAAAAATTCATACCTATTTCAGACCAAAATCACTCATTCTAAACTTCCAGTCTTTTTCTTCTTGTTCATCATTGTATGAAATACAACATAAAGCACCCTTCTAGGTATGAGCAATAATGCTTCAGAGACGTAATGCCTATAATTTAGTTTTAGGATAATAACAATTGCAAAAATGGCTTGTGAATGTCTTTCTAACTTAGATTTGAATGGCTTTCACCTCCAATCAGAAGACAGGATTGAAAAGAAAAATTTTTCCTCTTTTAAGTAGCAACAGAGAGGATTATATACCTGGGAGGTCCTTTGGAACACAATGATGAGTTGGTACAGTTAGAGAAATAATAAAATAACACCTAAAATGGGCATATATTGATAAAAAAAAAGAGAGAGAGAGAGACAGGAACATGACATTTGGAGTCTTTAGAGACCGCAGCTTGTTTAATCAGGCCAGTGATATCTTGGCAATGGAGATTCCAGCTTGGATAATCTAAGAAATGTGCTAGATAATCCAATAAACCCGATTAACCTAAGGAGCCCAGGGTTGGTCTTCCTGCTGAATTAGTAATCCAAGAAAAGGGCTAAAGGCAAATGAGTCAAGAATTTCTTTATGGAGTGGTTAATACTATGAGTCCTTGCTGCCAAACAGCTCCTTCTGGGATCCTTGTTTCTCCAACAATGAACTGTGTGATTTCAGGCAAACTATTTCATTTCTTTTCTCATTGGTCTTCTCATTGACAAACAAGGGGGTCACAGGGTTGATGTGAGAATTAAAATAACAGGTGGAAGTAAAGGGCATTCTTAGCACAACAACACAATGCCCAAAGTGAAGTAAACTCTCAAAAACATGTTAGGAGGATTTACACTTTCCATCCCTGCTAACACCATAACGTATTTTCAAGGCAATTCTTCCTTTGCTGTCTCACACTGTAATAGTCCCCTTTCTAGATACAAGAGAGCTCCTATATAAAGACTCTTCAGATTCAGGTAATGAACGAACAAAATATTAAATCCTCCAATATGCATTTCTCAAGAGCTCTCATGTGCAGACCTTGGACTCAGTGTTGGAGACACAAGGAAAAGATTCCTTCCCATCATGAACTCCCAGTCACAAGGAGGCAGCAAGGTAAGTAACGAGAGGCTCCATAGATCGACACAGAATACTATGTGGTGATGGAGTAGGGGTTTCTAGGCCACCTGAGAAGTAGGGTAAGGAGAAGTGATGTCAAAGCATAGGCAAGATGGTCATGTAGAAATGAGCTGAACAGAAAAAGGAAAAGAGGCTGGAAATGAGAGCATTCAGACAGAGGAGACATCCAGAAATGACTCAGAGGTGAGAGTGCATTTAATGTTTTGCAGATGGTTAGAAAGGAAGTGATGACAAGGTCAATGATGTATAGATAGGCAGAGGATTGATCCTGAAGTCTCGTTGGGAACTCAGACTTTACCCTAAGGACAAGGAAGAGGTTGAGGGGTTGTCAAGCCGGAGAACACCATGCAAAGCAGTTAGAGTGAAAATGAACCAGAAACCAAAGCCTGACATGTCTCCGCTCTTCCTTGTTGCCACTGACATCAACACGAATTTCTGAATAGCTCCACAGAACTGACAGAATGATTTGTTGATTTGACCCCCAGGAGAATACCTGTGAATGGTGAAGCCACTATGAACCACAGGTTCTTTTGTCTTGGTCTCTGCTTCTTCCAAAGAAACAAGAAAGTGGAGAAGAGATTTTATCCAGCGGAGCCATCAAAATGCAAACAGATTGACCTAGATATGTTTGCTGTGTCCAGTGATGCTGTGTTTAAAGGTAATTATAAGAGCGTAAATGAAAAAGATGGAAAAGATGCAGAACACTCATTTACCCAGAAGGGCTTATTATCAGAGGCTCAAGATGCTGAACTTCCTTTAACATATGTGCATGCTTATTTACAAAATTTACAAAATGTGTGTGATTACACACATGCATTTTTGGAGGCTCTAAGATAACGGCTCTGCCAAATATGGGTAGGTCATATGAGTTAGGGAAAGATCACTTGGTCTGAATTTAGGTACCACGTTCACATCCCAGATCTGACGTTACTATGTAACATTAGCCCAGAGATACCTAATGCCATCAAAAGTGGAAATAATAATAGCCAACCTAAATACCTTTAGCGTTGGGTGACTCAAATTTAAAAAAAAAAAAAAAGGATGTAAATGAAAAAGGTTACGTCTAGGACAAGTAGCTGACACCAATGAGTAAAGCAGGTTAACTGAAACACTCAGGCTACACCCAAAACATTTAACAACTACCAAAGCTCAACAGATTGCTGTTATATTGGATGATGGACAAGCTTTGTCAGATCTTCCAACTTTTAATGAAAAGCCAGAAATATAAAGATCTGTGCAAAATTTCCAGATACTTCAGTGCTGACGATGAATTCCAACATGAAACAGCAAAAAGACAGCAAAGTACAAAAGGCCTAGGAACTGTCAGTTGAAGACCTCTGCCCCAGCCAGATGTGTAACCTTTACTTGTAATGAGCAAGCACAGAGTGGTGAATGTAATTTGTTTTCCACTTTCCTTATAAGTTATATTTCCACTTACTTCAAGTCAATGGAGGAAAAGCTTAAAATTTAAAGTTTTGAATGAACGAATAAATGAATGGAGATATGGGGGAAACAAACAAAAATCTCTCAAAGGAGAACCAGCTCCTTCCTCCTTTTTGATGATGTAAGAAATAGGAGTTCTCATAGCTAGGCTCTACCTGCAATTCTGAGCTGGAAAATAAATCCCTTCTCTTCCTTCTGAATTTCAAATTCAGTAACCATGTTTGCAGTGTGCTAGAACACAATATCCTTCTCCACTTTCTGTCTCACCACCCAAATACTGTAGAGCTTTTGCATTTTCCTTGAAGACTCTCTTTAAGAATCACCCAGTGCCCCACTGTTGGTGGGAATGCAAATTAGTACAGCCATTATGAAAAAAATGGTATGGAGGTTCCTTAAAAAATTAAAAATAGAACTACCATATGCTCCAGCAATCCCACTACTGTGTATATATCCAAAGGAAACGAAATCAGTATTTTGAAGGGATATCTGCACTCCCAGGTTCACTGCAGCATTATTCACTATAGCTAAGATATGGAATCAACCTAAGCGTGCACTGACAGATGAATGGACATGACCAGGCACTGTGGCTCATGCCTGTAATCCCACGACTTTGCGAGGCTGAGGTGAGCAGATCACTTGAGGTCAGGAGTTCAAGACCAGGCAAGCCAACATGGTGAAACTTCGTCTCCACTAAAAATACAAAAATTAGCTGGGCTTGATGGCGGCGAGGGGAGACACGTGTAATCCCAGCTACTTGGGAGTCTGAGGCAGGAAAATCACTTGAACCCACGAGGCAGAGGTTGCAGTGAGCCAAGACCGCGCCACTGCACTCCAGCCTGGGCAACAAGAACAAAACTCCATCCCCCACAGAAAAAAAAAAAAAAAACGGACAGAAGTATGCTCTGTATCTACAATGGAATGTCATTCAGCCCTAAAAAGAGATAAATTCTTGTCAACTGCAACACTGTGGATGAACCTGGAGGATGTCATGTTGAGTGAAATAAGCCACACACAGAAGAACAAATACTGCGTGATTTCACTTACATGTAGAATCTGAAATAGTTGAACTCATAGAAGTAGGGAATAGAAGTTTGCTTACCAGGGGCTGGGGTGGGATTGGGGTTGGTGAGGGTTGGGGAGATGTTGGTGAATGGATACAAAATTTCAGTTAGATAGGAGGAATAGTTTCAAGAAATCTTTTGTTTAACATGGTGACTATAGTTAATGACATGTATCATGTTCTTGAAAATCACTGGAAGAGTAGATTTTAAGTGTTTTCACTACAAAAATGTATATCAGATAATACACGTATTAATTAGCCTGACTTCGCCATTCCACAATATATACATATTTCAAAACGTCATGTTGTACATGATAAATGTATACCATCTTTGTCAATTCAAAAAGTTAATTCGTTATTATTTTTTTAAAGAATCACCCAGTGTCCTAAGTTCCCTAAAAGAAGGAAACAGAGTAGCCAGAGAAACTGCAGCTGTCTTGGTGCCTGATTCTTTGGTAGAATGACATAAAGGTCATACACAGCATGACCCTCCCTGGTAAATACGTTCACATAAAATGCCCTGGGTACATAAAAAATTCTGAAAATTCAGTATGACGTCCTTCAAGAGTCTAATGGTAAAATGCACTCCTCTAAATGCTTGCTCAGTGTCTGCTGTGTACATAGTTATGATCCCCGTCCCTGGGGTATATACTCTTAGTCTTTGCCTTCAGGTAGTTTACTTTCTTGGAGGGAGGGGATAAAAACTAACTAAAGCAGAGACAAGGTAAGTGTAATCACAGCAGCTGAGGCTGCAGCTGAGGCGATGAAGCAGGAAACTCTTGTGGTTCACTTAGGAAGGATTTCACTTAGAAGACACAAATGAAGAAATGGCTTTATATCATTAAGCTGGCTTTAAAGCATTTAATCATTGTGTCAGCATCCATGGTCACCAGTAAACAATTAATATAAGCATCCCACGCTCCCAGGAACAGCAAAAAAAGCATTTGTTTTACTCTTCAGTGTTATTTTTCACCTAATGGCTAATCCACAAATGTCTACTAAGTGAAATCATGCTTCACATACCATTTAGAAACACCACATTTGAATTTTAAAAACAAAACATAAAGATACTTCTCTCGAAAATCAATAAAAGGCTTGAAAGACATGAAGAAGCAGATTTTCCCAGAGGAAACACAACTGGTTCAAAACCCTATGGGAAAAAAAGGGGGAGGGATTCTTAGAGTTACCAAATACGTGCAAAACAAATAGGTTCTATTTTTTATAAAAATGGCAATTGGAAAGGATTTTATAATGCTTCTCTTCATTATTAAAGGAGATTTAGAGAAAGAGTCTCTTAAACACTACTGTTGAGAGTGTAAATTGGTTTAACCTTTCTGAAGAGATCATTTAACAATGTGTATCAAAAGGCTTAAACATTTGTATAACCTTTATTCAAGTATTTCCACTTGTAGGAACTGACTCCAGAAAGTCCTGGGTGTGCTTAAGATATAGACACAATGTTGCTCATCACTGTCGGTTTGTTATGGTGGAAAATCAGAGATAGCACAAGAAAAAGCTCAGCAATTGGGACTGTGCCAAAAATAAAAAATACATAAAAATAAATCTGGTACCCATTCAATGATTTTATTCTTCAGCCCTTTCATTATTCTTACAGGCTCTTTTTTTTTTTAAAGAAAGAAGCCTATGAAGAAGGAAATTTTCATAATATATAGCTATATTAAAAAACTACAAAACATATAAACAGTTGATATACAATGTGGGAAGTCAGAGAGAAAGACAGAGAATTCAGATAGCTGGAAAAATGCTTTCTCCTTGGTGATGTAAGTAAAATTGGTATAAAGCTCCAATTTCTATGGCCCTTGGAAGTCTAGTGATGTCCCCAGGTTCCTGCAAATTCTCAGGTAGATTTTGTTCTTATTGTCCTCCAGGCTCCTCCTATCTTATTTATTCTCTATTGCACCACTTTCAGGGTTCATCCAATAGAAAGAAAAGAAGGAAAGAAAAAGACAATGAAGAGAAGGGAAAAAAGAGGGGAATGGAAACAAACCCACCCTTGCAAAAACATTTAAAAATGTAGTCAACTTAGCTGAAGGTTGGTGGTGATACCACCTAACCCCCAGCTTTCTGTTCCTTTCAGCATTGATTCCTTCCTTTCCCTCTCCCATTTCTCTCTTCCCCTCCCTCTCCTATCAGTCCTATTCCTGGAACACTACTTTTCCCTCCCTCTATTATGCAGAGCAGTGCTGTATTCCCTGGCTCCCACTCTCAGTCTTGCAAAATCAAACCTATCTGGGATTCCACAGACAAAGGGACCTCTCCTAGAACAAGATGGTGCTACCCGCCTTTCTTGGGCGATGGCTGTTGGCTATACATAGCAACATTTGCCTTGTTATGTATATAGGTAGGATATACATACAGATTACAAATAGATGACAGCTAAATGATTACTCAAAAAGGCAACTGTTATAAATAGCATTTTCCCTGATATATCTCTGCCTAGACATACAGAAAAATCAATTAATGATAATGCTAATTCACATTATCTCTGGATGATGAATAACATGCAACTCTAATTTTCTTGGTGCTTATCTGCAGTACTTGAATTTCCTATAAGCAACTATTAGTGTTTTATAAAAAGGAAGGTCAAAAACTAAGTTCACTCACCATAAAGAAGAAATGCCTAGTTCTGGAAGGAAGGTGGCTCATGGCTGAGATGACAGGTAAAACCATCTGTGATGGGTGAAATTAAGTAATGCTACCCCTAATTCAGCTAAGCCAGCAAGTGTAAGCGTGAAAGTCTCTGTTCATTCAGATCCTACCTTTTCCCCCAAATGACTGGAAAGATATGAAGGGACTCAGCTAGAAGATTCTGCACAAATGTATTCTGATACCCACATAGGGCATCCTACTAGAAGAGCTGACGACAAAATGGCCAACAGCACGGTCCTTTATGAACAAGGAAGGGAGTGAGCAGTAGGTAGGAAAGGCAGCAAGAATTTGCAAAGCCGTTCATGTGCCACTCACTGTGTTAATGGTTTGTAGACCCTTTTCTAAACATCACAGGGACCCTATCAGAGAGCTGGTAATATCCCTAACTGATAAAGAAACCAAGGCTCAAAACTGAGAGCCATCTCCCTCTGAAGTCTTTGCCTTCATTCACAGTTCTTCCTAAAATCAGCGGTTATTCTTCCTTCCAGAACCATATTCTATTTTTTTAAGGTTAACTTTTATTTTAGGTTCAGAGGTACATGTGCAGGTTTGTTATTTGGGTAAACTTGTGTCATGGGAGTTTGTCTTACAGATTTTTTCATCACCCAGGTATTAAGCCTAGTACTCATTAGTTATTTTTCCTGATCCTCTCCCTACTCCCACCCTCCACCCTCTGATAGGCCCCAGTGTGTGTTGTTCCCCTCTATGGGTCCATGAGTCCTCATCATTTAGCCCCCACTTATAAGTGAGAACATGCAGTGTTTGGAACCACATTTTAAAATACCTAGATGAACAGCACCGACCTTGCTCCCTGCAATGGAAATGTACTTAACCTGGATTTAAAGAGGCTATGTTTCCCGTATTCCATTTCAGCTAAATTAAGAGATGTGTAAATGACAAGCAGTCACTAATGTATTCTTAAAATCACGGCATTCCTGAATCAGGATATACATTCATTTAAGGATGACCTGGGGGCTTTTAGCTTTTGTTAACATAAAACTATTCATTACTTTCATATTATTGTGGCAGGCACAGGGTCTTACAGAAAAATTAGTAATTCTCAACTTTAGCTAACATTTACTGAGTGCCTATCACATACCAGGAACTTAACACTCATTATCTTGCACAACTCTTAGTGTGTGGTAGATCACCATAGAGGAGTATTTGCTCCTTCTCCACCTCCATGGGCAGAGTGTACTTTCCTACCCGTTGGCTGTGAGTGTCCCCTCCACTGCGGGTGTGTCTGTGAGACTTGCTTTGGTTAAGGAATGTTAACCGGCAGCGAGTGTGATGCGGTTAAAGGCTTGAAGGCGTTTGCACAATAGAAGTTTCTCTTGCACTTCTCCTTCACCAAGAGAACATTTCTGACTAGCTACTATTCTCCAGCAGAGGACTTGAGACACAGGGACCAGAGTTCCCTCCAAAGCTGAGCCTCCTCACTTGAGGGCCAGCTGACCTGCAGACACATGACTGAGTGCAGCCTAAATCAAGGACCCCATTGTACTACAGACACATGCACTAAACAAGTGCTCACTGTTACCTGCCAATTAGATTTGTGATTGCTGGGGACCAATAGGAAAAGAATACATAGGGTATCCTAATGTGGGAGACACTGTTCTCATCCCTGTCGTAAAATGGGAAAATTGAGGTTTAGGGAGGTTGTATAACTTTCCTGTCTCGTGGATGGCAGAACTGGAGTTCAACTTTGACTCTGAAGCCTTTATGCTGTAGCTCTCTTTGATCAGTCAGTCAGCCAGTCGTTGAACCTGATATTTAATAAGCCTCTGGATGTGCTACGTAGGCGCTGTCCTTGGTGCTGATACCACCGCAGTCAGCACAACAAAACTCCAAGAGTTCTGTTTTACCAAGGAGGAAAGGGAAGGAATAATTGCATTCAAACTCAGTAAAAAAAAAAAAAAAAAAAAAAAGGAGGTGACCATACAGTCTGACAATAAATAGATGTGCAACAACAAAAAGCCCTAGGTTCATAATAAGCTTGGCGTTTGTGGAAAAGGAAGGATGCCACCATGGTTTGGTACAGTTATAAGGGAGAGACTGGAGAGAGGCCAGATAATGCAGAGCCTGAAAGCAAAACAACGAGTTTGATTTAATTCTGCTTTCAACAGGAGGCCACTAAAAAAATCACACATTCAAGAGGAAAACATTCGGGTTATCACTTCAGAACAATCTCCATGGCTGCTTTGCTGTGGGGGATGCCAGGGAGCAAGGACGGAGACAGGGAATCCAGGGAGGGTGCTGCTGGAGCTGCCCAGGTGAGAGGCAATTGGATTGCATTGGATTAGGGTGGTGGCTGTGGAGAGGCTAAGGATTCCTTCCAAATTTTCTCTCAAATTTGAAAGCAGTCCTAACTTCCCTAATTCTAAATTAGTCTTGGCTTCAGCAAACTTGAACAAAACATTTACCAGCTTAGGTATCAAACTAAGTTATGAAAAAAACTCTCAAAATATTTGCTTAGATAAAAGTAAAAACATACTTAACAGTTGTGGAATTAATCATTCATCTAAGGTGGGTGATAATTTGTGCCACACTTGAAGTGGAAAAACAAATTTCTATTTACACTGCAATCTATACTTTTTTTCAGGGATGGGCTAATTGTGTTTGTTGAACTGTTTCAAGCTGCTATGGGCTGGGAGAATTGAATATCTATTTGCAAGACTGTAGGGATTAAATTAGATAAACGCAAAGGGGAAAGTAATTGGTAATTTGTGAAGAGTTGCATGAGTGTATGAAGTGCTGTCTAAAGCACTATGCAAGACTGATGGACAAAAAGGGCAACCCGAAGTTATTTTCTTTTTTCAAAAAAGCTACTTTTCTCTAATGCTAAGTATCCTTAAGTGAGCAGGCAAACATCTTTCAACAAACAAACAAACAAAAACATAAGGCTAAGTAAGCTTGTTTATCAGCATAGCTCTTTCTCTAGCTCTCCAAAAGTTTAACCTCTCAGAAAAGTTATAAAAATCAGATTTAAAATTTTATTTATTTTTGTCTTGTTGATTATGAAAATACGTTTTGCAAATCATAATAGCCTCTGTTGGTCAACAGTGGTGAATTGAAGACCAGATAACACCCCCAGGTATGGTTTAACCTTGAGTTTCAAACATTCAACTAATACTAGGTGACGGGTTGATAGGTACAGCAAACAACCATGGCACATGTTTACCTATGCAATGAACCTGCACATCCTGTACATGTATCTTGGAACCTAAAATAAAATTTAAAAAAACTCAAGAGTACAGGAAACAAAAGATAATGAAATAACATCTTCAAAGCTCTCAAAGAAAATTACTCAAAATCTAGAATTCTATAACTATATGAAATATTTTTCAAATGAAATATAAGATATTTATTATTTTAGTTAGGATCTAGAGAGACATGTAAGACCACTGTTCTATGTTATCAATAAAAATAATCTAGACTAAGTAACAACAATTAAATGGACATACAGCACCTAGAAATAAGACTTTTCAGACTCTCTTAGGTAAACAATCAGAAAGTCTGGTATATTTCTAATTCATGAAAATGGTATGCAGCTGAGGAGCAGCTGCACTGTGAAGGCAGGCATGAGTTCCTCACTTTGCCACAATCCCCACTGCTCCCTACTGTGCCTCTGACATGAAACACCAATTACCAATTAGCTTCACTTGGGATACGGAGCTTTTCTTACAGTAGAGGAATATCTCTTATTTAGGCCCATCATGAGCAGAAGTGGGAACAAGGAAACAAAACCAAGACAGCCATATGTCTGATGACCCAGCCTGCCTCCTTCGAGTGTGATGACCTCCCAGGTCCTGGATTTAATACCTCCGATCTTTACACACTACACAATATTGGAAGAAAGTCAGTGAAAACTGGAAAGTACCCACAAGTTGCATACCATACATTTACAGGCTTAAGCAGCAACATTGGTTGAATACTGAATCTAACTCGAGCCCTAGGCCAACCCCATTGTGTCCTAATTAAAGTTCCCTTTCTCTAGGAGCATTGCAACTGAGAGCCACCGCTGGCTCTGACTCTAATGGAAGCATGCCAAAAATACAATCTTACTTAAGAAAACTGAATATGATTTTGCAAAGAGGATGGCCAAACTTGATCTCAATATGACAAGAAATGACAAAGATGTGTGCTGAAATGGCTGGCTCAGGAAAAAGGACCAGCATGGTCCATGGGGATGCATCTTGAGGGTTTGAAGAAGTTGCTCAAAGGCCAGCAACTTTCAAGATCAAGATAATCTCAAGGACTGAAGTGTAGTTAATGAAAAGCCCAAGGGTGTTTTTTTTTTTTTTTTTTTTTTTTGGAATACTTTGGCATTTTCCTAGAACAGACTCTGAAGAAGGGATGAAAGATATATTATTATAAATGTTTATTTACTCTGATTTTTTTTCTCTGGAGTTACCCTTTGATGACAATACTGCTGTTTAAGATTGAGCTGTAGACTGACCTAAGAAACAGAAAATAAAAGTTTTATTACATAATGATTATCTTTAATCTTGCTGTGAAAACAAAGATCATTTTGAGATATTGATTTAAAAGCTATGAACATTCTCTCCAGGAAAAAAGAAATGTATGTTAGTTATCGAGTTTTGTATGTGACTTCAGAGGTTTAATGAATCTCTTAAATCCATTAGAAATTAAGAGTTTTGATTATGTGAAATCCCAGATTATAACATAATCATTAAGAACAAAGAATAAGGGGTAGGATGCAGTGGCTCATACCTCTAATACCAGCACTTTGGGAGGCTAGGCAAGGAGGATCACTTGAGCCTAAAAGTTCAAGACCAGTCTGGGAAGCACAGCGAAACCCTGTCTCCACCAAAAAGAATAATAAAATTAGCTGGATGTGATGATGCACGCCTGTAACCCAGCTACTTGGGAGGCTGAGCTGGGAGGATCACTTGAGCCCCAGAATTTGAGGCTATAGTGAGCTATTATCATGCCACTGCATTACAGCCTGGGTGACAGAGTGACAGCCTCTCTCAAAATGTATTAATACTACTACTAATAAAGAGTAAGGGGTCAACTTCCTGGGGAGCCCTTCTGCTTAGCCACAACATATGTGAATTTTTTAAGCCTCAGTTTCTTCACCTACAAACAAAGATAATGTCAACCAAAGGTAATATGCCTTTCTTCCACATCTTTTTGTTTTGGAATAAATTTTACAAAGTGACCATGATGTCTCTTCATCTCATACATAAAAGAACTAAAGGTCAGAGAAGTCTAGTTGCTGGCCTAAGGTCACACAGCTGTCACGTGGCACACCCTGACCACGCCTATAGGCTGGTTTGGAGAATAAATGTGGTACATTCATGCCAAGTGCTTGGAGTAGTTGTTGGCACGTAGCAAGAGATCAATATGTGTTTGCTGAACATTCACTTTCTGATTTAATACTGGGTGTGTTACAATTTTAATGAAAACATTCAAATGTATTCTATATTGATATTCCTAAAACGTTCAGCTAATGACAAAGAATAAAGGGAATATATTATTATATTACCAATTTATATTAAAAATGCCAGGGCTTGACATCCTGAAAATCCAAGTAACAAAAACAAGAGGAGGAGGAGGAAGAGAACAAATGAAGGAAGAAGATAAAGAAGGTAGACAGGTAAGGCCGACACAGCCCCATATGCAGGATGAAAATGTCGAGAGGCACTGCTTGCAAACTGTCCGCAGACTCCATATCTCTCTCACCAGCACAGTCCAAACCTGGCAAAGTCAGTCGGGTCTGAATCAACAAACAGAAAATTTGGCTGAGCCGTTTAGCCAGTTCTTGCAGACAACTAGTTAGTCCAACCCAACCCATCATGCACGTGGCCACTCAATCAGAAACCTGGTCCAACTGGCTGCTTCAAGTCACATGGATGCAAATCACGAAGCACGGATGTTGGACTGAATTGACTGCATGCTGAGCATCCTGCAGCTGTCACCATGGAAAGTTTGTTCAGCTTACTCTCAGCCAATGGCGAAGAGACCTCCCCATGTCCAAGTTGCCACGTGTTCCAGACCATTCCATTTCCTTAGTCAATGTGTAATGAGGATGCAGGGGGAGGTACACTGTATCTATAAATTCAACAAGTGGTGAAAAATAATCATGATGTTGCCCATTTCAAACATAAAAGAACTAAAGCTCAGAGAGATCTAGTTTCTTGCCCAAGCTCACACAGCTGTCATGTGGCACAACCTGTCTGCATCAGAAGGTACCTTCCTTTCCAATGATGATATGTCATGCCTATTATTTATTTTTCCATGTGTTTTATTCAGACATTTACATGCAACCCTGTCTCTGAATTTTCAGTGAACACTCTTGTCAGTCCTTTGGGGATAAACTAGGAGACAGTAGTTTCCATGTCTCTTACAGTAAGTGCATGACCTACACATATATGGGTTTCTCTGTGCGCATGTGTGCCAAGCAATAAGCAGGGGTTCTCAACAGAAGGAAAATTTGGAAATTCCTGGTGACTTTTCAATTATTGTTATCACTGAGGTGCCTATGGTAATAGCATCTAGTGGTCAGGGACACTGCACAAAAAAAGGGATTACCAATCCAAAGTATCAAGAGGGCCAAAGTTGAAAACCCTTAAATATATACACACGCATATGCAGATATACATATTTAGGTATATATGCACTCATGTAATTATGTATACACAAATCACATATAAGTATATTTATATGCATATATACTTATATACATATTTACATATTTAATATATGTATAAACATATATGTATATGTGAGTATCTACATTTATAGACAGATTGAAAGAGAAAAAGAAGGGGGGATGAGAAAATGGGCATGTGTGTGTGTTTGTGTATATGCATATATATTTGTCCATTTGTATCACATTTGTCATCCAGATGTAGATTTTTTGTAATGCACTCTTACTGAAAATATGACCAACATAAAGAAGAAATGTTTTTTCTTTATTATAAATTCCAGATAAAACATTTTAAGTAACCCTCTTGCAATGCCCCAACCCAAACAAAATTCATAAAAGTTCCTGCCATAAAAGTGTTTGCTGTGAAATTTTAATAACTTTCAAGATGTCCTGTTTCAAGAAACATTTTAGTCATCTTGAATGAACCAAAGGGTTTAATTAAACAACCACACTTAGACGTTGGAATGCATAATTTGCCCATTGAACTGCAAATCCCCTAATCCTACAGGGAATCACATGCTCTTTCCAAGATAGTCCAACGGGCCAGGAGGTGACCTGCTTCCTGCTTGGGCCACACCCATTACTCAAGCTGAGAGAATTAGAATAAATAGTAGTGCCGAGACTGAGATGCCAGAATTCAGCTAATGAGAATAAAAACTCCGTGTGATTTATGGTAGAGGTGGGGCAATACATTTCAGGGTTATGAATAATCAATCCTCCAGTGGATTTTTCATTTTCCAAATGCAGGGGATACTTCTGCCTCGGGTCTCAAGCCAGAAATGGCAATCTGATATAAATACTAAAAACTGCGCTAAATAAACCTTCTTTTCCAACCCAAATCCAGTGGCTTAATTTTCACGATAGCCAGAACAGATATTGTTGTATATTAAGAGAATTGTTTGGGAAGGTGTGGGGGAAAAGTAGAATGTTCCAACAAAGTTAGAAACTTTTTGTGCTGCTGTTTAAGATCTAAAGCAACATTAGTACTTCAAGAAGAGTTTCAAAAAACAATATTTTGCCAGGTGCAGCGGCTCACGCCTGTAATCCTAGAACTTTGGAAGGCTGAGGCAGGTGGATCGCTTCAGTCCAGGAGTTTGAGACCAGCCTGGGCAACATGGCAAAACCCCATCTCCACAAACAAACAAACAAACAAAACTACAAAAATTAGCCAGGTGTGGTGGTGAATGCCTCTAGTCCTAGCTACTCAGGAGACTGAGATGGGAGGATCACTTGAGCCCAGAAGGTCAAGGCTGCAGTGAGCTGTGATCATACCACTGTACTCCAGCCTGGGTGACAAAGTGAGACCCTGTCTCAAAACAAACAAACAAAAACAAACAAACAAACAAAAAACACCACGAAAACCCCAGTATTTAGAAACAGAAATCAATACAATAAAATAACATACTCCTCCTTCATCTTTAACATGTTTCTTTAACACACACTATATGTATCAAATGCAGATTTTCCCTTAAACTGTAAGGGCTTCAGATGATCACAGATGGTGATATACAAGTATAACATAGTGAAGATCATTAATATATGTAAAGTACTTAGAACACTACCTGATGAACACTGCTCCGTAAACATTCATTATTATTATCCTTAAATCTTATAGATTCGGCAGGATGCATCGGCTCATACCTGTAATCCCAGCAGTTTGGGAGGCCGAGGCGGGAGGATCACCTGAGGTCAGGAGTTCAAGACCAGCTTGGCCAACATGGTGAAACCCTTTCGCTACTGAAAATACAAAAATTAGCCAGGCGTGGTGGCGGGTGCCCGTAATCCCAGCTACTCAAGAGTCTGAGGCAGGAGAATCGCTTGAACTCAGGAGACAAATGTTCTAGTGAGCAGACATTGCAGCATTGCACTCCAGCCTGGGCGACAGAGCTAGGCTCAGTCTCAAATAATCGTCACCATCATCTTATAGTTTCAACAGGTAGGAAGTTTTGGAATTTGATTACAATTGAAATACTAACTACCAATGAGAAATGTTCCTTTTAGCACAACGAACTCTATGGGCCCAGTTTTCAAGTAGTAGTTTCAAGTAGAAAAATGAATATAAATGATATTTGTTTTCTTCTTATAAGCCAAATGCCCCATTTTCATCCCTAAGTGAGTTACTGCTGATTCAAAGAAACATGAATACAACATCAGCAAATTCTAACCAGCTAACTGCCTAGATCAAAGACCCAGAAGAGTAAAATAATCATCTAATATAAGACAAATGAGTTCTCACGGTCTTATCAGGGGGCAATAAAGCCTCAGAGAAGCTCAGTGTTTTCTGTTTTTCTTTTATTCTTTCACACATGCAAATGGTCTTGACAGGACAATTTCACTTGTTGAGGTATCATCCCAGCCGATTCCAATTTTTATTTATTTATTTATTTTTTAGACAGTCTTGCTCTGTTGCCCAGGCTGGAGTGCAGTGGCACGATCTAGGCTCACTGAAACCTCCAGCTCCCAGGTTTAAGCAATTCTGGTGCCTTAGACTCCCAAGTAACTGGGATTACAGGCATGCACCACCACGCCTGGCTAATTTTTGTACTTTTAGTAGACATGGGATTTCACCATGTTGTCCAGGCTGGTCTCAAACTCCTGACCTCAAATGATCTACCCTCCTTGGCCTCCTAAATTGCTGGGATTACTGGCTGATTCCACCTTTTCCTGGGCATCCTGGCACCCACAGTACCTACATCAATGGTAGAAGTAGCCTCATCATATATCAAACTGCATGGTTTAGGAAAGGCAAAGGAGAAAATGATAATAAAAAGACATGCATGTGTATATTCAATGCAGCACTATTCACAATAGCAAGGATGTGGAATCAACCTAAATGCCCATCAATGATAGACTGGATAAAGAAAGTGTGGTACATGTATACTGTGGGGTGCTATGCAGCCATAAAAAAGAACAAGATCATGTCCTTTGCAGGAACATGGATGAAACTGGAGGCTCTCATTCTCAGCAAACTAACAAAGGAACATAAAACCAAACACTGCATGTTCTCACGTATAAGTGGGAGCTAAATGATAAAAACACGTGGACACATAGAGGGGAACAACACACACTGGGGTCTCTTGGCAGGTGGAGGTCAGGGGAGGGACAGGATCGGGAGAAACAAGTAATGGGTACTAGGTTTAACACCTGGGTGATGAAATAATCTGCACAACAAACCCCCATGACACACAAGTTTACCTATGTAACAAGCCTGCACTTGTACCCCTGAAGATAAAATAAAAGTTACAAAAAAAGAGAGAAAGAAATGCATATTCATTTTATTGGAGATTCAGAATTTGGAACGTACACAAGATGGGAAGAACACAGAAGTAGGCTTTCCTAAAGGTGCGTGTGTAGCCCAAGGTTGGAAAGATGAGGAGAGTAACCTAGGAAAAAGTACTAAGTAAATATTGCAGGAAGGGGAAACAACCATGCAAAGGCTCTGTGGAAGCAAAAAGCAGAATCTGTTTTGGGAACTTAGACAAGGGCAGCTGGCAGATGTGCAGAAAGCAGAATTTACTTCTTCTTTTAATTTTTATTTTATTTATTTATTTTTTTTTTACCATTTTAAGTCTGCAGTTGAGTAGTGTTAAGTACATTCACAGTGTTGCACAGCCATTCCCAACATTCATCTCCAGAACTCTTTTCATCTTGCAAAACTGAAACTCTGTACCAATTAAACACTAACTCACCATTCCTCTTTTCTCCCAGCCCTTGGTAACGACCATGCCACTTTTTGTCTTTGTGAATTTGACAACTATGGGCACCTCATATAAGTGGAATCATGCAATATTTGTTCTTTTGTGACAAGCTCATTTCACTTAGAATAATGTCCTCAAGGTTCATCTATGTTGTAGCATGTATCAGCATCTCTTTTCTTTTTTTGAGACAGGGTCTTGCTTTCTTGCCTAGGCTTGCGTGCAGGGACGCGACGTGGGCTCACTGTAACCTCCATCTCCAGGGTTCAAGCAATTCTCATGCTTCAGCCTCCTGAGTAGCTGGCTTCACAGGTGTGTGCCACCATGTCCAGCTAATTTTTCTATTTTGAGTAGTTGAGTTTTCACCACGTTGGCCATGCTGGTCTCAAACCCCTGACCTCAAGTGATCTGTCCGCCTCACCCTCCCAAAGTGTTGGGATTGCAGGCTAGAGCCACCACACAGTCGGCCAGAATCTCCTTCATTTCTAAGGCTGAATAATATTCCAGTATACACCACGTTTTGTTTATTCCCTTGTCTGTGCATGGACGCTTGGCTTGAGAAAGCAGAATTTACTTTCTAAAGTCACCTATACTGAAAGAGGCAGAGTTGACATAGGAAGCCAGTTGGTCCAAATCTAGAGTCTAAGCACTTTGCTTTTCACTTTTCTCATTCTATTGTGCTTCAGGCTAATGAGATATGTAGATATGTGTTACATATGTAAATGAGTTACAATCTGTGCAGCCTTTAGAGCAGTGCCTGGTCCAGAGACAAAACTATAGAAGGATCAGTTCAAATTATTATTAATTATTATTGTATGTACAGAACACTCAATTAAGGGCATGGCCAAAATCCATTCTGCACTCTGATGACTCATTCAAATGCTCAGCAGACAGGGAGGGAGAGAGGACGGAAGAGCTCATGGTCCCCGCTGGGACCAGCTGATCCAGCATGTGGTCTTCTGGATTACAAGGCAAGAACCCAGATGCCAGGCAAGGGAAGTTATTTTCTGTGATGGCATCTGGCACGCTGGCCTATCCCAATGACATTTGGGTTGGCGGCTGTATTGCAGCCCCTGGGAAGTTTTGGAAAGTAGCTGGCTGCCACCCAAACCCCACACAGCTCTCTACCTCTCCTGAATTCCTCTCTTGCTGATGGGTGATGCAATAACCTCTCCCTTCTAGTGAAAGAACGGCTTGCCTCTTCCAAAGCCAGCTTATCCTAGTTACACAGAGTTTATAAACCACAACACAGAGGCAGGCAGATCATTTATAGTAATGTTGCTAGAAATCCTCCCAACAACAGCCATTCTAGAGAAGGTGAACTAAATCCTGCGTGCTTCCAGTGAACCTAGTCTTTGCTGAGGACAAGATATGTTGACAAACCCAGGCACAAGGACTGTCTGCCTTATCACTGACTGCATTTTTAATGACTGCTGAATAATTCAGGCCACTGAAGGCTGGTGCGTGCTTGCAGTGGCTTAGAAATTAAAAAAAAAAGAAAAAGTAAAGTTACTAAATTACTTCTGCAAACAACTACTAAAAGCCACATAGACTTCATGATTTGGGAAGTTGACTACAATGTGCTACCTTAAAAGGTGGCCATTTTCAACTTAGAGATATCAGTTCATCTGACAGTAATTACCAAAACAGATGGGGAAAATGCCAAAAGTAGAATCCTAATGGCAATGGGATGGATGCATTTAGGAACCATGGAGCAGAAAGAGATTCTGCCAGATTGCATGACAGCGGAGAGGAGAACTGAAGGCCAGATGTTGTGCATGTGACAATACCTTAAAAGAGGGTACGCCCCTCTAGACAAAATAGGAAGGGGAGAAATGTTCTACTTTTTGCATACATGATCTCCTTCTCTCCCTAACTTGAGCTGAAACAATATGGTGTTAAATACATCCTATTAACCCTAGTTCGCACCTCATACAAAGCACTTGGGCTTCCCTTTACAGATCTAAATATAACTCTTGAATATTTACTTTGATTTTTATATATTAAATATGAGAAGATTAATGCTTAACAGTAGCAATGTTTAGGTGAGCAGGATATGACACAAACAAGAAAACACTCTAATTTCTGAAATGTTGAAGAGGTAAGCTAAGTCCAGATAGACAATAACCAGGATCTTTTTGATCTGAGGAACTATTTATACAAAATGACCATGGTCTAGTTAAATCTCTCTAGTTACTAATCAGCAATGGTGCAAGCCAGAAAATGCACCCTTTCTAATGAATATTGAAATTGGCTGTCATTAAGAGAGAACATTCACAGGAGGGCAAGGAGACAGTGATCAATATTTATATGGATCCACACTGCTTCATTGATTAATAGCCTTCAACTGTAAAAACTGGAATTGTCAGAATAAGGCATTATTTTTTAGTTCAGGCTAGCACAGGATATTACTTAGCTTTAAACATTTTTAACAATTTTTGGTCAACCCTTAATATATAAATTGCAAGGCAGGAAAAAAGAGACAACTTCTCTCCAACCCTCAAAGAGGATATTCTTGATGTCATGGCAGAGGGAGGCATCATATTCATCCCACAAAAGGCTAATTCATCCCAAGATATGGCTGCCCATCAATTGAAAGGGCAAACGCAGCCACTGCCTTTCCATCACAACATACATCCATTCAATGTACATAAGCGATGAAGCTACGGGGGCCCATAAAATGTCAAAAACTACCAGCATCTCCTTGTTTACGATGTTTACATCTTACAAACAAAGGTCCCTCATCTAAACTGGTTTGTGACTACATCTCTGTCTGTTCTTTTCAGTACAGTAGGTCACTTACTCATTCTCTTGCCTCCTGGATACATACCCTGTTCTAAGCCAAGAGCCAAAAATACCACTAGGGAATGGTCACACTGGTTGCCACACTTAGTCAATAATGAACAAGTGGCTTTCTTTCTGTGTAACCCATCCCTGAAATGTAAAATAAAAATCCTCATCCCAGAGCTATTCTCTCCTTTCTAAGGAATGTCAACATTTTAAAGCACTTTAAAAATATATGATGCCAAATGAATGTTTATTATTAGTGTGACTACTACCGATGTGTAGATTTATATACCTCTTAAAGAACTTTTTCTGTTTTACATTCTTCCTTCCACTGAAGCTTGTCTTGCTAAGAAGAATTCCACCATAGCACTTCGACTTGCCTTGCAAAAAATCGTTAGACATTCCGTTTTTTGGACTGCAGAGGTAGAAATAAATTTCTTGGATCCAAGCTACAGGCATAAAAGCAAGTCTACAGTAAGTCTCTGAAAATGGAATTGGGAGATGTCTGTGAATAATTCTTATGGGACATACAAAATTGTTATCCATTAAATGCTAAAAAACATCCACGTACCAAAAATGGGGTGCCTTGCATATTTTTGGAAATTGAAAATGAGTTTGAATGTAGTCTATTACCCATTTCTGACTTCTCCGTTCAGCACAGGGTATTTACAAGGATTTGGTGAAAGCAACTTATATATATAACATATATATATACATATATATATAAAATATGTATACATATATACATACACACAAACACACACATATACACAAGCACATACAAACATATATATACACACACACACACACACACATATGTATACACATGTCATTTGCAACAGAAGACTTCATGGTTAAATGCTTCATACTATCCAGGACACGATGCTTATATTCCTGGTAGAAGACAAACTTTGAGCCTGGTTCCCCCTTCTTCACTGATGAGGGAGCTTATTTTATTGATGGCATCTTGCACTGTTAGCTTTTACCTCCCAAAGGTTAGCTTTTCCCACTTTGTGGTTTTGCTGGCAAAGGGGTGGAACCAAAACCAAATAGATTCCTCATCTCAACTCACTGTATTATACACAACACCAACCCACTGGAAGATAAACCACTGAGAAATGAGCTCTTTTGCTCTTCCAGTGGGGTTATTCATTACCTGGCCTGAGTAACCTCTGCCTCCAGCATGTGAGCCCTCACTGTCCCTCTGCAACATGCCACAGCTTGATTGCCTGCCGTGAGCCACATATCTGACAAAAGCGTCTGCCAGCAAAACAGGCCTTTGTGAATAGAGCTGAATGCAATGAAAATTGACCAAGCATTCTTGTGACATAATTTCCATGCAACCCCTCTCTTCTCATGATAATGTAACTCCTTGATGTTGTCTCAGTTTTGCTGAAAATGAAAAGTATCAAAATAGAATTAAGCTCATTCACTTCTATTCTCCCAGGACCAGTCAAGCCAGTCAAGATGGAAATTTGTCCATTGGCCAAAGAGTCAGAGTAGCTCTCGTTGAGTGGTGATTGACTTTTTGGCTAAGATCGGCAGAAATAAACCTTGTTGTCAATTAGCTTTGCCCTTAGTAAGACTCCATTAGGCACAATAAACTAGAGCAAGAATTTGAAGAGAAAACTGCCATTTAATAAATTCCCAAATGTTGTTATGTTTCTCTGACACATATACCATAAATAAAAGACGAGTTGGAAGTTCATGGGGCCCCCATCTTTTGCTAAGGTCGCATTTCTTGTTGAAAGGGCAGCATCCAGGGAAACAATCGGATGTCCACAATGCAAACTATACATGTATTCCCCAGACTATACCACCAATGTACACATTAGAGCAAAATAGACTTTGTAAAATTTTCAGGACTTTAATAATAATTTCCACACATTGATCTCATTTAACAAGTGCTGATCGACGGCCTGCTGTCTACCATGTATTGTGTTCAACAGCAGAGCTGCCTTCATGAATAAGAGAAAGAGCAAGGAAAAGCAACTCAATGTTTAAAATTACAAATGGTGATCAGGACTTGGAAGCACGTGAATAACATGTCATGGAAAAGAATATAGAAGAGCTGGGATAATTCTTTTAAATAGAAAAGGTCTTTGAAGAGGTGACTTTTCACTTGGGATAGAGCCAGCTTAGAAACAGTCAAAGTCAATGGGATAAGAATCAGGAAAAAAAAAAAAAAAGGATGAGTTTAGCAAGGTTGGCAGGAGCCAGACTTCCAGGGCTTTATATGAAGGTGGTTGGGATTAACTCTAAGTACAGTGGGGTTTTTAACTGGGAAGGGAAAGCATCCTATGTACATTGTGAGATGGGTTCTTTGGCCGCTGTTGGGAACATCAAGAGCAAGCAAAAGGGATTGAAAAGGGAAATGTAGCCTATTTTAGCAGTCCAGGAAAGCAGGGTGACAACAATCACCGGTGTGGAGAGGGAAAGAAGAACAAGTTTTGAGAAATATGGGAATACAAATTTGACAGGGTTTGCTAACATCATGTGCTAGGTAAGTTCTTTGTTTCTGTTACCTCATTCTTTTTTTTTTTTTTTTTAATTAAGAGATGAAGTTTCACTCTTGTTGTCCAGGCTGGAGTGTAATGACCAATGGCGTGATCTCAGCTCACGGCAACCTCCCCCTCCCAGGTTCAAGCAATTCTCCTGCCTCAGCCTTCTCAGTAGCTGGGACTACAGGCATGCACCACCACACCCAGCTAATTTTGCATTTTTAGTAGAGACAGGGTTTCTCCATGTTGGTCAGGCTGTTCTCGAACTCCCAACCTCAGGTGATCCACCCGCTTCGGCCTCCCAAAGCGCTGGGATTACAGGCATGAGCCGCTTATGCCTGGCCTGTTATCTCATTCTTTAAAAGAACACCATTAAATAAGAATTACGTGGGTACAAGTGGGCATATGTGTGTGGGGAGGTATTTGCATGCAGGCTATTTATTGAGCACCTAATAGTTGCCAGGAACCTGGTCCCCTATAAATATTCACTTGTTTGAAGCTTGTTATAACCTAAAGACATAGGCATCTTTTGCCCATTTTATAAAATGAACACATAGCTCAAGCAAGTTATATATCTCACTTAAGTTTTCTCCCTTGGTCTCCATGGTTTTTGTTGTGGTGGTTGTTAACCATTTAAAGTAAACAGTTTTCAGGAGTTCATGACCAGCCTGGCCAACATGGTGAAACCCCGTCTCTCATAAAAATACAAAAATTAGTTGGGCCTGGTGGTATGTACCTGTAGTCTCAGCTACTCAGGAGGCTGAAGCAGGAGAATCGCTTGAACCTAGGAGGTGGAATTTGCAGTGAGCCGATTGTGCCACTGCAATCTAGCCTGGGTGACAGACCGAGACTCTGTCTCAAAAAAAAAAGGAAACAATTCAGTGGCATTTTGTTCATTCACAAATGTTATGCAACCACCACCCCTATCTAGTTCCAAAATACGTCATCATTCCATTCCGAAACAAAATCTGTACCTATTTAATGGTTATTCCCCAACCCCTTCCTCCTAGCCTGTAGCAACCACCAATCTGCTTTCTGTTGGTGTGGATTTACCTACTCCAGATATTTCAGGTGAAGGAAATCACATAATCTGTGGTCTTTTGATTCTGGGTTCTTTTACTTACCACAGTGTTTTTGAGGTCCATCCACGTTGTAGCATGTAACAGTAGCTCCTTCCTTTTTATGGCTCAATGATATTTCATTGTATGGATAGACCACATTTTGTTCATCCATTTATTTATTGATAAATTTATTGATAGGCATTTGGGTTGTCTTTGCTTTTTGGCTGTAATGAATGGTGATGTTATAAGCATTTGTGTATGTGGATTCAAGTGAATCTGTTTACAATTCTTTCCTTTAGGCATCTAACTGGGAATGGGTTTGCTGGGTCATATGGTAATTCTATGCTTAACTTCCCGAGGAACTGCCTTTTAAAAGTTTGGTTAGGATGATAAATGAGCTGATTAAACTGTTTGCTCTTAGGAGCTGTGTTGCAGTGAACACAGCTATACTCCCTCATCATGAACCCTGCTGATTCTCTAATACTCCAGTTTAGTCACGTGAACGATAGTAGTCGATTCCTGATTCATTCTGATTGGTTTAAGGATAAACACATGGTACAAGACAAACCAGCCAAGCCCTCCCTTATTTCTTTGCCCAGCTACCAGAAAACAAACACATAAACAAGCGTATTCTAGCTCTTTCGGTTGTTCTGTTGGCAGAATGGGAGTTTTAAGCTATAGTGGTCTCTTGTCTACCATGGAGACAAAACCTATCTGATCCAAACAACCATACTTATCTTACCCTGAATTCTGGAGAGGTAGATTCTGGAGGATACTCTCCACTTAATGGAAAGATCCCTGATGCTCAGGGGGCTAGAGGTGCTTGTTCAGGTACCATGGCTGATCAATGTGAATTCTGGGACTCAGACCCAGCTTCGGAAACCAGTGACTGGTTACCTAACATCAGAAGGTAAAATTAACACCAGTAACCTTGGGAAGACAAAGTTGATTTCTACAAAATGAGGAACTATAGTCCAGGAATAAAATGAGCTGCCCTCTGCAGTATCAGCTCTGCAGGGTAAAAACAAACTGACCAAAAAAGAATGGGGAAAGTTTATGTCCGAAGAGCAGAAATTCAGTTGTGTAAATTCATGCATTTGGTGCTAAGTTGACAGAAGTGGCCTTAAAGGTCACTTTCAACTCCAAGTGGCTCTCCCCTTCTATATTTAGTATCTCAACTGATTTTCACAAACAAGTTCCAGAATGAATGCATCAGAAGCTAGTGGTAGTGCCCAATGCCATCACGTGATTGGGAAATGAAACGAACCTTGCTTTCCTTTCCTTTCCTTCATTGACTGGGGAGGCTGAATCTGTCAAGCAGTGCTTCATCATGCCTGATGGGTCAGCCCTTTCCTGAATGTGAAACCCTTGAGAGGACAAAGCTGATCTACATCTCAAAATCTGTGGGATTTAGAGGCAGGCAGATGAATAAGTTAACTATGGAAGCTGATATGTTAAGCCAAAACTGAGGCATGACTGCAAGAAAACAGACCCTGCCCCAACACACGGAGTAATTATTGAATTATTGATGTTTTGCCTTGTCCACTAGACAACGACGGCAGGTACTTTCTGTTTGTTTATTTTGTTTGGGTTTTTACTAGTCATCATTTCCCAAATGTCTTCCACAGTGACTGACATATACAGATGTCCAATTAAAAAAAAAAGTGAAATGAGTAAACGAACGCAGAAAAAAAGGATGAGGAGGCCTTCCTTCCCTCCTTTCCATCTCTCCCTTCCTTCTTTCCCTCCCCTTTCCTTCCCCTCCCTCCCTTCCTTCCTCTCTCTCCTTTCCTTCCTCTCTCTCCCTTCCTTCCTTCCCCTCTTCCTCCCTCTCTCTCCCTTCCTCCCTCTCTCTCCCTTCCTCCCTCTCTCTCCCTTCCTCCCTCTCTCTCCCTTCCTCCCTCTCTCTCCCTTCCTCCCTCTCTCTCCCTTCCTCCCTCTCTCTCCCTTCCTCCCTCTCTCTCCCTTCCTTCCTCTCTCTCCCTTCCTCCCTCTCTCTCCCTTCCTCCCTCTCTCTCCCTTCCTTCCTCTCTCTCCCTTCCTCCCTCTCTCTCCCTTCCTTCCTCTCTCTCCCTTCCTCCCTCTCTCTCCCTTCCTTCTTCCCCCTCCCTCCCTTGCTTCCTCTCTCTCCCTTCCTTCCTTCCCCTCTTCCTTCGTCTCTCTCCCTTACTTCCTTTGCCCTTCCTCCCTCTCTCTCCCTTCCTTCCCTTCCCTCCCTCCATCTTTCTTCTCCTTCCTTCCTTCCTTCCTCTCTCTCCCTTTCTCCTTCCCCTCCCTCCCTTCCTTCCTCTCTCTCTCCTTCCCTTCCTCCCTCTCCTCTCCTTTCCTTTCCCTTCCTTCCTTCCTGCCTTCCCATAACACTCATATTCTCATATAATGACTTCTGAATAAGGACATCATCTACATAGATGACAGGAAGATGTGACTAGGCCCTTTCTGTCTATCCTTTATAGGGCAAGGACCAAAACTTCATTATCTTTAAGGTTAATGTAAGGAAAGCCGAGCAGTTTCATTTCATTTTTAAAGGAAATTTGGGCCATCTCAGGGTCTCCTCAACTTAGGAGGAAAAAGTATGCCTTCATAAAATACTTCAGTGTCTTGCAGAAGATTGCAATGCATCACTGGGACACTGCAATGTTTAAGGCCGACGCTTTCTGAAGCATGAAAGAAATATCTGCGGATTTTCCTTTTTATGTTTAAATTACTTTGCTTCTTACTTGACTACTTGTTCTGACCTTTCAGAGTGCTCCCTTCTTTATATTTCTCCTTGAGTCTATTAACCATTTTTAAAAACAGTTTAGATACATCTGTTATGCATTGTTCTTTCTTAGCCTGCTATTCCCCATCCTTCCAGCTCATCTTCCCCTCACTTGACCTTCCATATAAAGCCTTGTAATATTATTATACTCTCTACCCCAATGCATCCATCTTCTTCTCTCTCAAAATGCAACAGATAACGTGAAGCTGTGGATCTGTAAAACACTCACTTTTCATTTTCAAGTGAACGTGAAGTTAGAACCGAGAGATTATGTTTTTAATCCATTTTCCCCCAAAATAAATTATAATGGGAAACTTGGTCAAATTCACTTAACCTCTTGCACATTTCACCTTGGAATTAATGTTCTTTCACGTCGTCCTGAATTGAGCTTTGACTGAATAAAGCGAGAGGCACAGCCAATCAGGTGCAAAGAGAAAAGAAGATTCTGAGAATCCTTCTAGCCCAAGATTTGAATCAGGTCTCTACTCCCTTACGGCTGTGTGGCCATGGACAAATTCCTTCACTTCTCTGGTTTTCAGTTTCCCAATCTGTAAAATTTCATTGCTATTAACCATCTTTATGAATCACTGAGAAAACCAAGTTCAATGAGAACACCTATTTAGAATAGCCACATAGTAGGTACTCTGATTAAGAGAGCCATAATGATTTAGGTTTTCATTAAGCAAATCTTAGTTGAACTCACTTGATAATGACAGCGGGGGGTAGTAGGAGAAGATAAAAAGGAACCCTTGATTTTCCTCCTAATATGTGAATAATAATCATTATATTACCTTGAGGATGAATATAGTCCTCAGCTCTGATCAGTCGGAAGTTCATTCATTCATTCATTCATTCAACAAATATGTATTGAAAATCTACTATCTGTTGGCACACAACCACGACCAAACCAGACACAATGCCTGCTCTCGCGGAACTTACAGTCTGATACTCTCATCTTTGCCACCTTCCTGTAAGATAGTGATTCTTAACCAGGAAAATTCACCCACAGAGGATATCAGGCAGTATCAGGAGAAAGTCGGGTCATCACAACCTGGTGGGTGGGTGCTACTGGTATCCTGTGGATTGAGGCCAGAGATACTGCTAAACATCCTACAGAGCACAGGGTGGCCTCCTCACCGCAAAGAATTGTCTGGCTGTGGAAAAATCCTGCTAGAAGGGAAAGGATAACCACGTGAGCTAATATCATTAAAGCAAGGAGTAAAAACAGCCAGTACAGAAGTCATCATCACCGTGGGCTTACCCACACATGCAGCTGCCGTGATGAGGTAGGAGTTTCCTGTGTCTGCCACAGGAAGGGAGAGATTCCAGGGTGCCTAGGCCAGGTGCTGCGTGCAGGCCAGCCTGCAGGCAGGGCGACGGGCCAAATGACCCAAATGCCCGCTGGAAGGACCCATCCACTCAAATCCCCCACCCCCATCTCCAGTGGCTACAATGACTGGGCTTGGAATGCTTGCGCGTGCAGCTGGCATCCGGGCTTTGCATTTCAGTCAATGCTTTCGGACTCCGAAAGCTGCCCCCAGGGAAACCACTGCGTCTGAAGAGCTGCAGAAGTACCACTTCAGTAGAGACAGTTAGATAAATAACCCTGAATAAAATCGCATACTTTTAAGTGCTTTATTAATACGGTTGGGGACAGAGCATGCAAAATTCCTGCATTGTGGAGTTGAAGGTTACGAGAGGAGGATTATGCAGTGAGCTAAGTGAGAGGGGGCAGGGAAAGAAAAGAGCAAAGCAAACGCAAATTCCTCCCTTGCTGTGTGTGTGTGTGGGGGTGGGGTGGGGTGTGTGTGGTATGTGACAGTGAGAACAGAGAGAGATATACAGATAGAGCACATGGCATGTTTTGCAACAGTTAAAGAAGAATGGAATGACACATTGCATAGGCTACCATGTACATGAGTGACATAATGGGGTACTATTACTCCAGGATTTTCAAACTCAAATATCTCCAGGACCAAACAGGTTCTATAAATGACAGAAACTGGCCAGGTAAGAATGCTGGGGGAAATGAAGAAAGTGTGCAATGCCGGAGAGGACAACCACAACTCAACTTTAGCCATTTTTTATCCTGGAGAGATGAAGACAAGCCAGAAATTCATATTCTTACATAAAATGTTATTTTGTAAATACATCCATACATATAGACACACAGATGAAAATACCCCCACTGTATCTGCAAGTTATAAAGTCCATTTGCCTGTGAGCCTGAAGTTGGCAATCTCTGACTTACATTTTAATGAGATAATTTGCTCACTGACTTATTTATAAAGAGGAATATACAGGAGTATGAATTTGAAGTGAGCTGGGAATCCTACCAGTCCTCTTGATTAACTGTGACTTTAGACGTATCTCTGAACTCCTCTACAGTACTTTTTGCGGTTTTAGAAATTAAGTCTGAAAGACTCATCTTATGGAGTTGTTTGAATATAAAACTTGTTAACTCTGAAAGCACTTAACACTGTTCCAGGAAAGAACCCCCAGATGTTGGCCCCTTTCTCCCTATGGAGGCACCATTGAGAGAATTTGTTACGGCAGACCCAAGGAAAATTCAGGGTTTTGCCCTCAGAATGTACACAGCATCAAGTGGAGAGTCAATGCAGGCTGCACATACACACACCCCACCTCTTTCTACCCAACTCTTTTAACTGAGGGCCTGTAGTGGACATTAGTCCCTTACACCTGCTGGAAATTCCTTCCCTCTTCAGGTGGGCATTACACACTGCACTTCTTTGAAGAAGAACCTCTTCTCCAGTTTCAGAGAACTCCGTAGCTTGTAGTTCATGAGAGGCCTGATTCATCCTTGAAGCCAACCTGCCTGATCAGAATATCCATGCTTCTGACTTGAGTAACTGGCTCAGGGATGTGCACAGGGTACCTGAGAGTTATCCCTGGGATGTTACCTTTCATGATTGTAAAGGAGGTGCTCTTTTTCTCCTGGTCAAGACAAAGTGATAGGATCTCAGTCCTGAGTTGAGGGTGAGCATCTTGCCACTATTTGGAGAGAATATGACATGAAATAAAGTGGACGCCAAGAAAAGCAGAGTGTACAGATTCAGCAAGGCCCATTCCTTAGAGCATCGCCATTTGGTCACCTTGATTCAGCTATTCCTGACACCCATCTCAGAAACATGACATTCACATTTATATATATATATATTTATTATACTTTAAGTTCTAGGGTACATGTGCACAATATGCAGGTTTGTTACATATGTATACATATGCCATGTTGGTGTGCTGCACCCATTAACTCGTCATTTACATTAGGTATATCTCCTAATGCTATCCCTCCCCCCTCCCCCCACCCCCAAATGTCTGACATTCACATTTTTAAAGTACAATATATTCTACTTTTGACAAACGCCAATTCTATTTGGATTTCTGTCCCGTGCCACCTAAAGATTTCAGGAGAACAAATCATCCATTGCCACCACAGCTTAGTTATCTTTGAATGTAAGGTCACAATCTCATCATCTCACATGGCCCACTGTATTAGTCTACTTTCATGATGCAATAAAGACATACTTGAGACTGGTAATTTATAAAGAAAAATAGATTTAATGGACTTACAGTTATACGTGGCTGGGGAGGCCTCACAATCATGGTGGAAGGTGAAAGGTGCATCTGATGTGGTGGCAGACAAGAGAGAATGAGAACCAACCGTAGAGGGAAACCCCTTACAAAACCATCAGATCTCATGAAACTTACTACCATGAGGACAGTATGGGGAAAACAGCCCCCATGATTCGGCTATCTCCCATCAAGTCCCTCCCACAACACGTAGGAATTATGGGAGCTACAATTCAAGATGAGATTTGGGTGGGGACACAGCCAACCCATATCACCCATGGAAAGGAGATCACGTGCACTTACAAACTAGATTCATGCTTCCTGTCCTAGGGTGACCATGGATTTAAGATAATGACAATGACCGTGATGATGATGATGATAAGCCCTTTTTGGAACACCTGATATTGGATACTACACTTAGTGTTTTAAACATATCACTTTATTTAACTCCGGCAACAACTTAAGGAGAAGTATGTCACAAAAATGTCTTAGCATAGTGCTTGACACATAGCAGAGGCTCAATAAAGTGAATTCTGCCACTCTTATCACCCTCCTCATCACTGTGACTAGGACAGTGCTTCTCTAACTCAAAGTACATGAAATCACCTGGAAGTCGTGGTAAAGTGCACATTCTGATCCAGTAGGTGTGTCTGGAACATAACAGTCTGCATTTCTAACAGTTACCAAGTGAGGCTGGTCTTTGGACCACACTTTGAATAACGAGGACTTTGGACACTCACATTCAGGAGAACCATAAAATGACAATTCCCATTGATTGGTTTTAGAATATTCATTGCTCTCCCCAAATATCACTTATTTGGTCTTTCTACTTTATTTTAACCAAAAAGACATTTCCATTTGGAGACATTACCTCCCCCTAACCCACCCCACTACACGCCCAACTGAAAATCTGAAAGTTTAGAAATCCTGATGCTCAAACCTCCCTCTGATTTTACTAGTTAAATCAGAGGCACTGAGGGGCAGGTCCCAGGTAGCAGTATTTTTATAGCTCGATCATTTGCAGCCAAGACTGAGAAGCACTGGGCTGGTGATGCTTGGTATGGGGCATTATAGGCCAAGGGTGATGGCAAGTTCCACTAATTTGCATGGGCAGAATTCAAATGTCAATGGGACTGAAAATGGCTTTTGGTAGAATTAGTATACTGATATGAAACCTGCTACACTTTATTACTAACATTTAGAGAAACACTGTCCATAACTGCTGGCTTGTACGATGACTAAAAGAAGCCATTTTATAACTGGAATGGCAGCATCATGGAACTCTTCCCATTATAGTATTGCACTGAGTGAGCTGAGTGAGTTCCTCAACTGAGCCTTTTTTTTTTTTTTTTTTTTTTTTTTTTTAGAAAAAGGAAGAATCAGGATAGAAAATCTAGATCCTGAAAGACCCAGAACAACGAGCCTAAGCAACCTCTGATGCATCCCAAAGGTCATAAATACAACATATGCATAAATAATATGTACTTTACTTATGTACTTATAATTCACATTAAAGCACTGAAGCCACATGTGGAACAATGAGGTGTGCCTATCCTGGTATGTGTCCACTTTCAACTTGGTACAATTAAACTGTAAGGTATGCTCACCAACCAGCCATAACAGATTTATGGTTTTTAATAAATGGCTATTTCTACCAAAAAAAAAATGCTCTTTTGGTTTAGGAAGTGCTCCCATTTCTATCAGACAGAAATGAAAACAAAACTTTGCCAGAAATCCACCTGCCTTGCTCATTTCTTTTTCTTTTTTTTTTTTTTTTTTTCTGAAACACTGACGGCATATAGTGGGGAATTTAATTCAACATTTCTTTAGTTCTGAAACATAAGACACTGAAATAAATAGCATAATGCTTGAAAGCATCAAGAGGCAGTTAAGCTGAGGTGGATGTGAGTTGGATCTCCTGCACAATTACTGGCTGTGCAAATGCCCCTGAAAATTTGGAGTTCTGATAAGTAACTTCCACAGGTAAAGCACTTAAGCATAACCTATAATATTCTATCATTCGCATTACCAATGCGAATTTGTCATGATTCAATGGAATATACATTTTGATTTGGTTTATCTTTTCACATCTATCCATGCAGTCCACCAAAGAGACTTACCAAACTCTGAAGCCCTTTCTAGCACTGACTGTCAAATTCTATCCTCACGGAAAAATCATTTACATGCTCTGACAATCAAGAGACACCCAGGGTTTCACCTGGACCTATGCAGACTCCCCTAGAGGTCTTACCCTCTCATGCTTCTGATCTTGAACTTGAGCTCTTAGGCTGACACTGCCATAAGCAATAACCTTTGTTGTCCTGGCTGGTCAACCCTTCGCTTCAGCCCTTCTACCCTTGTAGATGTGGTGAGCTACCTTTATTCACCTCAGTTGCTAGTCTCCCAGGCTGCTGCTGACAGCTAAATGAGAATCGCATCTGCAATCAGGCTTAATTATATAACAGGTGGCCAGATGGAAGAGAAGCCTCATGGGTCTGACCATGCAGCCCAGATGTTTATGCTGCACAACAAGGGACGCTCAAAGAAAAAAAAATCGCTGCAAATGAGAGGACTGGTTGAGCAAAATGTAGTGAGTGAACTTCTTGGACAAAAACACACTCTTTAGTAAACCACCAACCAATGCCTGTAAATGGAACACTGCAGTCTTTCATGATGAGTACCCAGAAGAGTACCTGATAGTTGTGAAATGGCACTGGTTCCTGCTTACCACTTTGATAATGATTACTGTAGAATACATATGTGTGTCAGGCATTGGCTTACACCTGTAACATCATTTCATGTAATTTGCACGACAACCTTATAAGGAACAAAGAGGTAAGGGGGCTAACAAACTTGTAAATGCACACAGATCATAAGCGGCAGAGAGGAGATTTGAACCCAGGCAGGAACAACAGCCAGTGCCCAGACACATATCCAATTGTTGCTTCGCCGTCTCCTCTGGGTCCTGTTATCAAGAGTGCTAACATGCATTAGGTTGTCACTTCCTTGCATTGCCAACTTTTCAAGGGGGACAATTCATTTTGACAGAGCTCTGGGCTGCCACATGCCCTAACAGTTCAGTAAGAATGAATGAGAAAACTCTAGTTGCTGAGGAATGTATTCATAATTGGAACTGACATATAAACTACCTATATAGCCAACATGAGACTTTGCACATTAGGTCTGCTTGCCTGTCTAGTGTAGTATTATATCTTACGCTTCTGAGACTCCTTGCCCTCATGTAAAGTAAACAAGAGCAAAGAAGAATGCAAGGCCCTTTGTGAACCACCTGCCCTCTGGTGTGGTCGTGTCTATGGCACTGTCTTACTTCAGGCTGGGCTTTTGAAACAACGAATCTTTTTTTAGCTGAAATCCTCACCACTGCCTTTTATAATATCAGCTGGAAGCAGTGACACAGAGTATTCAAAACTTAGCTTTGTGTCTTCACGGAAAAATTTTAAGTGACTGACAGGCTGGCTAATAATGGTAAAAATAAAATGCTGCCTCTCTCCTGTTCTATCACAGAAGCAGACCAAGACTTAGAAGCCTCTTCTGCATTTCATCATTTTCTACCCATTTTGTGGTTGGACATGAAGAGATGTCAGCTCTTGTGGATTTATGAAGTTAAATCAGGAACTCCTCCAAGGAGGGAAATCAACTTTTCAGGCCTCTGTATGTGCTTTCTTAGATCTCGCTTGTAAAAGATAAGACCATTCTGGTAGAATAACAAACTTTGATGGCCATTGAATAACCACACTGAAATTTTGAAGTGCTTTTTAAAAGTATATATGTGGAGAACAGGATAATTTACAAATAAATAAGTCAACGGCAGGTGCAGTGGCTCACGCCTGTAATCCCAGTACTTTGGGAGGCCAAGGTTGGTGGATCACCTGAGGTCAGGAGTTCAAGACTACCCTGGCCAACATGGTGCGACCCCTTCTCTACTAAAAATACAAAAATTAGCTAGGTGTGATGGCACGCACCTGTAATCCCAGCTACTCTGGAAGCTGAGGCAGGAGAATCGCCTGAACCTGGGAGGGAGAGGTTGCAGTGAGCCAAGATTGGGCCACTGCACTCTATCCTGGACGACAGAGCAAAACTCTGTCTCATAAATAAATAAATAAAAAAATAAATAAATAAATAAATAATCAAATAAAAATAAAGAATAAACAAGTCAAAAGTTAATATTTGTGTTTTATAATCTAGCCAAATCACCTTCTGAGACCCTCCTTGTGGCTATGAAGCCCTTATTCTAACACTTTACAAACTATTTTTGAACACTTACAATGTACAAGGCAGCTGTTTTAATTCACACTCTCTAAAATACACAGGGAGATATTATAGAGACATTCAAGTATAAGCCACCACATAAAACGCAGCAAATCAAATCAAAATTTAGTCACATCAACCTGGCTTCATTTTAATGAAGACAGCGAACACACCTCTACTAGTTAGACAGTACATCTGATAAACTAAGTTCTTATTGCTGGAGTTGGAAACCGATGACTTGTCTTACCTGGACAGGTGTCCCTTTCTCATCAGTCTTTGAAATGCAAATGCATTTAGAATTCCTAAGAACCCATTCCATAGAGCAGTCCCAGAAGTATCCTGAGTCTTAACAAGCAGAAAGTAGGATGGGATGTTAAGGGTGGATAGAGATCAAGAGAATCCCATGGAAATACCAAGATGCCTATTTAAAATGCTGATTGTACGGCCAGCCCTGATAGGTCAGATGTGGGCCTGGAAATTCCACACTCAGCCAGGATCCAAGATGATCCTGTGGCAAGTTCACAGATCACAATCAGAGAAATACTGCCATCCCCCCATGTACAAAGAAGATAATTCAAAAGTCCAGGTAACAAGTCCTCAACCAGAGGAAGATGCAGCAATGATACCTGCACAACAGAAAATAGTGTCGTTTCCAAGAGCCACACCTGACATCAGGGTTACATCCAAAGTGGGCACATAAGGCAGAAATCACACATAATCAAATCTCAGCAACTTGCTTAGGGAGGTCCCATGTTGGTGTCAACACACTGTCTCTTTAGGTTCCTATGAACACTTTTCTCTCTAGCATTGTAATGCATTGCACCTTCTTTGAGCAACAACAGATTAAGTAGTTGTCCTATACTTGGGGCCATGTTGCATGAATGACACCAAGTTTAGAAATGGAATCTCACTCAGCATGATGAAATGTCAGAGCCAGGAAAAATGGGCAGGACCAGACGCCCACTGACGAGTACTATATTGAATTATCCTTCTCTTACTTGCTTCAGAGCATGCTGTCTGCTAATGTCAAGAATTTTCCTCCTGCACTTTTGTCATGATGGTTGTCGGGAGTGGGGAGGGGAGATGGGTGCTAGGACAATTGTTGAATATGGTGAATTTTGTTTGGTCTGATACACACAATTGATCTCTCTAAGGTCAAACAATGCAACTCCATTTAAGACACCTTTAATTTTAAAATGAAGGCTTAATCGAACAAGATACACCACATTAACAAAAACCAACTGAACTCAGATTCAATTGGTTTGAATTCAGAAAATTTCCTAAATAGCTACTAAACCCTACTGATCATTCTATTTTTTGATCCAACAGATTTCTCTTTGGTTAGAAAACTTCTTTATATAAATACACTCACTCTCAGAAACAATGGGAAATCCTTTGGTGGAAGGTCATGCTTTCATATCACAAACATAGAGAACAAAAATTAAATTATCCGTCTGGCTTTTCTAAAAGGAATGGAGTCATTCCAATACCACTCTTAAAGATTCCCTGCTTCCTGTTTCCAGGGTGTACTCAGAGCAGGGATCTATACGGCAGAGGAGCCAGTTTTACTCCGAGTTTGACAAAAACAATCCCATCAAGTGTGAAAAATCCGCCACGCTTGTTCTTTCTACAACAGCTATGCCTCATATTTTCTGGGCACTACAAAATAGCAAGTCTGTCATATTTGTTTCCTCTTGCACATTACACCCTTAAACACACCTAACAGTAGCTTTCAGGGAAAGATGCATTTATAAATGAACACGGTTGGAGCAGCCGACGGTTCTCTTTCCCCCCAAACTTTCAACTATGCTCATCAATTACTCTTAACGGTGCAAAGAGTTGGCAGTGTTTACCCAACACTCCTTTCTGACTTATTCAGCTCGATCTTGCAGCTCATTAAAAGCATCTCTATTTATTTGCTGTGTCTTACAGTCCTTAACTTTGGCACAATATGCCAAAAGAAAGCCCATTTTACTTTTCCCTGTGGTGTTAATTGGTAGAGCATGCTGCCTGCCTCTTCATTAATTATGTCAATGTGTATGAAACTTCCATTTTCATGGGGGTGAATTAACAAGGCTACTCCGAGCAGGGCTGACACAAAGCCAGCTCAGCTGCCTGCAATGACGGGGATAATGAAGACTGCTGGTGGCCAACTCCACATTCATTTACAAAGGCGTGCTTTGTCTGGCTCCGAGCCCTTCTCACCTCTTCTTCTCTTGTGACCACCAGCATGTAACAGGCAGTTTTTTGGAACCAGCAATATCAGCTCTGCTAGGCACAGACCATATGCCTGCCCAAACCCAAGAGAGAAGATTGTGCTGAACATGCTAACTGCATGCGATGCATCGAGGCTGGAGGGGTGAGTCAGGTGCAAGTCCACCAAAATGTAGCAGCAACTTCTGATACTTCTAGACAGGTTCCTGATTGCATCGTGCAGTAGAAGAGAAAAAATAAAAGGCAATCTCTGCTGAAAACTACTTTAAAAAAAAAAAACACTTTAAGATGACTTACCAAAGTCTCACAGCCAGTTAGGAACAAAAGGACACACACACACACACACACACACACACACACACACACACACACACACACACAGCAAACCCCCACAAACCCTAAGTCAAATCACGTCTTCTGGTTAACAAAATCACTCAAAAAAACTTTTTACCTCTTTCTCAGCTCAATTACTGTGAATGCTGGTAAAAGAGTGACACCTAGTTACTGTTTTGCTATTTTCTCTCTCAACTATGCCTCTTCTGTATGAGCTCTCTCACTGGGATCGAATATGGCTTTAAATCTCTCACCCTCTTTCACCATCTCTATCTTCACCTCTTTCCACTTCTAACTCTGTCTCATAGGAAGCATACTGAAGAAGGTGAAAACCAGAAAACAATATACTGATGATGGCTTAGAGTATTATAGCAATTTTTAAATTAGTACCACCATCTACATCTTTGAGAGGTAGAGAATAGTGATTTTCAGATGATTTGGCCAAATTAATGAAGGAAAATAAGACATAAGGTTTAAACTCACTCCCCACCTACTCAGGCAAAGGATCATAGGGTTAGAAAGAGTCAGCAAGGTGGGATGATTCAGCCTGACTTCTGCAGAGGGAGCTCTACTCAGGGGCACACACACACACACACAGACGCACACACACACACGCACACGCATGCAAATGCACGCACACGCGCGCACACACCCCACACACGTACAAACACACATGCACGTGCACACATGCACATGCACACACGCAGACACAGGTACACATGTGCACACACACACACATGCACGCACACACCTACACTCACACACACACATGCACACACATACGCATGCACACACATGCACACACGCGTGTACACACATGCCCACACACATGCAGTGAGTAGTGACAATGCTGTAAGTCTTTCAGATGAACTCCCTAGGATCTCAAAACCTTCACTATAAAAATGTTCTTTCTGATGTCTCCTTGCAATCTTTACTGATGTAAATAAAGCTTTTTCTCAGAAGAAATTGAATGGTGACTCTTCACCAAAAAAATCCTTCCCCCTATGATTAAAAACAAATAAACACTGACATTTTTTTTTCCTTTTCAAGCCAAGTAATTGATTATATTCTCAGAACCAGGCCTCTCATGACCCTTTGTCATGCCTTTTTTGAGGGATAAGATAAAGAGTGATGGACGAGGGGTTGGAAGTCAAGAGGTCAGAGGACAGCAGACTCCCGAACACCAGGAACAAAGCTTCCAAATATTCACTGGTTGCTTTCGCTCATAAATCCTGCTGTAGTTTTCCTGGCTGGACGTGGTGGTTCATGCCTGTAATCCCAGCACTTTGGGAGGCCAAGGTGGACATCACCTAAGGTCAGGAGTTCAACACTAGCCTAGCCAACTTGGCAAAACTCCATCTCTACTAAAAAAAAAAAAAAAAAAGAAGAATAAGAAAAAAAAAGATAATTAGCCAGCTGTGGTGGAACGCACCTGTAGTCCCAGCTACTCCTGCTGTGGGAGGAGAATCTCTTCAATCCGGAAGGCGGAGGTTGCAGTGAGCTGAGATTGTGCCACTGCACTCCACCCTGAGCGACAGAGCAAGACTGTCAAAAAGAAAGGAAAGGAAAGGGAAGGGAAGGAAAGGGAAACAGGGGAGGAGAGGGAAAGGAGAGGGAGAGAGAGGGAGGGAGGGAGGGAGGGAGGGAGGGAGGGAGGGAGGGAGGGAAGGGAGGGAGGGAGGAAGGAAGGAAAATCCTGCTGTACTTTTCCTTACCAATGTGCCCTGGGTGCATTCCTGAATACTCTGACTTTGTTTCCTTGGGTATAAAATGGGAAAGTAATGATTACAACACAGGATGATTGAAAAGAATGAATAAATGACTAGAACTTGGTAAAAAGTAAATACATATTTGTGAAAAAACAGTAACTACCAGGAACTGCTACCCTAAGAATTTTTCTGTAATGAAAAGAGGAATTATAACAATAGCTCAGGCTTCTGGAGTGCTAATTACATTCTATGTGCTGTGCTACACTCATTGTCTCGGTTTGTTTGTGGGTTTTTTAATTTTTATTTTATTTTGACGGAGTCTCACTCTGTTGCCCAGGCTGGAGTACAGCGGTACGATCTGGGCTCACTGCAACCTCTACCTCCCAGGTTCAAGCAATTCTGTGCTACACCCTTTACTCCTATCATTATATTTAAGTTTTACAATAACCCATGAAGTAGACGCTATTTAAAAATTTTTAGCGACAAGGTCTCACTCTGACTCCCAGACTGGTCTAGAACTTTCGGTCTCAAGCAATCCTCCTCCCTCAGCCTCCCAAAGTGCTGGGATTACAGGCATGAGCCACTGCGCCCGGTCTAGGGTAGATGCCATTATTATTCCCATTTTACGGAAGAAAAAAACAGTGGCTTAGACAAGTCAAAAGACTAGCTGGATTTCTGCTCATGGTCAATGAGAGAACCTGGACTTTCCGATGTTCTTAACTAATATGCAGATAGTGGCATGATTCACAATAGCCAATAAGTGGAAACAACCCAATTATCTACCAACTAGTAAAGAGGTAAATACAACATGGTATATCCACACAACAGTATGTTGTCTGGCAACGCATCTATAACATGGATGAACCCCGTAAGCATTATGCTAAGTGAAAGAAGGCAAATACAAAAGAACAAATACTGTATGATTCCAGTGATATAAAACATCCAGGCTGGGCGCGGTGGCTCACGCCTGTAATCTCAGCACTTTGGGAGGCCGAGGCGTGCGGATCACAAGGTCAGGAAATCGAGACCATCCTGGCTAACACGGTGAAACCCCATGTCTACTAAAAATACAAAAATTAGCCGGGTGCCGTGGCAGACGCCTGTAGTCCCAGCTAATCGGGAGGCTGAGGCAGGAGAATGGCGTGAACCCGAGAGGCAGAGCTTGCAGTGAGCCGAGATCACGCCACTGCACTCCCGCCTGGACAACAGAGCAAGACTCCGTCTCAAAAAAAAAAAAAAAAATCCAGAATAGGCCAATTCTTAGAGATAGAAAATAGATTAGTGGTGGCCTAGCATTGGGGAACTGGGGGAAGAAATGCTAATCTGCCCGAGGATCTTTTGAGGGTTATAAAGATGGTGTAAATTTAGAATGTGGTCATGGCTGTACAACTCAGTAAATGTACTTACAAAACATTGAACTGTACACTTAAAATGGGTGAATTTTGCACTGTGTAAATCGTATCTCATAAAGCTCTTTAAAGAATAAACAAAATTCCATGGTGTATATGTGCTACATTTTCCTTATCCAGTCTATCATTGATGGACATTTGGGTTGGTTCCAAGTCTTTGCTATTGTAATTACTGCTGCAATAAACATACATGTGCAGGTGTCTTTATAGAAGAATGATTTATAATACTTTGAGTATATACCCAGTAATGGGATGGCTGGGTCAAATGGTATTTCTGGTTCTAGATCCTTCAGGAATTGCCACACTTTCTTCCACAGTGGTTGAACTAATTTACACTTGGAGACACGGATGAAGCTGAACCATCATCCTCAGCAAACTAACACAGGAACAGAAAACCAAACACCACATGTTCTCACTCATAAGTGGGAGTTGAACAATGAGAACACATGGACGTAGGGAGGCGAACATCACACACCAGGGCCTGTCCGCGGGGGGTGGAGACAAGGAGAGGGAGAGCATTAGGACAAATAGCTAATGCATGTGGGGCTTAAAACCTAGATGATGGGTTGATAGGTGCAGCAAACCACCATGGCACGTGGACACCTATGTAACAAACCTGCACATTCAGTACATGTGTCCGAGAACTTAAAGTAAAATAAAATAAAAAGAATAAACAAAACTCTTTCACTGTGAGACAGACACCCAGACTATCCCATTTCTAATCTCATATATGCAGACATTAAATGTGAGGAACATGTGTCTACTTCATTTTGCAGGGGTGAGATTGAGACAGTGAAGGAAACCATGGAGAAAAATTAGGCTGGAGAGCAAAAAGAAAGATCGCGCAGTATACGGTAGCCTGTGTGAAGGGTTCTGGATTTTATGTGCAGGGCTCAGAGCAGCCACAGAAGAGTTTTAAGTAGCTCAGACATGATCAGATTTGTACTAAAAGTTATTACTCTGGCTGCAGACGATGAGGTAGGAGCACAGCTAGTGGGGTGACCAAGCAGAAACCACAGCGGTTTCCTGTCTGAGAGACGGATGAGGTTTGGACCAGAGAGATGATGGAGATGGAGGCAGTGGATGGATCGGAGAGGCATGGCAAGACACGGTGATTTAGAATAGGAAGGGAGCAGTCTGCCCATGAGAGAGGAATTAAGGAGGACAAAGAAGTGTTTAGCTTGAGCACCCCGATCATGCCATCTGCTAAAGTAGGGATCTACAGGGAAATATATTTGCTGGATAAGATCATCGTGTCATCATAAAGATCATTCTCCTCCCATATGCGTAAGAAATTCAATTTCAGAAGTCTTTTGAGAAAAAAACACTTCACAGAAAATTGTAGGGGTGACATATCCTAGGATAAATGAAGGGTCTACTGTGGCTTCATTAGAAAGATAATAATTCCTTGTTTGAGATAAATGGTCAGAGAACAAGAAAATAAGGTAGCAGGGGAAAGAAGTGGAAAAATTTTTTTTTTTTCCATAGCAAGCTCAGAAGCTTCCAGAAAGGACCAGTTTCTAGGCAAAGGGGAGAGGTCAAATTCCTTCCCACCTGCTCCATCAGGACAGTGGAAATTAATTCTGAGCTCTGCGGTGCAAATGGAATATTTTAGTTCTTAACAACCCACCACTTCAGAGTTCCTGCATGCCCTCTGGCTGGCAAAGCCCTCTAGCTGTCTTTGAGTCGTTCCCCCTATTGCTGGGCAGGACTTTTTCAACCCTCATCCATCAGAGAAGTCTATTAAGAATAACTGGCTTTGACATTAAGTAGATTTGAGTTGGTTTATGGCTCTATCCGTTATTCATGATGACATATCAAGCATATTCCCTAGCCTTCTGGAACCTCGGTCCCTTGAGTATAAAATGGGACAATATCAGGGCTGTTAGGATTATTAAATGAGATAGCTCATCTCAAGATCCACTTCAGTTCCAGGCACACGGTAAGCTCCCATCATACTCCAAGGGAATGATTTCCCACCTTGTTTGTGTTTTTTTTTTTGGCATTAGAGGATCCCTTTGAGAATTAGGAAAAGCCATGCACCACATCTTTACTAAATACTCATTCATGAAAACTTGGAACAGATCTATTAAAGTCTGATTCATGGACCACATTTTGTGAATCTTTAATGTCAGGCAATGGTTCTCAACTCTGGCTGCCTATTACACTGGGAACTTAAAGAAATACTGATCACTGAGTCCCGTATTCCTAAAATTATCTTTAATTGGTTTGGGCTTGGATCCATGCAACGTGATTTTTTAAGGCAACCTCAGCGAATGTGTTGCAGCCAGAATGGGGAACCACTGATAAAGGGGGAAAAACTGATGCCTCATTGTTTTTCTGCCCCAGATATTGTTCCGTGTAATCTGCATTTCTCCTGATCCTGACAGTGTTTTGAGGTGGTTAGGGAGTTCGGGCTTCAGGGTCTGGATAACCTATGTCCCTCCATTCTCAACCCCTATTAGCAGTAAAGTCTTGGCAACCTATTCCAATCTCTGGCTTTCATTTACTTCTGCTCATCTATAAAAGCAAGGGTAGGCACAATCATATTTGCCTTACAAGATGACTGGAAGGATCAAGTCAAGTGTTCCATAGAATTATTCTCAAAATATGAGTGGCACGGTAAGAGCTAGATACTAGGTTACATGTAACCACTATTGCCTTCATCAACACCAGCACCGACATCATCATTGTAGCCTAAGTTATTCTTTTTATTTTTTGATTTTACTCTAAGTTCTGGGATACATGTGCAGAACATGCAGGTTTGTTACATAGGTATACATGTGCCATGGTGGTTTGCTGCACCTATCAACCTGTCATCTAGGTTTTAAGGCCCACATGCTTTAGGTATTTGTCCTCATGTAGCGTAAGTTATTCCTAATAACTACACTCCTCAAATATTGAGGCTATTTTCTCGTTTTTTTTCTAAAACAACTTGTGGAATGCCTTTATATGAGAGTTCTCAGCCTTCAAGGGATGTGAGACTACTCTGCTTGGAAAAATGTTCGTGCCCAGGACTGATCCCATTATTCTGGTGCTGTTGAGAAACCCCACTCTAGGGTGTACCTGATTTTGTAATTCCCTAAACTCTAAAGCAGCATCTGCATGGATACAAGTATGCCTATTCATTTAAAATAGTGGGAAAGAGGGGTTGCTAATAACACAAGTGTTCCTCAGTCATCAAGCGCTAGGGTCAACGCGGCTACAGGCAAGCGAATACTTTCCTGAGGGTAGGGAACCATCCCAATATTGGAACAGCAGAGGCAAAGGGACTGTACACAAAGGCAGCTGCTGTGATGGCAAAATTTAGTAGCTTGTGCTTCCCTCATTCTCTGGTTTCTCTCCCTTGACCCTAAAAGACCTATGTCACTCAAACAGTCTGCCCCAAGCAGTCCTCCCGGATCTGCCACTCATGCCAATGAATCCTATCCACCTTCCTTCCATGCATGATTCTCTTTTGACCGCTGATCATCCACTAATCATCACTCCAGTGACTTGTTAGGAACCTTCTTGGCCCCACTTTTCCAGAAACCGTGACTCAGCCAGGCAAGGCAGGTTATTTGGGGTGGCTTGATGGGAGTGAGAAGGGGTGGGTAGGAGGGAGTAGGGGTGAGAGGAAAAGGCAATTTACGGCGCCTGTGGGTAGCTGGCTTCCCCCGACCAGCACATTTCTAATTTTATTTTGCTTGCATTTATATTAGGAAACGCTGCAACCACCTCGTGCTAAGGGCGGGGGATAAACCAGAGGAAGATGTGAAAGCTCATAGCAACCTAGAGACAGGGGGCTTGAATCCCCCCGAGTCCTCCTAGTTCAGGCGAATGCCCACCTGGCACGAGAGCTGAAAAGGAAACCCACCCATTACCCCAGGGCAGGAATCAGTGTAACTTACATTCTTGTTCATTTTCTCCTGGAAATGCAATACATTACCCTTGCTTACTAGGTGTGCCTCTAGATTTCAACAACTCTTTCTCTCTCTTTTAAGACTCAAGGCCTTTTTTGTTTGTTTGCTTTACATGAAAAATACTCCTTGGAGTTTTTAATTCCCTGTATTTACTAGTGATAGAGTCCTAGAGCCTAGAATTTCTATCCCTATGACAGCTACCAGCCCACTGGATAAACGTTTAAATTTAGAAACCAGAGTCCAATTTTTTTTTTTTTTTTTTTTTGAGAGGCAGTCTCACTCTGTCGCCCAGGCTGGGGCGCAGTGGTGCAATCTCGGCTCACTGCAAGCTCCGCCTCCCAGGTTCACACCATTCTCCTGCCTCAGCCTCCCGAGAAGCTGGGACTACAGGGGCCCACCACCACACCTGGCTAATTTCTTTGTGTTTTTAGTAGAGACGGGGTTTAACTGTGTTAGCCAGGACAGTCTTGATCTCCTGACCTCATGATCCCCCCACCTCGGCCTCCCAAAGTGCTGGGATTACAGGTGTGAGCCACAGCACCCGGCCCAGAGTCCTTTTTTTTTTTTTTTTAAGTGTATGTATCTAAGGTATACAACATAATACTTTGACATACTTATCTTGACTTCCACATACAGAGTGAAGTGATTATGTAGTCAAGCAATTTAACACACTCATCATCTCATAAAATTAGTTTCCTTTCTTCCCTCCTTTCTATTTTTATATTCTTGAAATTTTTTTTTCTTTTATAGTGAGAGTACCTAGAATCTACCCTTTTGGCAAATTACCAGTATTCAATACATTATTATTTCTTAGAGTCATCATACTGTACATTGGATCTCTAGACTTGCTCACACACAGATGTACTTTTCAGCCCTGTGTGACCTTGGACATGTCATTTAACCTCCCTGAACCCCCTTATTGATACTATGAGAATGATAATTGGAGCAACAATGTTGTAAATTAGAAAACACATGTAAGAACTTTAACAGCATGCCTGACACCTACTAAGAGCAAAATACAGAGTAGCAGTTGTCATCATCATCAACATTAGCATCAGTATGACGGTCAGTCTTAAGTGTCAACCTGGTTAGAATACAGTATCCGTTTATTCCATAAAATGTTAATTTAGGTATTGCTGTGAAGGCATTTTATAGATATGAATAACACCTAACATTGATTGTCTTTAAGTAAAGTAGATTGTCTTAAGAAATCTTGGTGAGTGTAGTGCAATTGGAAAAAGGCCTTAAGAGCAAAACTGTGAGGAAGGACCACACCGTGGTCCATGTGATCCTTGAGGACCACAGTGTGGTCCACGCTGTCAGCTCCTGCCCAAGAGTTGCCAACATACTCTTCCTGATGGCCTGGCCCATGGATTTCTGAATTGCTTAGTCAGCCTCGCAATCCTATAAGTACTCCCTTGCAATAAATCTCTTAACCTATAGAAGTATCCTATTGGTTGTGTTTCTTGTGTGGGATCTTGACTGATAAAATCATTGTCATCATCATTATCACCCTTATTGAATACACACAATTGCAGGGCAGGTTGACAAGCAATGCACACACTGCAAAGATGCACTTCATTGGATTTTCTTCCTTTGGGAAATCTGCACTGAGCGTCGCTATCCCTGGTTTTCACTGGAGAATGATCATTTTTAGAGGCAAGGCAGTTTAATAAGCACAGGTGAATCAATGGGGCTTAAAAGCTTTCATTTTGCCTGCCTACCATCAACTCTATGGTGCATCATGGAACCCCTGCACTAGGGGTCAGGCATTTTCAAGACCTTGAGAGTGTGTGTGCCACTTCAGCTTCCCTGGAGAGACTCTTGTCTCATTCATCTATTGCATCATCCATTCATTCAACATTTGGCTGAACACAACAGAACGCCCCTGGGCAATGATGACTCAGACAAGACTCCTGCCCCCACAAAGGTTACACTCAGTGAAGGGAGGCATATAGGGAACCAGCAAACCAAATACGGATTAAAAATTTTTTTAAATGCGACTTAAGTGCTCAAAAAGGAAAAATTTAATAGAGTGGTTACAATGGGTAAGAGGAGCCATTTTTGATGAGAAGGTGAGGGTTGGCCTCTTTGAGGAGGTAATGTTTGCACTGAGAGCAGAAGGAAGGGCAAGAGCCAGCCATGTAATAAGCTGGCAGGAGCCAACTGCAAGTGCAAAGGCCTTGAGGTTATTATCCAAATGATAGCAGGGGCTTTTAAAAAGGTAAGTAAGTTAAAATGAGGTCACTAGGGTGGGCTCTAATCTAATCTAACTGGTGTCCTTATAAGAAAAGGAGATCTTGTTATTTATTTATTTATTTGAAACAGAGTTTCGCTCTTGTCGCCTACGCTGGAATGCAATGGCACGATATCAGCTCACTGCAACCTCTGCCTCTTGGGTTCAAGTGATTCTCCTGCCTCAGTCTCCCAAGTAGCTGGCATTACATGCATGCACTGCCACACCCTGCAATTATTATTATTATTATTATTATTATTATTATTATTATTATTATTTTGTATTTTTGGTAGAGACAGAGTTTCACCACGTTGGCCAGGCTGCTCTTGAACTCCTGACCTCAGGTGATCTGACCACCTCGGCCTCCCAAAGTGCTGGGATTATGGGCATAAGCCACTGTGCCCAGCTGAAAAGGAAATTTTGGACACAGACATGCATAGAGGGAAGATGAAGTGAAGAGTAGATGGGTCCCTCATGAATAGATTAATGCCCGCCAGGAAGGGAATAGAGGGTGAGTGAATTCTTGCTCTCTTAGTCCTTAGGAGAACTGGTGGGCTTTTTGTCTGTTTATCTGTTTGCTTACAGACACAGAATCTCACTCTTCACCCAGGCTGGATTGCAAGTGCTGCAATCACAGCTCACTGTAGCCTCAAATACCTGGACTCAAATAATCTTCTTGCTTCAGCCTCTCTATTAGTTGGGACTACAGGTATATGCCATCATGCCCAGCTAATCTTTTTAATTTTTTGTTGAGATACGGTCTTGCTATGTTGCCCAGGTTGCTCTGAAACTCTTACCCTGAAGCAAACTTCCCACCACAGCCTCCCAAATTGCTGGGGTTACAGGTATGAGCCACTGCACCCAGCAGAGAACAGGTTGTGAAAAAGAGCCTGGCTCCTCCCCACTATCTCTTGCTTCCCCTCCCACTATGTATCTCTGCACATACCAGCTCCCTTTCTCTTTCTGCCACGAGTGGAAGCAGCATGAAGTCCTCACCGGAAGCAGATGCTGGTGCCTGCTTCTTACACAGCCTGCAGAACCATAAGCCAAAACACCCCTCTTTTCTTTATAAATTCCCCAGCGTTAGCTACTCCCTTACTGAAACACAAGTGAACTAAGACAAACTGTCTCCAAATACAGTCACATTGTGAGGCAAAGGGAGCCAGGATTTCAACATATGAATTGGTGGAGGGACAATCTGGCCGATTATAGATGGTGACATAATTGGCTACAGTTTCATACCTCAGCCCAAGTAAGATACCTGCCTCCAAAAACCAAACTCCAGGGATACATAAACAGCCATCTCCAGCTTTTCCTGTAACCACCAAAGTTGCTCTTGCTTCCCTGTTGCAGGATTGATGTTGCCTAAAGTCCTAGTTTTCCAGAGAAGATACCATGCGCCGGTTTCAGTGAGTGATGGAAAAAAGAAACCCCACTTACAGGAGGCTCACAATAAAGGTAACTGAGAAGCTTCCCCAGGACTAAGATTGAGAGGAAGGAGAGGATGCACCCTGTGGAGTTCAACTCTCACTGTCACCATTTATCTTCTCCTTAGCTCTCTCTCCTGAATAAAGGTAAGATATTCTCTGGTGATAGATGGTGGCCTGCTCGTTCTATTGCTGCACATTCTAGGAGAAGCTACATGAACTGGGTGCAACAGGCAAATTAACCCTGGCTGTGTTGGAGGCAACTGCCTTACAGAGAACCCTAGGTAGCTCCACAGTTGTTGCATTCTTTTAAACAAAGATAAAACATTTCTTCCGCTCCATCCTTCTTTAGGTTGCAGAGACTGTTCTCAGCAAGGAGCACTGTTTTGCTGTCATAGTTTCCATGTCATTATTTTTTGTGGCAAGATCAGTCGTTAATCCAATCACGTCTTCATTCTGTCAATATTCACTGGATCATCTATTATGTAGCAGGCACTGTGCTAGGGGCCAGTCCGGGGGTTGCACTGGATGTGGTTTTAATAAAATGTTATGTTTTGACTATTTTGTGCTGTTGAGTTCCTCTCTCTACCATTCATGTGAACCTAACGGAGAGAGAAATAAAGATTCTTGGAAGGGACAGTGGAGAAATAAGAAAAATCATGTTCCATCTGGTCAGAAACATGCATGACTCACCAACCTGAAGCTAGCAGAATGAAGGGCCGGAACGTGACCAGAGGAACCCCCATAACGCCCGGCCAATGATGCCATATACATAAAAATGAGCAGCTACGGAAGACACAAAGGTAATGAAGATGCTATAAAAGAAAATACAGCGTACACCTCTTGCTGATCAGCTAAGAAATGCCATGAAGATGGATGGGGTGATTTGAAGCCTCAGTTACCAACTGTACAAAAGCACCTACACATCTGTAGGGTATTTCCATAAAGCCCTTGAAGTTGCCAGGATGAAGCATGGCATTGCACTGAGCTGCAAGGGGCTAAATTGGCTGCAAAAGGCCATGAAGCTCTGTGCACTGTAAGTGGGACTACCACACAGAACAGAAACAGACCATGCTGTAAGAAGCAATAAACTACTGTTTCAAGTTAAGACGGTTTCTCCAGCCTCTCCATTTTTTTTTTCTGATAAGAAGAGAATTGATTGTTTATAAATCCCAACTTAAAATGCCCCTTTCACTCTCCCCTGTTGCATATTTCTCCTTGGCCAGGACTGGGAATTCAGCTATGAGAAATCTCACAGTAAATGTCGTCGGCATCTGTTTGTCACTTCGTAAATCCTCACTCTGTGCTTGTCAGGACTTCAGGATCACCTTTTAAAACTAATCTAGCTGAGGGATAAGACAGCATTCTTAGCACTTCAACTTGAGTACGATATGACTGGCAATAAAATCAGCCTTAACCCATATGATTGGCAGAGGGAATGGTATTGCAGCAACTCATTTTTGAGAGCTTGCAAGTGTCTTTCTAAAATATATGTGTGTGTGTGTGCATATATATATGCACACACGCATATTATATATATTAATAAGGAAATATAATACATATATGTATATATATATTTCAGTAAGTAAATATTCTAATTGCTAAAAATGCATGTAGTGTATTTATAAGGGGTATGTTAGGCTTACTTGGCAAGGCAAAGTCAAACCAATTGCATGGTACACAACCTGAAAACTTTCACCTACTTCCCATTATTAACTTAGATACTTGCCATACAAACACAAAAGACTAAGATGTTACTGTCTGGTAAATCCACTTTACCTACTGGGTCTCCCTAGAAAGGTTATGAGTCTGTTTCTACTGACTTACTCCAATAATAAATATTACTGTGTGTACAAGATTATGTTTCTAAATTAGACTATCAGGTAAGCACTTCCCTAAACCTGCTTAACATTTTACTGAGTTCCTAGTGTCAGTCTAAGTAAAACTAAACATCCTACTCGCCTCTGGGTGGGCAAGCCACACCTGTGTTCAGAACACAACATCGGCCATAGGCTCATCATGTCGTAGATCAAATCGTATGAGAAAACCAGGCTGTCCTCCTGTATTCTAGCATAAACACCGAAGTGGGGACACCACTAATAGCTGCCTTGCTTTGGATGCGTTAAGCAGAGCACAATTGGCTCCTCAGTAATTACTACACACAGTTCTCTCAGTGGTAAGGTTTCAATTCACCTCATACAGATAATCACTGCAGTCCCTGCACTCACTTTTGCCCTTTTCAAAGACTCAGGGACTTCGTTTTCTTTCTGCCCATCACCAAAGACTGCAGATGGTGGACCAAGTTTACGTCAATGTTATTAATGACCAAGAAGGCATGGAATTTTGGTTTCTAAAATGTATCGTATTTTGTAAACACAGATTGTAGAAGTGAAAACAGGGTGGATAGGAACATTCTACTGAAAGGTTCATGTTTATTTCCGTAAGTTTTCTTTTTTTTCTTTTTCTTTTTTTTTTTTTCCTGAGACAGAGTCTCACTCTATCACCCAGGCTGGAGTGCAATGGCATGATCTCACTTCAACCTCCACCTCCTGGGTTCAAGCCATTCTCCTGCCTTAGCCTCCCGAGTAGCTGGGATTACAGGAGAGCACCACCACACCCAGCTAATTTTTGTATTTTTAGTAGAAATGAGGTTTCACCATGTTGGCCAGACTGGTCTTGAACTCCTGACATCAAGTGATCTGCCTGCCTCAGCCTCCCTAAGCACTGGGATTACAGGTGTGAGCCGCCACGCCCCGCCCATTTCCATACATTTTCACTCAACTGGAGTTTTCCAAAATATTCATCGAGCAAGCCTCATCTCTCTCACTATTTTTCTTGGTCTCTCAGCCTCTATCTTACTATCAGTGAAGGGAGGTGGGAGGAGAAAATCAGATAAAAGGGGAAGTAAATATTCCACATGTAACTTCTACCTCTATCTCATAGAGGAGTGGCATCATACTCCCACCTCCCCTTGTTACACATGGAAAAGAGAGTGTAGGATAAAGAGAAAGTCACAATATTCTTTGGGACAAAAAAGACAAGGAATTTCAAGTTGAAGTGCATAGTCCCAGACAGTGCAAGAGACATAGAAAGATGAATATATCCAAAACAGTCAAGAACAGAAAACCAAGGAGTAGAATGGCGAATGCCAGAAACTGTGCGGAGGGGAAAATGAGGAGTTACCAATCAGTTTGCATTAAGGGAGAAAAGAAGGAAAAGAGAAAGGATTGGGGAGAGGGGGAGAAAAGGAGATGAAGGAAGCCTCGCTCTAAAAATACAAGGAAAAATGCCAGTGAATAATCCCTGATGTCTTAGAACAGTGAGGAACTTTTTCATTTTTATTTTCTTAAGACACAGTCTTGTTCTGTTGCCCAGGCTGAAGTCCAATGGCACGATCATAGCTCACTACAGCCTTGACCTCCCAGGCTCAAGTGATTCTCCATCCTCAGCTTCCTGCGTAACTGGGACTACAGGTGCATATCACCATGCCTGGCTAATTTACTATTATAATTTTTATAGAGACAATGTCTTACTATGTTGCTTAGGCTGGTCTCAAACTCCTGGGCTCAAGTGATCCTCCCACTTCAGCCTCTCAAAGTACTGGGATTTCAGGTATATGCCATTACACCTGACCAGGAACTTATAAATATGGGAATGCTAATATTAAAGTGTTTGCAATCCTGTCCTCCCTCAGATTAAAATGGGATACACACAATGGCCTTGAGTGATGCTGCAAGTTTAGGGTGGGCCTGAGATAGAGGCAAGAGATGAGAGGTAGGATGAGATGGTTCATTGAGAATGGATCATTGGAATGAATGGTTACTCTGAGAAAGTAAAGCCTTCTGGCAGGTATCTGCAGATACCCTGTGGGTGCCGTGGATTTCCCACCTCCCATGGATTAGAGTTGTAGCCAGTTTAAATATGGAAATCTGGAGAAGTCAGGGGCACCCTGGCTGCAGATCGAAATGTTAGTTAAAGATTGCGACAGTCTTAAAATATAACGTAAGTGATGTTTGAGAACACAGCACAGCTTGTACAGCCCTATGTAAAGCAGATGCAAATCATATGTAAATGTGCACCTGTCCTTCTTGACTAGTTCTGACTTCAGCCCCTTCTGAGGACTGGCTCTCTGGACAAACTTAGATTTCTGGTTAAATCCGTGGCCGGTAAGACAATCACTTGCTGGGAAGGCACAAGATTGCCTTTGCTTGGTGGGTTATGAGGAGATTTCGAGAAAGAGTCACTAACCAAGCAGATATTTGCAAAGGGAAACAGAGAAATGGAAGAGACCATGTATTAACCAAAATGTGGACTAGGGCTCACACATAGAGGGACCCTATCTGAGCTGTGAGAAGCATGGACAAAGCTGTGCCAGCTGAAAACTCACTGCAATCCTGGGCACGGCCCACCTCTATAATTTTCCAATTCCTCACAGTGGTAACACAAATACAACATAAAAGTTACTATCTTAACCATTTTAAGCATACAATTCAGTAGCATTAAGTATATTTATATTGTTATGCAACCATCACCACCATAACCTCCAGAACTCTTTTTGTCTTGTAATACTGAAACTGTGTACCCATTAAACAATAACTGTCCTTTCCCCTACCTTCCTCTCCACCAGCCACCACCATTCTCCTTGACTCTCTGCTTTTCACTACAAACTTCATGTGAGTGGAATTATACAGTGCGTGTGTTTTTGTGACTGGCTTATTTTACTTAGAATAATGTCCTCAGGGCTCATTTGTGAAGCATGCGTCAGAATTTTCTTCCCTTCTAAGGTTGAATAATATTCCATTGTGCGTGTGTGAGTATCACATTTTGCTTATCTGTTCATCATTGATAAACACTTGTATTAGTCCCATATTTTAGCTGTTATGAATATGAGTGTAAAAACATTTCTTTGGCTGGGTGCAGTGGCTCACGCCTGTAATCCCAGCACTTTGGGAGGCCGAGGCAGGCGGATCACGAGGTCAGGAGATCCAGACCATCCTGGCTCACACGGTGAAATCCCATCTCTACTAAAAATATAAAAACAAAATTAGCCTGGCACTCCAGCCAGGGTGACAGTGAGACTCGGTCTCAAAAAAAAAGAACATTTCTTTGAGGCTGTACTTCAGCAGACCCCAACCTTTTTGGCACCAGGGACCAGTTTTGTGGAAGATAAACTAATGGCCAGGGTGGGGGGCTGTTGCAGGGGATGGTTTCAGGATGAAACTGTCCCACTTCAGATCATCAGGCATTAGATTCTCATAAGAAGTGCACAACCTAGATCCCTCACATGCAGAGTTCACAAAAGAGTTTGTGCTGCTGTGAGAACCTAATGCCGTGGCTGCTCTGACAGGAGGTCGAGCTCAGGTGCTGATGCAAGCAATGAGGAGTGGCTGTAAATACAGAAGAAGCTTTGCTTGCTCATCCACTGCAGCCCAATTCCTAACAGGCCATACACCGGTACCACTACATGACCCAGGGACTGGGGACCCCTGCTCTACATTCACCTCTTTTAAATATATATCCAGAATAAGAATTGTTGGATCATCTGGCAGTTCTATTTTTAATTATTTGGGAATCTCCATGCTGTCTTCCACAGCACCTGTACTATTTTACCTTCCTACCCACAGGGCGTAATGGGTCCAATTTTTCCACATCCTTATCAACACGTGTTTTCTGTGCTTCTTTTTTTTTTTTTTTTATTTGCAGCCATCCTAATGTGTGTGAGGTGGTATCTCATTGTAATTTTTATTTGTCTTTTCTCTAATGATTAATGATGTTGAGCATCTTTTTTCATGTGCTTATTGGCCATTTGTTTATGTTCTTTGAAGAAATGTCTATTCAAGTCCTTTAACCATTTTAATCAAGTTGTTTATATTGCTGTGGTTGTTGTTGTTGTTGAGTAACCCATATTGATTTTTGGAGACAGTTAAGCGGCTCTAGGAGAAAGACCATGGGAGGATCTTCCAAAGTCAATGCAAATTCTACATTTATGCATATCCTCCTAACACATGCTACTTAGGTGTTAATTGGCTTCCCAAACTTCTGCAAGTTCTGCCAGTGTTACCTCTGAAATAAATCCCTCGTACATCTCCTCTGCCATCTAAGTCTACCCCACCATCAATACTCCCTCTGATCTACAGTCTACAGTCACTGCCCAAATGAGCTTCCTAACTTCACGCTTGCCGTGCCCATTCTCTACCAGCCTGGGTAAGCTTTGTAAATAAGAATCAGATCGGCCGGGCATGGTGGCTCTTGCCTGTAGTCCCAGTACTTTGGGAGGCTGAGGTGGGTGGACCACCTGAGGTCTGGATTCAAGACCAGCCTAGCCAACAAGGTGAAACCATATCTCTGCTAAAAATACTAAAAATTAGCCAGGCGTGGTGTTGGACACCTGTAATCCCAGCCACTTGGGAGGCTGAGGCAGGAAAATCGTTTGAACCCAGTGGGGCAGAGGTTGCAGTGAGCCCAGATTGTGCCATTGCACTCCAGCCTGGGCGACAAGAGCAAAACTGTCTCAAAAAAAAGAAAAGAAAAAAAAAAAAAAGAATCAGATCGTGGCATTCTCTTGCCTAGATCAAACTAAGGACCTCCTGCCTCAGCCAGAATAGAATCCCCACTTCTTAACATAGCCCACAATAGGAGACACAGGACTTGATCTCTCCTGTTTCCTTCACCTCAGCTGGTGACTTCACCTCTTCTACTACCTGGCTCTCCGTTGTTTCTCTGCTATGCTGTGTTGCTCACTTTGGTATCTGGCATTCCTTTGGTTTGGGATGTTTCTCCCTGAGAGGTGCATATACCAGACTTTGTTTTAACCTCAGAGAGGTCTTTCTCTCCAACCCTTGCCCCAATTCCTCTCTCTCATATCTTCCAGCTTTGTTGCCTGCAGAGCAATTTTTACATTCAGAAATAAATTTATATTTGTGATTCCCACACTGATCTCATAAAATTCAATTTGGTTGCTATTTAGAGAGTCCCCAAATAATGGTGGCTTAAACAAAATATAGATTAATTTTTCTCTCCCATACAAGAAGTTCAGGGCTACATATTCCATCTTAAACCTTCTTGCCTCATTCACTTTTTTATTCCATTATCCTTAGAACATAGATTCCACCAACGAAGTTGCCTCAAAGTCACATAATGTCATACAACAGCGCGGAGAAAGCATGAAAGGGCCTATGGTGTTTTCATCACGATGAGTTAGTCCCTATTAGAGGCTTTTCCCAGGATGCATGTCTAATAATTTTCACTGCCATCTTAATGGGGATCCCTCTCTGCTAAGCCGAGGAACACAGCATTATTATCCTTTAATTTGGGGCATACTGACTCTGACTAAGTGAACTATTTCCAAGCACTCTATTCCTTTAAAAGAAGGCATAAAGGGATACTGGGTAGACAGCTGGCAGTTTCTGTCACAACTCCTTCTTGAATGTTTTTCCTCGAGCAGAAAATATGAGCTCCATGCAAGCAGTGATGTTGTCTGTGGGGTATATTGCAACATCATCCTTAGTGCCTACTGCAGTGTCTGACAGGCACACCATAAATAGAGGTGCAATAAACATTTGCTGAATATGGAGAGAGCACAGTTGTGGGTTATATTTTCTAAGATGATACTTAACGATGCACATGCGTGCTTCCTGTCACATTCAGGCTCTTCCATAAGACAGGCCAACTTAGTGTCACCATTAAGTTATTCACTTCTCCACTCCACTCCCTGGGAAAACCTACCTGCTTTAAATCTCAGAACCACAGTATCATCCTTACCATCTACAAGGACAGTCGAGTTTCCTTTCTAAAAGTCACTACTTCCTAGGATTTTGCATTATATTCCAGGTGGAGGCCCAATTTGTAGCCCAGAACAATTCAAACCAGTTTTGTTGGTGCTATGTGTTCATGTCCCTGACACTATTATGTATTATGACTAGTATCTGACTTTTAGATTTCACTCTAGAATTTCCCAGAAATCTGGCTCTATGATTGTGACTATCCACATTCTGAGCACATTCAAGAATGAGATTACAAAAGTGTTCCCCAACACGTTGTTTGTTCTTTTGTCTAATTTCTTTGTTGTTGTTGTTGTTGTTGTTTTGTTTTGTTTTTTTGAGATAGAGTCTTGCTCTGTTGCCCAGGCTGGAGTATAGTTATGAGATCTGAGCTCACTACAACCTCCACCTCCTGGGTTCAAGCAATTCTTGGGTCTCAGCCTCCTGAGCAAACTGGGATTAAAGGTGCCTGCCACCATGCCCAGCTAATCTTTGTATTTTAGTAAAGACGGGGTTTCACCACGTTGGCAAAGGCAGATCTTGAACTCCTGACCTCAAATGATTGGTCTGCCTCAGCCTGCCAAAGTGCTGGGATTACAGGCGTGAGCTACTGCACTGCCCAGCCTTTTTGTCTAATTTCATCCCAGCCCTGATCAGATTATTGGCTGATTCTGTGTATGGAAGTAGATACCATTCCTCTGAACATGAGTATACACAGCAATGACAGGTGTTTGGCTGTGTTAAAACTTCCAAACCTTCAGGCGTACGCTGCCTGAAACACTCAGTCATTCATTTCCAAAGACATTTTGAAGTGCATGATTCAGGGCCTATTTGGAAAACATTTCTCACCTACTACTTTTTAAATGATTACCATTCGATTTTTCAAATGATAAAACAGAAAAAAAACCCTTTAAACACTCAGTGGATCCTGAATTATTAAACATAAAAGGGCACTTTGGTGTATTTATTATCACACTGAAGGAAATCTTGTCTGGTTTAAGCTCTTAGCTCCTTAAAATGTCCCCCTCTATGCTGAAGTGCAGTTAAAAATGCATTGCCATAAAAATCCATCCATTTCCAATTTTCTCATCAACAGTCCCTAACATTGTGAGCTGTCACCTCTGCAGCCTGTGTTCTTCCTCTGGGGAGGAGGACGGACCTGTGGTGATGATATTCTTACTTCCCTTGTCCCTTGGAACTGAAACTCAGTCCTGGTGCTTGGAGCTGTCTCCTTTTCTACTTTCCCAGATGGACACCATTTCTCTAAGGGTTGATTTCAGGGGTTCTCCTGCAAGCATGGTTCATACTGAGCAAACTGTGAACAAGGCAGCCAACTCATTGCCTGGGAACCAACACTATATTTTGCCTCTGATAGTGTGCTATGGTTTCAATGTGTCCCCCAAAGTCCATGTGTCAGAAATTTAATATCCATTGCAACAGTGTTGGGAGGTGAGGCCCAGTAAGAGGTGATTAGATTACGAGAACTCCACTTTCACGAATAAAGTCATTACTGCTGCAGTGAGTTAGTTATCATGTGAGTGGATTGTTATAAAAGTGAGTTCATCTATTCTTCCCTCTTGCCCTTCCACCATGTGATGGAGGAGCAGGAAAGCCCATGTGATATGCAGTGTCATGCTCTTGGACTTTCCAGCCTCCAAACCCATGAGCCAAATACACTTTGATTGCTTTTAAGTTACCCAGTCTTAGATATTCTGTTACAAAAACACAAAACAAACTAAAACACTCTGTCTTCCTGTTTTTGATTTTATCTCTTTTGCAATGGAGGTGGAATTCATATAACATAAAATTAACTATTTTTAAGTGTACAAATGAGTAGCATTTAGTACATTCACAATGTTGCACAACTACCACCCTCTGTCTAGTTTCAAAACATTTTCATCACCCCAGAAGAAAACCACCGGGTATATTGGCCATGTGCGGTGGCTTACGCCTGTAATCCCAGGACTTTGGGAGTCCAAGGCAGGCAGATCACGACGTTAGGAGATTGAAAACATCCTGGCTAACACGGTGAAACCCCGTCTCTACTAAAAATACAAAAGATTAGCCAGCTGTGGTGGCGGGTGCCTGTAGTCCCAGCTACTTGGGAGGCTGAGGCAGGAGAATGGCGTGAACCCAGGAGGTGGAGCTTGCAGTGAGCCGAGATCGCTCCACGGCATTCCAGCCTGGGCGACAGAGCAAGACTCCGTCTCAAAAAAAAAAAAAAAAAAAAAAAAAGAAAGAAAGAAAACCACAAGGTATGAGCTGAGTGGAACGGGGGAAAAAAGAGAAAACACATGATCATTTTTCAGTTACACTCCCAATTCCTGCTCCCTTGGCAACCCCCATTCTGTTTTCTGTCTCTGTGAATTTTCCTATTCTGGATATTTCACGGAAATGGAATAACATGTGACCTTTTGTGTCTGGTTCCTTCCCTTAGCATAATGCTCTCATCTACATTGTAGCATGTATCAGTACTCCACTTATTTTTACTGTTGAATAACGTTCTACTACAGGGATATACCACATTTAGTTTATCCACACACCTGGTGATGGACAGTTGAGTTGTTTCCACCTTTTAGCTATTGTGGATAATGCTGTGATGAACATTTCTGTACACATTTTTGTTTGAGTACTTGTTTTCAATGTTACTGCAAATAAACTTCCAAGTGGAATTGCTTGGTAATGTGGTAATTTTATGTTTAACTTTTTTTAAGGCATGGCCACACAGTTTTACACTATCTGTGATAATTCTGCAGTATCACAGCTTGATGTTTTTTTTTTTTTTTTTTTTTTCCACTCACAGGTTTTTAGGCTCTCTCCCCATGACTACCTTTTAACTTAGCTTCAAAGAAAAACATCACTCCAGAAACAGAAAGAAGCTCTGGGATTCCCAAGATCAGGAGTTAAAATCGATAGCAAGCTCAGTCGCTTCCTGCTTCAACCACGACATGAAGCAATAGCTGCTCAGAGCCACAGTTTTCCTTATTCATTTTCTTCATCCCTAAAGACAACGGCTATGAAGGAGGCTTGGAAGAGCCACATCTGTACTTAGTTTCAACAGCCTGGAGAAACCAGAGAACGCTAGAATGAAGGACAGATTGGAGATGGGTAGAGAAGGAATAACTGGGAGAGATGGAACAGGAGTAATACATGTGTTCAGGTGTCTAGCACACAAGGAGCAACTGGCTGAAAGATGGCTATGGTGTGCACCTTCGAAATGGAGTCTTTTAAACTCTCCTTAAAATTACCCAGACTTGCGTGCAAAGATTAGACCACTGGATTTATATATTTCAGATAACCCAACTTCCCCTCTGCACACCACTCTAATTATATTTAGCTGTGCATATTTACCTTTGGCTCAGAATTCCATTTCCTTTTCCCTTTGCACATGCTGTCCTCTTTGCTTGAAACACCCTTCCATAAATCATCTGTGTGAAAAAATTCCCACCCATCCTCAAAAGCCTGCCCAGGCTTCCCTTCTTTCCGCAAACCTTCCAAAAACTCACTTTGCAGCATGACTCCTGACCCTCTGTACACAGATGCCTTTGCATTTTACTTATAGTTATACACACATGCCTGTCTCCTTTGCCTAACTACAAGTTCTTTGAAGGCATTGACCCTGGTTTCCTCTAAAAAATGCGAATAAAAATATTCATGGCTCAGGATTGTTGTCAGGGTGAAGTGGGTTTGTGCATTTAAAGAGCCGGTTGCACTAACCTGCACATTGTAGACGCCTCTTAAATGTTTGGGAAGCCATTGGACCTTTGGGTACCTACACTATCAGTGTTGGCAATGGTCTGAATGAAAGATGTTTCTTGATTTTGTGCTGCTAAGCAAGTCAGTGGCAAATGGGGCTGGGGAGAGGGGGAGTGAAGCAGGGTGGGTAGGAAAAGTTGAAGGAGAAATTCCCTGAGACATCTTCAGGATGAAAGGGGAGAGTGAAGATAACACAGTCGATAACAAGAACATTACATTCACCATGCACACAAGCACTAAATAAACTGAGTTAACGGAATCATTATTACCATTCTGACTATGGAACATACTGATTATTTATACTTCAAAATTATTGGGCCAAGCCTGTTCCTTTACTTCCTTTAGAAAAATGAGGAGGAGTAGGATGATGAAGAGAAAAGAGCAAACAATAATAATAACAATAATAATAATAATTAAAACTCCCTATGGGAGGCTGGGAAATATGATACTCACATTTTTTTTTTCAGACGGTGACAGCCTGGAAGAAACTCCTTAGATCTTGCCACAAATAGCAGTGTGGCAGTAGAGAATGAAAGAAAAAATCATATCACGTGGGCTAACCTTTATTCAGTGACACATTTATAAGAAATATAAACCAGGCACCTTTCTAAAATTATGAGCATCGAGCTGGGCACAGTGGTTCATGCCTGTAACCCCAGCACTTTGGGAGGCAGAGGCAGGCAGATTACCTGAGGTCAGGAGTTGAACACCAGTCTGGCCAACACGGTGAAATCCCGTTTCTACTAAAAATACAAAAATTAGCCAAGTGTGGTGGTGCAGGCCTGTAGTTCCAGCTACTCGGGAGGCTGAGGCTATCGCTTGAACCTGGGAGGTGGAGGTTGCAGTGAGTTGAGATCCCACCACTGCACTCCAGCCTGGGCAAGAGAGTTGGACTCTGTCTCAATAAATAAACAAACAAATAAATAAATACATAAATAAAGAGAGCAAGAGCAAGCATCGTAGGTCCTCAAACAGTCTTTCAAATCTGTGCTGTTGGGTCAGTTGTTCTGTTTTGCCTTGCCAATATTAGAGGACAGCCACCTGCCCAGGTCGTGTAATAATGATCACCTCCTCTCAATATGTCTTTGATACTCTTACAGTGGACAAATTTGCACACCAGGTCATTGGTGAAACTGGCTAGAAAAGACACTGCAACCAAGACTTTCACAAGAAGCCTTATTTTGCAAGCCTGTGTGATGAAATTAATTTAAGAGAATGAGGCTCAGCCAGAGACATTATCACCAAATATAAGGCTATTCTGGGAAACTCAGTCCATGAACAGAGTCCACCCCAACTCCTAATATGGCTGGTCCAACAAGAAATGCAATATGAGGCACAAAACATGGTGAAGTTGACAGACTTAAGGGTGTTGATAGACTGAAGAGCTCTTTATTAAAATTCAGAGAGTATAATTTTTTAAAGTTTTGTTGCTAGAATTAGAAGAACAATAAACAACTAATTAAGAACCAATCAATTTTATTAACCTCGATAAAATATTGAAAGGTGTTATTCAGCTGTCTTTGAATTCTTCACTTTTTTTTTTTTTTTGTGAAACAGGGTCTCATTTTGTAGCCCAAGCTGGAGTGCAGTGGCACAATCTCGGCTCACAGCAACCTCTGCCTCCCAGGCTTAAGCAATCCTCCCACCTCAGCCTCCCTAGTGGCGAGAACCACAGGCATGCACCACCACGTCCAGCTAATTTTTGTAGTTTTTGTAGAGATGAGGTTTGACTATATTCCCCAGGCTGGTCTTGCACTCCAGGGCTCAGGCAATCCACCCACCTCAACCTCTAAAATTGCTGGGATTACAGACATGAGCCACTGTGCCTGGGCTAAATTCACCACTTTCTAAATGTAATAAAACGAAGTGTTTCTGGGAAAGGGGTAGAAAACAGAATGGATTCAAAGATGGTTTCAGGCATTGAGTTTTAGTAATGAGTATCTGTTTGGTAATTTAAATGTACATTTTGAAATCTTTAGCCCCAAAGAGCTAGATTTTCCCAAACTCTAGCCGTTCCACTGCCAAAGTCACTAGACGGTCATCCTGTACCATAATCATAAATTGTCAGCTGCTTAGTATCTTTTTACATTGATGTGCTTTGTTTAAATTGAAATGCATTATTTTTAAAAGGCAACTGGATATCAGTAATGTAAATGATAAAATAACAATATCACTTATTCTGAATAAAAGGTAGCCATAAAATAAATACAGTGCAATCACAAGTTATTAAAATCTAACAACCATTACCTGTAGACACTGAGCCGGAGGCTTCCATTTTATTACTAAAAACAGAGATCACAAAGTATTAGAGAGATGTTTAAGACACTCTAGTACCAAATAAAGACTTTCTCATTGACACGAATAGGGTAATGGAAAGAGAAATGGAAAGAGAATAACTCCTTCTCCCAATAATTGATTCAATGTTATTTAATAGCATCATGTATACCCGTCTAAATCCATAATAATATGATACGGCTTATACTTGGGAAAGACTATTTTTAGCCAATCCTTAAAAAAAAAAAAGATAGCTAGAGATAGATGCTACTATATTTTCAACTGCTACTAGAATATCTTATCCTTCCAGTCAACTCTCCAAGAAGATTTTAGTCTGTCATTCTTTCATTCTTGTGACATGTCTGATCATTTTGAGTTACGTAAATACATTACCATAATATCTTCTAGGACCTGTTGTGCTAGAGTCTAGTACTAATATTCTGAGCTGTCTACCATGGTTGCTGGTGCAGAGCATGGGCTCTGTATTTCTGACTAAGCATCTGCTTTGTCACATACCAGCTCTGTGACAGCGAGCAAGTTAACATCACACTGTTGCAGTATCCTCAGTTATAAAGCAGAATACACAATGTAGTACCTGCCTCATTGGATCAAGGACGGTAATGCATGTAAAATGCTCATAAGAGCATCTGGCACGTGTAAGGACCATAAAAGCATTTGCAGTTATATTGATTACTTGCCTGTATTAGCTTGATACTGCTGCTGTAACAAAGACCTCAAACATGATGGCTTTAAACAACACAAACAACCCATCTTATAGTTCTGTAGTTCAGAAATCTGATGCAGGTCTCATCCAGCTACAATTAAGGAGTTTGTGGGGCATGTTCTTTTCTGGAGGTTCTAGGGAAGAATCTGAGTTCTTGCCTTTTCTAGACTCTAGCGGCAGCCTGCTGCTTTTGGCTCATGGCTTCCTTCCATCTTACAGACAGCAATAATGTGTTGAGTTCTTTTCAGGAAGAGCTGCTCTGATACTCTCTCTCTTCTGCCTCCCTCTTCACTTATAACAACCCTATGTAATCCTATTGGATCCATCCAGATAATCCAGGATAATGCGCCTATCTCAAGGCCAACCGATTAGCAAGCCTAACTCTACATGTAATCTTAATTTTCCTTTGCAGTGTAACCCAACATGCTCACAGGTTCCAGAGATTAAGACATGGCCATAGGTAAGGCAAGGGCATTATTTTGCCTACCACCTTGTCCAACCCAAAGATGTCTGTCGACACAAAGAGGAGGGGAAGAGATCTTTCTCTCTGCTTTTTACATTGTTCTCAGAAGAGGGTGTGAGACTGGCGAAGTAACAATGTTGTAAGCACATGATCCTCGGACTTCATCTTCCGTATTAGTGTGTTTTGTATGTTCCAATTTTACTTTTTAAAAATGTTGTATTTATTTTGAAATGCTTTTAGACTCACAGAAAGATTGCAAAAATAATATAGAGCACTCCTGGGTCTCTCACCCAGTCACTCCTAATGTTTAACATCATACTTAATCATAATACAATGATGGGTACCAGGAAATTGACGTCGAAACAATACTATGATCTAAACTGTCTATTGCATTAGTTTTTCCATTTGGCCCCCTTTTCGTGTGTCTGGATCTCCTCTATGATTTCACATAGTATTTTGCTGTTATTTGTCTTTGGTCTTCTCACAGTTGATGCTTCAGTACCTCAATATTTATTCAAAGTGAAGAGTGCTTGCTAAGTACTTTACTACATTCCACGTATTATAATCTCCATTGAAGGGACCCTTCTGGCCTCTATAGGCATTTGAGTCTAAAGCTCCTAAGCAAACACTACTAGGATTCAGAGAAGCACCCAGTTCAGCCAATTTCTCACCCCAACTCTCTTAGATGGAACCTCTCCACTGAATATGACATTTTCCCTAACGTCAGATTCACAAGGAAACTCTCTCTCCTTGCACAAAACATCAACAGGCTACCAAGAGGCTAAAACAATAAAATGCCAGTAAAACACAGGAGATTCTGAGAAATCTGGCATCAGAACTAGAACCGCTATTGCGAATTCCTTCTACTACCTACCCCCTTCCCCCACCAATTATTTTTTGCTTCTTTTTTTATCCCCCTTTCTCTGGTTTTGAAAACAGCTCGTAGAATTCTACAGACAGGGCATCAATAGATTAAAAACTGTTTCCCTCTAATAAAATGTTAAACGATGTTGAACATTAATCACCAGGGCCGTTTGTGCAGCCCTCCTTAGAGGGAGACGGCTCAGGAAATTTAATAAATTATTATCACAATGATGTTCCTATTATAGAATTTGCATTTCATTCCCAAGGCTTACATTCTGCCTCAAAGTTGCCTGGTGATGGTTAATAAAACCAAACGGACTCTTTCGCCTCAATGGTTAGAAGGCTATGCTTACAGTTGTCCACCACAGAGAATTCTTAGGGCTTCATACTCAATTATTTCAGCTTTCGCTCTAACCCCCTTCTTTAAAATTTTTGTTTCTTTAAAACAACTGAAGACAGTATTTAATCGTGAGCATGCCCTTCTGACGGAAACACGCACTGTAATGATATGCCTAGCTTAAAAGCAAATCTAATCTACTTGCTTATTAAATTTAAATGTGTTTAAGGCTGATATGGTTTGAAGATGATATGTAAAATAACAGCTTCCATGGTTATAAATGTCAACTCTAAAAATTATATGCAATATAACATACAAAATAAATGCTGCTTCATCTTTACATTCCACTGTGATCAATTCATTAAATGATGTGTTACAAGCCATGAGGACAATTGTACAACATGAGGCGCCATTTGTCACAGTGTATTGTAAAGCATCCAGGAAATATTGTAGCAATGTGCTGTTTTTTTTTTTTTCTTTTTTTGTCAGCAACGGATTATACGTCTTATTAGAAAGAGGAAAAAAAGCAACTTTCTGATGTGCCATGACTGGAATTACTTCTCCCATCAAATATTAAAGACTGAAGAAATCCATTATTAAGACAAAGTTCCATATTAAAAAATGAGAGGGGTTGAAAGGGGTTTCCTTTGGAAGAGAGCACTAACTATAAAGTATGATGGTGAAGAATTAAGATGGATTTTCCTCTGGGTTAGGAATCACAGTTTCATTATGTTCTAATGATATCACACTCACATCCAAGGGGTCCCCGAATAGGATTGATCATCTAGACACTATGTGGGGGTGGGAGACAGGCATACACTTCGCATTCCTGGGCCCCTTTTTCAAGGTTCTGATTGAGATGATTAGGGAGAAGTCCAGGAAAAAAAAAAGGTCTTTGTAAAATATGCTTCCTTCATGATTCTCTAAACAGTTAACATCCTCTGAAGAATAGTCAATCCTTGTTCATCATGTGCGTCTATGCAGATAAGCTCAACGTAACTGTTACCAAAAATGACTGAAATGGCGAATATGAGCAATGCCATAAACCCGAATTAAAAACTTGCTCTACAAACCTAGAACCATGCAAGGCCAGGAGAACACAGTGGATCTGTTTGTTGATGGAATGGCACTGATTTCTGGGGAGCTGAATTTCTGATTTCATGTGGTACTGGTTTCTGAGTAGCAATACCACTCTACCAACCCTCTATACCTCAGTACTACACCTACCCTCTTAGCAACCTCCTCTACTTTCCCTTCTAACTTAGGTCACTCTCCAGCTCATCAGATAGAGATCAGAGTATCACTCAGGAAAGAAAAAAAAAATGCCTGGATGATATGTAAAAATACCTGTTGGGAATTTGTGGAAGAGTTGGAAGCATCAATGCTTGTAAAGGCTGACAACAAAAACAATGAGGGAAGTTTTATTTTTTATTTTATATTATTTTTATTTTATTTATGTTTGAGGCGGAGTCTCTGTCACCCAGGCTGGAGTACGGTGGTGTGATCTCAGCTCACTGCAACCTCCGCCTCCTGCGTTCAAGTGATTCTCCTGCCTCAGCCTCCCGAGTCGCTGGGATTACAGGTGTGCCACCATGCCTGGGTAATTTCTGTATTTTTAGTAGAGACGGGGTTTCACCATGTTGGCAAGGCTGGTCTCGAACTCCTGACCTAGAACAATCTGCCCGCCTTGGCCTCCCAAAGTTCTGGGATTACAGGAGTGAGCCACTGTGCCCGGCCAAGATTTTTATTTTAAATTTAACTGTGCTAGCCCTGCCAGTAAATCATGGTTTTCCATTTCTTATTGGTCTTCTAATAAGTCTTGGGATTTTGTCATTGCTCAATGAAGAACTCTACATTTGCATCACTAATTGATGTCTTGCCCAAGCTCTTCTATTTCAATTAGGAGAATGATCTGTTTTTCTTATGGATGTGAGTTGGGCCTATTGCAGACATAAAGGCGATCAAGATGTACAATGGTGAACAGATTCTTCCAGAAAGCTGGAGGAAAGAAAGAAAACTTACTTGCTGGATGCATAGGGAAAGTTATAGAAGGGATTGCCTGCAGGTGTCTGTGGGAACCACGGGAACTGCTGACCTAGACCCCATCAGTAATTTATAACCTATGGTACCTTTTTCCCAGTGGTAGGCTAGTTTACAAATGAAGGGAAAATGAGATACAGATAATTATGCTGCATAGAGTGGCTTATGTGCTCTATTTTGTGTGTGTATGTGTGTGTGTGTGTGTGTGTGTGTGTGTGTGTTTTGGGGGACATAGTGTTTTGGAGTGGGGGCAATGTATTCTAAACTGGAGAGAATACCTGAATCAGTGTGGGTCTCCCTATGAGGATTCTATCCATTGAGGATTCCTTTTTTTTTTTTTTTTTTTTTTTGAGAGGGAGTCTCGCTCTGTCGCCCAGGCTGGAGTGCAGTGGCGCGATCTCAGCTCACTGCAAGCTCCACCTCCCGGGTTCACACCATTCTCCTGCCTCAGCCTCCTGAGTAGCTGTGACTTCAGGCGCCCGCCACCACGCCCGGCTAATTTTTTTGTATTTTTAGTAGAGATGGGGTTTCACTGTGTTAGCCAGGATGGTCTCGATCGCCTGACCTCATGATCTACCTACGTCGGCCTCCCAAAGTGCTGGGATTACAGGCATGAGCCACCGTGCCCAGCCCTGAGGATTCCTTTCTAGAAATCACTCCTTATTACCTGAATCAGTGTAGGTCTTCCTATGAGGATTCTATCCATTGAGAATTCCTTTTCGAGAAATCACTCCGTATCACCTCCAAATGCCTTAAGGTCTTGACTTGCCTCTAGCCTGATGTTCTTGAACCAACCCTTCCTTGAGTGGTTTATCAAGCTACCCAGGCTGCAATTATAGTCTTCATGGTGTCAAAGAACTTTCCCCAATCCTTAGCTGTCTGTATCCTCTGTTCCTTAAACCTTTTTCTTGATGTCCTTTCCAACTCCAAAATTTGCATTTTTAACAGCCAACTCAATGTCATTCTTTGGTTCCTTCGTAGCATGCCCTATACCAGCTCTTGCGGTCTTACTTTTGACAATTACAAGGCAAATCTGTATCTGAATCTCCAAATATATGGTAGAAATGAAGACTGCAGCAGAATAAATGAAACCTGCTGCAGGACATGTTCAACTCAGGATAATGATACTGGACTGGTATAATGAGTCAATGCTTATTGGAAAAGTCTGCAGCATAAACCACTCTTAATTGCTTAGAGTATAAAATAGCATTCAGGGAACGAGGTGGGTGATGGGGAGAAAAGGTGCAGACACCCACACACACAGCAAAACATTTCCTTTCTGCATAACTTCAGTTAGGGTCCATATTAGACCTCTGTAACATGCAGCTAAAAGCTTCCTCTAAATAGCATTTTGAAACTAACTGCAATGCAAATTTTAACTCTAGGTTTTTCATAAAACCCCATTCAGAAAATATCAGAACATTCTAATGCAGGACTTAGATAGCCAAAGGAAATATAGGAAGATGTACAACAGTTTCTTCATTTTAACTTAAAGCACTTATGTTAACTTTTCCATCTCTGCAGCCATGGACTATTTCAAGAAGCCTATGCAGAATGCACACAGGCTCAGGGAGTGTTTCATTCCATCGTATTTATACCTCTGGTTTTCTTTCCAGTTAGATAATACACCTCTTGCTGAGTTGGCTGATCTTCCAAAATTGTTAAACACAATTACCAAATATTCCACATTGCATGCAAAAAATGTGAGAAACAGAGAAAAGTTAAAATGAAATAAAAATGGCCTATAATCTCACTATCTAGAGATAACTATGGCTAGCACACAGTCAGATACATTCTCGAGATTTGTTCTCTCTGTGAGTTGATTCTTAAAGTGCTGTGATTTGACCCATGCGGTCATGGAAACCACTTTGTTCACTTGACAATACATGGTGAACATTTTCCAATATGACCGCCATAAATTAGGCAATTTTCTATGTCAGAAATTTAGGTTGTTTCTAATTTCTCACCATTAAGAAAAATGCTGATGAATATTATTTTACAGAGAGCGATTTTTGTTTCTAAGATTTTAAAAGCGCTTCTTTTCTTTTCCTTTTTTTTTTTTTTTTTTTTTTTTTTTTTTTTTTTGTGAGACAGAGTCTCATTCTGTTGCCCAGGCTGGACTGCAGTGGCACGATCTCGGCTCACTGCAAGCTCTGCCTCCCGGGTTCACACCATTCTCCTGCCTCAACCTCCCGAGTAGGTGGGACTACAGGCGCCCGCCACCACGCCTGGCTAATTTTTTGTATTTTTAGTAGAGATGGGGTTTCACTGTGTTAGCCAGGATGGTCTCGATCTCCTGATCTCGTGATTAGCCCGCCTTGGCCTCTCAAAGTGCTGGGATTACAGGCGTGAGCCACCGTGCCTGGCCAAGGGCTTTCTTATAGTATCATATTATGTATATACTTCTTTGTAAGACTTCACACAATTTTTTAAGTGATCGATAATCTCTCAGAAGGATTAAGGAAGGACAGATGCACTTTAAGAAAAAATTACTTTAATTATTTATATCCTGTGTTATGCTACTTGTTCCTACTCTTCTTACATATGATTTCAGTACTTCAAAATGACTAGAGAGCTACATTTTATTTATTTTTTTATTTATTTTTTGAGACAGAGTATCACTCCATCGCCCAAGCTGGAGTGCAGTGGCACCATCATGGCTCACTGCAGCCCTGACCTCATGAGGCTAAAGTGGTCCTCCTACCTCAACCTCCCAAGTAGCTGGGACCACATCACCATGTCCAGCTAATTTCTGAATTTTTTTTTTTTTTTTTTTTTTTTGTGGAGGTGGGGTTTCCTCATGTTGCCCAGGCTGGTCTCAAACTCCCAGTCTCAAGCAATTTGCCTGCCTCAGTTTCCCAAAGTGCTGAAATTACAAGTGTGAGCCACTGTGCCTGGCCTAGAGAGCTATATTTTAAAAATAAGTCATAAAGAATATTGTTCAAAACACTGAATACATTTTAATACAGACTGGATACTTGATGGCAGGATAGATTTAAGTTAATGCTGTTAGTTATAATAATGTCATTGCTTCATATAGAATCTCTAAGGACACAAAGATTCCTAGATACCATGAAACTTATATTTAAAGACGTAAGTATGTATATAAATATACATAAATATAAATGTGTATATAAATATTATATTTATATAAATATGTTTATGCTTATATTTATATAAATATGTTTAAGCTTATATTTATATAAATATGTTTAAGCTTATATTTATATAAATATGTTTATGCTTATATTTATATAAATATGTTTATGCTTATATTTATATAAATATGTTTATGCTTATATTTATATAAATATGTTTATGTTTATATTTATATAAATATGTTTATGTTTATATTTATATAAATATGTTTATGTTTATATTTATATAAATATGTTTATGTTTATATTTATATAAATATGTTTATGTTTATATTTATATAAATATGTTTATGTTTATATTTATATAAATATGTTTATGTTTATATTTATATAAATATGTTTATGTTTATGTTTATATAAATATGTTTATGTTTATATAAATATGTTTATGTTTATATAAATATTTATATACACATTTATATTTATGTATATTTATATACATATTTATGTCATTAGAGATAAGTATCATGATATCTAGGAATCTCCTTTACAATGGTTGTACATATCTGTGCAATTAAATACCAGTGACAAATAAAGAATATCCTTCAAAATAGTAGCATTCATGTTTCCCAGGGTTAGCAAATATCGCTGAACCTGTCTGTGTGCCTTTGATCTATACTAAAGTGCGCCAATAAACATAGGAACTAATGGCTGAGACATACTTCAGAGGACGGGGAGAAAGGGTCAGGAAGTGAGTCACCAGTGGGAATTGTATCATTGCTCAAGAATGGGTTGGGTTTGTTGTTATCTAGGGATAAAATGCCATGGAATCCAAATCACTCTTGTTCATCAAGTACCTGAGAGTCTGACTGATGCTCAGATCTTCATATGCCAGTGTAAAGACTTTACAGTTTCAGAAGGAATTCAATATCTCGACATTTATGTGCCTCATTTACCACTTTCAGTGGTAGCAAAAAAGAGTGCCTTTGAAGATAAACCGCATAACTAGGCCTATCTCCGCAAACTAAATTGATTTATGATTCTGACACACAAATATTAGTCCAGATGTTTCTCAAAGTGTAATAAAAGTGGCAGGGTTTCTTGAAAACCACTGTATCCCATCTGGCCAAGAATGTGTGTGTCCACAAAGGTGATCCATGTTATCATAAGAATTATTAGGATGCAATATCACTGGAGGCACTAGACCCAGATAGCTCTAATCTAGTCTTACCATTTGCAGACAAAACCATGGCGTCCAATGGCCCTCCATGTAATCCATCTCTGTCAAATGCATTAAGGAAATTGCCTGTCAGAAACATCATGGCTGAGATTCTGTGATTAAACACAAACCGTGAAAATGCTCCAGGGTACAGTAGAATCATTAGGGAAAAAAAAATACGTGCAAACACCTCCTTCAATTTGCTTTCTTTAGAATTAATTCTGTGGTCATAAGTGACTGAAATCTGCAGAGAGAGAGAGAGAGGTATAATGTGAAATTTATCAAGCACTTATTCTGCGGTTGACACTTTGCAAAGTGCTCCCATATGCTCTTCCATAATACCCCACTGTTAGGTGGTTTAAATAGATATATTGTATGGACATTCCTCCATGTACTTACTGCACAATTTCAAGTATGTTATTTAATCTAAGGATCAATTTCCTTATTGGCAAAGTGGGGCTATCCTATGCATATTGTATGTTTACTGTAATGCTTGAGAGAGGTAACATATGTAAAGTATCAAACGTACTTTGGGCACCAAGTAAGCATTATTATGGTTAATATTACCCATGTGTAAACATTATTAATAGTGTTAGTAACACTTCAACACACAAACACACCTAAAGGGCAAGGATCTCCTCTAAAGTTCTGAGTTGATACATAGAGGCACAAACATTCAGAACTAAGGTTTCTGACTTGAAAAGCTCAAGTTCTACCTGTAACTCCACATTGCCCCAAATTTTTAGAGAAGTTTCACAAGAGCTCATAATCAGGTTTGGGGGTTTGTAACTGTTTAGGTATACCCATGTGATCAAGCATGGTATACTGTGACTGCTCTAGAATTCCAACTTGCCATACTGTTTGCTAAACAGACAAGACTAAGGATTGTCACAAAGGCACAGCCAATATGTCATACTTCAATCACTTGGCTAACTTTTGACCATGAGACAGGGCTGCAAATAACTATGTCAGAGGAGGTAAAAACATGCATGCAATGCAGATGAACAGACACCCTGGGTCATGAGGTGTTTGTGGATATGCTATAACCACCATCATGTATCCCCTAGACTTCTACTAAAACCTCTTGCACTTGCATCTGTTTTTTTCTCTCTTCAGCTAAGGAACAGAGTACACTGTCATTTGGATGATGTCTTCCCTCTAAGGTCATTCCACAGCTTCCTATTGTCCTAAAACTAAAATTCAACCCCCTTGCTATAAGCAAAGAAGTCCTCCTTGATCTGCCTCTCCACTTCCTTCTCTCCACTTGTTCACGGAGCTAATTCCAGCCCTGTGCTACTCTTTTTATGATCTTCAAATACACAAAGCCCTTTCCTGTCAGTGATTTTACACACATCTTTGTGCTGCCAGGCTCTTCTCACCAATCCTGCCTTCTTCTCCACCACCACTTTCCTGGGCTTTAGGCCACCTCCAGCCATCTGCATCGCCCCTCATCATTTCAGTTCACATCATCCTATTTCAGTTCTTTAATGACGTCATCATTGCAGTCTGAAATTTTAGCCTCTCTTTATTGGTTTATTAATTCCCATCTATCCCCTTTAAACTACTCCCTCAATTAGAATGGTGGTTCCATGAGGGCAGAGACCTGATACGAATGGTACCTAAAACCACACCTGACAATAGGAGGCATTAAATAGCTCCTTGCTGAACCACACTGAAAGGAGATGAAATGTCCTCCTAAGCTTTATCAATTTTGTTCTGACAGTAAGCCTAAGAACTAGCTTGTGTTCAGTGTGAGTCAACTCTTCCTAAATTTCTGCCTGAAGATATCATCTGGTTCTGTATTCTCATACATGTTCCTGCTTCGGGACCCTAAGAGATTATTAATGCAGGCTTCTGAAAGCCTGGAAAAAAAATACACACATGTGCAAGCACACTTAAGCACACACATTTATTCAGAACTATTGACAAAGTAAAGAAAAAATAGATAAAGCATCTCTTATAGCTAAAATTTGGATGAACCCAACGAAGGTTTCACTATTTAATAACAATAGAGAAATAAAACACTTTCGTTCAGGATACTTTCATGGTGCCCACTGGCCTCAAGTGCTGGTAAAGATTTTCAGGTAGAAAAAAATTACCTCTGTTTCTTCTGTCAAATTTGAGATCAACCCCTACCCTCACTACCCTCTGTAAATTGACAAGCACGATACACTTGTCATTGGGGAATATGTTTTCGTGATTCACCATGGCTTCTTTTTCTCCCCAAATCAAGTACACCTCCCTTCAGACACAGGCAGCCAGGAGAAGTGGCTGTTCTATCTGACTCAACCCACTCTGCCTCAACTAATAAAAAGAGGGTTGAATACTGATCCCAGCTGGGGCAATTCAATTCTCTCTCCTAGGAAATTGGCAGTTAGGGGATCATTCGCTTACTTATACATGTGTTTAAGCAAAAATATTGTTGTGTGCCCATTATGTGTCAGGCATTGTTCTAAATAAGGCTTAGCTCTCAGGAAGCTTAGATTCCAGTGTGGGAAGGTGCATATGATAAACAAGCAACAAAGAAAATAAGATAATTTATGACCAGGGCATGTAATTGTTGTGAACAGGGAAGATCTTTGGAAGACATAGAAGTTGAGCTAAAATGCAATTGCCATAAAAAACTCAGGAATGTGGAGATTAAGGGAAGGCATTTCTAAGGGATTTAGTACAAAGTGCTAAGTCAGGGGTGAGGCAAATCTGATGGGCTCCATTTCCAAAGAGAAATGAAAGAGATGCTGTCCAGGGTGCTGATCCCTTTCCTGGTCTTTGCTTCATCGTACTTCCTGCCGCTCTTCCTCCTCTGGAATCCTCTGGAATCTATGGAATATTTTAAAGCTAAATTTTCCCTTTTTGCTTAACTGAGTCTAAACTGGGTTTCTGTTCTTTGCAACAGGATGTATTAGGACTATCCCTTGTTTCCATATTTCTATAACAACAGTTCACCATAAAATATCTAGAAAATGGTAAAAACAAGGAAAACAAGAACAGACAACAGAAATTCAGCTGCTGCTGCTGCTAAGAACTTTCGAGCCAAGAACATGAACGAATTCATCAGGCTTCAATGTGAGGACATTTCATGAAGAGAGGGGGCTTCAGGAAGAATGGAAGATGCTTTTTACTTTTTGGTCTTTTTTTTTGCAGGGGGGCAGGTGACTCTCGGAATTCAACCTCACATCCCTATAGAGGAGCATCACTGTTTACAAAGCGAAGGTAAACTAGCAACCCTGTAACAACTTCATGTAGCTTATAATCTGAAAAAATCTCCAAAGTCTCTGACCCTAAAAGGTAACTAGGTCAAAGATACCTAATAGGTTTCATTTTATGAGACAACTACGAATCACTGACAATGACTAAAGAACTGTCATGAACAAGCTTCTGAAGACTCATTCAGTTTATCAGTGAAGATTATTATCTTTCAGTGATTTGTGTCATGTATATTAGATTGGTGGAATCAGTGGTATGCTTGTTATTCACTATCTCTGTTACAAAGAAATTAACCCTTTTCCTTCCTGTATTTCGACGGCTGAGTTTTTTTTCCGTAGAAATTACGTAAGAACCACTTCACATATGGTGACTCAGAAAGCTCTCCTCTGGGGCCCGGGTATGGTGTCTCACACCTTTAATCCTAGCACTTTGGGAGGCTGAGATGGGCAGATCGCTTGAGCTCAGGAGTCTGAGACCAGCCTGGGTAACATGGCAAGACTGTGTCTCTACCAAAAATACAAAAACCTAGCCAGGCATCGTGCATACCTGTAGTCCCAGCTACTCGGGAGGCTGAGGCACACGAATCGCTTGGACCTGGGAGGCAGAGGTTGCAGTGAGCCAAGATCGCACCACTGCACTCCAGCCTGGGCAACAGAGCAAGCAAGCAAGCGAGAAAGAGAGGAAGAGAGAAAGAGAGATGAGAGAAAGAGAGAGAGAGCAAGGGAGGGAAGAGGGAGGGAGGGAAGAAGGAAGGAAGGAATTTAGTTAATTCTCTTTTAGGTAGTACTTTTCTACTACTAGCCTTACCAAAATGTAAAAGCACCCTAAAAATCTCAGGGACCCCTAATTAACTCTTACCACTTGTTAACAAAAATATTACAAGGTAGGGAAAAGTAGAACCAAAGGGGTTTGGAGAGGGCAGAGAAGGATGACATGGAATTTCTTTTACTGAATCCAGTACTTCATTCATTCAGTTCTGGTACTCCTTCAGTTCTCATGACCATGCTCATCGGGGCATAGCAGTTTCCCTATTTAACATCTAGAGAGATTGTGACTACGCAAGGTTCAAAGAAGTCTTTGAACCACAAGGCCGTCCACCTGGCACATGACAAGGAAGGATTGAAAGCCTATCTCCAAATCCCTGGTCATTCCTTGATAGCAGGGGGTCAGTAAGCCATGGCCTGTGGACCAAATCAGCCTCGCTGACTGTGGTTAAAAACATTTACTGCAATGCCGCAACATTCCATTGCTTTTGCATTGCCTATGACTGCTTTTTCTCTACAACTGCAAAGCTGAGTAGTTGTGACACAGACCGTATGGTCCACCACCCTACAATATTTATTATCTGACCCTCTGCAGGAAAAGTTTGCCAACCAAATACTTTGTGGCAATGTCATGAGCTTTAAGCATAAAATCCTAAATCTGACACATGTGTCTTTTTAACCTTGATGCTTAAAATAAACTTTCCCTGTGGTAATATTTTGCCTAAATATTTTCACCTTGAAGCCAATGTTCTGGCAGGTTTTTTTTTTTTTTTCATCATAATAACTTACAGTAGAAATGGAGCAGGGGAGTGCAGAGGAAGCTAATTTTCCCCAAGTAAATCTTTTGCAATCCTTTCTAACACCATAGGCAACCATCTCACCTTTTACAGAAAAGGGAAGAAAACAGTGTTACTATCCTTAATGTCACCTCATTTATCAGCCCATAAAGCACTACCCAATAAAATCAAAGGACCCTACCAGATAAATGAATACTAGTGCATAAACGTGGTGTAGACTTTCTGAAAACACGTCTGTAGAATGTAGGGCTTCACCTTGCCCGGCATCTGATGACAAGAGTGACCCATGATTAGGAGTCAGACTTCCAGAGATGCTGTCCCTTTCTTGTGTGTGGTATCTGTAACTGAACTTCTCTTAGCCTCAGTTTTCTATCTGAAAAATGGGAATAATTATAGCACCCTCCCTAGAGCATTACATAAGGACATAAAGAGTTAATATATGTAAAACGCATTTAAAAATTATCTGAAATACAGTAAATGCTATATAAAAATTGCTACTGTTCTTTGGATATTATTATATTATAATAATAGTTCTGCAAGGCAGAAAATGGCTAACACACTATTCACCATGGATATCAGGGCTGCTGTGGACAAAAGAAGAAATATTTTCTCTGAGAAAAGCAGGCTCTGTTCAAAATATCTAGGAAGGTCTGGACTCAGTGGCTCAAGCCTATATTTCCAGCACTTTGGGGGTCTAAGGCGGGCAGATCACTTGAGGTCAGGAGTTCTAGATCTGCCTGGCAAACATGGCGAAACCCCATCTCTACTAAAAAAAAAAAAATACAAAAATTAGCTGGACGTGGTGGCAGATGTCTGTTATCCCAGCTATTCAGGAGGCTGAGGCAGGAGAATCGCTTGAACCTGGGAGGAGTAGGTTGCAGTGAGCCGAGATCATGCCACTGCATTCCAGACTGAGTGACAGAGCAAGACTCCATCTCAAACAAAAAGAAAAAAAAATCTGGGAAGATGGTGAATTTCTTTTTAAAGAGTTCTATATACAAATGAAGGACAATGCATCTCAAATAAATTCATTGTGTTGCTGTTGGAATCTCCCCCTATGTGGTCAGCTTCCTAATTTAATATATAAAAAAAAAAGGAAACCATGTGTCCACGTTAAATTTAAAATGTCTGACAAAATGGAAATGCCAACACCTAACAGGTCTAACAGCAAACATAATTAATTGGTCTGCAGCCTGGCAAATCCTCTCACAGATTTTGGTGAACCGTAAATCAGTTCAAGAGGAGGCCAGACAAATTGTGGAGATTGGACACATCATTGAGAGAGATGGAAGGCAGAGAAAATTATTCCCCAAAGGGATTTTTAGAATTATGTTCTCTTAGGTAAGGGGTAAGGGGAAAGCGGTGCTTTGAGAATGTTTGAACACAGAATCTCTTGACACTTCCAATGGACATGAACTCTGAAAGCAAGGATAACTTAAGTATTTTCTTTTTGGAAAAAAAAAAAAAATCCCGGTTAAGCATCCTTCCATATAGATAAAAATTTGTTGTTTTATCCCAACCTCCTACCCCCAAATGCACCAAAAAATATTAACCCCTCCGGATGCCTCGAGTAATCTGGGATCTGACCAAAACGAAGTTGAACTTTGTACATTAATTATGCATCAGATTAAAGAAATAGCCATAAAAATAAAAGCAGAACTATTCTTCCTACTGCAGCTTTATTAGTTTATCACCCGCCATATGCACTGCCACCGAAAATTATAATGGGCCAGCAGTGTTAACCATAAACAGAGAGAGACTTCACTATTATTTACGATCTTGTTAACCAAATCAGTAAAACCAACCAAACTGGATCAGTACAGGAAGTAAAGAAGTATGAAGTATGTTCCTTATACATAACTTGCAGAATAACAGGTGTGAAACCCGATGTCTCACCTGTGATCAAAGCACATTTGGTCAGTATAATGTGCTTGACTTTTTAGGACAGCAATACATCTGAGGTCCGGCATGTGATTAACAAAACTGATAATGACTTTTACCATCAAGTAGAAGAGTATAATAAAGTAAAAGGTGCCTGACCCCAGGTCTAAAGAGTAGTTTCCTTTCAGATTTCACTTATGTAGATAACTGGTTAAATTCTGGTGATGGAAACAGAAATATACCCATAAATACCATGCAGATAGGTTCTTTGCCATGCACACATCACATTGTTTAGTAATGATTATCAGTCAATCGATACATCAATTGAATCAATTTATGAACGAATAAAAAAAATTTAGTGTTTACCCATATCCAATTTCTCTCTCCTCCTGCGAACTTGGGAAGATTGTGTTTGCCATGTCCTTGCAAGTAGCTATGCCCAAATTGTTAGTGACCCAGTCATTTAATTACCATTGGAAGACCTTCTCCTCTTGGTTTTTCTCAGTGACGTCAATCAAGAAGGCTGTGTGTTGCAGAAACTAAAGCGACAGGCTGATAGTGCCTCTGACAAATTGAATCACTAGGTCACTGTGTGGAGGAAAGTTTCCCTAGAGATGCCCATGGTGGGCTTTGCATGAGCAAGGAATAAACATGTTTTTTGTTTGTTGTTGTTGTTGCTGCTGCTGCTGTCACTGACATCCTGGGGGTTATTTGTAACAGCAGCATATCCTGACACATACTGACTTTCTGCATCTGTACAACAGTACAAGTGTACATGGCTGGCCTTTACTCTCAGAGATTCTGAATCAATAGGTCAGAAGAAAGGAACCAGAGCGTGAGCATGTTGTGTCTGCTCTCCAGTTGATCTTCTGAGCACACCTACAAAAGGAAAAACTACACTAGAACAGAAGCTGGTAAACCACAACCCACAGGCCAAATCCTGTCTGCTTTTGTAACTAAAGTTTTATCGGAATACAGCCATGCTCATTCATTTATGCATTGTCCACAGGGGCTTTTGTGCTACAACAGAAGAGTTGAGGAGTTGCAGCGGAGACCAAAAGACCTGCAAAATCTAAAATATTTATGACCTGGCTCCTCACAGAAGAGATTTGCTGACCCCTGTCCTAGAATTTTGTGGAAGTGCCCTACCTCCTGGTTCAATCTAGTTAATAATGCAATTTGCTCAGATAGGAGCTGTCACAGCAAGCAACCTGTTCTACAAAGGTAGTGCCTGTGAAAACACACCTGAAAATAAGACACAAGGTAGAAAACCATATAAAGCATCCCTGATCTACTTCTTTTTGTATTCTTTTTTTTTTTTATTGATACATACTATCTGTACCCATTTACAGTGTGCTTGTGGTATTTTGTTACATGCATAGAATGTTTAAGGATCAAGTCAGGGTATTTACACTACCCATCACCTCCAGCATTTATCATTCCTCTGTGTTGGAAACTCTACTTGTTCCTTGCATCCTCAGCTCTTGAGGCCTTCAGGGCTTTTTGTTTGTTTGCTTGTAGAACTGACACTTTTGAACTTGGTCTTATCCATGGACAATCAAGCTAGATAAGGAGCACAAATTTCCCCTTTGATTGGAAGCGGTTGTATTGTCGCTATTCTCCATGTGGGGAAAACTACTCCTGGACAAAAATGCATGCCAGTCAGCAAAGTGTCGTGTTCTTTGCACAGTTCTACAATACTAAATGGAGTTGTCTCCGAACCAGCTTTTTATGACAGGCAATGTCTGAATTTATTTGCAACCTGGGGTGGTTCCTGAATTTTGTGCTCAATGAGACTTCATGGGGTAGTGAGTTTTTATTTTTCTATTGAAAACTACCTTGTAAATGAATTACTAAAGCGATACTATAAAATTCTATTCTGAGATTAGAGGCATTTAAATGGGAAATATCTAAAAAATTTTCCTCTCCCCCCATTCCTGCTTTCTCTCTGTCTTACATTTCTGTATTTTTTTCTTTACATTTATTACCACAGATGTTTTGTGCATATGTGTATAGGTAAGTACATATTTATTTATATGTGTCGTGTCTGTCTTACCTTGACTATAATAAAAGTAGGAATATCACCTTATTGTGTTCATTGTTTCATTCTCAATACCTAGAACAAGGATCGGAAACCTTTTCCAGTAAAGGGGCAAACATTAAATATTTCAGGCTTTGCCACCCATATAGTTTCTGTCACTAATCATCTGTGTCGTTGTAGCACAAACACAGCCATAATCGATATGCAAATGAAGGGGTGTGGCTGTGTTCCACTATAACTGTATTTACAAAAACAAGAGGAGAGCTGGATTTTTCCCGAGAGGTATAGTTTACTGACATAATAGATACCTCGTACACATAATAGATACCTCGTACATATCTATTATATAAATGAATATCTTAACTGTGTGTGGTCAAATTATAGTCACAAAGTACACTCTATATGCCAGGCATTCTTCCCAGTGCCAAAGATGTAAAATCAAATATAACATAAAAACGATAAAAGCTAAAGAAATGCAAAATGGTGCTAAGCACTTACATGCATTATCTCATGTAATCCTATCCATGATTTTAAGAACCAAGAATTATTATTAATCTCATTTTACAGTTTCATTAACCAAAGCTAACACAGTTAAGGAGCCTGTCCAAAATCACACACCTAGCATGTAGCACCGGGATTCCAATAAAAAAAATTTGATTAAAAGTACATGCTCCTAACCACACCAGCGGTCTGTGAGTGGAGACTGCTATTGGCTGAGGTCCATCTTGGTTACATGTCAAAATGAACTGACACTCACATCGGATGGCTGCTAAGCACGCACCTCCCAGATACTTAAGTTTCTGCATTTACAGCTTTCCAGGTTTAAAAGTCTGTGCAGCAGAGGAATTGGTGTCTGTTTCTTTGGGCCTTTATATGCTCAGAGGGCTAATATAAGAACCTGGAGTCCTTTCAACTCCTCTAAAGAGTGACCTTTTCCTAGATTACTGCAACCCAGCTGAGAAACATGTGCAGAGACTTGCTTTACTCTGAGAAGGAGAGAGGAAGACATTTTATCAAAAAAATGAAAGAAATAATACCAACTACTGCGTGGCTGGAAGAGGTAACCTCGGGAAGCTTGAACTGACAGGGTAACACGTGGCTTTCAAGCTGCACACTGGAGGCACACAGCTGTTGGGGTGAGATAATGGATCCAAACCCTACCTTTCAAAGTGTGCCTTATGCACAAATGGGATCCTTTGCCTATGAGCCCTATGTGCCTACCTGTGGCATGTTCACACAACCAGCCCATAGGCTCAATGAGTATGACCAGGCAGCGAAAGTCTCAGCTCCCTGTCACACATTTCTGAATCCACGTTAAAGGGGGAGGAGCTCTTTCTCCCACTTCAGGCCCCTGCCCATGCCTTTGCTGACTTATAAGGGAAAGGAAATTATAGGTAGTAATGTAAGATTCCTCAAGATTCACTGAGACCCATTTCACAGGCGAAGAAGGTTATTTCATTGAAAGATCATGCACTTTGTTCTCACTTATAAGTGGGAGCTGAAAAATGAAAATACATGGGCACAGGGAGAGGAACAACACACACTGGGGCCTATTGGGGGCTGGGGTGGATAGGAGGAAGAGTATTAGGAAAAAGAGCTAATGCATGCTGGGCTTAATACCGAGGTGATGGGTTGATAGGTGCAGCAAACCACCAAGACATACATTTACCTATGTAACAAACGTGCACATCCTGCACATGTACCCCAGAATTAAAAATAAAAAATAAACAAACATAAAGATCATGCACCTGAAAAGATGCTCAACATCATTAGACATCAGGAAAATGCAAATTAAAGCCATGATGATGAGATATCACCACATACCCACTAGAATGGCAGTAATTTGAAAGATAGATAAGTAATACAAATAGTTGTCAAGGATGTGGCACAACCTGGATGCTTGTATGTTGCTGGTGGGGATATTGAATAACGCAACCGCTTTGGAAAAATACTTTAATGGTTTGTTTGTTTTGTTTGTCTGTTTGTTTTGAGACTGAGTCTCGCTTTGTCTCCCAGTCTGGAGTGCAATGGCGCAATCTTGGCTCACTGCAATCTCCGCCTCTCGCGTTCAAGTGATTCTCCTGCCTCAGACTCCCGAGTAGCTGGGATTACAGGTACCCACCACCACGCCTGGCTAATTTTGTATTTTTAGTAGAGATGGGGTTTCACCACCTACACCAGGTTAATCTCAAACTCCTGACCTCAAGTGATTGGCCTGCCTCTGCCTCCCAAAGGGCTGGGATTGCAGGTGTGAGCCACTGCGCCCAGCCAGTTTAGTGGTTTCTTAAGCTCAAACTTAAACTTACCATACAACCCAGCAATTCCACTCCTAAATATCTACCCAAGAAAGGTGAAAGCATATATCCACCCAAGAACTTGGAAACAAGTGTTCATAGTAACATTCTACATAATAGTTAAAATCTGGAAACAATCCACGTATCCATCAATAAATGGGTAAATGGATAAACAAAATGTGGTCCATCCATACCATGGAATATTACTCAATAATAAAGAAACAAAGTAGTGATACATGCATCCACATGGATGAACCTCATGTTCATCCTCATGTTCACGAAAAAAAAAAGTTTATCATGGATAAACTTTCTGCTAAATTAAATAATCCAGATGCAGATCACACATTGTGTGGATTTATTTCTACAACCTGTCCAGGAAAGGCAAATCTAGAGCTTAAATCACCATTCAGCATTTAACACAAAGCAGATGCTCAATAAATATTTGTTTAATGAATATACTCCAACCAGTTCACTGTGATTGACTGAACTCTTTCTTGGAAGACCAAATGGTTTGTCTTTCATTTCGTTTCTCTGCGTCACCCAGGGTGGGATACGTTTTGGTCTCATCCTCAACTGTCAGAGAAACCACTGAGCATAATAGGTTATTTAACGTGTGTCTTATGATTCAACGTCACAGTATTATAGGACAACAGTTGTATGACATTGGGATAAAGAATATTACTATTCAATTTATGATGCTTTGTGCTGCAAGTGGAACTTAACTGTAGATGGGCCTATGGAATTAGTTTCTTTACAGATGATTAAAATAAAAAACATCCTAAATGTGTTTCCACCCTTCTGGAGCCATTCTCAGTCTTAATTACCACCTCCTAATATCTTTACTGCTCTTTCCCTGGTGTTTCTGAATATTGCAGTTGAAGTGTAAAAGTAGTATGCACTACTGTAATTGAGATGACAAATGCTGAAATACAATGAAGTAAGCAAGGAATGAGACAAAATGACTTCTGAGAGAAAAAAAAAAGTGTCAAATGGAACTCGTGTTCACACAAAACATTCGAAACCAGTGCCTCCCTTTCAGAGTCACTGAATGCACAGATATATACGTATACCCTGTTGTTTCTGAATTCTGTTTTATAGCATGACAGTGAATGGAGTTTGGAAGGACATCTGTTGTGGATGGTGGCACTGAGCTCCAGCTATTAGTTTCTTCAAATTATGGTTTCTAAATGCACGTTGGATTTGACCAGGTTTTCGTAGTCAGTGGCGTAATTTGAAATAAAAGGGGGAGGAGAAAAGTAGTGATGTTTTTCTTTAATTTTACGTTAATAATAAAACAGTTGTATGATTTTTGTTATAAGTCAAGAAAATAAGATTTTATGAAATATGAATAATCAAAAAGTATGTCTGATACTAAACCCTAGTCTTTCTTCTGAACTCATATTCTTTTCTACTTGTTGGGTACTAATATCTTATTTCTACCAGGAAATTCTAGGGAAAATACACACGTGGTAGTTTTTCTTTGTTTTGCAATTCTTTTACACGAAAACCATACTGAGGGGGCAAATTTTAGTTTTGTAGTTAACTGCTCTAGGATATTCAAGTCTCTTCCTTGGGAATCTCATGGCAGGTCAGTTTCAAATTGAGGCAGATAACCATCTCCCCATGTTCTCTAAACCCTCACTTCAGAAGGCACTCTGCCATCTGTTTAACTCTACATTGGGAAGCCAACTTTTACTTTTAAAAGCCAAGACTGACACCTCTGTGTCTGCCACCTGAGCCCCCATGTAGGTGAACTCATCATTGTGTGTCAAGATCCCCCTCTGCCTCCTGCTTTCAGCCTTGTGCTGCCTCTGTTGCTACAACTTGGCATGATGTGTGTTCCCAGTAAGTAAGAGAGAGTTTTCTTTTTTTTTTCTCCAATATGAAGGAAACAACAGGAATGCTAATTACATTTAATGGAACTTGGCACAATTTCTCAGGAGGTAGTGCTAATTTGCAGAAGGTAGCACTTTGGATTTGCTGATAAAAGGCTGGGGATCAAAGGGTGGTTGTGGGAGACAGAGAAATATGTATATTTTATCCACCACTGCCATGGTGGGAATAACAATGTGTTTCACACTATAAACACACTAGTGGGAAGATTTACTTTTATTATATACTTTATTAGGAAGATGTGTAGGGTACTGAGGAGTAAAAAGAGATAAACTGCTGGGCATTTACATGAAAGAAGTGGTTTTTTTGATGGGGTTTGAAAACCCTATGGTGGTAAATTTATTGAAGAGTATGTGGATTTTAGGTAATATAAGAAAATATGGAATTATTGGCTCATTCCAATGCACTTTAATTCCAGGATGCAGAATTCTAAAAATGAAAGGTCATTTATAACTTATCTAATTGGGATGTTTCATTTTACAGATGAGAACGTTAAAGCAAATCAATATTTTTTTCTAAATTGCCCAATATCATGTGAATTGTGACAAAACTGGAAGCAAAAATCAGCCTCTCTGTGAATGTAGGATTCTTCCTACTATACTACACAGCTTCCAGGGCAGGCACAGACCCCGTGCCCACATCTCCTCTCTGGAAATTGTTCTACCTGAGGATATATCCTCTCTTAAGTGGTACTCATAAGCAGAGATGTGTCTCAGTCATCATCCCACTTTAAACTATGCGATAAGCAAAATTTTATAGCTAAAAAAAGACAATGGCCAAGCCAAAATTCAAAGCACCTGGGAACTTTGATGAAGTATGGAGACAGATTGATAATGAGTTATTACAGTTCTGAGGCTTAGCTGTTCAGAAAACACAAGCTCATTGCTTACCCTATAACTAAATCCATTTGCAATGGCCCTTCTGGCATGGTGAAGTAAATGGAAATGGCCCCTTCCATGTCATTGATAAAGACACCACGGTTCAGAACATAAAGAGAGAAAATTACATTCTAAACACTGAGGCGGCCTCTTGGCCACAGTTTTACCCCTTGTGCTGAATTTTGTGTCACATTAAGGATTCACACTGAAAGAAATCTCTTTCTATAATCCTGCAATCTAGTTCAAAAGCACACATACATAAAGCAACCAGGGAACATACAAAACAGGGATAAAGTGACATTAGCGGTGGCAGGAATTCATCAAGAAAATACTATGTGTCAAGTGCTCAGCTAAGCATTTTCCCACTGAACCCTCACAGCAAATTGGGATGTACAATGACACTGCAGTCCTCATCATAGGGATGAGGAAATTGGGGTTTCAAGGACTTTAAGCTGCTTTCCTAAGAGCATAGTTCATGGAGGGTTAGACCTGGGAGTTAGTACTGGGTGCCTGTGATTTGTGCAGCTCCTCGCCAATTGCCGACTGGCAATGGTGGCAAGTAAGGCCTTGAGAGTGCCCAAGACATAGGGAGAGGGTTTGGGAAGAAAGCTGGGATGGAGCTGGACCTCCAACAAGAAATAAGATTCAGACAAATGGAAATGAAGGAGACATCGCAGGTGAGAGGCAGAGGGTGAGCAGACTGGAGCAAGACGGGAGAGTGTGTGTTTTAGGATCACCTGCAAAAGGAAACCTGATATACAAATAAAGTCATAAAAGACAGACCCAACCAGATGGCTGAGAGCAGAGCTGGACGTTTTGATGAAACCCTCAACTGCGCAGAGCAGACAGCAGAGGATTTAAGGGCAAGGGATCTCCTGGATTTAAGTGGAAGCTCTGTCACCACCTTAATAAGCTACATGTTTTCCCTAAGACTGTAGCTGCTCATGAAGACATTCATTCAACCAAGGTGTATGGAAACTTCACTGTATGTGAGGATACAGCAGAAACCAAACCCAAAGAAAACAAAACAACTCTGAATTATACAGCTTAGGGCTAAAAGATACCCAAAGTGGGTACCTCTAAGATGTGAGAATTAAACAGGTGATCCAGTCAAATCCTTTAGTTTCTCACATGGAAAGTGCTAAATTAGCCAGAAGTGGTGGCTCGCACTTGCAATCCCATCTACTCATACTTGAGCTGAGGAATTTGAGACCAATATGGGCAACACGCCAAGACTCTATCTTGGAAAAAAAAAAGAATTTTAATTAGCTGGGTGTGGTGACCTGTGCCTGTAGTCTCAGCTACTCAGGAGGCTGAGGTGAGAGTATCACTTGCACCCAGGAGTTCAAGCGGCAGTGAGCTGTGACTGCTCCACTGCACTCCAGTCTGAAAGACAGAGCAAGACACCATCTCTAAAAACAGAGTGCTCAATTAACAGTGGTGAGGAGCAGGAGGATAAATTGTTACTGTTATTATTGCTATTGTTTTAAAAAGTATTAATCTGGTCATCATGCTACAGTTTCTATAAAAGGGGTTTTGGAAATTTGAAGTTCTGTCTGTGCAAAACATAAGATATATTAATTACCCAGCATGCATACACCAAATACTTATTTATTTATTTATTTATTTTGAGACAGGGTCTTCCTCTATCACCTAGGCTAGAGTGCATTGGCACAATCTTGGTTCACTGCAACCTCTGCCTCCCCAGGCTCAAGTGATCCTCCTACCTGATCCTCCCAAGTAGCTGGGACCACAGGCGTGTGTCACCATGCCCAGCTATTTTTTTTATTTTTTTTGTAGAGATAGGGTCTTGCCACGTTGCCAGGGCAGGTCTTGAACTCCTGGACTCAAGCGATCAGCCTGCTTTGGCCCTGCCAAAGTGCAGGGATTACAGGCATGAGCCACTGCACCCTGCAATTATACATTTTTAAAATGTGAAAATACCCATGTAAGAGGAGAAGGCAGATGAATTAATGCTCTGTATCATCATATGCAACAAAATAGTCTTGACATTGGTGTAGTAGTAAACCCTGCACCAAAATTTGGTTCTGTCATTCACTCTGAATTTCTGTTTCTTCACTGGTAAATGGGACTGATAATGCACCTACCTGGTAGGAATGTGTTGAAGATGCAATTAATCATGTACATCACTGTTTTTCTACAAGGGGATTTTACCCTCCTGGGGACATTAGGCCATGTCTATAGACATTTCTCAGTGTGACAACTTGAAGAGGCAGGTGCTACTGAATCTAGCAGATACCCTAGGTCAGGGATTCCGTTAAACATCGTGCAAATGCACAGTGGATCCCCCAACCCCTGGCCCATAACAAGTAATTATCTGACCCAATATACCCATAGTGCTGAGATTCAGAAACCCTGATATATGCAAAGCTTTTAGTAAATGGCTAGTATCTCATAGAAACTCAAAATTCTTAGCATTACATCACATAATAATATGTTATTATGATTTTCATCGTCACCATTATCATCACATCCTGTTCATATAAATATGAGGAAACTATGGCCATGAATATTGTCAAAATTTGAAACAATTATTGGTGTTGCCTTCTTAATAGGTGAGAACTTCACATTTTTCCTGCCCTGAGACACTGAATGATTTGCCTACTTCCTCCCTCCACATGCAAACTACACTGTCACTGTAACAAACACTGTCTATAAATCTAGTTATATTTCTGTGCTATAGTTTATTGCTCTTAATTAGAGTATCAGAATTATTCCCCATGGAGTTCATCCAAGGAAGGACATCACAAACCTTTAAAAATATATATGACATTAAGAAATGGAGTTAAGACAAAAATAGAGGCACACTCCTCCTATTTGAAAGTATATTTGTTCATGTCAGGAGAATGAAGACTGCATGAATTATTCATTAGAATAACAGTTTATTGGCAAAATTGTTGTATTTGGATGGTGTACATTATGGAGTGAATAAATAATGTGTTATGGATATTTTTAGGGACTGAAGAGTAAATCTAGGAAGAAAATTTGTAACAGGAAGGAAAGGAAGTTATGGCTAGAAGTGGTGGAGGCTTCTCAGTGAAATATGCAGAAGACATAAAAATTGCTTCCACTGAGATGTAAACCAAGAATACCAGAAAAACCCTTCTAACTTCTTTCTTCTGTGTGTGGCCATTTTTCTGCAACTTAATTGAAGGTTTTCTGTACCAGTATGAGCCAAATGATGCTTATAATTAGGTTTCCTATAGCCACCTCTTTGAGCTCGCCAATGAGGTTCACGAATTCACATGCAATGAGAATTGGTGGACAATGTGGCTGTTGAGGTTTGAGGTACACTCTTTCCCATTTCCTACCTGGCTCTGCACCCTAGCACATATCAGACAAGGTTTCACTTCCTTTATGTCTCAGCTGCAAAACAGACCTTGGTCCATTTCATGCTGAGAAGAAGAAAACCCACTCAGACTCTCCAAAAATTCTAGATCAAACCAAAGCTTGCTAGGGGAACCACATTCCCATTAGCCATTTTAATACAAAGCTGCTGCTCATAGAAAAGCCATCATTGATAAGTGAACTTTAATGCTGACTGATTCAACAGACGGAAAACCATTTTGCTTCCTTGAATCTTTTAAATGTAGCTAATGCTGTCAACTATTCTGGAACATTTCATGTTTTTCCTCTAAGGAGGAAAAAACCTGCTTCATAAAAATTGAAATGTAAGTTTAAAAAAAATCCTTACCTTGTGTGGTTCTGCGCTGTTAAAGACAGACTCTCACTACAAACATCCCCTACCCCGCAGCATCCCCAGACAAGCACATAAATTAAACACCTCCCTAGAAGAGCGGTTGGCACACTTTTTTCGCAGAGGGCCAGATAGTAAATATTTTAGGCTTTGCAGGCCAGATGGTTTTTGTCGCAGTTATTCAACTCTGCCCTTGCAGAGTGAAAGCAGCCATAGACAATACGTAAATGAATAAGGCTGTGTTTCTGTCAATAAAATCTACAAAAACAGGTGTCAGGCTGGATTTGGCTCTCAGGCCTTAGTTTGCAGCCCTCTAGTGAATTAGTTTCCTAGGGCTGCAGTAACAACTTATCAAAAACTGTGGCTTGAAACAAAAGAAATGTATTCTCTGTCAGTTCTGGAGGCCAGAAATCCTAAAGCAAGGTACTGGCGGGGTCGCACTCCCTCCAAAGACTGCATGGGAGGGTCTTTCTTGTTCCTTCCAGTTTCTGGTGGTCCTGGCATCCTTGGCTTGTGGCTGCATCACTCTTAGCTCTAGTTTGGTCTTCACGTGGCCTTCTCCTCTGAGTCTCTGTGTTTTCAAATCTCCCTCCATTTCTCTTATTGAAACACCAGCCACTGGACTTAGGGTCCACTCTAAGTCCAGGATGATTTCACCTAGAGATCCTTAATGAGTGACATCCGTAAAAATCCTATTTTCAGCCAGGTGTGGTGGCTCACACCTGTAATCCCAGCACTTTGGTAGGCAGAAGCTGGCAGATCACTTAAGGTCAGGAGTTTGAGACCAGCCTGGCCAACACGGAGAAATCCCTTCTCTACTAAAAACACAAAAATTAGCCACGTATGATGACAGGCACCTGTAGTCTCAGCTACTCAGGAGGCTGAGGCAGGAGAATCGCTTGAACCCAGGGGACGGAGGTTGCAGCGAGCTGAGATCACACCACTGCACTCCAACCTGGGCGACAGAAAGAAACTGTCAAAAAAAAAAAAAAAAAAAAAAAAAAAAAAAAAAAGAACACCAATGCAGCAATCTGGGGCTTTCTCTCTGATGTCATCAGTAAAGAAAGAAAAACTCAAATGAGAGCAAGGCTACTGGTGGCTGTGTCTGTGCAGTCCCCAGCGTGGATCCTGCACCACCCCCGAGTTGTTTCACAACCTGGGAGAGATGCCGCATGGGTTGGAGCAGCACTCCTTTGGCTGTCTGTCCTGTATCCACCCAGTGCGCACTCATCCAAGGATGCTGCTGAAGTCTGCCTTGACATGCCGGTTAGAGTCATCCTAGTGCATCGGCTGACAGCAGACTGGGGCAAAGATGGTTTACACTCACCCCTTCCTCACCAGACTGCTCAGGGGTGTCGAAGGAGGGCCAGTCCATGACAACAACAAGGCACACAGCCCATAACCGATGACGAGGCTGTCCTTAACCATGCTCTGGCCACCTCAGCTCTAGGCTTCTTTGAGGCCATCCTGTTCCTTCTTCTCCAACCTCTGATCTTCCTACCCACCCTGTTCTTCTCTTTCATATTCCCCCTCCCCTCTGAATCACATTTATTCATGGACTCCTCTATAGTTTTCTATCTTTCCTTACAACCCACTCCCTCAGAACCTCACCTGTAAGCTCACAAGCTATTTGCTGATTTGGGAATTTTCTTGAATAAAGACTACCCACTCCGGCCGGGTGCGGTGGTTCACGCCTATAATCCCAGCACTTGGGAAGTCCGACAAGGGTGGATCACTTGAGGATAGGAATTCGAGACCAGCCTGGCCTACATGGCAAAACCCCATCTCCACTGACAATACAAAAATTAGCTGGGTGTGCTGGCATGCACCTGTAATCCCATCTACTCGGAAGGCTGAAGCAGGAGAATCACTTGAATCCCGGAGGCAGAAGTTACAGTGGGCTGAGATCAATCCACTGCACTCCAACCTGGGCAACAGAATGAGATTCCACCTCAACAACAACAACAACAAAAATAGACTATGCACTCCTTCAAAGGAAATCTGGGGTGTATGTATGTATGTGTGTGTGTGTGTGTGTGTGTGTGTGTGTGTATGTGCATGCGGTGGGGTGCAGGGGGCAAGAGACAGAGAATCCAACATATCTATTCAAGAATAAAAACATCAAAAGGAGTAATATCATCCATCTCTTCATTCCTGGTCTAGCAGAAGGCAAATCAAGATGAACATCCCCACCCTATTCAGAGTCACAGGTCTAAGAATTGGAGAACAAAGTTAAATCTAATCATTCCAGGAGAGGAGCTAGGCACAGTGGCTCTCACTTGTAATCCCAACACTTTGGAAGGCTGAGGCAGGCAGATCACCTGAGATCGGGAGTTTGAGACCAGCCTGACCAACGTGGAGAAACTTCATCTCTACTAAAAATACAAAATTAGCCGGGCGTGGTGGTGCATGCCCGTAATCCCAGCTACTCAGGAGGCTGAGGCAGGTGAATGGCTTGATTCCAGGAGGTGGAGGGTGCGGTGAGCCGAGATCATGCCATTGCACTCCAGCCTGGGGAACAAGAGCGAAACTCCATCTCAAATGGTAAAATAATAATAATAATAATGATTATTATCATTATTATTATTATTATTATTACAGAAGAGTTATGATCTGGGCCTCTAGTAGCCATTAAGTCCATTTTTTCACCCTGGGTGGGCACAGCCCATTCCAGGGTGCATGGCTTGTGAGCAAGGTGTGTCACCCTCTCTGCCCCCTTGCTTAGGCATCTTGGAGCAATGCACAACCTCACGACTGCATGTCACACCTGTGGCAGAGATAGAGACTGTCTTGCTAATCCCTTCCTGCTCAGTTTTTGACATGATATTCAACACAAGTAGGGACCCAGCAGATACCTGCGAAAATGGATGACTACTGACAGGATTGCATCCTTGGCTACCAAAGACAAAGGTGGGAATTTGGAATAGTAGCTCTCCTTTATGACCCAGAAGCTTTTCTGAAATGACTGAAATTATCACAACTTGTTTTATAGGGCTCCAAATTCAGGGAGAGGTTACTGTGATACACGCTGCCAACTCCATATCCTATTCCAGTTGATGATTCAAAGCATTAATTCAAGAAGCAAACAATTCATTCTCTTATCCATTTAAAATTTATTGCCTCTCCTGCAGTTACCTGACAATGTCTACAAAGAAGTACAACAGCAATGTTTTTAAAAGCAAAAGGTTGAGAACAACTTAGTTGATCAGAAGGTGGATTTTTGATTAAATTATAATACCACCTTAACAACAGACTTCTATACAGCCATGAGGTAGGGGAAAACTGAATAGAAATGTGATGTGCACACGATTTTGAAATGTCATTGTGTGTGTTTGTATTTGTGTGTGTGTATACACAGAAAAGAAATTACACGTTATTAAAAGTGGTTTTCTCTAGACAAGAGGATTTAGAGGGGGCTTTTCACACATAGTATATAAATTTTACTCTTTTCTGGTTTGGATTTTTGCAAAAGACACATATCATTTCTGCCAGCAATCCCACTACTGGCTATTCACCCAGAGGAAAAGAAATCACTATACAAAAAAGACACTTGTAGACGTATGTTTATAGCAGCACTATTTGTAATTGCAAAAATATGGAACCAGCCCAAATGCCCATTAGCCAATGAGTGGATCAAGAAAATGTGGTATATACAGACCATGGAATACTATTCAGCCATAAAAAGGAACAAAATAATGGCATTTGCAGCAACCTGGATGGAGCTGAAAACCATTATTCTAGGTGAAGTAACTCAGGAATGGAAAAGCAAACATCATATGTTCTCACTCATATGTGGGGGCTAAGCTATGAGGACGCAAAGACGTAAGAATGATACAGTGGATTCTGGGGACTCTGGGTAAAGGGTGGGAGGGGGTGAGGGAGAAAAGACTACACACTGGGTACAGTGTACACTGCTTTAGTGAAGAGTGCACCAAAATCTCAGAAATCACCACTAAAGAACTTATTCGTGTAACCAAACACCTCCTGTTCTCCAAAAACCTGCTGAAATTAAAATTAGAAAAAACAGGCTGTGTGCGGTGGCTCACACCTGTAATCCCAGTACTTTGGGAGGCTGAAGTGGATGGATCATTTGAGGTCAGGAGTTCGATACCAGCCTGGCCAACATGGTAAAACTTCATCTCTACCAAAAACAATACAAAAATTAGCTGGGTGTGGTGGCATGCGCCTACAGTCCCAGCTACTTGAAAGACTGAGGTGGGAGATTCGCTTGAACCCACGAGGCAGAGGTTGCAGTGAGATGAGATTGCACCACTGCACTCCAGCATGGGTGACAGAGCAAGACTGTCTAAAAAAATTAAATTTTTAAATTAAAAAAACAGAAAAACACATAAATAAAACTTGAAAAAAAAGTCCTCAGCTTATTCTGCTCTGTAGAAACTGAGATGATGAAAGAGCTTATTGAGATTCTAGGTGGAAGAAGAGGGAGAGAGACTGATGTTAAAGGGAGTGCTAACGGGAACAGAAGGACCAAAGGAGAGAATGGGCAGATCAGAGGGTGAAGGATGTCAGTCACCCACTTGCAAAGCAAAACGTCACCAGACCAGCCGCTTCATACACATTGATGAAATTTCCTCAACTGTGTGCCATTTTCCAAAGCAAAATCTCCTCACATGCCTCTTTGCTCTGGATTGATAAGGTTACTCATCACCAGGGGACAAGGGCTCTCCACAGTGACGTTTATACAACCCCCTGCCCCTTCGTCCAAATCAAACAACGTAATAGTCAAAAGAAATTGGCCAGTAGACTCCCCCTGCTTTAACTCAGGCAAGTCAAAACCTTTTCAAATCTCAGTTGGCCAATATTAAAATGAGAAAAAAAAATGTCAAAAGTGTTGAGCTGCAGATGCATTCAGTAACTTAGGAATTATTTATGGGTGCCCTACTGTGCTTGGCAGATAAACAAGATGGGCATAATACCTGCTCTGTGACCTTAGACATCATACAAAGAAGTCTGCATTTATATGCAATGTAACAGGATCGTGGAGATGCCAGGTGACTGGCCCAAGGTCATTAGGTCAGGTGATGGCCAAAACGGGAAGAAAACCCACATGTCTTCATTTCAACATGCATTTGGAAGGAGGACCAGGGAATACCCCACACTGCTTCTCCAGCTTTGAAGTCTATAATTCTTTAACAACAAAAGATGAGGAAGAAGGAGAAAGAGGAGGAGGAGGAGAGCTGTTTTCAATTTGCCTTGTATTTATCTAGAAATCATGAAATCTGGATTATTTTTTTTTGAGCTACGGTCTCACTCTGTTACCCAGGGTGGAGTGCAGTGGCGCAATCTCAGCTCACTGCAACCTCTGTCTCCCAGGTTCAAGCCATTCTCCTGCCTCAGCCTCCCCAGTAGCTGGGATTACAGGCGCGTACCTGGCAATGTTTTTTTTTTTTTTTTTTTAGTAGAGACAGGGTTTCACCATGTTGGCCAGGCTGGTCTCAAACTCCTGACCTCAGGTGATCTATCCCCCTCAACCTCTCAAAGTGCTGGGGTTACAGGCGTGAGTTACTGCGCCCAGAAGTCTAGATTCTTTTATCATTTTTAGAACCTGCACAATGGAGCATCATAAAATTTGCTAAATTATATTTATAGAATTACTGTGATATTAAATGAGCAAATATATTCATTTCGCCAAATAGATATATACATACATATGTGTGCATGTATGTGTGTATACATATATATACATATGGAGAGAGAGGAAATATAAGTAGATGATGGATGAGTGGACAGATAAATTGTAGATAATATTTTAACTTGTCACTTTAAAAAGCAGACATCATTCTGCCATTATTGGCACATTCAGCTAAAGGGAAAAGCACTGGCTTCCCTGGCACGTCTCTTGGAGCTTAGAGGGGTTTCTCTGGCAAGACACCAACTCCCTTGTGAGGAGCTGGCTGCAGCTCTGAGAGAAGGAAACAGGCTCTTGTTACAGTAAATGTCAGCCCCAGTGGGAAAACCTTACTAGCTGGCTGTGTTCTGGGAACAAATATGTTTTTAGTGGTTCATTGCCTGGAAAGCTCAACTTGGGTAACCCCAAAACCTTTGAGTGTGTTTACCAGGGAGAATAAACATCACCTTTCTCATTCTGGGCACTGCAAATGGAAATCAATTGAACGTGTTCTGTCTTCTCACTTTAGGACTGACTAGAAACTTCTAAACATCCAGTGCTTGTGCTGAAATCACCTCTATAAATGTTGGTTTGTATTCTTGCAAGATTCTAGAAAGATGAGTCATAAAGGAAGCTGCTCAAATGAAGGACAGAAACCCTCACTAGAAAAACTCACTTATTTCTGCATTTGTGAACCTGATCCTCTTCCTTACCTCCATAGAAAGCTCCCTGGGATTACTTAGCCGAGATTCAAACATTAAATCTGATTCTTAGTAGGTACACAGCCTTAGCAAAGGACTTCACTGACATGTACCTCTCTTTCTGAATCTGTAAAATAGGAATTAAAAATGATTCCTAACCCCTAAGAGTGAAGAAAGAATTACAGGCAATAATGACTAGAAGAGTTTTTCAAGTGCCTCACACTTAGGTATAAATGTTATTTATACACTTAGGTATAATGTGTATTTAGCAAATATATGATGAATTTTGTTATCCATTTTAAAGCAATGCTAAAAGCATAAAGAACATTCATTTAAAACGGTTAGCAAATATTCCTTACACATACTGCATTCCCCTATCTCATGGTCACAGCAGACATCATTAATCAATCATAGCACTCTTTCTCCACGAACCTGCCTATGACCTCATCATCATCCACATAGTCCTGCTGCAGATAGCCACTTCCAATCACCCAGAGATAGAAAGTGGTATAAAATTATTTTGTAATCCCAGAGGTTGGTCTTGATGTAAACACTAAATACACTCTGCAAATATGATGAAAGGTAGTCATCTGGGTAGCTGGGAACAACCTGAACCAAAACACTGACAACAAATGGACCAACACATCTAAAGAGAAAATAAAGGGTTAGCTTCTTTTTCCTAACCATTGAAGGTTTGTCGCTGATATAAATGTGGTATTAGCTACACATAAGTAAAAGACGGGCTGAAGAAGTTAGAGTTGAATTGGAAAGCTTCCAAGATTGAACGAAGAAAAAGAAGGAGGAGGAGGAGGAGGAGGAAGGAGGAGGGAGGAGGGAGGAGGGAGAAGAAAGGGGGAGACGGAGGAGGGAGAAAAAAGGGGGAGGCGGAGGAGGAGGAGGAATAGACATAGGTACCTATGTTAAGAAACTGCCTGAAAATGTAGCACAGGAGTTACAGAAAAACCCCCCAGGAAAACTAAGATGAAGATTATGCCTCAAAAAGACATAACTGGACAGTGTAAATCATACTGAAAAAAGAAAGCCATAAAATAATTGTTTGTATTACGACTTTTCAGCTAACTGCAGGTAATCTTCATTGAATCAACAAGAACAAGTTAATGACACAAATAAAAAAATATGTATAACAGTTTTTATCTATATGTATAAAATGTAGTTCATGCTGCACGTTACACATTTAATGTACATTATTTTGTGCAACCTTACGAAAGAAGGAAGGAAAAGGGAGGAGGAAGAAGATGAAAAGTACAGAAGAGAAGAAGAAACAAAGTCTGGTTTATTCGTTTACTTTTTCATTGCCATTTTACACACTAGGCAGTCAAAGTCCAGAAGACTAATGCAACTTGCCTGAAACCTGCCAAAGACAGGAAGAAAACAATGCCATCTGGCCTCTAAAGCACATAGTCATAAAACTCTTTGCTGTACTTTATTAAAAAAAAAAAAAGTCAAAAGTCATATGAAGTTTGGAAACCAAGAATCCTCAGAATTCCTTTGAAACAATTGAAAATTATGAAAGGGATAATATTCTGTTGTGGTAAGAAATTAGTTCTAATACTGTTATGAGTCCCTTGAATATTTACAGCAACAGGCACACTGACACAGTTGCACAGATAATGCTTAGATATGTCAAGAAAACACAAAACAATTAAGTAGTATGACAACTCCCCCCTCAAGGAAGGAATTCTGATATTTAGTGAAAAACAAAGGTATAATAAAATGCAATCATCTGGTGCCTATATTAGCAATAATTAGTATATATGATCAAAGCCAAGCCAAATATTATTTTTCCATTCCAAGTATGCAAACTACAACATTCTGTTGGTACAGGTGGGATGTATGCGTTGGCTCTTGGAGGAGCCCAGTTATTTGATGGGAGGGAGGAAAGACAGAAATTTCTGGGTCTTGTCAGGCTATCCAACAGACTAGCCAGCCACATTTGTACTTGGCAGATCCAAACAAAACTGCCTTCTGCAAATTGTGCGCTCTCCAGAACCAGCACAAACACACACGATAAGCGGGAGATGACTGAAGCTATAGCGGAGTAGAGAGATCACTGAAAAAGTGGCTGGGGACTCATGTTCAAATCCTGCCTTCTGCCATGGAAGCTATAGTCCTAGCGCATGGAGCGTGATTTCCAGCCTATCACTAGTCCCCTTAGTGACAGCCCTCATGACCCTTCTGAATCCTGGATACTGATCTCTAGAGTGACATAGATGCTAATCCTGTCCCGTTTCTGATTCTCTTTCAAATATCAGCACATACATGTAAGCCAAGCAGGTTCACCAGGGGCTTGCCACCCCTCTCAATCCCTGTCTCTGGGATAGGCATGACGCAGTGACAATGGCACCCTCTCCTGCTCAGCCTCAGGGTGTCTACTGAAAAAAGATTCTTGGGTGGTAGATTGACACCATAGAATACTACTCAGCAATCTAAGACAATCAACTATTAGCACATGCAACAACTTGAAACAATCTCCAGGGCAGTATGCAGAGAAAAAGAAGCCAGTCTCCAAAGGTTACATCCTGTATGATACCATTTATATAATATTCTTGATATGATAGAACTTCAGAAGTGAAGAACAGGTTAGTGGTTGCCAGCAGGTAGGGACGGGGGTAGGGGTGAGAGAAATGGGGGGAATCTGAGGGATCCTTGTGGTGATGGAACTGTTGTATATCTTCACTGTGTTGGTGGCCACATGAAACTACACAAGTGATAAATGTTTGTAATACAAATAATTACACACACGTGTGCAAAGACACACCACAGAAACCATACACACACATGCACACACACATACCATACAAACAAGTGCTGACACTAGAGACACAAACACCACACAAACGCATATGCATGCAGACACACACACTACTCACAGACATGCACACACCACCCAGAAACAACACACACCAAACAGATGCATGCACACATATGCACCACACAAACACACAGACACACCATACACACATACGTGCGTGCACGCACCATAGACACACCACAAAACACACACATGCAGACACATCATACAAACACATGGTCACAGGACACAGGCACATACACACCACACAAACACACACCACACAGACATAGATACACACAGTAAACACACACACATCACACAGACAAACATACATCCCACAGGAGTACAAATTTAACTAGGGAAATCTGAAAAAGGTCAGGAGATTGCATCAGTAGGTGGTATCAATGTCTGTATAAGACCAGTATATCTTTCTACATCAGTAAGATCAATCACTGGTTGTGATAACCCTAACCCTGTAGTTTTTCTTTTTCTTTTGAGACAGAGTTCACTCTTGTTGACCAGGGTAGAGTGCAGTGATGTGATCTCAGCTCACTGCAACCTCCGCCTTCCAGTTTCAAGTGATTCTCCTGCCTCAGCCTCCTAAGTAGCTGGGATTACAGGAGCCCACCGGCACGCTCGGCTAATTTTTGTATTTTTATAGAGACAGGGTTTCACCATGTTGGCCAGGCTGTTCTCGAACTCCTGACCTTGTGATCCGCCCACCTTGTCCTCCCAAAATGCTGGAATTACAGGCTTGAGCTACCGCGCCCAGCCAACCCTGTAGTTTTTCAAGATGTTACTATTGGATAAACCTGAGTAAAAGCTACATAGAATTTTTCTGTATTATTTCTTACAGCTTTTTGTCAATCTACAAATCTAAAATCATCTCAACATTAAATGCTTAATTAAGAAAAAGCAAACACAGCTCCTCGGAAGTCTCTACCAATGGGTCAAAGTGAACAGAGAAGCTGAAATATATTTGTCCTCCCTGAAGTAGACTATCAGATTTTTATCTACATTTTCTTTAAAACCAAAGGGAAAACATGTAAATCCAATTTCTTGCCTAGAGTCTGATTTTTGTGAAGCTGTTTCCACTTGCCCAGTGAAGAGCTGCAGTGACCACAAAATGAGGTGATGCGTGGGACTGCATGTAGAGTGGCTATGGCGTGTAGAGATACTGTCATTTCCACCACCTTAATCCAGTTTAGATCAAATAACCAATGATATTTGAAATTCAGAGCTCCCAGACCCTATTCGGATATTTTCACGTGCCTGGACTTAAGCTATGCAAAGCCCCATGGTTGGTGTTCACTGGATTCTGAATAGTTCCACAGGCCCCCAACGAATCCCAGAGTGCCAAATTCCAGGGCAGAATTGCACCTATCTGCTGCCATAACATTTCCTTTGACTCCATGGCAACACTAGATCCTAAGTGCATTTTACATGGGCTGCAACCTTCCATTTACCATACATTTATTGCCAAATTGAAATGGTATCTCATATTACACATGTTTTCTGTGATAGTTTGTCCTGTGAATTCATTTAGTAATCAAGCATATGGTCTTCTTCCCATTTTGAGAGCCTGGGTAGCATTCATGGCAGGCAGCTGCCAGCCAATGCACACACACAAGGAGAGGCTTTCCAGCCTGCAATTCTAAGGCTGAAACGATGCTCAGGTGAGTTTGCTTCCCTTATCCTGTGCCAATGAGAATACGATTGCTTTCTCCCACACTCAATAGCATGGAAGTGGCTGAATATTTAGTAGCATAATCAAGTATAATAGGGGAAAAACAGGAGAGCTCCTTGTAAATTTCCTTCAGCCTTTCACAATCTGACAGCAGAGGATGTATGTTTGTTATAAGGGAAGTGTTTTTTTAAAGGCACTTTTTGCTGTAAAGAGAACAGGTTATCACATATATTATAGGAATGTAAACGGATAAAACTTTCTTGGAGGGCAAATATTAGCAATATCTATGAAAAGTAAATCGATCTAGCCATTAAATAAGAAATTATCCTATAATTGTGCATGTACAAGTACAGAGAGATAGAAGTATACACAGATGCAGTGTTTGAAGTAGAAAAGCAACAAAACTCAAGCCATTTAACATGCATCAATAAGGAATCCATTAAATGTCTCACTCATAGAAGGGAATACTATAGAACTACTAAAACTATTAAAAATTAAATGTAGTGTATTATACATAGACTTCCAGCATATGTATATACATATATATGTACACATATATGTATATCTGCATGCAAATGTGCATACATATGTACACATATGTATATCTACATGCATATGTACACATATATATCTACATGCATGTGTACATGTATATGCACACATAGATGTGTATCTACCTGTATATGTGCATGTATATGTACACATATATGCATATCTACATGTGTATGTACAACTATACGCACACATATATGTACATGTATGTGTGCATATATGTACACGCATATGTATATGTGCATGTATATGTACAGATATGTATATACATATGCTGCAAGTCTATATATGTATAATACACTACCTATATCTACATGTATATGTACATGTACATGTACACATACATATGTATACATATATATGTGTGTGTATATATATATATGGACTTCCAGAGTAGCAAGTCTTGAGAAAGGAATCAAGAGTTGAGGGATCGGCCAGGCACAGTGGTCACACTTGTGATCCCAGCACCTTGAAGGCCAAAGTGGGCAGATTGCTTAAGCCCAGGAGTTTGAGACCACCCTGAGCAACATGGTGAAACTCTATCTACATGTATACCTATATACCTGTGTGCGTGTGTGTATGTGTGAGTGTGTGTGTAGATATATATATAAAACATATCTGTATATTACATAGTTATTTTGGCTCCTGGAAAAATAGATCAGTTTTTAATGGGGTATAGGAATGAGATTTAATGTCCAGTTATAGAGACATAAAATTTATATCCAATTTTATGACCACTACATATGGTTCATCACATATATAGGTATTATATAGAGCACATTTACATATACAAATATTAGAATAGCTGAATGATTATATATGTGTCTGTATATATATGTGTGTGTGTGTGTGTGTGTGTGTGTATATATATATATATATATATATATATTTTTTTTTTTTTTTGGTGGGAGGAGAAGGGAGGAAGGCAAGTGGCTGATAGCTCTTCCATGGCCCAATTCCTGGGAATATTGGTATTTCTCTTATTCCACTACTCTTTTTTTTTTTTCAGACAAGTGCTCACCCTGTTACCCAAGCTGGAGGGCAGTGGTGCAATCTCCAGTCATGGCAACCTACAACTCCCGAGCTCAAGCAATCCTCCCATTTTAGCCTCCCAAGGAGCTGAGACTACAAGTGCATACCACCATGCCTTGCTATTTTCTATTATTATCATTTTATGTAGATATGGAGTTTTTCCATGTATCCCAGGCTGGTTTTGAACTCCTGGCTTAAGTGACCCACTGAACTCGACCTCCCAAAGTGCCAGGATCACAAGTAGCCACTGTACCTGGCCAATCCTCCAACTCTCGATTCCTTTCTCAAGACTTGCTATTCTGGAACTCTAAAGGTGATGATATGAAGTTCACTCTCTCAAAATTAATTTTTTTAAAAAGCTAAAAACTTTGTTTCAGCTTGATTTTAAAATAAATCTTGTGGTAGTACTCAGCCTCTTCAAAAATCTGTAGGCTGATAACAGTTGTTTATCTTTCTGAAACAAGAGGCTTTGGAGAGTTTGCATTGATACCTTGAAGAAACACACACACATAAGATGCCCTCCGCCACACAAAATATTCCAGCTCAATAGCAATTTATACTGTACAGAATCTACCTAATTCAAGTCAAAATATTATTCTGAGGATACAGTTATTTAAAGAAAAGTTAACATCCCTATTCTCTCACTCATTATGCAAAGTTATAAAACTCTGTAATCCTAGTTTCCTTACCTATGAAGTGGGTTTCATAACAATACAAACTTCAAACTTCATACAGTTGTTGAAAACATTAAATAATACTCATAAAGCATTTGGTAAAATATGTATCCCATACTCACTGATGCTCCATGTATACAACATGTGGTACATGCAAATATTCACACACACACACACACACACACACACACACACACACACACACACACAAAGGAAGAGGGTCTAGCCATTTCCCAAACTAAGTTTTATGCCTCTCCAATCACATTTTCTTACAACTGCCCACTATTTTCAGTATCTTCTAAATGCCTTCAAGTTTAAATATAAATAGTTTTAACAAGAGGAAGACTATCTAACAACTCAAGGCCTGCAAAAATGGCTGCCTTGTAGGAAGGTCCTGTCACTGAGCAGATTCAAGCAAATGACCTCTTGTCAGGTAAATCTTAGGAAAGATCTATTGTCCTTCTGTGATGGGACCATATCTTTCAAACTTCCTCCCACATTCACATGAAATGTGTGTCACACTCTTCAGTGGTAGTTTTTCTAATCTCCCAGGCAGAGATGGATGAGTGATTCCCTTTCCTCTGTATCTTTCACTTGTCTCTTTTACAGCACTAGAGCTTGTAACTAAGTATCTCTGCCATGTCTTCCTCCGACTGAATGAAGATCCTCCAAGGCAGTAACATGATCCTGGTTATTTCTTAGTCTCACAACACTTGGCACATCATAGGTGCTCAACAAATAACTTTTGGATGATGAACTATGATGTGCAAAAACAATCTTGAGTGCTTTTCTACCTGCTAATATTCCCCTGTAAGTTCTAGCCCATTATTTAAGCAAATCTGTTGCTAAATACTAGTAACAAAAACAACTATGATAATGATGATGGATAAATTGAGAATCAAATCCACACAGATGTCAACAGAATGCTTTTTCTCTTTATCTCCATTCTCGTCATTTAAAAGGGTTTTTTTTAAAACCAGGTTTAATGCCTAACTAGAACAATTTACCTCTATCTCTTTCCTGCCTGGTATCAAGAACAAAAACATCTGATAGCCTGTTTGAGGGCATCTTCCTCATGGTACTTTTCCCCCTCATGATAACTGAAAACAAGCAGAACAATAAAACACATGTCCTTTCCTTTCTTTCTTTCCTTATTTTTTTTTTTTTTGAGACACTGTCTCACTGTCACCAGGCTAGAGTTCAATGCAACCTCCGACTTCAGGGTTCCAGCGATTCTCCTGCCTCAGCCTCCCAAGTAGCTGGAATTATAGGCGCCCCCCTCCCCCCACCACCATCACCATGCCTGGCTAATTTTTGTTTTTTCAGTAGAGATGGGGTTTCACTATTTGGCCAGGATGGTCTCGATCTCTTGACCTTGTGATTCACTTGCCGCAGCCTCCCAAAGTGCTGGGATTACAGACGTGAGCCACCTTGCCCGGCCAACAGATGTCCTTTCAATCCAATACATGTCCTCCCTCCCTAAACCAAATTTTTCCTGGAAGGTGGGACAGGAAGGAAAGACTAAAATAAAAGGTTGCATTTATAGTTTGGCCACAGAGTAAATCAGATCATGTTTATCAAATGAAATAAATCAATAAACATGAAAAAGTTCAGGAGATTCTGACCCATGCCTCCAGGTATGCATTTGATAGAGACATTACCAGACTCAAAGTTGAGTTATTGCAGAATTTAAAAAAAAAATGATTATGTCCACCAGTGACACAGACGGATTCATAACAGGAGGAAAGGAGGATATTCAGCTGCTTTAATTTTTCTCTCCAGCCAGATTATAACATTAAGAGACAAGTTTTGTACAAAATATTAGACCATGCCATGGTTCTACATAATTAACCAAATGACAAACAAAAAAATATATTAGAATCACAAATGAACACACTCTCTTTCATAAGAATAAATAGGTTTTATGCACCAGCAATGGCCACTCCTTGGTTCCCTCCTTGCCTAGATTTTGTTTGTTCTCAGAAAACATCTCTGTTGCATTTTTATGTCCACTTGAGTCTTGCAAATGATTAAGTGCCTTCATGCAAGACTCGGTGCCACCCACCTTCCATTGTCTCTTCTAGGGAGGGAAAATGGTCCACCATGCTTAGACATAAAATATCGTACCTGGACCCCATTAGGAACAATTCTAAACTATTTTTCCAGGAGTCAAGATAACCAGGACACAACTTATTTTGCCCATGCTGCATTTCCAAAGCAAAATAAATTCCTTTTCACTGACATCTGCGCATACCAGACTCACATCTTTCCAATAAGACAGACACCACAGAGAAGCCACTATCAATGATGCAAATGAAATCCAGTGAACCTAACTGCCTATCTTTATCAAGATTGCACAGCTAACTCTTTGGTAGCACCAGACCATAAGGCCACAATTTTTAAAGATCCTAGTTGAAATAAAATCTTTAATGGAGTTTTGAACTATGATAACCATTAACAATTGATGGCAATTTCTTTGGCTATCGGGTCAGCCAAGGGTTGGGATTAGGTACTGGATGCAACCATGGAGTAGTAAATTTATAATTTAATTTTTGTCCATTATCCCTTCTGTAGTTTTTCTGGTAGCAACATCTCTCTTTCCACTGATAGAATACTTTCCATGGGTGGGTTTACTAAAGCTATGCACAGCCTACTTGTGCTACCGCTATGGACGCATGGTATAGACTGGAAATCAAAATTCACTCTCCTTCTAACTCCAAGAATCAGCTCAGGGGTGAGGATGTGATCCAAACAGAATTGACACCTTCTTTTGTTTTATATATGGAACCCATGTGTGAGAAGGTTTTGCTTTGCTTCAATACAGGGACTGTCAACAATATACTCTAGAGCAGGGGTCCATAAACCTCAGGCGATGGCCTAGTACCAGTCCATGGTCTGTTAGAAACCAGGCCACACAGCAGGAGGTAAGCAGCAGGTGAGCAAGCAAAGCTTCATCTATATTTACAGCCATTCCCCATAGCTCACATTACCACCTCCTGTCAGATCGGCAGCAGCATTACATTCTCATAGGAGCAGAAATCCTCTTGTGAACTGTGCATGCGAAGGAGCTAGGTTGCATGTGGCTTATGAGAATCTAATGCCTGATGATCTGTCACTTCCTACCATCACCCCAAGATGGGACTGTCTAGTTGCAGGAAAACAAGGTCAGGCTTCCCACTGATTCTACATTATGGTGAGTTGTGTAATTATTTCATTATATATTACAATGTAATAATAATAGAAATAAAGTGCACAATAAATGTAAAGGACTTAAATCATCCTGAAATCATTCCCTCCATTTTCCCATCCCTGGAAAAAATTGTCTTCCATGAAACCAGTCCCTAATGCCAAAAAGGTTGGGGAGTGCTGGTCTAGAGGCTACAAGTAGCCCTGTGAAGAAGATCTGCTCCAGAATGAAGTCAGCACTCAGGAGGGAGTTGAAGGATGACGAACAAGTAAAGACATTAGTGACATTAGTTTAACCCCTTTACCCTGCCCTGCTTGAAGACAACATATCTTTTGCAGTCCTAATTTCATGAGCCAATAAATCTCACTGTCAAAAAATATAAAGTTTAAATACGTTGGAATTTGGTTTCTGTTGACTGTAATCAGAACCATTCTGAATCCAAGTGAAGGCAAGAAAAATGTGGCCCATCTCCCATTCTATGAGTGACTTTTAAAAATTTACTTTCCCAGTGAGATCTGATTTTTGCCAAGGTAGCCTCTAGTTCAGCAACCATCTTTCTTTTGGGATAAGTTTACATAGGACATTGCTGGTTGGAGCTTAATAAAACAGTTCCTGAAAGTAGAATACACTTAACAGCCTCTGTCATTTGAGGGAGAGAACTTCTGTGCTACCACAAAAATAATTTTGGAAAGGAGCGTATCTGCTTTCAGAAAGTGTCTGCCAAGATGTGGCCCAATGTAATTTAAAATGGTGAAGACAATCAGCTCAGAAATTAAGGTTTCTAATGGGAACACCTACTCAGCCCTAATAATAGGGGAACTACCATCATAATTATAATGTGGTGTAAGCAGGCACATCATTAACTAACTTTTCTCAGCGACTTCAATTAACAAGCATCAATAGATTGAGTAAATTATTAATAACCCACAAATGCTGCAGTGAACACTGCTGGTTCTATTCTATTTTGCAAGTAAGAAGCAAAAAGTTAACAGCTGATATCCAAACAATCTTTGACTTATCTCTTTCTAAACATCACTTTACTTTTCAATAATTCTTCCTGGAGGAGACAGCAGTCGTAAAGAATTAAGTTGTCAATAGAGAAGAAAATATCCTGAAAGTGAGCCACGTAATGTAATAGAGAAAATATCTGTTAAGAGTTGATCACACGGTAGCCATCCCTTACTTTCTTCATGGTGTCATCATTTATGGAATTGTTACCACCATTGAGTGGTAATAATGGTGGAAGTTGTGGCTGACATTGCACAATGGAGTGTGATTCAGCAGTTTTCAAATACAGCCCGGGGACCAATTCATGACGTTCTCAAATAATCTCAAATCATAGGGCATTAACGTAGGGTGGGCACTGTCTAATATAGACACAACCGTGAAGACATACAAAGAGGTCCATAAAGAATTAAGAGACACAGCCAAGGTTGTACAGATAGGTGGAGGCGTCTCTTTTACCTCTTACATTTAAATGGTTGCCAGCCAATAGGTAAATAAAACATATTTTTTGTCCTTCGGATGTGCATGTTCTAGCAGAAGGAGGCTGCTAATAGGAAACATCAACAGACCATGAAAGCCCTATGACCGGAATAAGCACAAGGAAAGAGAGAGGGAAGAACAGGCAACCTGGCTGGGGCAGGAGGTTCACAGATAGCTTCCCCTAAGAGTTGTAATCTCTGTTGAGTCAGAACAGAGGTGGAGAAGGGTTCTAGCAGAGGAAATACCATACATAAAAGTCTGAGTATGAGAAAAACATGGCATATTTTGCAAATAACAAGCCACGGGATGTGGCTGGAGTTTAGATGAGACAGTGAGTAGGGGTCAGATAGAAAGGGCTACATTAAGGAAGAGGTGCTCCGACTGGGAGCCTTTGGGGAGTCTTCAGTAGGAAGCAATGTGGCTAGACATTACTTAATGGAAAAGTCACTGGGGCTACAGTTGTCAGAATGGGGTAGAGGCGGGTGTAGAGAGGGAAGGAAAGAGCCACAGGAGGATAAGCCTGGTGGCTCATGCCTGTAATCCTAGCACTTTGGGAGGCCTGCGGGGGCATATAGCTGGGCACGGTGGTGTGCACCTGTAATCCCAGCTACTCAGGAGGCTGGGGTGAGAGGATCTTTTGAGCCTGGGAGGAGGAGGTTGCACTGAGCTGAGATTGCACCACTGTACTACAGCTGGGTGATAGAATGAGACCCTGTCGGGGAAAAAAAAAAAAAAAAAAAGGAAAGAAAGAAAAGAAAAAGAAAGAGCCACAGGAAGCTTGCACCAATCCATGAAAGACAGTGGTCTTAAGCAAAAGTCTCTCACCAGTGGGAATGGAGTGGGGGATCAATGGATGTACTTTTATGATTATTGAGAGATAAAACCAAGAGACTTGACTCTTTACCCTGCATCCTGAGTGGTATGACTACTGCCAACTCCTTAACAAGCAAACAGTCATATTGCAACTCTCTCTTCCACCAGATCAAAACAGCACCAGGAAGTCCAGCAGTCTTGACTCTGAATAAAAAAACATGAAGGAGGAGAATTGGGGAAACTGGGCAGTAGGAAATGATTTCCAATACTTGGTTTCTCTCTTCCATGTCTGGAAACCTGGGTTTTCAAAGACTGTCTCCCACTGTGAGAAAGGAAATGTTTTAGAAAAAAAGAACAAGGGCAGAATTGGTAGACCAGAAGGCCCCTTCCCTTGACGCATTCTCTAAGCCAGGAAAGAAGCAAAATACTATGGCTTCAGGTTTCCTATCTTTGTGCCTTCTTGAAATGAAATGCATCAGACTAAACTGATTTTAGGCACATGCAAAGTCAGATGACTATCTCCGAGCATAAGGAAGAATGAAAAAGGTGATGGTGACCCGAGGGTCACTTTGCTACAAACATACTCAGAGCCTGTCTGAGGGCAAGTGCCTGGGGCTGCCGAACTCAGGATTAGTCTCAGGCAGCTCTGCCTCCCAGGCCTCTTCGGGTTTCTGCTCAAACGATTGCCTCATTTTGAGATCATTCAACCATGTTAAAACTGTAGAGAGTAGAGCGGCACATCTATTCAATGACCATTTAAACTACACAACTGGAATTTATCACAAGTACAAGGGAAAGGGTGAATTGTTAGAAAATCAAACTTGGAAAATCTCCATTCTCGATCAAACAGCTATGTTGTCTGTTCAGGGAACTCGGCACTGCGGCCTTAATATGTTAAATGTATACAGCCTCCTGCCGGCGTGTGAAAAAGATCCGAAGTTGAGATGTAAACAGCAAAAGAGGTTTTAAAATACATAGAGAAGGAACTTAAGATGAGGTGAAAATTCAAAAGAGGGGAGTGTTGGTTAATGCAAAAAATTAATATGATAATGGCCTGTATAGATGCTAAAATCAGGCTTCTTGGAGTTTCCTTATAAACAACATTGAAAGGAAAACTCCTTTGTAAATAATACCAAGAGCATGCCAGAGTGTGCCTTTAAACTTCTTCCATTTGTTTTAAAGTTTTGTTTTCATCTTAATTGTTGATCTAACAGACCCCAGGCAGTATTTGGTGTAAATCCTCTGAGTTAGCCCTGAGAACAGCATTTTTTGCTTTGTTTTCCTAAGTCAATTGTGCGTCACTTCCTAGAGATTGGCTGTGACTAGGTTTGTCTGCTCATCTTGAGTGTTCTGCTAAAGAGAAAGTTTTTCATTTGGCCTCTGATCTTGAAGTGGCAGCTCTTACCTTTGTATACCTCTTGTGTGACTGCAAGGTTCTAACTAGGCATTACTCCTTGAGGAAGGCATTTACACTGTTGGTGAGAATGTAAATTAGTTCAGCCCCTGGCGAAAGCAGCCTGGAGGTTTCTCAAAGGGCTTAAACAGAACTACCATTCAACCCAGCAATCCCATGACTGGGTATATGCCCAAAGAAAAATAAATCGTTCTACCAAAAAGACACACGCACTCACATGTTCACTGCAGCTCTATTCACCATAGCAAAGACATGAAATTAACCTAGATACCCATCAATGGCAGATAGGATAAAGAAAATGTGGTCCATACACAACATGGAATACTATACAGCCATAAAAAAGAACAAAATCATGTTCATTGCAGCAACGTGAATGCAGCTGGAAGCCATTAATCTAAGTGAATTAATGCAGGAACAGAAAACCAAATATCACATATTCTCACTTGTAAGTGGGAGCTAACCATTGAGTACACATGGACATCAGGATAAGAGCAAAAGACACTGGAGACTATGAGATGCAGGGGAGTGGGAAGGCCGGGGTTGAAAAACCGTCTACCAAGTACTACGCCCACCACCTGGGTGACAGGATCATTTGTCTACCAAACTTCAGGAACATGCAGTTTACCTGTGTAACAGACCTGCAGATGTCCACTCAAACCTAAAATAAAAGTTGAAAAAAAAATTAAAAATAGGGCCAGGTGTGGTGGCTCATGCCTGTAATCCCAGCACTTTGGGAGGCTGAGGTGGGCGGATCACTTGAGGTCAGGAGTTCCTGACCAGCCTGGCCAACATGGTGAAACCCTGTCTCTGCTAAAACTACAAAAAAATAAAAAATAAATAAAAAAAAAAATTAGCCAGTCATGGTGGCAGGCACCTGCAATCCCAGCTATTCAGGAGGCTGGGGTAGGAGAAACACTTGAACCTGGGAGGCAGAGGTTGCAGTGAGCCGAGATTGCACCACTGCACTCCAGCCTGGGCAACAGAGGGAGACGCCATCTCAAAAAAAAAAAAAAAAAAAAAAGTCGTTGTTCTTTTTTATCATTATTTTGATGCAGGGTATCACTCTGTCACCCAGACTGGAGTATAATGGCGCAAACATGGCTCACTGCAACCTCGACCTCCTGGTTCAGATGATCCTCCCACCTCCACCTCCCAAGTAGCTGGGACTACAGGCATGTGCCACATCCTTGGATATATTTTTGTATTTTTACTAGAGTTGGGGGTCTCACTATGTGTCCCAGGCTAATCTCACACTCCTGGGCTCAAGTGATCTGTCTGCCTCAGCCTCGCAAACTGCCAGGATTGCAGGCATGAGCCACTGCACCCAGCCGCATTGTTATTTTTACGTTATCTGCTGGGTTCTGAGTTTCTGGAGTGCTGAAGAATATGCTGGGTATCATAAGCTTATTCTTCTTGCTTTGTTTCAATGAGAAACCCAAGAAGACCTGAAAGAAATACAAAAGTTAACTCTGATGGCCTATGCATCCTAGCTCTCTCTAGTATCAGAAAGCTGAAGACCACCTTTGTTCATCGTCACTAGAAAGCCAGCCTCAGTGGGGGTGACAGAGCTGCTGGGTAGGCGAGGGGTTCAGCTGGTTCAGCAAAGTATACTGATGAGACAATTTCTTCTCTGCCCTTGCATAGGAAAGACCATCACTGCAAGTGCATTTCAAAGGCAACATATATTGCAAGCAAGCAGAGCTATCATTTTTAGTGGCAGAGAAACTAGAAATTTCAATACGTGGCATCTGCTGTTCCTGCATATGGATTGTGAGGCCCAGTATCATGGGAAATGGGGAAGGGGCTTGAACCAGGACCAAACAGTTCATGCTCTGGGGTAAACGACACTGTGCCATTGCTCATCCCTTAACCTAGACAAGCTTTGACAGGCAAAGTTCATTTTAAAATTCATTCTTGCCCCCATTTGGAACAGTCAAAAGAAGTGGGAAGTTAGCAGTTTTAATCACAGCACTCTTAGCCCCTAGCCAGTCATCAAACTGTGGACACAGATGGGGTGACTAGTTGCAGAGAAAGGAAGGTAGTGAAGGAGGGTGCACCTGTCCACTACGGCTACTCCGCCAGAGGGTCATGGACTTGAGGGGATGGGAACCTCAGAGAACTAGGCTGTATATGAAGGAAGAGGACTGGCCATATGGAGGAGCCATGGAGAAGTAGTGTGTGTGCGGGAACACAAACAGAGAGAGGTATAGGGAGACTCATACATGATTTTTATATCTCCCTAATACAGGGCCATACCACTGGGAGATGTCAAGCTTAAAGATACATTTTTTAAATTTCAAGACCCTTATCAGTATCTAAATGAAACAGAATTCAGCTATTAAACACCCAGAAAATGAGCATGGTTCCTAAATACCCCCACTAACATAACCGAGAGGGGTAAAACACAGTAAGTGCATATAGATCATCATATGAGGTTCTGCACTTGCTTTAAGTGCAAGAAAAAAAAATCACATGGCAAAAGGGGAAGAAGCCCAGGTGTGATGGCTCACGCCTCTCATCTCAGCACTTTGGGAGGCCGAGGGAGGTGGATCACTTCAAGTCAGGAGTTCAAGACCAGACTGGCCAACATGGTGAAACCCCGTCTGTATTTAAAATACAAAAAAATGAACCAGATGTGGTGGTGCATGCCTGCAATCCCAGCTAATCGGGAGGCTAAGGCAGGAGAATCTCTTGTACCCGGGAAGTTGAGGCTGCAGTGAACTGAGACTGCGCCACTGCACTCCAGCCTGGGCAACAGAGCAAGACTCCATCTCAAAAACAAAAAACAAAACAAAACAAAACGAAACAAAAAAGGGTAGGGGGTAAAGAAATGATTGGGATGGTACCCCCTGCTTGCAGCAAAACCATCCTGAGACTTGTAGGTGCTTATGTCTGGAAAGGGATCACTGTCAAGCTAGGATTGGTACCAAAAGAGCAGACCAGTCACATCCGGCTAGGATTTGCCCAGAACAAAACCTTTTTAAAAAACAACGTCAGCTGACCTGTTTCAGAATTCTTATCTCCCTGCACTCCACTGGGGGAGGGGGAGAGGGGCTGACTTTCATGTAGGCAAAGGTGCCTCACATCAGAGACACTGGGCTGCTGGAGACCCCAGGGAGACACAAACCCAATACTGCTAAATGGCAACCTTCAGCAATCACCTTCTCGGGCCATAAAGACTCTTTTATTCCATAGCTTGATTTGCTATTGATTTAGGGCTCTTTTTCATAGTGATGCAGGAAAACATTTTATTTTCTCATATGTAGGTGGGAGGGAGACTATCTGGGGAAAGCGGAGGGAAGCTGCTCTGCAGAGTGAAAACCATCATTTAATGAATGCTGGCAGGAAGGGAGGGCTCTCTATGGCATCACTAAATGTTCAGACTTGAACTTTCTAAATAGGTCTAGATTCAGGCGCAGTAGCTCATGCATGTAATTCCAGCTCTTTTTGCGGCTGAGGCAGGAACATCGCTTGAGCCTGGGACGTTAAGGCTGCAGTGAGCTGCTGTGTGTGTGCCACCACTGCACTCCAGCCAGAACAACAGAGGGGCCCTGACTCAAAAAAAAAAAAAAAAAAAAAGAAGAAAGAAAAAGAAAGAGAAAAGAAGAAGTTTTAACCTGGGTGGCCATGGATAGTGTCCAAGGATGGGTACCAGAAAGTGTGAACCCTAAAGTGACGGTACAAAATGGTGTTATCTTTGTGCATATATCAATTCCTCTGGGGAGGAAGTTCTTTGCTTTCATTAAACACTCAAATAATTCCAAGACCCCTCAAAATGAGGAAATCTTTAAGAGGAGAAATGGAGTCTATCCGTCTATCCATGTCCTTTCTTAAACAATCATTTTTGCAAACTAGAGAGATATTCATGATCTATTACCTAGAGGAGCAAATTCTATGAAGACGTTTTCCCCCAAGGGAAAAAGCCTACAGACACATCAACCCGAAACTCAGCCTTTACGGACCTTGAAAACTACACAGGAACCAAACTATGAATGTTCCAAAGACAACACCATGGTTTAAAGAGAGTTATGATTGTTTTCAGAAAAAAAACTAACAAGATTATTCCATTGTCTGTGAATAGACATTACAGTAATAGCTCCTAGGGACTATATAGTAGTAGCTCTTACCTTCTAGGATCTTATAGTACCTGCTAGGATCTTGTACTACCTGTAAGATATACTGTGTATAAGCAGTATACACAGTAAGCACAGTGTAGATACTCAGTAAGCACTGCTAAATAGTATAAATGAACCAATAAACCCATGGATGAATGTATGATCAAATGAAGGACTTTGGAGAAGTTTTAATGCTGAGGATCGTATCTGCAGAGAGCTGAACTCCCAGGTTTCAGAGACTCACTCACTCCCCTTCAAGGACACAGAAAAGATAAAAAGGGTGAGTGAGAAGGAGGTCTGGGAGAAAGCTACCCCATAAATACAAGGTATTGTTATTTTTATTTTTATTGGTGCTTCTGCTGCCTCCAGGGGCGGGGGTAGGATATGGGAATATGGCTAATTTTCTGCTTGACTCCAGACAGATTCTAAATTACTGAGGCACATTTTATTTTAAATTGACTAATAAAGAAATCTCACACCCCACACCATTTCACATTTTCTTGGGTCGTTTAATGTTCCCACTTTTCTACAGTGGCTCAGTCCTCTCCCTGAGAGCTGGGTCGGGAATGCGGTGGAGGAGGGCTGGAAAACAGTTGGACGCATTGTCATTTCTCCTCTCTCTTCCTCTCTCTCTCTCTAATTTTCCCTGATCAAAACACAAAGAAAATGACAAAAAATATCACCCTGAATCAGATGCCTTGCTTTTATGCTCACTTACACCAAAAAACACGTACGGCTTTTTGCTTTCCCCAACATAAAAATAAATGGAAAACATTTTGCAAATGTCAAATGCTATATGAAAGGAAAAAATATGAAGGACACTGCACACATAAACAATAGTATTAATGACAAATTTTACCTCTCCTAAAGCACTCTCAACCACCCAGTCCCAATTTTGGAGTCATATCTCAAGGGTCAGAAACCAGCTATATCATAGGTAGAAATGGATTCTCACAGAAAAAAAAAAAATACTCTGCAGATGTGTCTGCAGATGATATTAAGGAAAAGAGAAGAAAAATAAGAGAAAATTACTCAGGGCTGACCATTTTCTTTCTATCTTTCATTCATTCAATACTGGTTTAAGCAACACTGTGTTCAGAACGGTGTAAGGCATTGGGAATGTCATATACAAAACAGTAGAGGTGGTTCTCACTGGAATGCAGTGACCTTAGAGAGGGAGACACATATTAAAGACATGTATATACAAACAAGATAATTACTGATTAAACTGTTATCAATCAAAATGCTCTGATTGACAGTCCAGAAGATGAGTAGATAAGGGAAAATCCCAGTGAGAAAATAATATTGAGGCACAGCCCAATGGCTAAGAAAGAGCCGGCCATGCGGAGAACAGTATAGGGAAGAGCCCATACAAACACTCAGGGGTAGGACACAATCTTAAATTGTTCCAGGGACTCTCAGGAAGCCAGAGTCGCCTGCGGTACAGGGGCTGATGGAAGAGTGACACGAAATGACATCAACAAGAAGCTCAGGACATGGACCTCATTTCACGGGCATGGTAACCAGTCTGATTTTTTTCCTAAGTGAAATGGGACTTGGCTAGGTGTGGTGGCTCATGTCCATAATCCCGCCACTTTGGAAGGCTGAGGTGGGAAGATTGCTTGAGCTCAGCAGATCAAGGCCAGCCTGGACAACATGATGAAACCCCATCTTTACAAAACATACAGAAATTGGTCAGGTGTGGTGGTGTGTGCTCGCAGTCCCAGCTACTTGGGAGGCTGAGGTGTGAGGCTCCCTTTAGCCTGGGAGGTTGATGCTGCACTGAGCTATGATCACACCACTGCACTCCAGCCTGGGCAACAGAGTGAGACCCTGTCTCAGATAAAAAGAAGAAAGAAGGAAGAAGGAAGAAGAAGGAGGAAGAAGAAGGAGAAGATGGAGAAGAAGGAGAAGGAAAATAAGAAATAGGATCCCGCTGAAACATCTTAAGGGGGAAGGGGACTGACATGACAGATTTATGAATTTCCAAGGTCACTATGGCTGCTGTGCAGAGAATAGGTGAGAAGAAACAAGAGCAGTAGCATGGTGTCCAGTCAGAAGGCTGGTGCGGTCGTCAATATGATGGACCGTGACCAGGCTGGTGACAGCAGGGACAGAGTAGGAAAGATGGATTAGAACTTACTGGTGGATAGGATGATGAGGTAAAGGAGAAGAAGGGATCCAAAAGACTATAGTAGCTCATCCCTTGTAAACACTAAAGTTAGATGAGTTTAACTCATCCAAACTACAAATGGCATTAATATGTTAATGAACATGCAATCTTTCATCTGGTACAGGGAGCCATAAATGGCCCCACCTTCCAAAATAAAAATAAAAATAAAATAACAATGATCCTTGATGCACTCTAGCAAAACTCCATTTCCGTGCTTTATGCTCTCATTGACTGCTGCGCATTTTCCCCTTAGAGCACACCTGAGAACTTGGATTAACAATCATGCGATAAGGTCTTCTAGCTGCCGCCCAAGCTGTATTTTAAGGTCCATCAGAGAAGGGGTCCTATCTGTCTTGGTCAGCATTAGATTCCCAGAACCAAGCACTGTGTCTGGTATTCCGTGGGTGAATAATGAATAAATATTGGGTGTGAATAGATGCCCTGAACTTAACTCCTTGAAGGGCAGGAAGCGATCTGGATCCAGCACTAACACTCACCCATTATTTCCCGGCCTCCTCCCCAGGATCCTCCTACTTGCTCCCCAGCTGACTGCAAGTCTAGACACATCATCCTGATAAAGCCAGAGCCACTTTGCACAAGATGACTCATGGTTCAGAAACCACCCCAGCTCATCGTCAGGAGGTTCCCTGGTTTGCTGAGGGTGGCTTCCTGGCAGAGCTCTGCAAAGCTGGAGGAGGCTTCATTATTACTTCCAACGAGGGTTCCTCTTCACTCCCTCCTTCTCTCTCCCAATTCCACGTTAGGCTCTGAGACACTTAGAAACCATGCTTGAATCCCTTTGGGAAAGATGCCAACGCCTAATGGAAGCATTTCACAAAAGAGCTTCATGAAATCCTGCTCCTGGAGTCCGCCAAGAGGTGTGGATCTTTGAAATCCATTATGAGCATACCAAGGAAACATCCTGGAAAGTTTAACGCTACCTTCCCCATAAATATTTCCTCATTCAAGTCTCCGTCTCTCACTCCCAGTTCCAATAATTATTGCACAGGATATCACTCTGAGAGGTTCTGCTTTCAGCGTTTCACACAGGAATTGTTGGTTCAGATATTGATGAGCTCTGCCTAGAAATATGCCACATTCTTTTATTCATTCCTTTAAAAAAATAGAAAGATGCCCCCAAATTCATCAATGCATTCATTTATGCACTTAAAAGATGTATTTATTAAACTCATACTATATGCTAGGTCCTGGGTATCCAACAATAAATTGAAGAAATCATTTCTCTCCTTACAAAACTACATATTTGGGAAGTTAGACAATATAGCCATGAAAACATAAGTGCAAACTGAGCGAAGTGGCACAGAAAATGAAGAAAATCCTATCATACAGACTCAGAGTGGGGAAAAGAAACTTTGTGTGGTCAGAAAAATAACCAAGAGAAGGTGACCTTTAAAAAACTAAAAAAAAAAAAAAAAAAAAAAGCCATTTAAAAAAAAATGGACAAAATTTATTTGTCCATTCAGAAAATGGACAAATTGGGAGGGAGAAGGAGGGAGAGAGAGAGAGAGAGAGAGAGAGAGAGAGAGAGAGGGAGAGAAGGAGAGAATAAGAGAATGAGAATGAATTAGTTTCATGCAGAGAGAAAGAGAGAACAGTCCATAAATACCTAGACAGAGCCTACCATTCTTTGGCTAATATTCCTAATCCCCTAATGCCCAGACAGCTATCTTTTTCCAGGTGTCCTGGGATCCACTGCAGTCTTGACTTGGATATCAAGTCAGCAACTAAAACTCATGTCAGTTCTTCCTTCCAGGCTTATGTCTTTACCTTCTTCCTCCTCCACAGCCAACATTTTACAAGCTCACCCCATCCTAAGGGTCTTAGCTTCCTCCTCAATTCCTCATTCCTTAAGACATGAATGCTTGTCTTCTGTCCACAGCAACTAAAACTGCCCCCTGAAAGCTCACCGATGAACTTAAAAAAAAAAGAATCCAATCAATGTATTTCTCAGTCTTCAACCTCTTCATGGCCTTTGGTTTTATTCACCAACCCAACATTCTTGAAACATTCTCCTCTCCCTTGCCTCTTTACCAAAAACTGAAACTGTCGAGGGTGGACTCAGGTCTCTGATCCTTTCCTCACCATTGCTGATAAAAGTAGTAGTAGTAGAAGTTACCCTTACCCTTGATCCAGCACAGATAATATGCCAGGAACCATGTTAAGCATTTTAAAAACCTGGTTGCAAACTATCTGGGGCTATTTAGTTAGGATTTTCCTCCTCTCTTCCATCACTCAAACAGGTAGGTATATAGGACCCTCTTTGTCTCTGAACTCAAGAAGGAAAAGGAATAGAGTTAGTGGAGGGATGAAGCCAAGCATGGCAGAAAGACAATTCTGTCTGTAAGAAGCTTTTGCTTTTCCAAAAGCTGGTTGTTGAAGTGATTATGTTGGATGTTCTGCATGGGGAGTGACAGAGTAGCTATAATGAAAATAGAAAAAGAAAGAGAAGAGAGGAGGAGCAGACACACACACACACAAACACACACACATACACACACACACACACACACAGAGAGAGATTGATTTCATCTGCATTATAAAAGAGATGTCCAGACACTGGTAAGAATATCAAAATCTGTAAGTTGACCATGCATGGTGGCTCATGCCTGTAATCCCAGCACTTTGGGAGGGCAAGGAAGGCAGATCACTTGGGGCCAGGAGTTTGAGACCAGCCTGCTCAAAATGGTAAAAACCTGTCTCTACTAAAAATATAAAAATTAACTAGGTGGTAGGAGGCTGTAATCTTAGCTACTTGGGAGGCTGAGGCACAAGAATTACTTGAACCCGGGAGGCGGAGCTTGCACTGAGCCTAAATCACACCATTGCACTCCAGGCTAGGCAGCAGAGCCAGACTCCATCTTATAAAAAAAGTCTGAGTTTATCCAGCAGCAGAGCTCTCCAAAGGGAAATGGATGTGTGTTCCTTGTTTTAGTGAAATATTCAAGTCTCAAGCATACGGCCTGCAGAAATGCAGCCTATATATCTGGGAGATGATGAAGGTAGATGATTAGGCAGGTCCTCCCCATCCCCTTCACCTTTGTAGGCCCCAGGTGAGAATTATTATCTTTTGCATAATGGGGGGTTACATTTCCTGGCCATGAAGGAAAAGTGGGGATGAGGATAAAATTAACGTTGTTTCACAATAACACAAAACTGTGCTTCTTATTCCAAGACTGAGTTTGTGGGCAGAGATGTGCATGCTCATTCTCTTCTTTGTCCTGGTTGGGTCTGGTGCTTTGAGCATCCTTGCCTCCACGTTGCCAATAAGGAAATCTTGTCCCAGAAAGTTACATGACTTGCCCATGTGACATAGTGCCAAAGCCAAGATTTACAGAAGTCCGTTTAACACTGAAACCCTTGGTCTTATTTAATGAGTCATGTTGCTGAAGATCTCATGTGTGGCCTCTTATTTTTCTCCCTTTATATCTGCACCCTCTCAGCAATCTTACCATCTCTCATGACTTCAGGTATTCCTTTCGCCATCCTCATTGCCCCATCTGATCCTCACACCCAAAGCTTTGGATTTGCATTATCTGTTTACCCTATTTGAGTCAACAGCGCTTTCTGTATGATTTGGCTGTGATACGAATCTCTGAGTCACCATTCTCTCCAAACATTGCTTCATTCTTAAGATGGTGACTAAAATTCCAGCTCCTCTGCTGTGTCACCTCGGGCAAGTTACCTAACCTCTCTCTACGTGCATTTTCTCATCTGTAAAACCATGAAAATAGAGGCTAACTCACTGAAATATTGAGTATTTAATTAGCTAATGTACATCAAGCTAAAAAGTTAAAACAATATCTGGCAAATCACAGATGCTCAATAAAAATCAGCCAAAACATGTAGTGAGCCTGTGCACATACATTTGCAGATGAACTACAACCTTCCCCTTTTGGAGTTTCTACTCCAGGACCAGGTAGGGACTGTTGCATAATGTTATGTGTTCGAGTTTACCACCATTATTCCTTTGAGTTAAGTTGCTGTTGTCACGTATCAGGCTTCTAACCAAGGAGCTTGCCCCTAATCTGAGGTTCCCTTCTAAGTTTCCTTTTGTATTAGTCCGTTTTCAGGCTGCTGATAAAGACATACCTGAGACTGGGTAATGTATAAAGAAAAGGAGGTTTAATGGACTCACAGTTCCACGTGGCTGGGGAAGCCTCACAATCATGGCGGAAGGTGAAAGGTACTCCTTACATTGGCAGCGGGCAAGAGAGAGAATGACAACCAAGTGAAGGGGTTTCCCCTTATAAAACCATCAGATCTCATCAGACTTACTCGCTACCACGAGAACAGTATGGGGGAAACTACCCCCACAATTCGATTATCTCCCACCAGTTCCCTCCCACAACATGTGGGAATTACAGGAGCTACAGTTCAAGATGACATTTGGCTGGGGACACAGCCAAACCGTATCACCTGTGCTGGTCAGAATAGGTTTTCTAAAGCTGGAAAGCCTCTGATGACTTCCTAGTGTGCACCAGAAGAGTCCAGCTAGCTCAGTAAAGATTAGACTTTGCAGCTGGACTCAGATGTACCTAGAAACCCACTGCATCATTCTTTAGGTATTTATTTTAGACTATCTAACTTCTCTGGGCCTCAGTTTCTCCTTTATAGAATAGAAATAATAATAGTGTTTGGTGATACAAATAGGAACTTAGTGTCCAGTTGGCAAACAAAAGACTGAAATAAAAGTCCTGTTGCAGGGAGGCAGGGCATGGGCATCCAGTCCTGGCCCATGGGCCATGACGAGGAATGAAAGGGCCCCAGCGCAAACTTCTAGATGCCTCCTTCCTGCCCAGGCATGCAGTAGATTTTGTGTATGAGAGAAATAAACCCATGTAGCATTAACCCCTCTGGTACAGAGATTTTTGTTGCCATATCAGAATTTAGAATGCCCTGGTTAATACTAACCACTATCCACCTGATGACTGTGCTCTGGCCTAGCACTATCCGATAATTTTCCCTAGATGGGGCCAGGTGAAGTGACTCACACCCGTAATCCCAACACTTTGGGAGGCCAAGGCAGGAGGATTGTTTGAGGCCAGGAGTTCAAGATCAGCCTGGGCAACATTATGAGACCCAGCCTCTACACAACAAACAAACAAACAAATTAATTAGCTAGGTGTGGTGGCGTGCACCTGTAATCCCAGCTACTCGAGCGGATGAGGTTAGAAAATCACTTTAGCCCAGGAGTTTAAGGCTGTATTGCACCATCATTGCACCACTGCCCTCCAGCCTGGATAACAGAACAAGACCCTGTCAAAAAAAAAAAAAAAAAAAAAATCCCAAGATGATAGAGATGTTCTGTATCTCTACTAGGTATTGGCTCCAATATGACAGCTACTAGTCACAGGGGGGTCATTGGACACTTGAGATGTGGCTAATATGAGACAAACTGAACTGTTGATTTCATTAAACTTTAATTAATTTACATTTCAATATCCACTGTGATTACTGGCTACCATATGGACGAACACAAAGAACTAGCCTTTATTCTGTTCCTTGGAAATGCCAAACTCTCCCGAATCTTGAGGTCTTTCCATTTACTGTGGAAAACCATTTCCAGCCAATCTCTTCCTTTGACATTCTTGCCTGCAAGGTGTTTAGTCTTTCACTCTGCTCAGTTACAAATATGCTCCAACAATACCACATTACTCCTTCAGGCTTCAATGAGCAGCACTGTGCTTTACAGGAAGAGCACCTAGGCAAAAATGAATGCAACTGTTATGGATCTTTATTTTCCGATGAAATGGCAACTCCAAAGACAATGCAGATGAACCTGTGTGCCAGATGCAAAATAGAACAAACAGAGCTTTCTTTGAATTATTCTAGATCCAAACTACCTGAAAAGGCCAATCTGCAGTCAAAAAGACTAGAAATAAGTGGAATGAGGCCTTCAGAATAATTACATGTGGTTAATTGAAAAATGTTAATCATGTCATATTAGGAGGAAGACAGGGTTAAATTGGTAAAATTTCAATTCACTTAGGCCTTATCTCTTGTTGGAATGAACCAGACGATTAATCCTCAATATTCTTCAGGGATGCCGCGAACAGCGGCAATTAAATTAACAACTACAAAGTTTATGCTCAGAGATTCAAAAATGAAAGATGGAAACACTTTAATTTTTCACAAGTTGTTACCTTAATTATCTTCTTATTGCTCTGTCTCTTTTTCCTCATTACAAAAACACACCCCTTAGTATTCACGGATCCCTTTAATTTGCTGTAGCTTGGTAACAATGTAAGAAATGTCATCGAAGATGCAAAGTCATAAATCTTACTTTGTGCATGCTCATTGAAAATAAATTGTTCTGCTGTGCCTAGTCTCAGTGTTCTTTCTGCAAAGTGCTGACAAATTTCCTCTTGCAAACAAATAATGTGGAGTCTCTCTAAGCCTCTGTCCACTGCAGAGTTACTTAGTTGCTTTAATCCAACAGCAACAACAAAAAAATTCCTAGACAGGGCTGAAACTTAATTGGTCAGGTTCATGAAATACACTGAGGAAACAGAACAATGTAACAGGGAAATAAACACGAACTCAGAAATTCCTTTTCTAACATACAGAACAGACATAAAAACAGCCTCAGGATAAGTCAGTTTTACCAAATGTGAAGTTTTAAAACCTTCTTTATTTTGTTTTATTTTATTTTTCTCAGAATGATATCTCTGTATTGTCAGTGTGGAATCCCACTTTGCAAAGATTGGATAATTCATCTCTCTCTCTTGGAACGCGGCTAATCAAAATTGAAAAAAAAAAAAGATAAATTCAACGGCAACCACCATAAAGCCAAAGAATGCTGCCTCACAGTGATTTAACAGGTCCACTGACATATGTGCATTAAAACTGTAACCATCACAAACATTATCTGCATGCTATGTACTCCTTTAACATTAACTCAGAAGCCTGTTTGCAAATTCGGTACAGCACACAAGCCATCTACAGCAGCAGCAACAGCAACTACAACACAACAAAAGTAGTTTTCACAGTCAGGATTTCTAAGTAGCCTCTGTTGATGTGAATGAAAGCTGACGGAATTCTTTTCTTCAACGATCATTTTCTGGATGTGGGCAGGGTGAAGGGAGAGGAGGCAGGGGAAATCAATGATATAATTAAGAAAATAGGCTAGCAATTTGGAAACTGTGAATGAAATTAAAAACAAACCTATCACAAAACTCTGGGCTGAAACAGCAATACGATCAAATGACTGTGAGTCCAAACTGGAAAATGCATGAAAACATATCAATAATTGGATGCATCACATCCTCAATGCCTGAAGAAGTAATCACCATCACTATAAATCCTCTCCCAGAGCGATGTTAAAGTCTTTGACGGTTATATATACTGGAGCAGTATCATCACTTAGTCTACTTTCTGAATTTCCAAAGTTTCACAGCAAAATGTCATATCCCCAGAGAACATCCTCACAACAAATTATTAGCACAGCTCTATTGATCACCATCCAAATGGCAAAAATCTCAATAAATTTCATCTGGACCTTTACTGAAACCTCAAAAATGCATTACACCCCTCTCTGCTGACCACCGTTTTTATGATCGCTATTGTATTTGCAGGGCAGTCAATTTTATACAGCATAACAAACTGCCAAGTGCTAACGTGATTCCCTCCATTACTGAGGCCCACGTATTAAATTTACTGAAGCACAGTATCACACTTCAAATATTGCAAGGCTTAGAATTGAATGCCGCAGAGCCTAATGTTATCAACCTGACAAATACCCTGACATATTAAGTAGCAGATCATGTATTCATATTTGGAACTGATGTTGTTTTTCTGTTTAGCTGTATATTTTTTGGATTAGCCATGATATTTCAAAATGGGCATTACGTTTTGGAGTACAAAAGGGCTGACAGCAAAGAAGCTGTGTCAGTCATTCTTTTTTTTTCATGGCAGATCAATTATTATTTTTCTTAATGATGTGTTATTCTACGTCTAAAGAAACTATAAGCAGAACTCAGAAAAATACCACTTATTAAATAAACAATTAATTTTTTTGCTTTTGCTTTCTACCAATACAGAAAAGCTCTACAAGGTTACTTTCATTCCACCAATAAAATGGAAAGTTTCTTTGGTATTAATCATGTGTGTATCTTTCAGCTTTAAATTAAGACAAGAGCTGCTCTCTCTCTTCTCCTTGTCTTGTCATTGATTCTCTGTTGGTTGCAACAAAAGCTACCAAAATTACTGAATTGCCTCTAAAAACCTTGCTTTTATTCACATGCTACTAAATGATTTCAACTACTTCTCTTTGGAAAAACATGACCATTGCAATGATCTTCAACCAATATGTTCATCTCACATCGGAATGTTCTAATTTACAGAAACAAGAGTCCAGAAACCAAATATCTCAAAAGCCAAAGCTTTTCAAGTGTACTCTCCATGGCTTATATACAAAACAATATCTTGTTCAAAATATAAAATTCTGTCATATATTGAAAATAATTTTTTAAATGATATGTTTTCTCTTTCCCTCTTCATCAAAAACATTGAGAATCTGATACTAAAACCTCTTTCTAGGTCATGGATCTTGGTATTAAAACCTGCATTTTTGATGCATACAAACCATAATATCAAAAAATAGTTTTGCCATAATAAGGTCACTTCTGAAACGCAAGAAAATACCAAGGCACATGATTTATTTTCTGGTTATTTATTTATTTTCTGGTTTATTTCCTGGTATAACGGTTTGTTTTCTGACTCTAGTTTGCAGTTTCATCAGAATCACAAGTGAAAAAATGTATCCTGTTAAAATGGGCACAATTTTTATGCACATATGTCAGGGGACCTATTTATCACCACGTGGCAGCATTCTCTTGCTTTATGGCAGTTACTGAAAGATGTATCTTTTTTTTTCAATTTTGATAAGCCCACTGTTTCTAAGAGTTTCAGTATTTGAAATAGCTATATAAGTGAAATCATGCAGTATTTGTCTTCTTGTGACTGGTTGATTTCGCTTAGCATAATTTCCTCAAGGAATATCCATGCTGAAGTGTGCGTCAGGCTGCCCTTATTTTTCAGGGCTGAATACTATTCCATTGTGTGTGTGTGGTTTTTTTTTTTCAGCTTTACAAATAGTTTACTTCTGCCTTCATAAACATGTGTGCCTCTCACCATTATGCAAGGCACCATGAATTAATACTTATACCTGAATACATTTGTCTTATGTTATTCAAGATAAAGTGACTGTGTGTGTGTGTGTGTGTGTGTGTGTGTGTGTGTGTGTGTGTGTGTGTCTGTGTATCACAATTTCTTCAACCTTTCACCCATCAATGGACCTTTAGGTTGCTTCCATCTCTCAGCTATTATAAATAATGCTGCAGTGAACATAGGAGTTCAATTAAAAATATATACAGATAAAGAACATTGCAATGATGAACTTGGACTCTGGCCGGACAGGGTATCTCATGACTGTAATCCCAGCACTTTGGGAGGCCGAGACAGGCAGATCAGTCGAAGTCAGGAGTTTGAGGCCAGCCTGGCTGACATGGGAAAACCCCATCTCCATTAACAATACAAAAATTAGCTGGGCATGGTGGAAGGTGCCTGTAATTCCAGCCTGAGTCAGGAGAATTGCTTCAGCCCGGGCGGCAGAGGTTGCAGTGACCTGATATTGTGCCACTTCGCTCTAGTCTGGGTAACAGAATGACACTCAAAAAAAAAAAAAAAAAGAAAGAAAAAAAGGACTCTAGTCATCAATGTTTTTTAAAGTTCTCCAGGTGATTCTAACTTGCCAGTGAGATTAAGAACCACTTCTTTAAGATACTGGGAAGCCTCTCACCCCCTAGAAGCTAAGATGTGCCCCTCTGGAAGTTAAGCCATTTGGATGTTTAGATGTAGGGAAAAATTAATCTCATGTATCCCAATATTCACAGGACTATTCACAGGCCCCAAATCAAGCTCCTTCAGAGAACCTGAGTGGCCAATTTGTACAAGAGCCTCTGGTCAGATGTATGCGGTTATGCTTGGCTTACTGTCTGGCAAAAAGACAATATTGACTTTATGCTAAGGAAGCTCTGCCTATCTCATCTGGGCCCAACTCTCTGCTTGAGGGATGGTATTCAGGAAAGACTGCAGTGTTCAGAGTCAAATGAACATGGTTCAAACCTCAGTTCCAATCACTTGCCAGCTAGGTTGATTATGGTGAGTTTATTCCATCCTTTCAGGTACTCATTCCCTCAACTATAAAATGGAGATTATGAAACCTACCGGAGCAGAAGCAAGAGATGTAAAGTGGCCAACTATAACTTAAAACATAAGTAGGCACTGACTAAGCAGAACCTATGATTCTTTTTTTTTTTTTTTAAAAAAAAAAAAAAAAAAAAAAAGACAGTCTCGCTGCAATGCCCACGCTGCAGTGCAATGGTGTGGTCTTGGCTCACTGCAACCTCCGCTTCCCAGGTCGAAGCAATTCTCCTGCCTCAGCCTCCAGAGTAGCTGAGACTACAGGTGTGCGATACCACACCTGGCTAACTTTTTGTATTTTTAGTAGAGATGTGGTTTCACCATGTTGACCAGGCTTGTTTCGAACTCCTGGCCTCATGTGATCTGCCCGCCTTGGCTTCCCAAAATGCTGGGATTACAGGCATGATCCACCATGCCCGGCCAGAAGCTATGATTCTTATGATTAAAAAGGCAATTCAAAGTCACAAATTTCTAACTTTTAAGATACCCATCTCTTTGGAAATGGAAAAACTGATCACCTTCACTTATAGGTGGTGCACCTTCTCTATCCAGGACTGATGATAAAACTGAAGGCAGTCATTGCTGTGTCACTGTCGCCTCATCATCTCTTCTTGATGGCACCCCAGGATTGCCTGATAGATTATGAATGAGATGAGAAAGTGTTCTTGTTCCCCACTCAGTTTTCCTCCATTTTTTAAAAGAAATGCGTTGACAAAATTTAAGCACGATATTAAAGGCAAAGAATTTGGCCAGGAATGGGCTTCGAGAACACTTCCTATTATTTATGCTTTTAAGAAAATTATAGTCTTATATTTATCAAGTAAAAAGGCACTGGAGATGTCATTGGCTATAAAACCTACATCACCACTGCAGACCCTACATATGCTTATCAACACACATTATTTGCACACTGACTCACTGTTTCACTCCATCATTCAGAATATACTTGCAGTGCACTCTCTCTGGGTCAGGCTCTGTGTTAGGCATTAGAGTACTGCAATGAGTGAGACAGAGATGATCACTTTTGCCTAAAAGGATGTGGTTCACAAAAGTGTTAAGTGTAATAATGTGAATACGCTCAGAGAATTTCCAGAGCACAATGGACAAACACTTAACCCATTCAGCTGGCTTAAAAATAATCAGTCTTCAGGCCTGGCGTGGTGGCTTCATGCCTACAATCTCAGCACTTTGGGAAGCTGATGTGGGTAGATCACCTGAGGTCAGGAGTTCAAGACCAGCCTGGCCAAATATGGCGAAACTCCACCTCTACCAAAAATACAAAAATTAGCTGGGCATGGTGGCACGTGCCTGTTAATTCCAACTACTTGGAAGGCTGAGGCAGGAGAATTGCTTGAACCCAGGAGGCAGAGGTTGCAGTGGGCCAAGATCTCGCCATTGCACCCCAGCCTGGGCGACAGAGCTAGGCTCTGTCTCAAAAAAAAAAAAAAAAAATCTTCAAAAATGAAGAAGATTAGAGGCCAGGTATAGATGGAAGTAGAGGAGTATATATCCTATTTGGTATTGCTGGCAAATGAGATTTGAAGCAGGAAATGGAAAACAAAGCAGGGTTCCACTTATCATCTAGAGGGTCATTCATTGCTTATTTTTTCATCCACCATCTATCCATGCACCCACCCACCCACCCATCCATCATCCATCTATCTGTCTAACCATTCACTCATTTTTTTTTTCAGTGTGATAAATGTCTCTTTGCAGCTAGGAGTTGTCGTGTCTCCTGGTACTTTAAAAATAGCACACACAACCCGATTTGGGGGCTCCCAGGCACTTGAAATTTGCTATTTCTGCCCCTTTCTGCAAGGCCCCTCTTCCTAATGTCCACATTATCCTCCTCATGATCTAGTCAACAATCAGATGCATACACTTAAAGCCAACTGTAATTCCTCAATTTTTTTCCCCAGGAGATAGGGCAAATGTGTCTCTCCATTGTAATCCAAGAGTATCATGGCAAGGTCTTATCCTTGAAATTTACCCAATTGCCCCTACCATATCCCTATCAGTGGGGGATATTATTTTGTCACCTGATCTCTATCCATTACTTCTTCTGAAAATAACTTTCCTTTGAGCTACTGTTCCTATGCCACTTCCAGTACCCATGGTTTAGGTAGGGCTGACTCCTGTACCTCATCTTAGAAATGAAGACAGGACCCAAATCTAACCAAACCGATGAAACACTTTGTTTTCCTGGCCAAAATGATTGGTTCAATTGTGGGGTTACTATCCAAGCCGAATCAATAAAAACTATATAAAGAACATTGCAATGAGGAAGAACTTGTACTCTGGAGCCAGACTTTCCTGGTTTGAATCCTGCTAAAAATCTAACTTTGGGCAAGTTTAATTACCTTTATGACTGCGTGCCGTGGCTCACACCTGTAATCCCAGCACTTTGGGAGGCTGAGGTGGGCGGATCACGAGGTTAAGGTGTCAAGACCATCCTGGCCAACATGGTGAAACCTCATCTCTACTAAAAATACAAAAATTAACTGGGCGTGGTGTCATGCACCTGTAGTCCCAGCTACTTGGGAGGTTGAGGCAGGAGAATGGCTTGAACCCAGGAGGCGGAGGTTGCAGTGAGCCGAGATTGCACCACTGCACTCCAGCCTGGCGACAAAGTGAGACTCCGTCTTAAAAAAAAAAAAAAAAAAAAAGTAAAAAGAAAAAAAAGTTACCATTATGTCAGACAGATTACCAAAATAGCCTCCGATTCTTCCCCAGTTCTAGCCCTTTGTGATATGACCATGAACATCCTCCCATCAAGTGGTAGAGTTTAGTTCCCCACCCTCTGAATCCAAACTGGACTTGTAACATATTCTGGTAACAATAGGGTAGAAATGAGAATGTGTCAGTTCCTAGCATGAGCCTCTCCAGGCTTTGAGTACCTTTGCCCCTTCTGCATGTACAATTGTGCCAGCTCACTGCTGTATCTCTACCTCACTAAGTGAACCAGGCTAGCTTGCTGGGGATATCAGAGACACACACGTACAGAACCGAACTATCCCCGCTGATGTCACCCTGGAGGATTCAGGCTCTCTTGGTTTGCCAATTTATCAGACTCATGGTCACTCTTTCAAGCCACTAGGCTTTGGACTAGCTCATTACACAGCAATAGCTAAGTGACAGAACTGTTCTGTAACTAAGTTTTACCATATTAAAATGGGGTTAAGTATAGTACCTATCTTGCAGAATTATTGTGAGGATTCAAGGAAATAACAGAGTTCATATACAAAAAGGACTTAGTGTCTGGCACTTAATACATGCTATTATTCTTTGAAAGAAAATCTTTGAGGATTTTATTGTTCTTGTCAGAATGGTTAGGAAGGAGACATTTGCTTTTCACCAGGGCTGTCCATTTCATAGAAAGTAAGCCTGGAGCTGCTGCATCACTTGAGCCCCCATTAAGGAAGAATTTGCCAGAGGACGATGTCAAGACTGAAAAGCTGAGCCAAGAAACAGCAAAGAACCAGATTTCAAACCGTGTATTTGTGCATCTGAACCCAGCCTCTTTCGGACCTTTGCAGTTGTGTAAGCCAATGAACTCCCTCTTCTAAACAAAAGACCAGGTGCATTGTGACTCTGTTGCTTGCAACCAACAGTGCCTGATTAATATGCTGCTTAATAAAGTCCTTATATGCTTGCAAACGACCTTTGCTCTCAGTCAGGTCATCCTACCAAGATGTGCCAAGGCTTCAGCCTGCCTCCACGGGGCTATGAGGAAGAATGCAGAAGATAAAAGCTCGTTTTGAAGCATATACAACCCAAAGTCCTCTGAAAGAAACTCATTCATTCCACATTTATACTCTTAACTTGAAATCATCACCACACAATTGTCATCTCCCTTACTCCCGACTCTCACTCTCAACTTATTCACACCATGATACAGAATGTACACATTCCCCACACACATGCACGCTCGTGCATACACATACAGTACACACCATATACCAAAAGACCTGTAAGTAAATCCCTGTCATCAAAAACTGCTCTATTTATTTCTTAACATATTTATTTCTCCCTACCTTGACATAACAGTATATATAAGATGGGGATAATAGTGGCTAAGTGCATAGGGTGATAATAAGTATCAAATAAGTTATTATTTACAAAATGCTTATAACCAGACCTGAGATTGTTACTTTTAACCTTCTCTCTTGAGACCAAGCAAACACAGTATCATAAGTACTATGGATAATATTACATATTGCTGACAACACCATGGATACAGGAAAGTATGGAGAATGCTGAATAACGATTTTATGCTTTCGGAGGCATTTGTGGCTAGTTCACAGAGACTTTTCTTTCTCTGAAATTATAATCACAGTCAGGGGTAGAACACCAGCCACCATTTATGACCACATGAAGTGCTCCCCTCAGTCATAGCTGTTTAAACAAAAGGGGTCTAGGAAGGACCAACCAGATTTTCTCTTAGGTCTGCAATAATTTTTTTTTTTTTTTTTTTGAGACGGATTCTCGCTCTGTCACGCCCAGGCTGCAGTGTAGTGGCGCGATCTTGGCTCACTGCAACCTCTGCCTCCCGGGTTTAAGCTATTCTCCTGCCTCAGCCTCCCAAGTAGCTGGGATTACAGGTGCCTGCCACCACATCCAGCTCATTTTTTTGTATGTTTAGTAGAGATGAGGTTTCACCGTATTGGCCAGGCTAAAAGAAAATCTTTGGCTGATCTCAAACTCCCAACCTCAGGTGATCTGCCCGCCTCAGCCTCTCGAAATGCTGGGATTACAGGCGTGAGCCAATGTACCCAGACGAATATTATATATATATACATATATATTTAAAAGAACAACTTAGGATCTCCGGTCCTTGCCTCCAAGATGACTAAGAAAAGGAAGAACAACAGTCATGCCAAAAAGGGCTGCAGCCACATGCAGCCTATTTGCTGCACGAACTGTGCCCAGCGCGTGCCCAAAGACAAGGCCATTAAGAAATTTGTATTCAAAACATAGTAGAGGCCACAGCAGTCAGGGATGTTTCTGAAGCAAGCGTCTTCGATGCCTTTGTGCTTCCCAAGCTGTATGTGAAGCCACGTTACTGTGTGAGCTGCACAGTTCACAGTAAAGTAGTCAGGAATTGATCTTGTGAACCCCACAGGGACCAAAAACCCCCACCTCGATTTAGACCTGCGGGTGCTGCCCCATGACCCCCACCAAAGCCCATGTAAGGAGCTGAGTCCTTCAAGACTGAAGACACACGATACTCTGGAGAAAAATAAAATGGAAATTGTACTTAATATTGCATGTTAAGTGTATCTGTGCCAGACAGGGTGGGGATTTTGTGTGGGTTAGACCAAGGGAGAAGTGACACAGTTATTTTCATGGGGAAGAAAGCTCATTCATGTAAACTTTTTTATTTTTTATTCTTTTGGTGGGGGGAGATGGAGTCCGGCTCTGTCGCCCATGCTGCAGTGCAATGGTGCGATCTCAGCTCACTGCAACCTCCGCCTCCCAGGTTCAAGTGATTCTCCTGCCTCAGCCTCCCGAGCAGCTGGGATTACGGGTGTGTGCCACCACGCACAGGTAATTTTTGTATTTTTAGTAGAGATGGAGTTTTGCCATGTTGGCCAGGATGGTCTTGAACTCCTGACCTCAGGTAATCCACCCACCGCAGCCTCCCAAAGTGCTGGGATTACAGGTGTGAGGCACTTCGCCTGGCTATTCATGTAAATTAAACCTTAATCGTTTGCAGTCATATCCTTGGCCTCACAATTTGCATAGTTGTGTGAAACAAAGGGAGTTTAGGCATCTGTCTAAAAAAAAAAAGTGTTAAATTTTAGAGCAAATAACTCATTGCTGCTGTTCCTCAGCTTCCTCTGTAGAGTTAACGATATCCATCTTCTATATTATTGCGATGATGAAATGAGATGTTGACCGTAAAATGCTTAGAACCATCCATGACTTGGCACATCATAAGTTATCAAAAAATGTGTGTTAACCATATTTTCTGAAGGAACAAACTTCAAACTAGAAAACTGCTTAGCATCCGACAGGTTTGAAATTTTTAACAGAAAACTGGACGTTTAAACATGACTTCTTGTGGATACAAGAGTTGACGCTAGTGACAAGGTATCAACCATCTATTGATTTGCCTGGCACTCTGCTGAGGATCTAAAAGTAGTATCTGATTTTATACCCTTGCCACTATGTGGATTTCTATGCCCACTGCACAAATGAGGATGCTGCAGGTTAGAAAGGCTGAACGACAACCCCAAAGTTCTATCTCTGCTAAATGGCAGATCTGGGATCTGAACTCAAGACAGTGTGGCCCGTCCCCCAAGCCCTTACACTTAACACCACCATGCAGTGTTACCTCTTTCTTCCCAAGGGCAAAAGAAACCTCTCATATTGTCATTTTGGCTTTTCTTTAAATATCTCAGCTTTGACAGAGTGCTCTCTTCATCCAAACCTCAATGTTGCTCTTAATAAGCCGGCCCCCTCCTTCCCATATGTAAATGTCTACCTCTCAGTCCGTGAGCAGACACATACTTTCCAGTCCTGTGAATTGAGCTAATGGCACCACTTCTTCCAGGGCTCAGATTTTAATTAGCTCATAACGCTGTCACTGGCTGGTGAAATATTTATTTGTCAGGAATACACTTTAGTAATTTATGAATCAGAGTCATACAGTAGAAACAGGATACGGACTGTCTCTACACTGGCTGTCTGTTTTCATTGGAAGTGCAGCATTCCTCATTGAAAAATCACTGAACTAAAGCCAGCTACCTTTTCCGTATGTGATATAGAGTCTTTTTGTGTATGTGGGGAGATTTTCGAGTATTGTGAGGTTCACGTTTTTAGGTAGAATGTGAAATGAGGGCTATCATGTGTTGCCCTATTGGTGAAGACATTATGAGAAAACTCACAACTTATTACAGGAAGGAAGGAAGGAAGGAAGGGAGGGAGGGAGGGAGGGAGAGAGGGAAGGAAGGAGGGGAGGGGAGGGGAGGGGAGGGGGAGCGAGGAAGGGAGGGAGGATGGTTGGTTCAGAAGTGTACAGTACATATTTCAAATTACAGATACTGTATCAGCTTTATCTATTTATTTATGACAGAGTTTCATTCTGTCACCTGGGCTAGCGTGCAGTGCTGTGATCTTGGCTTACTGCAGCCTCAACCTCCTGAACTCAAGGGATCCTCCCACCTCAGTCTCCTGAGTAGCTAGAACCAAAGGCACACACCACTACACCTGGCAATTTTTTAAAAAATATTTTTGCCCAGGCTAGTCTTCAACTCCTGAGATCAAGCAGTCCTCCTGCCTTGGCCTCCCGAAGTGCTGTCATTACAGATGTGAGCCACCATGCCACCAGCTTTTATTTTATGTACAAGTTCGTTGAAAACTCTCCTGAGACTTGGTAAAAGTATAAAACACTGGGCATTTGGGAGGGTCATGTAATATATGTGTAATATTTCTAAATATACATAACCTTTGACCTAGTAATTCCATTTTTAGAATTAAATAGACATCATATGCACAAAGACCTATGTAGAAGAATAGTCACTGATGTAGCATTAATACAACTTAGAGATTCCACTTTCCCTCTCTCCTTTCTCTTCTCCACTGCAGACTGTGGCATGTTCTTAAAACAGAAACTGGATCAAATGACCACAGCCCCACCCTCGTGCAAAACCCTTCTTCTTATATTGCAAATTCTAAATATAAAACAATGTACTTTATAAATTATTAGTAATCTATAGCTGTAAAGTATCATCATACAATATAAATATATATGTCCAAGTAGTCACCATATTTCCCCTAAACTAGCTCCTAACATATGGCTTTTAAAAGATAATTTTTGCCAGGTGGGGTGGCTCACTCCTCCAGTCCCAGCACTCTGAGAAGTTGAGGCAGGAGGATTGCTTGAGGCCAGGAATTTGAGACCAACCTGGACAATATGTCAAAACCCCATCTCTACTAAAATTAAAAGAATTAGCCAATTATGTTGAGGTGCACCTGTAGTCTCAGCTACTCAGGAAGCTAAGGCAGGAGGATCACCTGAGCCCAGGAGGTCAAGGTTACAGTGAGCTGTATTGGCACCACTGTACTCCAGCCTGGGCAAGAGAGGAAGCCGCTGTCTCAAAAAATAATAAATAAATAATAATAACAATGGTAATTCTACACTTTTTCATTTATTCCATCCACAAATATTTTTAAATGTGTAATGTTTGCCAGGAATGATGCTATGGGCTGGAGATATAACAACAAAAATATGCAGAGACTTTATCCTCATATAATCTATGGGCTTGCATTTATTTGGAATTAATATACCATAAATTTGAAAGTTTGGATGTACAATTTCATAAATGTTAACATAATTTACAGATTCTTATAACGGCTGTGCAATTAGGAAGCAGAAGAGTTCCATCACCCCAAAAACTCTCTTGTGCTATTCATTTGCAACTACCCTCCCCCCAACCCCTAATCCCTGGCAGCCCCTGATCTTTTCTCCCCAAACCTACAGCTTTCTTTCTTGCAGATGTCATAGGAATGGATTTATACACTATGTCATCGTTTGAGACTGGCTTCCTTCTCTTAGCATAATGCTTTTGAAATAGATCCAAGTTGTCACATATATCAATAGTTGCTCCTTTTTATTGTTCAGTAGTATTCCACGTGTACATGTAATGCTTCAAATTCATCTATTTGAAGACATATGGCTTGTTTCTAGGGGGCTATGGTAGAGTTGCTATACACAGACATGTACATGTTTTTTATAAATATACAATATCTTTGGGTAAGGAACCCAGGAGTAGGATTGCTAGGCTCTATGATAAGCATATACTTAACTTTGTAACGGACTGTCAAAATGTTTTAAGAATGTCTGCATTGTTCTATGTTCCTACCAGCAGTACAGGAGAAATCCAGTTTCTCTGAATCCTCCACAGCACTAAGTCTTGTCAATTTTTTTTATCTTATGCCTCTACTAGGTGTTTAATGGTATTCCATCCTAGTTTTCATTTGCACTTGCTGAATAGCTAATGATGTTAAATACCTTTTCACGGTTTTTTGTTTCTTTTTTAGGTTTTTGCCTGATGAATATCCTCTTCTCTTCTTTTCCCCCCACTCAGGACCCAATAAGAAAGGAGTATGAATATACTCTAAGTGAAGTGACTATTCAAGTCTTTTTCCCATTATTAAGATAGTTTGTTTGCTTTCTTACTTTTATGTTTTGAGAGTTCAAAATATATTCTAGATACTGAACATTTGTCAAGAGTGGTTTACAAATATTTCTTTACAGATTCTTGTATTTTCTTTCTTTTAATAGAGACCTTCACATATAATTTATTAACAATTTTGTTAAGTCAAATTAAACCTTTTTGGGGAGGTGAGATTGTGCATTTGGTGTCATGGCCAAAAATTCTTATTTTAACTCCTTTGGACGTGAATATTTTACCCATGTGTTCTTCTAAAACTTTACAGTTCTACGTTTTATATTTAGATCTATGATCCATTTTGAGTTAATTTTTTTGTAAAGCATATGATTTGGCAAATGTGTTTGCAATTATTCCAACACCAGTTGTTGAAAACAAAATCATTTCTCCTTTGATTTTGTACCTTTTCTAAGATTTAATTAAGTATATTTTGTGGGTCTATTTCTGGAGTCTCTATTTTGTCCAGTTGATTAATGTGTCTTCTCCTTTACTGGTTTGCACTATCTTTACTTCTATAGGCTTATATAAAATAAATTAGATATATTCACCTAATTTTATTCTTCTTTATTTTGGATATTCTAGTTTTTGTTTTTCCTTATAATTTTTAGAATCTTCACGTTTATAGCTACAAAAATACCTGCTAGAATTTTGATTTGTATTGTGTTAAACTTATACACCAATTTGTACAGAATTAATACTTTTACTACAATGAGTCTTTGAATCTATGTATATATTTAGATTTGCTTTTTTAATTTCACAAATACTTTATAGTTTTCAGCATAAAGATCTCTTATATGTTTGTTATATTTATAGCTAAGTATTGCATTTTTTGGAGCTATTGTAAATGGTTTGTTTTTAAGTTTTGACTTCCAAATGTTCTTTCCTAGTATATAGATATATGATTGATATTTATGTTTTCACCTAAGAGGTTTTAGAGTTCCTTGGGATTTTATAAATAGACAATTCTATTATCTGTGATTAAAGATGCCCTTATATATTAATTTCCAACCGATATGCTCTATAATTCTTTTTCTTCCTTATTGTAGTGAGTAAGATTTCCAGTACTATGTGGCATAAGTTTGGTGAGAGTGGAGCTCCTCCCTTGTTCCTGCTCTAATGGAGATAGCAGTCACTTTTTCACCAATAAGTATGATATTAGCTGTGGGGTTGTTTGTTGACATCCTCTACCAGGTTGCAGAAGGTGCCTTCTATTTCTAGTTAGTTGAGAGTTTTTATCATCAATGTAGATTAGCTTTTGTTTTCCAATACTGTTCAGGACTATTTTACAGGGTCATGTGTTAGTTTTCTTCTTTATTGTGTTAATATGGTACATAACATTGATTTTTTTCAATATGAAACCAGCCTTGGACTCCTGGGACTAATACTATGTGGTCATGCTATGTTATTATTTTTCTGTATTATATGTATTCCATGATATATGTTTACGTATGTGTGTGTGTGTGTGTGTGTGTGTGTGTATATATACATATATAAAATATTACATATAGCCTGGTTTTCGTATCAGATTAATGTTAGACTCATAAATTGAGTTGAGAAGTATATCTTCCACTTCTATTTTCTGTAAGAGACTGTGTATAGTTTTTTTTTTTTTTTCCCAACATTAAATGTTTGGTGGAATAGCCAATGAAACCATTTGTGTCTGAAAATTTTTATTTTGGCAGGATATTTTAAATAAGTCTATTGAACCATTTAGCTTATCCTGTTTGTTTTGAATAAGTTTTGGTAATGGTTGTCAAGGAATTAGTCTATTTCATGTAAGTTGTTGACTACATGTGCATAGATTATTTGATTATTTCCTTATAATCTTTTTAATTTATGTGATGTTTGTAATTTTTGTCATCTCTGCTTTTTGTCAGTCTTGCTAGAATAGATTCATCACTTCTATGCTTTGAAAGAGCCAGATTTAGGTTTGATTGCTTTTTGATTTTCAAATTCATTTTTTTAATCTTACATTTACTATTCCCTTCTTTCTCTTTGCATGTATTAGTTTTTGATTTGCTTTTTTTAATAGTCTCTTATGATATGCACTTACATTGTTGATTTGAGAACGTTCTTATTCTCTAATAGAAGCACTTAGCATTATGTATTTCCCTCTAAGCACTGCTTTCGCTTCCCACCATATATTTTGTAAAATGTATTTTCATTTAAGTTCTATAATTCCCCTTGAGACTTCCTCTTTGAACTATGGGTGATTTAGACTTTGCGGTTTAATTTCCAAGTGCTTTTAGATTTTTTCCAGTTTATTTTATGTTACTGATTTCCAGCTTAACTCAATTTTGTCAGAGGAAAGCAACTATATGATTTCAATTATTTTAAATTTGTTAAGTTTTTTATAATACAGAATATGGTTTATCTTGGTAAATATCTCATGTGGACTTGAACAGAACGGACATCCTGCTGCTGTTGGATGGTGTTGATTACACATTTTAACTATGTTTTGTTGGCTGATGGTGTTGTTCAGTACTTCTACAGCCTCGTTAATTTTCTCAATATTAATTTTATCAAATAGTGAGACAGACTTCACTTATGTTTGTAGACTCTCCATTTCTCTTTTCAGTTCTATCAGTTTTGGCTTTATTTTAAAAGTCCCATAGTTTGTGCATAAATAATCATGATTGTTTAAGATTGTTTTGTCTTTTTGGTGACTTGGCCCTCTTATCCTTATATAATGTCCTCCTGTATGTCTGGGTGGTTTTTTGTTGTTGTTTTTCCTCTGAAGTTTACTTTGATATGTAGTGAAACATATCTAAGTGAAACAGGATGGGAATTGCCCTAAATATATCCCATCTAACTCGAAATGGAACTCCCCCCATGGATTTTTGAATTGTCAGTGGTCAGTTTACTAGTTCTGTCTGCCAAAGTAATTTGAGTTTCCTTAAGATAGCTCGTTTATTGTACTTTTTATCTCTAGAGGCTGGCATCATGGCCACCACAGAGTAGGTGTTCCACAAGTCTGATGACTCAATAAATCATTCACCATAGGGAAACCTGAGGATAGTTGGTCAATTATGTACACACAAACACACATGCATATGTGAATGGACACAAAAAAATTACTGCCTTGTACCTACAGTAATAGAGCATTGCTTGTGGGTGGGATTTCTGTGGTGTAGGTTTCTAGTCTGAGTCAAATGCATGGTCTTCCTCAGATCAAGAGCACACATACATTGCAACACTTGCCTAGATTCCGCATGTTGCTTACTTTTACTGACTGGGTTTTATTCAGTTACAAAATGCCCCACCTGCAAAAAGTAACCTTGATCTCTCCCCATGAGTGTCCTCTGGCACACAGAACTGACTAAGCAAGTACATCCAATATGTATTTGCTACCAAACTCACAGAAACACTCTGCCACATGTTCCTAAAAATCATATCATAACCAGAACAACAACAGTTAAGAGATCTGAGCAAGTTCTCTATGTGCTCTATTTGGTATATGCTTCCATTCTCTCTTTCGGTGCCCTGGTAATTCTTCACAAGGCTAAATGCTTCTATTCTGTCCTTATGTGTACAATTTTACCAAATTCTTGTGGTGTGCATCCTTGAGGATTCTTCTCACCATGATCCCCACATCCTAACATTCACGCCTTTACTAATCCCTCCTTGAATGTGAGCAGGACCCACAACTTGTTTCTAACCAATGGAATATGACAGAGGTGATAAGATAAGTGTGATTACATGTATGTGATTATATAAGGTTTATTTTAATTTCAGTAGCTTTGGGGGCACAGGTGGCTTTTGCTTACATGGATGAATTGTATAGTGGGGAAGGCTTGGCTTTGAGTGTACCTGTCAACTGAATTGCATACCTTGTACCCGATAGGTAATTTTCCATCCTTTACCCTCCTCCTTGCCTCCCTCCTTCTGAGTCTCTGACTTGAACAGGCATTTCTCAGAAGATGAGAATAGCCAACAAATGGCCAAGAAACATGAAAAAAATGCTTATCACTAATCATCAGGGAAATGCAAATTAAAACCATAATGAGCTACCACCTTACCCAGCCAGAATGACCACTGTTAAAAAGTGAAACAACAATAGATGTTAGCATGGATGTGGTGAAATGGGGACTCTTATATGCTGCTGGTGGGAATGTAAATTAGCACAACCTCTATGGCAAACAGTATGCAACAGTATGCAGATTTCTCAAAGAGCTAAAAATAGATCTACCATTTGATCCAGTTAATCCCACTACTGGTTATCTACCCAAAGGAATACAAGTCACTGTATAAAAAAACACACCTGCATGTGCATGCTTAATGCAGCACAATTCACAATTGCAAAGAGAGGAAATCAACCTAAGTGATTGCATAAGATTATAGCAACTCTCTTGCTGGATCTCTCTCCCTCTCTGTCTCTGTCTCTCTCTCCACCCATTTCTGGATGTGCAGAAGCAAGCAGCCACGAATCCTGCAGCTACAACAAAATGAATCCTGCCAGCAACCTGAGGGAGCTTGAAAGCAGATCCTGTTCGAGATGAGTCTCTAATGAGAACCCAGTCCTGGCTGATACCCTGACTGCAGTCTATTAGATTTTAAGCAGAGAACCCAGCTAAGCCATGCTCAAATTTCTGATACACAGAAACTGTTAGATAACAAAAGAGTGTTGTGTTAAGCTTCTGCAGGTGGTAATGTGCTATGCAGCGTAAAAACCTAACCTGATTCTTCCAAAAGCTCTATGAGCTCAGTATTAATTAATTATTCCCATTTTTCAGATGAGGTACTATAGATTGTGGTAAGTTAATAGATTTTCCTAAACTCACACATTAAGTAATTGGTGGTAAGTTAATAGATATTTTCCTAAACTCACACATTAAGTAATTGGATAAGCTAGAATTCCAACTTACATGATCTCTGATTCCAGAAGCTGTACTCTTAATAATCATGCCCCATGTTGCTTCCCTTCACATCCACATACTTTACAGAAAAACACATAACATTTTAGGGTTGTTGACACATTACCACCGAATCAAAAGTATTCTGAAAATTTTCTAATTAAATAACTTTATAAGCTAGGCTGTTCGTACAATGAAACGATCAGTTTTTCCCGAGTTTAACATGTGTCAATGCCCTTGTTACAAAGCCCAAAATGCTTAGCTAGTCTTCCAACCTGCCACCTCTCTGCCCTCCCATTCCAGCCCTCACTTTACTATCTTTTCTTCAACCCTACTGAACTGCTTCCAGTTTTGCAGATATATCATTATTTTAGCTGCTTTTGAGTATTTATAGCTGATGTTTGACAAAACTGTCCCCTCTTGTCTTCACTTCCCTAACTCTTTCTTGGCCTACGTATCTCAGAGGAAACAAACCCTTCTCTATGGACTTTCCCTACCTGATTCTTCTCAAGGTTATATCCTCCCAAAGAACCCCAAACTTCCTCTCCCTAGCACACATGACACATTATTTAAATCTTGTGTTGATGACTCCCACGAGACTGCAAAACCCTTGAGGGGATGGTCTGTGTCCTGTGTGTGCTGTTATATGCCTCTGCATAGCACCATGCCTGGCATCAAGGAGGTGGTCAATACCTGTCATCCAAATGCAGGTCGGACATCTCCAGAGCCTGTCTGTCTCCACGTACCTTAACAGTAAACAGAATAATCTAATGGTAGCTTCACTGGCATTCCACCAAGTCACATGAATTGCATTTTCTAACTCCCGCAGCCCTGGACAGCTGCTGTGGGCTTTGTTTTTCTTTTCCAAAAGGTTTAGTTTAAGCTTTAATGGACTCATTTAGTGGAAATATACAGTAAGCTGGAGCAGAGACAAATCCAGAGCTTGACTACTTATTTACTTGTGAAGTGAGGCCTCATTTCAATAAACTGGTTTGAGAGGAGAGTTTGGGATGGGCAGAGATGTTGGTGCATTTCACTGCAATATTGCTGTCCCTACTGGGAACCATGGCTGTGAAACATAATACTTTGCCTCAAAAGTGCTTTGAATGACACCTCATGAACTGCTCATGAGGACAATTTTCCTTTACTCCTAGGCTTTCAGAGGCAGATAGAGCAGCTCGGATAGCCAGGATTTGATTGGTTTACTGCATGGGCTTTCTCTCTATATATTCAGGAAGGTGGTGAAAATGAACTGAGACCTAAGATGCAACTGGTGAACGGGAGAAAAATGCAGTGCATGACACGGAGAAGAGAATTTCAGAAGCCATTGTTGTCTGTGCCTCAGTTTCCTTATCTGTAAAATGGGTACTGATCGGTACCCACTGAGAAAGGGCTGTTATGAAAACCAAATGAGAAAGGGCACATGGCCACTTAGTACAGTGCCTGGCACAATGGTTACTCCATATATGTGAGCTTTCATTATCCTTACCCTTGGTACACAGCTGATACAATATGAAGCCCCCAATAAGTGTCATTGCCTATTATACGCATCACTGCTATTTTATGCTTTTCTCAGTGCTCCCCAGCGTAGGCATTTAATAAATGTGGTATAAAGCCTGTAACATGGTCCCCAGTGATCCCTGTTCATGTGTAACTCCCTCCCCTTCGGGGCAGGCTAGATTAATTAATTATAGGGATGAAAAGAATGCAGCATGAGAAATGGAATGTCACCTCCTAAATCAGCAATAAAAGCGACTGGATTCTCTGTCTTGGGTGTCCCCTCTTTCATTCTCTCTTGAATTGCTTATTCTGGAGGAGCTATGTACTTTGTCCCAAGACACCTTTCCAGAGGTAAATCTGTGGGCAGCAAACTTCCAGCCTGCTAACAGCCAGGTGAGAGAGCTCAGTGAAGGTCCCCCTCAAAGAGAGCCTTGACACTATTTTAGCTCCTGCCAACACCTGCCAAAACTACTCAGCAAACATGCTTTCGGACTCTCAGTCCACAGCAACTATGAGGTGGTAATTACATAGCAATAGGTAACTAAGGCAAAAGAATTAGTTTCTGTTTTCCATTAGAATATAAGCTCTATGTAGGTAGGACTTTCATATTTCTTATTCGCTTCCATGCATCCAAAGCCTAGCAACGTTGCTGGCACACAAGTAATCAAAAATACATTTTTCCATGAGTGACCGGAGGCCACCATCAAGATTCATTGACATGGGAATGTCCACCCCTTACTTACATCCATTTTCATCAGTTAATTAAAAAAATACCAGGTTTCTTTATAAAAGTTGCACCACTAAGTGCTAACAAGAATCTACACGTTGGAAACTTAATCGAAGGATATTATATAATACATTATTTTTAAGCAAAGGCTTTGGAATATTTTTCAAACACAAACTCAGTGAGTTGAAGAAGGTGAAGAAGCATTCCTTAAGGAGCTAAAGAGTAAATACGCTTACCCTATTTTCACCCTCAAATCACTTCTCCAGTTCCTAAAAGCAGAGGCTTCACAGCTAAGTGATCTTACCCTTCCCAGACAATTTTCCAAATTTTGGTTTGCTCTAAGACAAGCCAAGCAACACACAGTGTGTATTTCTCAGACCTTTACGATTTGGCTTCATGAAAACCACTACAGCTATCACACCTAAAACTTAGGACAACGAGTTAGCAAGACAGAGAAGCACATGTAAACAGAAAGCAAAGTTTCCATGCACCTAGCAGGACTCTTCATGAGCGTAGAAAGGAAAACAGCACAAGGACTCTCATTTCCAGAGAGGCAGGGGAAGAAGGCATGAGGCACTTCTCAGCCCAGGAAGAAAAGGCGTTTCAGAAACATTCAAATGACAGAAGAGAAAGATCTTGGGCTAGAGGAGATAAATAGATGGTATTCAATTTCTCATTAGGCTCATGGTGTCACTTTCATTTGGAACCATGTTCCACTGCTAATTTTCACAGTGCTTGAGTGCTTCTTAAAATGAATAGCACTCACTCATGCTTTCATGCAGACTGCACGGTACATTTCTGTGCCTTTATTAAAGGGTACAGTGAGCATATACTTCCTTCCCAGGGGTATAAATTTAGAACTATTAAATATGTGACCTTGGACCTCCATAGCAAAATGGCAGCTACCCAGGTATTCATATTTTTTTCATTGCAGTTTGAATATAAAATCTCCAAAATGTGTACACAAGTACACTCATGTGCACACACAATCACTTTCCTAATTATTTTGTAATTTGCAACCTTAGCACCTCCACGTAAAGACTGATCTGCCTCTGAACACCAACTCTGATCTCTTAAGTACAACTGAAAGTTAAAAACTCAAGAGGTTTCAGGTTTCTTTTTTCTTAAAATAGCCCAAGTCTGAGGTGAGAGAAAATTTTGCCAAATATGAGGTGACAGTTCTTTGCTCATAAAATTCATTGCACATTCATTATTGATCAAATAATTATAAATTCACTAAGCACTCACGATGCAAAAGGCACAAGTGATTTTTTTTAAAGCTCAAGTATTCTACTTCTAGGAATATATCCTATAAAAAGAAATCACCCATGCACACACTGAGATGCATGACCCGAGAGTGCCATTGTGAGTAACTGTGAAAACTTGGTAGTGGGAGGCCACTTTAATGTCCATCAGCACGGGAGGGAACTTTAATGCCCATCATCAATAAGGGAGCAAATATACAAAAAAAAGAGAACACATCTATAACATAGGACATTATGCAGCCTTGCAAAGAACAAAATAGATCTCCACATGTTGACATGCAACAATCTCCAAGATGTGTTTCTTGGGTGGAAGGATATTGAGTCAGAAGACACTGTGTAGTATTGCACTCTATGCTAACATAATAATTTGCATACATTCATCATGTGGCTCCAATGGTGCGGGTGCATAATTGCATAATATATTCCTGTTACAATACATCTAAGTAGTCAAATATCAGCAATGGAATCTGATTCAACCAAATACATAACAAGATCGAAAGGGAAGTGGGAGGATATTGTCAACAGGAGGAGAACATGGCAAGTAGATGAGAAAGAAGGGAAACTTTTTATCTTTTGCTTTGTAAGAATCTTTACTGCGGAAAGACTTAAAAACAGTGTTTTTCATTATATTGTATAAGTCCTCAAAGTCCAAAAAAAGATAAAAAACTATAGAGCATTACTCTTACCCAAAATGACTCAGAGGTACACTCTTGGGTCTCCATTCAAATCAACTCCACAGAATATGCAGACTCCAGGTCTCCTCAGAAAGCTCAATGTATTTATGTATCTGTGTATTTATTTAGTTGACAAATTAAAAACGTATATATCTGCAGAGATCTCAAACTTGAATTGACCGTGGTTCAACATGTGCCTGAAGCAATAGGAAAAATTAATTTTCCATTCTGTCCAGGTTGCAAGGCTTTCTCTGACTCCAGTTCGATGGGTCTGACTCACCCCTGAATTCATGTAAGAACAACCAACCAATTCGGCAGCGCCTTACAGAGGGTGCCAGCACTTGCAGATATGCTTTCTGATTTCATTCTTTCCAGAAAACATCAGTTAAATTAGGTAAGTAGCATTATAGCCCAGTCATCCCCATTATTGCTGTCATTACTAATATTCCTGTTACCCAAATCATAAAACAGAGGCCTAGAACAGATGAGTAAGCACACAACTAACAAACTGCAGAAATGAAGCTCAAACCTGAGTCTTGTGAATCAAGGTCACAAGAGCTTTTCACTTTGACCCATTTGCGGACAGACAGACAGAGAGACACACCCACACCCACACACACACACAGAGTTTACATATTGAGGCTGCATTTAAGATAACCTTAAATTTTCAGCCTCAGCCATTATTTATTTTCCATAAACAGTGTGGAGCTATTATAGGTTCTGAATAGGAGCTATTAAAGGTTCTGACTTGATGGACAATATATGTTAAAAGAATGTTTGTTAGGCTGGGCACGGTGGCTCATGCCTGTAATCCCAAATCTTTGGGAGGCTGAGGCGGGCGGACAACTTGAGGCCAGGAGTTCAGCCTGGCCAACATGGCGAAACCACGTCTCTACAAAAAAAAAAAAAAATACAAAAAATTAGCCAGGTGTGGTGGCATGTGCCTGTAGTCCCAGATACTTTGGAGTCTGAGGCTGGAGGATCACTTGAACCCAAAAGGTGGAGGTTGCAGTGAGCCGAGATTGCACCACTGCACTCCAGCCTGGAAGACAGACCCCATCTCAAAAAAATGAATTGGTTTGCTGACTATGTACAAGATGGATGACATAGAAAAACAAAGTTTGTATGATTCTGAATTTTCTCATCAGGAACTTTAATATTTCAACACTTGGTCTAACGCATAAGATCACAGGATATTTTTGTTTCTAATGAAATTAATTTATCTCTCTCACACACACACTTACCTCCCTTCCTCCCTTTTCCTGTCTCATGAAAAGTACAATCTGTATAGGCCAAACTGTATCTGTCCTTCAAGGGTTAAGCCTCCAATAATTCAGGGTGACAAGTCAGCTTATCAATTGTGAATGAGACCACTTGAAGAACATGCTAAATCAGCCAGTCAGCAGCTTTTCAATTCAACTGATCAATTTATACAAGTGGATGTTAGCCCTGGAATTATAAAGTTTACTTCTCTCCTTTGGGGGAAAAAAAATCAAATAGATTGGCCAGAACCTTGAAGATAAAAAAAAAAAAGTACAAAATAACAATCAGAATAATTTTATAAAGACCAGGTCCTTTCAGACTAACCTCATCTTCCCCAGAAGTAGTTTTATACAAGGCACAGGTATGAGCCATTTCAATCCTAGCAAATACTTAGTAATTTACTCCTAAGACTCCCAGGATACTCAGACACTGCTTTATCTGGTTTAAAACACACAGGATAAGCTGATAAAACTGATATAATCAGTATCTCTTTCCTTTTCTCACCACCCTTCCCCCAACAGCAGAACTGTATTCCACACTGCACTCATTTAAAAATGTAATATAATCAAAGGAAGCATTATTCTTACAAAGGCTATTAAAAGAGCTAAGTAAATTCATACAGTATAATAAAAATGATTTATTTACTATGAGGAAAAAATGGTAGGGAAAACAGTGCCGCTCAGCTCCGTCTGCAAAGTCGGGTTCCCATAGAATATTAATCTTCATTGATTAGCTAGGAAGAAAAGCAAAGCTTTACACTTTCACTTTTACGGTGTAAGTTAATTAAAATACTTCAGTTTGACAAAGGCCCATCTGATCACACTGAACTCCTTAATACTGAGCATTGCAGAATATTCTTTTTGCTTCTTGAAATCATCAATTTATGTCCAACAACATCTGTAGGAAAATGAGATTGGCCACATGTCTCGACATAGTGAACCACAGTTATTTGGCTTTTCAAAAACAGTATTTTTTCTTAACCTTTATGTGTGTGTGTGCCATGCCCTTCTAGGAGAAAAAAACAACAAACAAATGAAGACTTCTTTCCAGAAATACTGTACGATACACAATTTCAGGGAGAGCATGGATGCCCTGGTGTCCTTTTACTACCCAAAGTTAAAAATCTTAATTCTATATCACAGCTGACCCTGGGATGGGAGGGAACACATATTCTTTACCAGTTATATACTAGAATAAATATAGACAGACATTCCAGCCTTTAGTCACTAAAATTTTCTCCTGTGACATGACCACTTTGTAATATTACGTGCACAATTTTAAGAAAAACTCAAAAATCTTGTTTTTAGGCTATTAATGCCAGGCTGTATTTTGTTGACTCCTGCCTCATTTAACTATGGTGAATGAATATGGTTTAGGTTTCTTCATGTCTCATGTTAATATGCCAAATGTCACCAGAGCAACTACACTAATCTTCGTGCCCAGAGATCCCTCCTAGCTATTAGCCACTGTGTACTCGAAGTTCTTAGATTTTATTGTTAAAATAACCAACTATGCAACTACTGTGCTCAGGCTCTCCTTAAGCCGGAGCCCTGTGTTAATTGGCTGAAGTCTTGTCTCCACTCATATTTGCTGTGTTTTGCAAGCAAATTCATCTTTCAACCCCTCAATGTAGTCAACTGTAAAGTGGGAACGATCTTTTTTTTAAGAGTCAGGATCTTGCTCTGTCACCCAAGCTGGAGTGCAGTGGCATGATCATAGTTCACCACAGCCTGAAACTCCTAGGTTCCGGGGATCCTTCTGCCTCAGCCTCCCCGAGAAGCTGGGACTACACGAGGGTGGTGCCACACCTGGCTATTTTTTCTTTTTTTTTTTTTTTTTGAGACACGGGGGGTCTCGCTATGTTGCCCAGGCTGGTCTCACACTCCTGGCCTCAAACAATCCTCCTTCCAAAGCCTCCCAATGTGCTGGGAATACATGCCTGAGCCACCACACAGAGATTCTTAGTGATTAGTATTAGCAGGTTTCTAAATAAACAGGTGAATTATAACTCCTCCTCCCTGTAAGATAATCAGGCTTGTTTGTTTTACTCTGCAGTGTCCTTAATAACCCCTATCACAGTTTTTAATTGTATATTTGTCTGTGAGATTACCTGATAGGGGGCTCTTTCCCTTGCATGAAATGAAAAGTTCAGTGAATGCTAGTGACCTGGTCCTAGCACCTCACCTCATCACGTAGTGCAAGGCTGTGCCAAGAAGGTGTCAATTCAGGTTTGTTCAGCAAACGAGTGAATGAAATTGCTCAAAGGAGTCATCTCGATTTTTTGGATCTGGAATGACCCCTCTTCTTTTCCACCTCAAGACCCTTTACTCCTTGCAGCTGCTGGTGTATTTAAATAAAGGAGGACTATCTGCGCCTATATGGATGTCTCTACTCTTAGAGCCCTTTCCCCTAAAACTGGGCTTGTGATCCCTGGGTTGTGCAAAATTCTACCATCATCATTTGCAGCTTCCAACTGCAGAGACCTCCCTCTCTTTTTAGGTGAGTCACTCTGTCACTCACCTGGATCACAAGGGCCCAAAGGTGCACCACCTTCCTTCCATACATCCACCTGGGGGCCTCACTTTCCTTCTGGGCTCCAAATTGCCTTAGGGTTCTGAGAGGCAGTTGGTAACTCAATAATCTCATTGGCAGTAGTCAAATCTGGTGAGAGGGTTTGGTTGCAGGGATTTGTTCATTTTCTCTTTGTTTCACGGCATGGTCAAGGGAGAAGGGGGACAGAATAGCAACCTTTGTAGACGTTTGCATCCAATAATATATGAGGTCCCAAGGTTAACATTAGAAAATCTACTGGTATCCTTTATACTTGTTTTATCTATTTTTCCACTTTTAAGATTAGCTTTCCAAAACTGAAAATCCAGTACATTCACCTTGGAAATATTTAAAGTAATTCAAAGAGGTGGCTCTTTTTCCATCCTCACTCCCCTGCTCATCAATAAATTTTCAGAAGTTAGCAGTGTCTTGTATTTTCCTATGCTGCACGTATACTGCCCTCTTTTCCATCCCATTGACAAATGCAAACCTACCACACATAACGTTATGCTTCATGCTTTTCTCCTCCTTGACCATATGTCTGAGTTTGTTGAATGTCAGTACAGACAAACCAACCTCCTTCTTTTCACAGATGCATAGTATTCAACCATAAATATATATCATGACTCGTTTCACTAGTCCATCCTTGACGGGGATTTAGGTACAACAAACAAGCCTTCATGAGCCTCGTAATACATGCATCTTTGAGCACAGGGGTGAGTGTATCTCCAAGATAAATTTCCACTAGTGCTATCAGAGGATCAAAGAGTATGGACACTTTTAACTGTGGTGGATGTTGCAAAATTGTTGCATTGCTTTAAACTCCTATGCTCAGGGTAGACTTTCCTATTTTACAAGCAATTAATCATATCTCTAACAAATCCCACTGAACCATACGCAAACACAAACAATTACAGGCACATACAGAATCACCTTCTGCACCACCATATACTCAGTACCTAGAAACATATCCTGGAGACAGTACATGTTTAATAAATGTTTACCAGATCAATGAATGGATGAATCAATTGTATACCTAAACTATGTAATGTTTAATATCTGAAAGTCTTATATTGCATTACACTTCAACTTGTACATGTTTTCAAATTATTCAGGAAGCAAACAAAGGACAAGCTGTACTGAAATAAAATAGAAAGAAGTTCTTGTTTGTTAATGGGGAGATTGTGAGCATATATGTTGAGCTCCCTGAATACCAGTTCCCCATTAATCCTTCTCCCCAGTGCTTCTGATTCCAGAGCTGATGCTCATGATGACCCAGAGACTGTTCTGAACCATCAGAGATTAAATTGTGTCGAGCACAATTTTCCTGAAATGTATTTTGTTTTATGCTAATTAGCTGAAAATTGGTCATCCACACATCTAATTTCTGGGATCAGAACGATGAAGCAGCATCTTTGCTTGATTCATCCTTTCACCTCTCTACCCTCTCCCCCCCAATCTTATGTCACTGTCATCCCCCTTTTTCTTTCCTAGGTCAATTGCATTTTTCAAAATAATAATGGAGATAAGAAAAGGAGAGGTAAACTCTGCCTTTTTCAAGTCAGAAAAATCCCTCCACCGTTTAGCATCAAGCAAACACAGGTTTTAGACCACGGGTAGAGAAAACAAGGAGGTTATTGTTAGAGATGTTTAAGATCCTTTTCAGACACAAAAAGACATATGGAAAAAAGATTAGAATACTTTTATTCTGTGTGGGCTTAAAAGCTATAAAAAGTAACTCCACCTCCTCTATGATTCCATTTATATAAAATTCTAGAAAAGGCAAACTAGTGTGTAGAAATAGAAAGTGGATTGGTGGTTGTTTTGGGGAGGGTGGAAGGGGAGGAGCGGAAAGAAGGATGTCAGCGACGTAGGAAGAAGCTTCTGGGGTGACAGATGTTCACTACCTTGATTACAGTCAAGTTTGTCAGGTATGCACAGAAGTCAAGTTATCAAAATGTACACTTTACATATGTACAGTTAATCCTTCCTCAATAAAGCTGTGTTTAAGAAAATAAAGCCTCCTGAGTAAGGAGAGGAGTGTTGTACAAGAATCGAGGAATCCTAAGGTGAGGTCCAGCCTCCACCCTAGAGTGGCCCCCTTCCAGTTTGAGCTAATAATACCCCAGAATATGCTGCATTAGATGAGAATATCTACTGTCTGTCTGCCCCAGAAGGCATTTACATCCCTGAATAAAGGTTTCCACATTGCTCTCCAGCTCACAGTGTGCTGATCTCCCACAGGTTTAATACCCACCAGCCACTCAGTCTTTGAACCCAGCAATCTCTCTCAGCCTCGATGGCTTTGCACTTTCTGTTCTCCCTGGATACAATGTTCTTGCATTCTGACTCTTTGCATAGTTGGTCCTCCCAACTTTCGAAACAGGCTTAAATATCAGTTCCTTATAGAAGTATTTCCTGACATCATAGCACTTACCACAGGCTGCAATTATGCATTTGTTCATTTAGTGTGTGTGTGTGTGTGTGTGTGTTTTAACTGTGTGGCTTACATGGGAATGCAAGCTTCGTAGGATTAGGGACGTGTCCATGTCCTCCTTGTTGCATGCCCACTGCCAAGAATAGTGTCTGGTGCATGATAAATACTTGTTTCATGAATTAATTAATATACTATTTTGTTTGCTTGTGTATCTGTTTAATGCTGTCCAGCAGACACCTTTTAGGGCATCTGGTCACGTCACTCTCTAATTCTCCTTAAAAATTTTGTGCTTCTTGGTGGCAGGGATTATGTGTCATGAATTCATATCTCAAGCACCTAGCATGGAGCTCACACATCGTAGGATTTCCACAATGTTTGAATTAAATCAAATCATTACACAAGAAATAAAATTATTATTATTATGCCAGGACCTTGAGATAGACAGATATCTAAAAGATTAAAAAGAAGTCCCTAAGCACATAGAAAACACAAATGTTTAAGCCAAAAGGCAACAAGTAGTGCAGAATTAATGACCTACTGAATTATAAAGGAATCCCAAAGACTTAAGTTCATCACTTACAATCCCAAGGGTGTTTTTTTCTTTCTCTGTTTAACACAAGAAATACAAAATGAAGAATAAAGAGCTGTAAAATATTTTTCAATCTGACTCCATTTGCCAATTCTCAACTAGCTTCACCATTTAATTAAACAAAGCTGTACATTCTCTGACCAGGATGAATGACAGTAATTTCTAGAGATGGAAACTCACGTATGTGTTTACACACATGCTCATGCACACATTCATGCACACACAGTCATTATGAACCTGACACACGAAAACAAAAAAGAGCCCACAGGAAAAATGAACTCAAAGTGCACTGTGTCTTCACAGGTCATGATGCTGCTATAGATTCACGGTAAAGGAGTTTCAAAGGACAAGGAGGAATTCAAGACAGGAGGTGGGGGTACTGAATAGTTTTAAATATTCCAGAACTGTCAGTCCCATGAACACCAGAGAGTTGTGCTGTAAGAAATCCTCCTGGACTGAGTAGTTTCATAGAGTTGTCATTAGCACAGACAAAGACTGGACAAAGAACAATTGCTTTCCTTCCTTAGCATCTATTGTCTACGTATACCTCTCCTGAGTGAAACAATACCTCCTCCATTCTCAGATCAGATGGTTCCTCCAACGCAAATGCCCATCAATCAAATGAGTGGATAAAGAACCTGTGATATCTCTATCTATCTATCTCTATATACATCTACATAGATATATAGATATATATCTCTGTGACTGAATCTATATATCTACCTATATATCTCCATATATAGATAGATATATATAGAGAGATAGACAGATAGATATGATGGAATATGACTCAGCCATAAAAAGGAATGGGTCAATGGCATTCGCAGCAACCTGGATGAGATTGCAGACTAACTCAGGAATGCAAAACCAAACGTTGTATGTTCTCACTCGTAAGTGGGAGCTAAGCTATGAGGAAGCAAAGGCATAAGAATGACACAATGGACTTTGTGGACTCAGGGGAAAGGGTGGAAGTGCAGTAAGGGATAAAAGACTACAAATTGGGTGCAGTGTATACTGCTTGAGTGATGGGTGTACCAAAATCTCACAAATCACCACTGAAGAACTTATTCATGTAACCAAACACCACCCGTTCCCCGAAACCTATGAAAATAAAAAACTAAGAAAAAAGAAAATAGGTGAAGCCAAAAAAAAAAAAAAAAAATCAGACCATATGGTTCCAGAGAAAAAGATTAAGGATTGGCCTCCATAGGTTGCCATGTGACCCAGACCTGGCCAATCTCCATAGACTACTGCCAAGCCAATGTGACTGGTTAATGGATGGGCCTATACTTTAAGCTGAAGCAATGACAGGCAGTCCTGAGACTTTTGCTTAAACATCCAAGCTTTAGTGGCAGAGGTGCTCTCTTTCAGCTCAAAGGGCTCAGCTAGAAGAATGTAAGTGGAGATCTGTAGGTGCCAAGAAGGGCTTTTCTGTGACTGAATCAAAGAAAGCAGAGCTGAGAAACATAAAGACACACACACAAGCACAGAAGCACGTGCACACACACACAAGCACAGAGATTTCTGAGTATATTTTCTGAATATGGTTGGGGCTGTACCTGAGATCCATCTCTTGGACTTTTCTGTTTTGTACACCAGTGAGTTCTCCCTTGAAGAATGTGTTTTGTCTGAGCCTCTTTGTGTTGGTTATTTTTGCAAGTCACAACAAAAAAGGTAGAGCAATACTCAAGAAAGGATGAAGTGGTTGAAGAAAATGAACATTAGAGTTCCTTGGTTAATTGTCCTTAACTCCACTGACCATGAATATGTAACCAACAGGAAAACATGTGTCTTTCTGGTGTCCCGATGTAAATACCCAGGCTGAGGAGTTAGCAATATCACAGCAAGAGGTCCTGACTTGACTATAGAAGCCCAACATTTTCAGCCCACCTTTATCATAAATTATTTGCGTAATCTTAGGTAAGCCATTGCTTTTAAAGTCAGGATCTTGAATAGATTATGTTTTTAAATTTTACTCTTTCCTTGTCCATGAATTAGAATCAATTTCCCTCCATCTCAGGATGACAATAGTCTGTTTTAATCAGAGGGGCATACTGTCCTGATGGGGATGAGGTACCAGACTGATTAAGTAGATGTTCAAGCTACACTGGTCCCCCTTAGGAGAAGTTACATCAACTAACAGGACTGTCTTATATCCTCAATTCCAGTGAATGGGTGTGAGTGTGAAGAGGGTCTCAGGGATACAATTTAGAGGTTAATACTGCAGTTTTCAGTAGTTCCAGACAGCAGTCACTAGCAAAGACATTTAACAAATCAATGCTACTTTGTTATTACTTATCTTGGCCTTAATTTCCATACAGATACAGATAGGTACATATTTCTTAAATTACTATTCTGACATCTGTGGGATTGCAGGATTGCTTTTAGTAACGAACTATTTTAGATTTTATATGTGGAAAAACACAAAACAAAATTTAAATTCTATTTTACTCTTGTTGTTAATAATAGGGAGCAAGTTGTGTAAACCAACGGATACTTGGAAGATTTCAATTGTCCATGGATGTTTGAAAGAGAGACTCAGCTAAACAACAGAAACATCTGTTTGTGTGTTCTTTTGCAAATGGTATCACTAGGTAATAGTACTTTCTCATGACTAAGAGTTAAAGGCACTTGAAGTCACGAGTCTGGTAATTTCTGACATATTGCTGGGTACCTTAGAGGTTTTTCTGTACAAATTCTGATACCACCAGACTTGTTGCTTAGTTTGTCCTGTATGAGGCATATTCGTTATTATTTACGTTTCTTTAAGTCATTTTTATTATGTAAACAAGACATGTACTTAACAAAAAACTATAAACTGCAGAGAGGTGAAGAAGAGAAATCATTCAAACTAATCACTTTTAGCATCTTGGTGTGTAGATTATCAATCTATCTATACATTTGATACACAGCTTTTGTCACTGATCATCTCTTAACATACCAATACATTGTGAACGTCTTTTCATACCAATTCATATACTGTATTTCTAAATTCAGCAGGACTGAAGGTGGCCTTCTGCTTCCTAGCTAGTATGTAGGTTCTGTGTAGAAATGGGCCAGGCCAGCTTCATTTGCTATTTTATTCCAGCATCAGGAACGATGCCTGCCCCTTAATAGGCAATTCTACAATGATTACTCATTGCTATACTGACTTGAGACTGGACACGTCATAAACTCAAAACAGTTAAAGTTCTGGAAATCAAAGTTGATACAAATGCAAAAGAATGAGGTCATTGGTTTTTTATCCCCTCTTTAAAAATCACAACTTGGAAAGAAATGTGCAAATCCTCAAATGGAATAACTTTCAGTAATACTTTGGTCCGACAGCTTGGAAAGCACCCACACTTTTCAGAAACAGAGTGTTGCATTTTTTTTTTTTGAGGCAAAGATAGAATTAGGGAATTAAATGTGGAAATAGATAGACAAATAGACGTGTGTGTGTCTAAATGTGTGTGTGTGTGTCTGTACACACAGCAGAGCTAGTCTCAAGCTCACAATTTTATCATTTATACTCCATGTGAAGGTTTAGTAAACTCCAATACTCACAATATACTTGTAGCACTCAATTGAAGTGCATGCGTTTTGGATTTGAAAAATTCTTTTGAAATTAGGCTGTGTTTTCTAATCTCAAAAAAATTGCTGGTTGGATGATTTTCATTTCTTTGTAAAATGACAAGTGATACTTCATTCTTAGTAAAAGGTTAATGTTAAGTCTCCAAACTTTATAAATTGTACTTTCTCCATAAAATAAACTATCACATGCTGGTGTGCAAGATTAGCGAGAAATGTTCACTGTTGAAAATAGATGGATTTTGCATTTCAAGGTGACAAGTGCAATGTCAGACCCAATCAATCGATCACTGCCTAATTATTATTGCAAATGATCCATATCCAAGCCGCAAACCTTAAAGGGAATTTAATGAAGCAGTAAGCACATCAGTAATAAGATCTACTTTGGTCTCTATTAAATCTCATGATTCATAAATATCCTGGCATGTTTTATTCTTTCTTTAAATCCTGCGAAGACATCTACAAAAGTGAATGCTTGAAAGCGACTATTTAACACTTCACTAAAGACAATTCTAAGGCTCTCAGTAAGACTTAGGCTCTGTATCAGATCCTTCTTCACATATAGGCTAAGGGAATCCAATAGTCTATGGATAGACAAAGAATGGAGTTCCTATACAAAGGTAGAATTGAGAAAGATATTTTCATCTCTCTTCTCCAGCCCGAATTTCCTCAGGGAATGCCCCTGCAAACAGTGGCTTAACTGGAATCCGATGAGTGTGAGTAAGAGGAGTGTTTCTTTTCTAACAGAGAAGTAGGCACAGGCAGGACCATTTCTGCCTGTATGTTTGGTTGTGAGTTAGAAAAAGCACCCTCCTCTGGGTGGGGCCAGCCCAGCATGGGTGCAAACACTGGTAGCTTATGTAAATTTGGAGTAAGGAAAACGGCACCCTTGTCTCTGGATGGATACAGCACTAGGCTTGTGGTACAAGGCTTGGTGAAAGGAGCACCAACTATGCTTCAATCCTCGTAAACACCTGGTCTCCATGCTTTGGTACAGTTTACCAACTGTACAATCCCTGGACCTGGGATGCAGACAAAGACAAGAGCCTTGGAAATCCCTAGCTCAGTGATTACTGAGCATTTGCCACATTCTAACATTAAAAGGGAAAGAGGACCAGGACAGGCATCAGAGCAGAACCTGTACTTGTCTTCTGCGGCAAGCAAATACATTTTTAAAAAATCACCCTACTTGAATGCCTACCCTAACATGCCTTAAAATCTTGCCTTCAAAAAAAGTACCTTTGAATAACCTGCTAGTAACCTTTCATCAGAGTCTTTATAGCTGTCATATGATCTTTTCCAAAAGCACCACTGTTCAATATGTGATCTGCCCCCTCTCTGTGAATGCTTTTGGTTGGATACACTTTGGTACAGCCGGTCTCTTTCTGAATCTCAGTTTCTTCCTTCTAAAATTCTCTAATCTCACGCATACATTCACTGCTATATTATGTAACCACTATTACCAAGACTCTGGAACGAAATCCAAGAGTTTCCTTGCAATTACTGATGAGTATTACATTTCTTCCTAAATTCCCTTTTATTTTCAATGAATAGCATTTTCTCCAAGCGCAATGGTGTGTCATGTATTCATCCAAGCTAGCGGCGAGCTGGCACTGCACTCACTCGGTTTCTCTCTATGCCACGCTGGTGCAGAATAAATTCCTAGTCACAAAAATGGGGCCTGCATAGGCCAGCTCTGCCTGCATGCATAGCTCTGACTAAATTAATACTCAGCAACCAACGGCAGGCATCGTTTAGTGCCTTAAAAGTACCATAGCATGAGAATACTAGCTTTTATTCTTTGAATGAAAACTTGAGAGATGTTTTAGTGTATATAGGTAACTTTGTACCATATATCCTTGTATGCAACATTTTTTCACTATATCTCTGAGTGTTTCCTCAAAAAATAATCCTTGATGAGGCTATAAAGTACAATCACTTTCACTTAAAAAAAATCCCTTGTACTTGCAAAGCAACCTCTAAAAATGTTTAGCAGTTTAACTTCACAAGCATTCAGTATAGTATTGCCCTTTGCAAAACATTTCTCAATTTGACAACACATTTTTAGTTTGCATTCATCTGACATTGGAGAGGGTGAACACAGTGTCCTATATTTACGGCCATTGGATCTTTTTTCCCCCTCTGAGTCCTCTGTTCACTCTCCCTTGTCCATTTTGTACATTTTTAAAGTTGTTATTGTTCATTTCATTAATATTTATCACAGGCTATGTCAAGAAAAACCTGACATCCAACAGTAGGCAAATGGGTAAATAAGCTACAGTATAGCCATATGCTAAAAAAAAAAAAAAAAAAAACAACCTTTAAAAACCCATGTTTTCCCAAACCATCAGTAACACTAGAAAATGTTTATGAGATAATTTGTATGAAAATATGTTTATAGTATGATTCTGTTTTGGAGGAAAATGGGTATCTATGAAAATTCAAATATACTGATATTTTAAAAGAGGAGGAAATACGTCAAAAATGTTGAGTGATGAGTGATAGGCTGGGGGGAGTCAGATTCTACTTCATATAGCAAATTTTTTCATAATGTCCAAATATGACTTTTATTTTCAGAAAGAGTCAGGGTTCTTTTTAAAAAGAGAAATTTTCATGAGCATTTTATTCTAACCATTTTTCACAACACTGATATCAGCACTGAATAGTCATTCCTTTAACACACAAATTTCGAAATTCCTTTCAACTTCAATTTTGTTTTCTCTGCATCCCTCTCTAAAGCTTTTTTTTTTGTTCCCTTCACCAGAGAGCTTTATTTAGTATGTAAATCAAAAATAAAATTTGAAGGTGACCACCCTCACCCCCCATCATGTGAAAGGACCCCCTCCTCGACCAGGGCAATCTAAAGTTTAACCTGAAAGACTGGTTCAGACCATGATGAGAACTGAGGGGTGAACATGCCTCATTATACCCCTCTCCACCATTACCATCAACACAAACTTTAAGTCTGATAAGAAACATTTACAGTCTATTCTCCCTAAAACCTGCTACTTAGAGGCTGTAACCGCACGATAAAACCTAGGTCTCCATAACCCTTTATTGAAACCCACACATTCTTTTCTCCCGGTAACTCTACGAACCACTTGCCCATCAGAATATGTGTAAATCTACCTATGACCTGGAAACACCTTCCTCCTTGAAGTGTCCCTCCCTTCCAGGTAGAACCAATGCAAATCTTACATGTATTGATTGATGTCTCATGTCTCCCTAAATGTATAAAAGCAAGCTATACCCCAACCACCTTGGGCACGTGTCCTCAGGACCTCCTGAGGCTGTGTCAAGGGTGCAACCTTAACCTCAGCAAAATAACCTTTCTAAGTTGACTGAGACTTGTCTCAGATACTTGTTGGTTTATAAGTAATAGGAGAAGAGAAGAATATAAAGTCTCACATACCAGTGCAAACCACTCAGCTAGACACTAAATATGGTTCTATTATTTCATCCCATTCCCCTTCTGGTATTAGCCCCATTTTAAAGAGGGGTTAAATAAAACACCCAAGAAAGATCCTACGAGGAGAAGCTGGTACAAAATGAGTTTACACCAGCCAGGAATTACGAAATTCCTTGGTTTTTGAGCCATTTCCCACTGCAGCTAGAGTGATCTCTCCTGCCCTGTATCTACCCTCCCTCATTCTACATCCACACGTATGCAGAAGACATTGTTTGTACTCAGTTTTTTTGTAATGACAACAGTATTGATGGTTACAACTAACTTTTAGTAAACAGCTACTATCTGCCATCTCTGATTCTAAGTACTATTTTTGCAATATAAACTTTCACCATAACTGTTTGAGAAAGATACTATGCAAGGATAGTTTGTGAACTATTTAACAAGAGAGAGTTTGGACACTGACCCACCAAAAAGAGGCAGCCATCAATCAAAAAGACCAATGGCTATAAGCAACCAGCTCAATATCAGTTGAAAAACAACCTCAGGCACTAGTAACAGTCCCATTTTAAAGATGAAGAAACTGAGGGTTACTGCAAAAAATAGGATAAGGACCAAATTTTGAATATAGCTGTGCCTCACTAGAAAGACCACGATTTTAATTATTATTTATTTATTTATTTTAAAGATAGACACAGGGTCTCACTATGTTGCCCAGGCTGGTCTCAAACTCCTGAGCTCAAATGATCCTCCTGCCTCAGTTTCCAAAACTGCCAGGATTACAGGCATGAGCCACCACCCAGCCAAGATCATCACTATTTTAACCACTCTAATGTCCTATATCCCCATAAGAAACCAATGAATTTCCTGTGTTATTACCAATACATTATAACCGAATGTATATGTTTAAGGGTGCTGATGTGTGTGTGTTACATTTCAATAAAGTAAAGTATGCTATCTTTGGCTTAATTTTACAAATGAATGAATAGAATAAGAGTTTTTGCCTACCTGGCACAGTAGCTCATGCCTGTAATCTCAGCACTTTGGGAGGCCTAGGCAGGTGGATCACTTGAGGTCAGGAGTTTGAGGCCAGCCTGGCTAAAATGGCGAAACCCCATCTCCACTAAAAATATAAAAATTAGCCAGGCATGGCGATGCACACCTGTAATCTCAGCTACTCTGGTGGCTGAGAGAGGAGAATGGCTTGAACCAGGAAGGCGGAGGTTGTAATGGGCCAAGATCGTGCCACTGCACTCTAGCTTGGATGACAGAGCTAGACTCTGTCTCTAAATAAATAAATAAAAATAAAAAACTTTTTGTCCCTTCCATATTACCCTCCATCTTCCATTAACTAATTGTGTTCCTTTCCTCACTTGTACCACTTGCCTGTTTGATTAGCCTTTTAAGTTAGCATATTGACAACACTGGCTTTACTTGAATACTCCATCACTGAGCTCATTTAAGTCAAATGCCCTCGAAGATTCTTGAAACTCCTCACAACACTCACTATTATTAAACTGTTTTGTATTTCTGATCCTCAACCAAAAGTGCTTTTACTAGACAAAGCAGGCCATTGTGTGAGGCACTATGATTTATTCAAGGATTCCCCAACCCCTTCTCCCTAACTCAGCAGGAAACCTCAAAATTTCCATATACTTCGTATTTTTCTGCTTTTAGATTTTTCTTTCTCCCTCTTTTCATCAGAATCTCTGGATAAATATGCACTAGCTCTCTGCTGACTCAGCATCTGTGAAGGAATCATTGTGCAAGTTTGGGGAGCAGGTTTCTTTGAAAATATAGATCAAAACCAGATGCAGAGAGGCCCTGGGTTTAGTACATATGTAGACTTGCATATTATGAGTGGCAACAGCATCTAATTGGATGGAATTTGATTATTTGAGGCAGATGGAGAGGTGCTTAAAATCCTAGAAAGAAATGATTCCACAATTCTCTAACACTTCTCAATTAAAACAGAAAAGAAAACTCCACTCACTCTCTTACTGTCCTCCTCTGTAGGGTTCTTCTCTCTTTCCCTGCTTTAATGCCAGGGTGTTGCATGGGAGATGGGGATCTTTGATACTGGGGTTGATGCAAGCAACTCTAATCTACCAGGCTCTGATTCCTGCCTGTCTCAGAACTCTCTCTCTCTCTGACCATACTCCTCACATCTGAGGCTGAGCCAGCCTAGCCTCCTGGAATTTCCACGTACACAATGGCCTTCTAACCACCACACCTCCCTAGCATCCTCCTACCTCATAGCAGTTTCCTAACTCTCAGGTCCTAGCTGAGAAGACACCTTCTTGGAAAAGTCTTGCTCGAAGTCACCATTCACAATACCTCTCTCGCGGTTGCATTTCCCAAGCACATTTTTTGTTTTTGTCCTAGATCTCCTTGCAAATGATCACATGTGTTTATTTGTATAGGAGGCATCTGTTGTTTTTACCAAACCAGGATTCATTTCGCTTTCTGGTAACAGCTCTTTAATATTTCCTGGGAAACCACCACTTCCCTATTCTCAGTCCTTTTTTTTTTTTTTTTTTTTTGAGATGGAGTCTCGCTCTGTCACCCAAGCTAGAGTGCAGTGGTACGATCTCGGCCAACTGCAACCTCCGCCTCCCGGGTTCAAGTGATTCTCTTACCTCAGCCCCCTACGTAGCTGGGATTACAGGGGAGAGCCATCACTCCCAACTAATTTTTGTATTTTTACTAGAGATAGATTTTCACCATGTTAGCCAGGCTGGTCTCAAACACCTGACCTCAGGTGATATACCTGCGTCAGCCTCCCAAAGTGCTGGGATTACAGGCATGAGCCAACCTGCTCAACTCAGTCCCCGTTTTACTGGGGCTAAGTCCACTCCTAGATCCAAACAGCAAATATTTTACACAGGGTTGGATGTTGAGTATCAGGGATGGGTTCAGGGGTAGGTAAGGAATTCAATCCAGGTGCAAGAAAATTGGCCTCAAAACTTTTCCTAGAGCCTACTACTTCTTGGATGAGTGTGGTCCACCCACCAGGGCTGCTGTTAACAGTGGCATGTCAGCCAGAAGCTACTAGTGGTTGCCTCAGACATCCTGCTGGGGGACACGGAGAAAAATAGGTCCGAGAAATTGAGTCAGAGTTTCCATGACATGGTGAGATGATCTGCATCCACCTGGTTCTGACTGCCTGTCATCTTTGGACTTCTCAGATATCTCAGCCTACATATCCCCTTTGAGTCTCCACTTAGCTCTGCAACCATGAGTTTTAGCAATAACACTTTTATCGACTACTTTTGCTCGATGGTTACCAGTTTTGTTATTGTGTTGTGTTTTATCTGTCTCCTTCACTACATGTAAGTTATATGAAGATTGGGATCATATCATGTCTCCTGGGTCGTCAGAACTTAGCACACACAATATCTCATGCATTAGATGCTCTCCATGTTTTATTTTTTCTTTTCTTTTCTTTTTTTTTTTTTTTTTGAGACAGAGTCTCACTCTGTTGCCCAGGCTGGAGTGCAGTGGTGCGATCTCAGCTCACTGCAAGCTCCGCCTCCTGGGTTCATGCCATTCTCCTGCCTCAGCCTCCCAAGTAGCTGGGATTACAGACACCCGCCACCACGCCTGGCTAATTTTTTTGTATTTTTAGTACAGAAGGTGTTTCACCGTGTTAGCCAGGATGGTCTCGATCTCCTGACCTCATGATCGGTCTCCCGAAGTGCTGGGATTACAGGCGTGAGCCACCATGCCCAGCTCCATATTTTCTTAACAAGGAAATGAATTAAAAAACAAATTGCTACTTATCGAGTGATCAACCAAGACCTTACCAACATGATTATCATCTGTAAACACATTCCAAGCTCCCACCTGGTATGTATCATGACATCCAAGTATAGAGAAAGCTCAGACCCTTCTTTGTGTGAAAGGGCTCACAATGTAACTCAAAGTAAGAGAAAAGAAACAACCAAGTGGAAAAGAGGACACACAACTCCACATCACAGATAAAAATTAAGCATGTTTTCATTTTGTCATGAGTTCTATTAAGGAAGAACATTCTAAGCTGGCCGCAGTGACTCATGACTGTAATCCCAGCACTGTGGGAGGCTGAGGCAGGTCGATTACCTGAGGTCAGGAGTTCGAGACCAGCCTGGCCAATATAGTGAAACCCAGTCTCTACTAAAAATACAAAAATGAACCAGGCACAGTGGTGACAGCCTGTAATCTCAGCTACTTGGGTAGGCTGAGGCAGGAGAATCGTTTGAACCTGGGAGGCGGAGGTTGCAGTGAGCTGAGATCGTGCCACTGCACTCCAGCGTGGGCGACAGAGTGAAACTCCAGCCTGGGCAACAGAGTGGGTCTCCATCTCAAAAGAAAAAGAAAAAAGAAAGAAAGAAAGAACATTCTAGTTAAAACAAATTACTAATATCATCAACAAAATATAGACAGATTTGCAAATAACAGAATTGCAAATCACTCTGTAAGAGTAAAAAGGTTATTCCACAATTGATGTTTACCTTTGATGTTTACACTGATGTTTACAATAGATGTTTACAGATACAATATTTGTTCTACAGGTATTAAGAGACGGGGCAAAAGTCTGTGTGATTAAAGAGAACACGTTATCCAAATGTTATCCATAAGTGAGTTATTTAAATGTAAGCAGAAAAATTCTCTTACCCTCTGTCTCAATCTCTCTCTCTCTCAACACACACACACACCCACACACACACACACACACACACACACACACAGCTGTACAGTCTGCCCTTATTTCAGTTCATCAGCCATCTTAGCCATACCACCCAACCACTAACAAGACATTGGAGTAGGGTGAACAATGTAATGATTTAAAAAAAAAAAAAAAAAACTTCAAAAGAAATGCAGGAGTCCCCAAGTCAAGGGAACAAAGAGTGTTTCCCAATACACAGGATTTGACAGTCTGACTTCGAATGATAACATCAGGAGAAGATGACATAGGAATGCAAAGAAAGCAATGATGTATTCTATCCAGTCCCCAGAACCACTTGAAATAGCATTGCATGTCTCCAAATCATTTTCAAAGCTTTCTCTTCCTACCTTTCCTTCCCATGTTTTTTTTCACCTGGAATGTCTTCGGATAATAAATGGAAGACAATGGGCAAAGCTCTCTCTACTTCTCCTAAAAGCTTCATGTTCCTTAGTGGTCAAAACAATGCTCTATTGCTTCCCGAAATTATCTTGTTGGTATTGAATATCAATTTTTCAATTTGTTCTTCTCTGAATGGGGACACAAGTTTGCACAGAAACTAATTTGCTTATGTCTTTCAAACCCGCATCATTTGATCAAGTATTTGTCTGAAGGTTTGGAAAATTTTCTAAAGGTAAGTGAAACACCACTCAAAATGTAAAATGAAGAAGAGAAGGGCTATTTCACATCTAGTATGTTTTGCTCTGATCCTCTGGCACTAAGCAACATCCACTTGACCAATTACTATGTTTAAAACACAATCATAAAGACAACATCATTGTTTTTATTAATACTCACCAGGTTTTGTTTAAAAAAATTATATACGCCTTATATAGTCACACCATTATGTTTTCCAAGAATCTTTAAACACAAATATTCAATGAGTTTTGTGTCATTATTACAGTGGGAAAAAATGGATGTGGCTTTATGATACAAATCACTTTACAGACAAAGAGGAAATGTGCATGTAAACAGAATTTCAGGAAAACACAAAAAAGTACTGATCAATTTACATCAACAGCTTCTGGGTGCTCAAGCGGAAAATAGCGTATTACTCCCTCTGCCAGACAAAGTCTGCAGTGAGTGGGGAGGCCATGAATGGTTAAGCTAGAGGGGGAAGATGTAAGTCACAAATGAGCTCCCATTCATTAACTTTCGATCCATCCAGTTTCCCTCTAATCAACGAGAAGTTTGAGATGTTCATGAGGGTCCATCATCATTCCTCTGCCTGAAGAGTATCTGGATAAGTGGGTACCTCTGACTTAAAGATGCTGGGAAACTAGCCCTTTCCAAATGTTCAAAAACATCTTTAAGCAACATTAAAGATGTGACTATGTCAGAGTGTCAAAGAAGAAGTGGGCTGGGTATGCAAGAAAAACATGGCGGCTGGAATATTCGAGACAACAGAGAACATTCAGGGCTCTGAACTATCTCCTGGTGACACAGACAAGAGAGGCAAGCTCAGTATACATCACAGTCAAGAAAGATAAGGGATAATATAATGAACACCTTCATCACAGTAATCAGAGTCTGCTGGGCCATTTTCTCAGCCCCCTAACTGAGATACACGGTGACCAGTATGGGTGCTGAATGAACTTGCCAGGTCAACAGAAACGAATTTCTGAATCAGAATTCACTGGGGTAAAAGAAGTCATCTTTGTATTCCTGAGGCATTTTGCTGTAAAGCACTGCACTCATAGGAAACACAGAAATGCTGAACTTTGGAATAAAAAACGAAAATTTCTCTCTCCAAAACAAAAATGTTTCCTTTGACTGCCAGAGGCAATTTCCAGCACAAGTTCCTACGAAAAGGAACCATTCAACGAATGCGTCAACTAACTTGGAAAAAAACAGATGACACTTAGGCCTCCAGTGCACCAAGGCGGAAAGAAGAATCACTGTGAAAAGGCGGATGTCCCAGCCTTCGATTTGGTAAAGGGGACAGAATACTTGAAGAAAAAATAATTACCAAACTTGTGAACTGCAATCAACAGGTGATTAATATTAACAAGCAATCCTCTGTTTTCAGCTCTTCATACCTTTTAACATACTTTTAACTTAACTGTGCGTCCCCCAAGGCGCAGTACCATAGACAGTGCCCAAGTCCGTAAAGGCTCTGTCAATAACCAACCCACTGAACAAATACATATATGATTAGTGAATGCATTCACACCATACCAGGAACTAGCAAGGATTTTTATAAGCAGAAACAACTGATAATCAAAGAATTGGTTAAATAAGTTCTGGAATCGCCATTCGCTGGAACACTGTCTATACAGTATTAAAGAGGCTGTTGTGGAAAAATATTGAATGGTACAAAATGTTAAGTGATAAAAGCAGGTTACAAAACAGTAAGTTCTAAAGCAGTGTGATCTCATTTTTTGAAACAGAGTATTTCCTCTCAGAGGCTTTGTTTTTCCTTCTTCACATTTTAATGTATCTGAAATGGAGATGTGTTTTACAATTGATACAGGCTTTTAATGCGATAGCATTTCTGGCTCTCCACAAACACACACTAAAGCAGAAACAAACAAGAGAAACAAACAACAACAAACCCTACTAATAAAACAGTGGTATACCTTGTAACTTTGTAATCAATGCTATATTCAAATTGAGAAAAGAAGGGTGTGTGTGCATGTTATAAAAACATCTTTAAGATGTCTTTAAATATCTTTAAGAGTTTAACCAGTGTTCCAGCATATATCTTAGGTGCTAGAAGAGGTGGTGCTATTTATTTTTTTTCTCATTGACTAATTTTACTACAAAGGGCACGTGTATTGTTTGAAATAAAGGGGAAAAGAGAATGTCAAACAAAATGGGCAGATGTTGTTTCTGTCCTGAAAGACCTTAAATTAAACTGGCATGATGATCCAAGACAATAAAGCAACTCTATATCTGCAACTTCTGCATAATCTCTGATCCACATAGAATCTACAAATCAGGCCATCTCTATACTCAGTTAATAACGAAGCTCTAGAATGTAGAGTACAGATCAGAAAAAGCTTTAGCATTCAGGAAAGAAAATGCAGAATTCAGAGGAGGCTCCCCCAGTACTGAGGATGGGGTGAAAGAGCAGAGATAAGCCACAGGCAGCTACTTCACAAGTTTGCTTACAGCAGGCTGAGAACTGGAGCTGTCTGGGTGGTGGAGTTTCTGCCAAGTGTAACACACTCTGGGAGGTAGAGGACTCTCAGGATCCTGTAGAAAAAATGATGCATTTTCGTTTTCTTCTTTTTTTTTTTAAGTGACTGAACTACATTGGTAAAAGGAGAGATGCTGCCGCCTGGCATAACTCTCTCCCCGTCTTTTCAACATCCCTCAGAAATTCTTGACTTGACTTGTTGCTCTTCTCCCATTTTAAACCCAGGTATGTTTGTATAAAATGATATTTCTAAAAAAAAAAAGTTTTTAAAAGGTGAGGATGAAGTGTGAAACGATAAAGTGAAGAAAAGTTATTTTCAGTGAATAAATGGAACACCAAATTTGTAACAAAAAAAAAAAGTAAAGTTAAAATTAAAAATTGCAGTATTTTAACTTAAAGTAAAAACAGAGGAAGTGTACTTGGAATGTAAATGAGAAAATGTGAGTAAAAATAATAAAATGGAAAGAGTTATTTGTTTCAACCAACTAAAAAGTAAAGAGAAACGAAAAGGTTATAAAGTCAAACAAATACCTATTGTAGTAGAGTTTAAGCGGGGACCATTTGGTCCAAGACTTGAGTGGCAGAGGAATTTGTATCCTGTTTGTGAATTAGATGAGTAGGTGCCAATTGCCTACTTTCCAGCCCTAGGAGAAACAGCTCAATTGTATTCCAAAGAACCTCTAATCCTGGCGGAATTAAATAACCACAGGAGAGCAGGAGTTTGTGCTGGTCAAGGGAGGTTGTGCTGGTCAAGAGGGTTTTACTTCATTCTACGGCAAGTGTAGCCTGGTGCTCAGCTCAGATCACATCCTCAGTAAACGTGACTTCCCTGCTTTTCCAAGAAGTCCGTAGGGAAGGCTGTTTCCCCCTCCTACCGTGGCCAAGTTTGGTGAATCAAAACCGCCCGGAAGTCAGCCAATGGTTGCAGAGAACTCAACTTTCTTTCCCCTGTACAGCAACCTGTACTCACTCAGGGAAAATAAAATACAACGAAAACTACAAAATTTATTTTTGATAGGAAAACCTTCTTAAAGAAATTTAAGGGAAAAAAATGTATAAATCTGAGATGACACCAAATGATGGACATATTAAGCATCTGTAACTATTTAATTGGACTGGCTTAATGGGGCCACACTATTTTTAATTGATACGATTCCAAAGCATTTCTTTACCTTTCAAATACACAGGACCATCCTTATAGACTAAAATGACAAAGTCAGTCTAGAGAAGGGAGACTATACCATCTACCCCACACCTCCCCCCAGCAAAAAGTTTTCCATCTTAGTAAAAACATACTGAAATCGTGTGCTATTAACACAGATAGGTGCATATAAAGAGGTTACTTTACAAATTTAAGAAACAATGACAGGAGTAAACTGAATATGGATTCTATTTTATTGTCTCTCCTTGTCTCTTCATTTTCACTTTTATATCCATGAGACAGTAGCAACCACTATTTTCACACATCAATGTAGCTGAGGCTCATTTTCCTAAAGCAAGATGAGCTCTTAAACAGAGATATCAACCACATTTAGACTATCTTTATTTACAGACTAGAAGGCAAGAGCAGAACCTCTGCATTAAAAAAGAAGAAGAAGAAAAGAATGGAAAACCCCTCCAACCTCACAGTGTTAATGCTAGCTTGCTAATTCATATCTCCTTAAACAGCCTGCATCCAGCTGTTCCAATTTAAAGTCTCTGCCATTTTTTTTTTGAATGCAGAAAAAAAATCTGAATTAAAGATGTAAACAGAATACTTGAGCACAGGAAAGGAAGGTAGTGCCCATTTTTCAATGTGATAAATGCAGTTAATAAAGCCATGTAGCCCTAAAATGCATTGGTCTGAGAGAAGAAAATAGAAATTGAGGGATGCTGCTTTTAAGTCAAGATTAATTACTAGGAAACAAATCAGCAAGTTTTTCGGATGTGGAAGGGGGTCTGGGACACGCATCATTTTTCCTCTGCTTTGAGTTGCAAATATGTACATATGTAAGAGCTAACAAACTTCATAAATAATATCACAGACACTACTTAACAACTCAGAGAAAGAGTGTGACTAGCAACCAACTCACCACAGCCTAAAGGAATTATTGATATTTGTTTATAATTAACCAGAATCTGTTCACAAAATAAAAGCCAAAAAGGCTCCTTTCCATGAAATGCTAGTATAGTTTTTTCCTTAATTATTGAGGCGACAATCCCACGTGACTACTTTTTTTTAATGCTTAAAAATCAGCATTTGTAAACATTCAAAATTTTAATTGCTTCAACCTCCACTGTCAAAAATAAATGTTATGAGAATTCAGTGTTGTTAGATAGAACTCTCTATTAAGTTCATGCAGTTTTAACTAGTGATTTTATATTTCAAAATACCTCTTTCGTGATACGCAAGCTCGAAGAGAAAACTTGCCCTGAAATGAAGACAAAATAATAATAAACTCTGTCTCCAGCTGCCAGAATTCATTGTACTAAATTGTGCAAAACTAAACCGGGTGGAAATGGAGCTAAAGTCGCTACAAAGGAAAATGTCCCAAAGAAAGGGGGCAAGGGTGTAAATGACAAGGCTCACTGAGGGGCAAGGCAGACCTAGAGACCAGCAGAGGTCAAAGAACCAATGTGATTAACAAAGAATTCAACAAAAAGGCCTTCTTCCTTTACAGCAAAGAGAGTTCATAGATCTGAGTTGAACCAGAGCAGGGACTGGAGGGAAGCGGATAAAGAGGATTTTCTAAGCCTGCCGAGCAACGAAAAACAACAGTGATGATGATGCTGATGAAAGACAGAGGTTGAGTTGAACCTCGAAAACGCCTCCCTCCCTTGGCAAAGCAGGGAACACCTGCTCTAAACCTGAAATCACAGAGCAAGGACTTTGGTTACTGGCATAAGAAATTCACACATGCTCTTTATTGGCTAAACTACACTAGGATATATATTTGTCTCCCAAAACATAATAAGTAATTTTTTCTAAACCATTCATGCTAGATTACTATTTTTTTCTTGCTTCAAGAGTTAAATATTGTAATTCATAACTACGGGTTACCACTTCATTGCTCTTATTTTAATACGATCTCCAGAAAAAAAAACAACAAAAAACAACTACAGAGTATTTATCAGAAAGCCAGAATAAGTGCATGTAAATCTACCTTTTTCAAGACCAATCTTGTAAAATATACTCTCACATACACACATACGGACACACATCTGGTTAAAGCAAATGAAAGACGCTACTCTCCTCTACAGCACTCAACCCCAAAATGACAAATAAGTAGTCACTTGTGAGAGAGAAACAGAAACAAAAACAAAACAAATAAACAAAGCCATCACTACTCAGAGCAGTTCATTCTTGGTAATTAAATGAAATACCTCACAGCTACAAGTGATGTAGGATTTGCTTCATGTCTAACCCGACTTCCCTAGACCTTTTTTCTGAATTCACCACCATCAATGTTTTCAAAAAACAGAAAACCGTACATCCCCCCAAACCCCATACACATACACATTTTTTTGTCATTCCTTTTTGCAACTGAAAATAAAATTGCAGCTTAATGCTAATGAACCAGGTCTTGCCTGAACTCCCACTGGAAATGCGAGCACATGTACTATACCAGTGCAAGATTATTCTGCCACAAGTATAATCACCTTACACAAAATGCGATTACTCTGGGCTGCAATCTTTATCCCCAAAGTCAATTTATTAATCAGAGAGAAAGAGAGAGCGAGAGAGAGAGAGAAAGAGAAAGAGAGACAGAGGAAGAGACACTACCTACCCACAAATACATCATCATCTTGAAAGAGAAATCAAGGGCTCTGTCAGCAAACAGAAGTCTCCTTACTTCACCAAGAGTATCTGGAAGAAAAACTGAAAGCAGTGGGTAGAAAATCTTGCCTTTTCCTGTCAAGTCCTTAGAGACCCTCTTCTTTCCTTACACAAGATTTGGTGTGCTTGTTTATGAGTTTATGAGGATAACATTCCTTCAGTGGCACTGTATGTGATGTGACTTGCTTCTGGCTGCCTCTCTCTCTCTCCCTCTCTCTCCCCCTCCCTCCCTCCCTCTCTCCCTCCTTCTCTCTCTCTCTTTTCCCTTCCTAACTCTTGCCCTTCTTCTCTTTTCTGTCAAGCCTGCTTAGGTAACAAATTCTTGGTTTGGCTGTTTAATGAGCAAATCCAGACACTTTAGGCGGCCAGCCACAGTGGCGAAAACAAAAACTGATGATACTAGCAATATTCATAATACTAGCGATGGTGTTGATCATCAACAGACAGGCACTACACCATTTCCTGATGGCGGGTGGGAGATTCACGGAAGCCCCACTGGTGGAATTTACAGGAAGGCGGCCGATCCTCTTGAGGCAAGCCCATCTGCACAGAGCCGGTGACTCTGGGAGGCCAGCATCTGAGAATTTTTTTAAACTCAAAGTAAAGCTCCAGCCGCAGAGAAAAGAACATGTGCAGCAACCCGGCTTCCCCTTTATCTCTTTAAATGTACTTCAGATAAAAGCAGCATCCAGTCAGGTCAAGGCCTCCCCAGACTCATTACTCTTCACACCGCACAGCTCAGCACACTTGTCTACAGCCATCTACCGACGCCACGGTGTCATTGCGGGCTCAGAGGCTGCGGTCCTGCCCATCGCTGCAGCTGCCGCCTGCCCATCTCTGTGCAGGGCTCTCAGCCAGGGTGTGGACCGGGAAAAGGGAAGGAGGGCCGGGGGATGGGCCGTCAGAAGCCTGTGTGCCAATTCAGCAAATCAAAAGCAAAAAACCAAGCCCCACCAACTAAGCCCAGCAAATGGAAAGCTTCAAGAAGACTTGCTAGCATGAATCTGTGGCTTCCTAATCTAAGGATGAAGATGATACACACGCCCTCATTAGAAGACCAAATTTTAAAGTGTGTGTGTGTGTGTGTGTATACATTCTTCCCTCCCTCTCTTTGCAATCGCAGACCTAGGAAATTTTGCAGCAGGCATAAAACTTGATCGTTTCAATAGGCTCTCCTTACAAAATCCATCGGCTTGGAAGCACAGCTAAGATTTCCTGAAAGTATCCATAATTTTTTTCTATAAATCACTTTTCCTTTATTAGTTTTTCTTTTTAATCCATTTTAAATTGTATGCTTTATCTTGAAAATTATCTCCATTACTGAAACACATCATGAATGAGAGGATGGGGAATGCAATTTGCCCAGCATATTAATTGATGCAGTGTTCAATTATTGATATATGGATAAAGAAGAAATTAATATTAAAACATACAATGTACAGAAGGGGAGAGGGGGAAATATTATCTCTTGCTCAGGTCTGAGTTTTGACCATTAGTGATATTTTTACATGGCACACAGAGAAAACTGCTTAACCGAGCCCCTTGTTGATTTAAATTTTTACCTACAACTGCGCATGGCAAAATGTCAACCTAAACAATTAAAAAGCATTAGGTAAACTGTGGAATCATTGGCAGCATGAGACGGGTGGCGAGTAACCTGTTAAAATAGCCTATAGGTAGTCCCATCAAGATGCATACTGGCTAAGCATGATGGAGAGAATCACCACCAAGCCATGCCATAAAACAAGCAGTGATGGAGACAGCCTCAGAGCTGGCTATCTCAGAGAGGTAAGAAAATAACAACACAGCCCTCAACTGACAAGTTCTCAATCAGGCACATACACTGACCAATCTGCTTAGTACATTTTAGAGCCCATGAATCACAGCACAGAGCATCAAGAACCGAATCACCAACCATCCTGGTTTGATGGGGCAGAACGGTTTCCTGGGATGCAGGATTTTCAGTGCTAAAACCAGGACCATCTGAACAAACCAGGATTGATTGCTTTCTCCTACTTGGGAGAAGTTCTGAACACACTCTGTCATTACAGTGAAGAAAAAACCGAAAATTCATCTTTCTTATGGTTTCCGGTGACAGAGATCACCTCCGGACATGATCCCCACAAATTCTCAATTTGCACAGGGACAAAATGTGCCCTTTCTGATAGGAAAACTTAGGGAAAAATAACTAAGCACCCTACTCTTTAAAATTTTGCAGGCATATGTTCATTCATTGATTCCACAAATATTCTACTGAACACGTGCTCTGTATCTATCTCTGTGGAGGCACCCGGGATGCAGTGGTGGTGAATCGGTCAAATCCATGCCAGCAAATACCCTGACGGTGCAGTTCATTTGGCCAATATATCGATACTTTTTTGAAACATAACTTATTTGCCAATATTTAAAAACCAAGAGATTTCAAATAACTTGCACATATATATTTTTTTTTGAAGTACTGGCTGATCCAGCAAGGTAAGGTCTACATTTTCAAAGTGATAACCATGAGCCGGTGCTGAGTGGCAGCTGTTCTCTTTAGGTGACAAACATGTTCCAGTTCTCTAGTTTGCATCAATCCATGGAATCAGATGTTATTTGGCAAGTAGAATAACCAATTTTCCTTTATAGGCCTGGCCCTTGGAGGCATTTATGTTTGTAGCCTCTTTATTTGATCTGAGATGTAAGTACACACACAAACACACACACACACACAACTTTAGATACGGCGTTCATATAGAACTTTTACAATATAATACCTACTTTATCTTCAGTATTTCCATTCTGAGTAAGACACTGACATATTAGTGGGATGCATGGATGGATGGACGGATGGACAGACAGACAGACAGATACATAGATAGATGAATAGATGCATGGATGGACAAATGGATGGATGGCTGAATGGCTGGTTGGACAAACGGATAGAAGATAGATAGATGGATAGATAGATAGACAGAAAGACAGACAGACAGACAAGATTGCCAGATACAGACAGACATGAGAGAGGGGGGAATATGAACACATCATGGTTGTGTGTACATTTTACATTCACTCAATGCTCATTTTCTGCAATGAGAGTTACAGGTCACCTATTCTACATTACGGAGAAACCTCATTTCACTTAGGGCAAGTGAGCACAGGAGACCAATCAGCCTCTGGTCTTTGAAGCTCAATTTGAAGAAATGTATCACCACCTCTGAAATCCTTTATACCTCTCACATAGTCACTGAAGTCAGTTATGAGGCAGCACCTTGACATTCCCCTTTCTTTTGGGGCATTGCTGCATGGGGCACTATTTCTCACAAGTGGCCTTCTGAAATCAGCTAAAGGAAAGAATGGATCTCTCTAAGTAAGACATTACTAGGTCCATGCAAATTCACATTTTCTTTTTTCCTCTTCGAGGTGTACATAGCAAGATTATTTGTTCAAATATTAATATGCTTTTTTCTATCCACATTTTTTTCTTTCTTCCCTCCTCCACTACTCCCTCACATATAAGTGTGTGTGTATATATGTATTTCATACATATATATTAGTTCATACCTCTATACACACACACACATATATACATATATAGTCCATTTGACCAGCACAGTGTTCTGTTATATTTAATTGCATCTGAATGCCTTTGGACCTGAATCATGCTCTCCTGTTTACCACAGTCCTTCCATATTTTGATTGTATTATACCAGGTCTGTCCCACACATTTATTTGCCCATGCTTTGCAGACGTTTGATCAGAAGCCCCCGGGTGGGATTAGGGTAAATGACCTGAAAGATGATCAGGAGAGTGTTAGGGCCTTTAACAGGTCACAGGGTATCAAGACTGTGAGCGGGGCAAACAGCTCTGGGTCCCAGGAAAAAAACAGCTGCATGGTACCTCTAGGTGGGCAGGATGCTAAGTGATAGGGTTCCTAGCTTCACCACAGAGTCACCATTCCTCAGGATGGTAGAGAACCAAGGGAGCCACCAAGCCAAGATGCACTATGTGTACCTGAAAGCAAATGTCACCATGGCAACCACTAACAACTGACCCATGCACGGTGCCTTCTGGGCACTACCTTCTCCCAGGCTCTTGCCCATCTCTAGGAAAAGGGAAAGGAGTGAAATAGCTGAAAGTGAACATTTTGCCTGATAGGGATAAGAATCTGGATTTAAAATTAAACTGATTAAAAATGAATAATGTAATAAGTTGTTTCTTGTGCATCTGAGTTAGCAGACTGAGTTCTCTTACAAGCTCTGAGAAAGCCAACAAAGAAACCCATTTGATCCACGGTGAGGGGTGTACACAGGCTATACTTCATGGCCTCTGATACACCAGTGGATTGGTATGTGTCATTTCTTGTTTTTTTATATTTAATCTTAAGCTTCTGTGAGCCTAAATGAGTCCCCTGGTTATGCTCTTCCTGCCTCTGCTCAGTTTGCACCCATTCATTCTCCCACCTGCTTGAACATGTGGTCCCTCTGCAAGGAATGAGATTCGCCCTAAGATGGAGAAACATTTTATCACTGTGACACAAGCAGGAGACAGCTGTTTCCCATTAATCAAGTGTGGGAGGTGTTACAATCCCTGTACTCTGGAGTCCAGAGGTTAAACAGACGGAATGGAACATTCCGTGGACTGTCCCCTCGGGGGGTGTCAGCAAATTATTTCTATGTTTTAAATTCTGCTCATAACCAAATTGATGATTCAATCAATTCCTCAAACCTTGTTCCTTGAAATGAGCAGAGTGACATTTTCTATTTATTGTCACTCCCAAAACCTTCCATTTTAAATCATTTTAATAACAAAGTAAATATATTCAAATATTCAATTCAAAACCATTTTTTTCCATATTTACAAGCAGGCTGGTAGGTCCAGAGCTGCTTTCACAGTGGAAACATTTACAACTCTTGTTGTCAAGCTTCAAGAGAAATTATTTTAAAATAATTAATCCAGTTATCAGTTATCAACTCAACACAATAATTAATCAACTGCAAAGCAATAGCCTGAAACCAACACTGATTAAGCTACTGGTGGCCTCTCTGTTTCAGTGGCTTCTGATCTGCTACAGAAATTGAATGCCATTGTGATACATTAATTATATACAGCAATCAGCATACAACTTTAAACTTTATGAAAGAAAGTCTGCAAGCCTTCATTAAACAGTTGTGTTACTAAACACTGAACGAAATGTGAAAAATGACTTGATAAACTCAACTGAATCAGTGCTGAAACCTTCTTTTTTTAATTTTTATTTTTTTTTTTTTGAGACATGGTCTCACTCTGTCACCCAGGTGGAGGTTTGATCAACCTCCACCTCCCAGGCTCAAGCGATCCTCCCATCTCAGCCTCCCAAGTAGCTGGGACCACAGGTGCATGCCACCACATCCAGCTAATTTTTGATATTTTTGGTAGATGCAGGGTTGTGCCATGTTTCCCAAGCTGGTCTCAAACTCCTGGCCTCAAATGATCCACCCACCTCGGCCTCCCAAAGTGCTGGGATTACAGGCAGAAACGACCACGCCCAGCCTGGAACCTTCATTTAATATGTGTTTACAGGACATCACTTGACAATGTATTCTGTACAACTGAAGCTCCTGAGAAGGTAGATTCATCCTGAACCATAGGTCTTCAATGTTGCAGTAGCTAAAATATCCAACCAGAAGGCTGGAGTTTACCAAGATAGATAACAGGGAATTAGGATACCAAGGAGTGATCTCCAGAGTGGTTCTCCCAGATCCTGCAAATTGGGGTGGTTACCACCGACCATCACTATGAACCAGAGAGGATGGGAGGAATTCAATCGCTTCTTCCACTTTCAGCCACGTGGCTGCTCATTTCCAGTTGTGATCTCTGTGGCCACAGGAGCAAGCACAGATTCTTCTCCTTTAGGAGAAACTCCAGCAATTTCTACTACATTATCCCAAACTCCACTGCCTGGAAGGAATATTTATGCCACTAAAAAGACTGACCTCAACAGGAAGATGGTTAAACATATTAGTTCATCAATAAGAGCAATCCTATTATTGGATTCTCCAGGCAGGTGTTCAAATCATCCATGTTACCAAGGCCAGGGTGATCAGTATAATTTTAAAAAATTACTCATTATGAAATATTTAAAATAAATAATTATGAAATATAGACAATAATAAAACTATCACTTGACTACCCAACTCTTGAGATATACAACACAGGTGTAGTGAGATGATCAATTTGTACTGAGTCAATGAACAAATTAATTTAAAAAGTACATAAATAATGTCCTCCATATAAAAACTCCCACTACTCTCATTCCCATCATTAGTGAGAAATGAGTGCTTCTATTTTTCTAGCCTTGGGAGGTGAATTTCTCTAAAGCCAAGAACAGCTTCCCTTTGATTCCCCCATGAGGAGTGGCCAAGTTATAATAGCTAAAGTTTAGGACACAAACACACAAACAGGTTTAGTAGAATGAACACTATTACCATGTTCTGCATGTTAATAAGGCCAGTGTGGGCCGGGCGTGGTGGCTCACACCTATAATCCCAGCACTTTGGGAGGCCAAGGCTGGTGGATCACTTGAGGTCAGCAGTTCAAGACCAGCCCAGCCAACATGGCGAAACCCTGCCTCCACTAAAAATACAAACATTAGCTGGGTGTGGTGGTGTGCACCTGTAATCTCAGCTACTTGGGAGGCTGAGGCAGGAGAATCGCTTCAACCTGGGAGGTGGAGGTTGCAGTGAGCCAACATCGTGCCACTGCACTCCAGCCTTGGTGACAGAGTGAGACTCTGCCTCAAAAAAAGTAAAATAAAGCCAGTGTGGCTACGGCCAGCAACTCGCAAGGGCTGAGGAGGGGAAGTGAGGTAAAGACCAGTTCATGCAGAGCTTTAGTTACTAAAGGTGCTATCTGTGTTTTGCTCCACAAGCAATGAGAAACTGCTAACGAACGTCAAGGAGGGAATGACTTATTTCAAAGGCTCCCTTGGTCCTGAGGATGGATTGTGGCCTTGAGGCAAAGTGACAGCGAAAAGGCCAGTCAAGAGTTTGTTGTGGTCTTCCACGCAATGAATGATGATGATACCTTGCAAGAGGAGAGATGGAGAGGGTTGAACTATTCAATGTCATCTGTGATGGGAAGCATACCCTAACACCCAGGGTTCATATGGCAGCCAATCCCAAAATGGCAGCATGCAGCTAGAAAAATAAAGTTGTGAGTGTACCCCAAGAGAACATGGACCATGAAAAAAGGATACCCAGAGAGCAAATTGCTGAGGAATCTCTGAACAGGTCAGAGAGCTTAAGTGACTACAGGGATGGTGATCTGCAAACTTTATAACAAACATGAAGGGGAAAAACACACATTCCCTAAGGAATGAGGCTCTGTTACATGTATTCAGTACAAACAGTCATTACTTTGGCACTGAAATCATAGTGAAGACCGTTCTGCCAGGATAAAGACAGGTTACTTGTTGCTAGGATTTAGGAAGCCGAAGAAGGTACAGAATGATAGGCAAGGCATTGGAGGAAATAATCTATTTATGCCAGTGTTCAGCTATCTGCTGAGATATTGCAGTAAAGATCCCTAAAATTGCCTGTCCACGCTGCATGAAATCAGAGGTCAGTTCAACCCTTCTTGTGACTCCCAAAAACAAATGGGAATGGGACATTTTATTTACTTTTACTTTTTGGCTGAGGAATAATATTGATATAGTAAAGTATACTAGTCTTTTTTAAATTGTGGTTTTATATATATATACATATATACATATGTATATATGTATATATATAATATGTATATATATATACATCTATATACATATATACGTATATATATGTATATATATATACACAATGAATTTAATATTTTAACTAATTTAAATGCATAGTTCAGCTGCATTAAGTACATTCACATTGTTGGGCAACCATCACCACCATCCACCCACAGAACTTTTTCTTATCTTGCAAAACTGGAATTCTACACTCACTTAATAATAACTTCCCATTATCACCCTACAGCCACTAGCAACCATGGGGTTAAAGCACACAAATCTTAAGTGTACAGTTTGACAAACACACACAAACACCACCCTGTGTAACCACCACCTAGATCAAGACAAGAGCTTAAACATCTCAAGCACCCTCAAAAGCCTCCATTTGCCATGCAGGAAAATGTTTACTTTTCACTCTCATCTTCCTGGCTGTCTCTCCATCATAACGCAAAAGGCTTTATGAGGTACTTATTCAATATGGCATTTTATTTTTCTTTATACAGAGGGAGAGAAACAGATGTGACACCACCTCTAAATACTCCAAGAATTTACAATCTGAACTTGACAAAGAAGGACTGTGAGTTGCTGAATAGCTCCCTCTATTCTTGCTTGTGCTGCATGACAAAATGCAGGTACACAGTGTAAACTGTGGTTCTGCTCAGGCAGAACTTTCCATATGAAGCATTCTGTGTTTTCTTTGTTGTACCTGCTCAGCATACCTTTCCTCTGCTCCCCTTCTTTTAGGAACATGCACTGGTCTCCTCTTAACAAACCTCCCCTGCCCAACCCTCAGTTTGCAAGCTCCAGTTGGGGCAGAGCCAGATGTATGATGAGCAAGTAAAACTGGGTTTGGCCAATAAACATATGCAGTCCCGCGCCTGGATGGTGCAGAGATAGGAAGTGAAGTCAGTGAGTCTGATTATAATCCTACAGCAACAGACAATGTATGGCTCCTGCTGATTGAGAATGGTACACCATATGGGATAGATACACGTAAATAAAGACTTCAGGCTGTCATGAGTTGAACCATGTTTCCCCCCAAAAAAGATATTTTGAAACCCTAACTCCCAGTGCCTCACAATATGACCTCATTTGAAAATAGGGTCTTGTTGGGAGGCCAAGGTGGGTGGATCACGAGGTCAGGAGCTCAAGACCAGCCTGGACAACATGGTAAAACCCCATCTTCACTAAAAAAAAAAAAAAAAAAAAAAAAAAGGTATATATATAAATTAGCTGGGCGTGGTGGCACATTACTCTAATCCCAGCTACTCGGGAGGATGAGGCAGGAGAATCGCTTGAACTCGGGAAGTGGAGGTTGCAGTGAGCCTAGATCATGCCATTGCACTCCAGCCTGGGTGACAGAGCGAGAGCCTGTCTCAAAAAAAAATAAAATAAAATAAATAAAATAAGATAAAATAAAAAATAGGGTCGGGCTGGGTGTGGTGGCTCATGCCTGTAATCTCAACACATCAGGAGGCCAAAGTGGGTGGATCACTTGAGGCCAGGGTTTCGAGACCAGCCTGGCCAACACGGCAAAACCCTGACTCTCCTAAAAATACAAAAATTAGCCAGGCGTGATGGCAGGCACCTATAATCCCAGCTACTCGGGAGACTGAGGTAGGAGAACCGCTTGAATCCGGGAGGCGGAGGTTTCAGTGAGCCAAGATCGTGCCACTGCACTCCAGACTGGATGATAGAGTGACACTCCATCTAAATAAATAAATAAAGTATATGGGGTTGGTTATAAACAAGAGAAAGCCATTTTACAAAGATAAACCATTTCTGGGTTAGGTCACTTCCTAAGGTGGTTTCTAAACCAGCTTTTCTAACACCAAAAAACTCTGTATAGTGGACATCAGCTGGTTTGCCTATTCAATGCTCCTTTCTCCTTCTTCTGCAGGAAAACGATGACTTTTGAAATCCAGAGACTAAAGATGAGAAAGAATGAACAGTGGAGTTACCAGCCTTTCTCATGAGCCAAAGAGGAGGAGGAGCAAGTGGTAGAGAGAGGCAAAGGCAGGAAAATCTCAAAAGGTGTTTGTCTGTCTTAGCAGTGATGGAGGTAATGCTCCATTCACCGGGCCCCAGAGTAACTCAGGAGACAGCACAGCCCTTGAGTTTACTTTCTCTCTGTTTGGCCTAATGAGTTGAGCAAACATTTTGGCTCCTCAATAAAAGCACAATCTCAAGTTGCTTAAAAGGGATACAAAGTAGCTAATGGACTGGGAGAAATTGGTTGTAGCTGGAAGCACATCTCAGAAGCACATTTTGTTTATATCAAAACCTCATTTAAGTATCAGTTCAAGGGAAAGCTGCTAACAGGACAAGTTTAATACGACTAATACTTGCACAACCCCAGAACATTCCATTTCTATCAACCCGACAGATATAATTTTAAAAACATTTTAAAGTCACTAATATGGTAAGTTGCTACTAATACGGTACAAATTATAACAAAAAGGCACAAACATGATACTGAACATTTGCTGAGGAACTTAGCAGCAAATTTCATCATTGTACTAATATGATGACAGGCTGCAAATACCAGCATTTCACTGTACCATATCCCCATTAGTCCATGTTTATGATCTTACTAATGGCACAGTTATTCACAGATTAGTTCGTCTTTGAGACTCTGTGCTTTTGATGCTAATAAATGTAGTAGCTTCACCACCTACACTAACCTGAATTTCCCATTTTGACTTTTGTAGGAAAATTCATCACGTAAAACTCATTGCAGTTTGCAAAACTGCATTTACTTTGGTCAGTTACACATGGACATCACCGATGTACTTTGAGACAGTGGGGCTAACAGTACCTTGCCCACCAATGCCAACATTTCCCCTCATGGATTGTCTGAACAAAGACTAGCCTGATTGGAGCATTATGTGCGCAGCTGGGAAACCGCTTATTCAGAGGAATAATTCCCCCAGAGCTAAAACTCCACAGGCCTTGAAGAGATTTCTGGGCAGAAAATTATAAGTGCATCAGGAGAAGTCTGTGCAAAGAAAACCTCTGAGGTCTCGTCCACTAACTAAATGGCCCTGTTCCAAGAAATCAGATGGATGTCTTTGCCCACCTCTCTCGCGTACACCCAATAACACTGCACATTTCCAAGCTGTTTCAGAAATGCAATGTTAGAAAATTGTTAGAAAGTAAGTGTTTAACTAAGACAACAACCAGCAGTCTGTTCACTGGTCTCCAGAGAGGTGACACCACTTAAATTGTACAAGAAACTGTGTCATTATCCCCAGGGCTCACAGGAGGTATATGAGTGGGCATATAAACCATGACATTGGAATGGAAGTTTAAACTGGTCATTTCATATTATGCATACACTGTTACGAGTGAACATCTTGGTTAGAAATGGGAAGGTGGTATTTAGAATTGTTTACACTTTGTGTTGTTAACCTTTGTTAGTATGATGGTATATTATTGGGAGGAAAAAAATTTCATGTGCAAAAATAAAGTTTTGCTAAAGCAGTAATTTGAAGAAATTCAAGTATCTGCAGGCATCCCACAGGTGTTCCATTTGAGTCAAGTGAGAAGGGATATGGCATTATTTTTTGTATATTAGGCATATGAAAATATTTTACACTTCCACCAAGAAATCTGGTATATCCTATTTTCTTAACTTTTTTCTCAAGCATGGGACTCTTCTTGGTCTTTTCTTTTGCTGGTTTTGACAAAGACTCGGGTAAAATAAATGATTTCATTTCTACTTAATTCTACCATAAAGAAAAAAATGGCCGGGAGTGGTGGTTCACGCCTGAAATCCCAGCACTTTGAGAGGCCAAGGCAGGTAGATCATGAGGTCAGGAGATCAAGACCATCCTGGCCAACATGGTGAAACCCCATCTCTACTAAAATACAAAAAATTAGCAGGTAGTGCACCTGTAGTTCTAGGTACTCGAGAGGCTGAGGCAGGGGAATCACTTGAACCCGGGAGGCAGAGGTTGCAGTGAGCCGAGATCGCGCCATGGCAGTCCAGCCTGGCAATAGAACAAGACTCGTCTCGAAAAAAAAAGAAAAAAAAAAAAAGCCCAAGTGTGAGGATAAATAGAAACTGACAACTGGTGTCAGTTTAGGGGACTAATAGGGAAGTGCAAGGACGGTGGCAAAGTGTAGTATGCCTCATTCAAATAAAGCCATGGTTATTCAGTTACAGGAAATTGTTTACATGTTGAAATGCAAGCCCAGGCCGGGCGCGGTGGCTCACGCCTGTAATCCCAGCACTTTGGGAAGCTGAGGCAGGCAGATCACGAGGTCAGGAGATCAAGACCATCCTGGCTAAAACGGTGAAATCCCGTCTCTACTAAAAATAAAAAAAATTAGCCGAGCGTGGTGGCAGGCACCTGTAGTCCCAGCTACTCGGGAGACTGAGGCAGGAGAATGGTGTGAACCTGAGAGGCGGACCTTGCAGTGAGCCAAGATCGCACCACTGCACTCCAGCCTGCGCAACAGAGCGAGACTCCGTCTCATAAAAAAAGAAAAATAAATAAAAAAAAGAAAAAATAAAAAGAAATGCAAACCCAAAGTTGTGTGGGCTTTTATTTTTTAATACTTATTGTTTTAAAGAGAAGCCAAAAAAAATCTAGATATTTCTGTAAAACTTCCAGATTATTAAATACTTGCAACTGTTTTATCCTTCTTTCCCCTAATCATGTATGCTAACAAACACTGTTACAAGGCAACACAGCAACTGAAAGTTTTTGACTTCCCAACTCTTCTCCTAGAGTTCTTTTGGGCAACCTCTCAGTGCTCTATAAATAATTGTTAACTAAAACCAATAACTGCTTGCATTTGAAGACGGTTTGATCATCACTGAGCAATGAAGCACTTTTACTGTTGGTACCCAGAAGTGGATTCCCTATATATGCAACATCACTGCAGTCTGTACCTATGCAACAGAACAAAACCAACTTGTCTGTAGTAAGATCAACTGCACAGCCTCAGCCCCATGAGTACACATTTCAAATAACACAGAACTTCATCTTGGCTACTATCGAATTTGCCGTATGTTGCTTTTACGCTTTGGGGAGTTCCTTTGCCCCTTTTTTCTCTTTTTCTTTAATTCTCACCCTTTGACTTCCCTTTGATTCTACTCTCAATGAGCTCCCCTACCTCTTCCCAACCTCACCATTTCCAATCCCAGAAGTTTTCACAATGTCTCACTGGGGGATGGCTTTAGAGAACTTAGTTACCTGTACTCATTACAGAGATATGTTGCGCAATAGACAAATATAGATCTCTTTTCCAAAAGAAAATGCATCTGTTTATCTTTGGTTTTAAGCATTTCTTTATAATGTTTTCAGGTATAATTTTTTCTTATGCTTATACTGCTTGTTTTTCCCCATGCTCTCTGGAGTATAAGCTGATGTTTTCACCAAATTTGGAAAATCTTAGCTTTTATTCCTTAAAATGGTTTTTTGTCCCATTGTCTGTCTCTTCTCTCCATTCAGAAATCCAATTATATGTATTTAAATGCTTGATATTTCCCATAAATCACTGAGGCTTTTTTCAATTTTTTTCAATATTTTTCTTCTTCCTGTTCCTTAGTTCTATTCTTCACTGTCTTCAAGTTAACAGATTTCTGTATTCAGCATTTTACAATCTGATGTTTACATTTCAGATACTGTACTGTCAATTTTATTAGGTTGATGCAAAATAATTGCAGCTTTTGCCATTATTTTAATTATTATCATTTTAATGGCAAAAGCCGTAATTACTTTTGCATCAACCTAACAGAATCTCAGTTTGGTTCTTGCTTATGGTTTTCATTCGATTTCTGAGACTTCCCATCTGCGAACTCATCATGTCCATCTTTTCCTATAAACCCTACAATATTTCAAACAGTTATTTCAAAGTCCTTGTCTACTTCAATCCTAACATTTGGGTCATCTTGTAGTCCCTTTCTACTGACTGTTTTTTCTCCTAATCAGTGGACAAAACATTTCCTTAAAAGAGACAGAAAACAAATATTGTAGGCTCTGTGGGCCATATGGTCTCCGTTGAAACTGTCCAACCTTCTTGTTACAAAACAAAAGAAGCCATAGGCAAAATGGAAACAAATAGGAATGACTATATTCCAATGAAATAAGAATATTTACAGAAACAGGGAGCTGTCTCATAAACTGTGGCTTGCCAAACACTGCTCTGGATTGTCAGTCAATTTTTTTTTCTTTTCTACACATCTAGTATTTATTTATTTGTTATTTTTATGAGACAATGCCTTGCTCTGTCACCCAGGCTGGAGTGCAGTCATGAAATCACAGCTCACTCTGACCTCTTGGGCTCAAACAATCCTCCTGCCTCAGCCCCCTGAGTAACTGGTACCAAGGGCATGTGCCACCGTTCCTGTGTAATTTTTTTTTGTATATATTTTTTTTTATTATTTTGTAGAGAAGGGGTTTTGCCATGGTGCCCAGGCCGGTCTTGAAGTCTTGGGCTCAAGTGCTCCACTCACCTCGACCTCCCAAAGGGGCTGGGATTACACGTGTGAGCCTCCACACCAGCCATGGTATTTATCATTACTGGACATTTACCATTGGACATTTCAATTGTGTGGATTTCAATACATAGAACGAATTGTAGGGGGTCTGAATTATATCGTCTTTCTTTAAATGGTGGTTGAGTTTTGTTCTGGCAGCGCTCGGCTAACTCATGCATGCTCTTGACCCTGTAAAGCTCATTTTCATGCTTTGTTGGGAAGATCTTCTTAGGATTTGTCTACAGTCATGGGCCATGCCCCTTCATATAGGGAAGGGATTGGCTGACATTTTCTGAAAAGAGCCAAATAGTAGAAATTTTAGGCTTTGCAGGTAAAATAGTCTCAGTCACATATTATTAAGTTTTAATCATCTAAAACCCATTTTAGTTGATCACAGACTACAAAGACAGCCCATAGCCAGATGTTGCCTGCAGAGCATAATTTGCTGACCCTTGCCCTAAGATACACACTTTACTCCTAAAGTCTGATCTTTCTGGAGTCTCAACTGAATACCTACAACCTGTACTACCTCTACCCTGGCCTCTGTGTCACAGTTAACCCTCCCTGTGAGGACTCACAAAGCCTGACCCTGCACATAAGTGGCTTATTCCTCAGCCAAGAACTCAGGGCATGGAGACTTCTCCTTCCCACACAGATCTGTCCTTTCTGTAGCAACCGGTTCCACAAATTCCAGCTACTTCCTCATCCCCAACTTGTAAATTCTTCATCTCAGAGCACTTATGTTCAAGACGTTCCTCCCAGGAATAAAACTGGGCCAACGGTAGCTTCATCTCACATGTCTCCGATTCTCTGAAGGATCACAGCTCTGTGCTGCTTTGTACCCATTGCCTGAAAATGATGCTTCATATATTTTGTCCAGTATTAAAGTTGTTTATGGTACAAGTTATTCTAACATGGCAAAAAACAGAAGATCCTCTGAAATATTCTGAAATCTCTTCCTAGGGCAGCTTTCTAGAATAACGGTTATCTTGTAGCCAGATTATGTTATTGGTGCATACTGATTCTTTCATTGTATTAACAACAAAAAACAATAGCCACTGGTATTTGCAAACATGTATTAATATTTAGTTTCTACTATGTTATAGGCAGTAGAGAGTAGAGTTAAGAACAAAATAAGCATTCTCTTACCCTTAAGAGGAGTCAATCTAAAGGGAGTAAGAAGACAGGAGAACGAGAAACCATGACCAAGTAAACCACAAAACAAACGAGGGAATAACAGATTGTGGGTAAGCGTAAGGAAGGTGATAAGCACTGTAATGAAAGTGATGAATGAAGAATAAGAGTAGCATTAATTAAGCTCTTTAAAGGTCATTCTGGCCCTAAGGAGTGAATAGAAGGTTCAGTGATCATAATTTATTCTCCAAACCAGGACTTTCTGGGGAAAGAAGAAAGTGCTATTAATAATTATACCAGGACAACAGTTGTAACTACTATTGTTCCAGGCAGCTCAAGATACATGTTTACCGTAAAAGGAACAAAGACTAGAGAACGGGTCAGAAAGTTGGAATGCTATTGAAATAATCTAGTTTAGAAATCGTTATGACTTCGAGTAGGTTTGCGAGAGTGAATTTTGAGAGGAATTCATAGACTTAAGAGATATTAGGAATCACAAATCTAAAGGAGAAGGTAGAGCTGAAAAAGATGTAGTAGTGAAGAGCAACAGCTGAGCTTCTGGTCTCAACAACTGAATTAGGAGCTGTTGTAAAAAGACATGATAAGGGAGGAAGAGCAGATTAATGGGCAGGTGTGTGTGTGTAGAAGACACAGATGATGAGTGTGAATTTGGGTATATGAAGTTTAAGATGTCTAAGTGATATTTAAGTTAAAATAAACAGTAACTTTTTGTGTATAGGGACCTAGAATTCAGGTAGTATTTCAATACTGGGAAAATATATATATATGTATGTATGTATGTATGTATAAATTACCCAGGTTATGTATACAGACAAACACACACACACACACACACACACACACACATATCTGGGCAAATTAGTGTTGGGGTCAGTTGTGACCCCAACAACAATTTGTGATCAAGTTGTAGTTGCTTTCAAATCTATTCAAAAATCCAAGAATTAGCAGATACATAAAATATAATATGTATGTAATACATATATATCCTTTAAATGATCTGCCACACTTCCTGCAGCTAGGAGGCTAGGAGGGGTAATAATACTCTCCTCTGCGCTTTTCTAACACCTAATTTCATGACTAACAAATCGCATTTTCTTTTTCCTGGCATTATAATTACATATACCTACCTTTTCACACCACCTACCAGAATGCACAGCCCTTGAGAGCAAGACATTACTATTCTCCTAGTGGTGTATGTAGTATATGCTCAATAAAAGCTTTTAGAATAATCTAATTCCTCTGTGATACCTAAGAACCAATACTAGTCAAAACGGAAGCTTCAGGGTAGCAGCCGAGAAGCTCCACTTGTGAAGAAATTGTAATGTGTTAAGCCAGATGGGACCCTCCTTTCTCAGGCTTTGAGTAAAGATAGGCTTGTGAAGGGCTATGCTGTTTTTTGAAGTTCATTTCTCTTAATGGCAAATGTAGCTTGAGGACAACTTGACAACATGCCACTCTGGGCAAAATTGCTTGCACTAAGGATTTTCCAAATTCCAAGCTGAGTCCTGCTTACTAGCTCATGAACCCTTCACCTACCCAACAACCACAGTCTTGTCAGTGCTGGTTTTGTCACCCTTGGTCAATTTGGTGTCTGTGCAGTTAGGTTCCAGTTTCCCAATCCGCACCACCTGAATGGCTAAGGGGAAGGGGGATGGCTAAACCTCAATTCTTCAGTTTAAGGCCAGTTTTGGGAAACATTCAGGGCAGGATGCTCTTGCCTACTTAGAAAAGTATTATTACTAAAGCTGTGCTCCCAAATCACTTCATGCCAAGGGAGATGGCTCTGCATTAGAACATTTAGGAGCAAATAAGCAAACCCAGGTTAATCAAAACCACTTAAACGTAAACTCAGCTATCTTGAAAAGAGTTCAGTGTTTAATTCAGACATCTATAAAAACATGCCTTTGGCGTAAAGATGTCAAGACACATATGCAATCAAGATTAAGAATATACAACCCCTGAAAATAACACCACAAAATTGCCAAAAATATTTAAATCTCTAAGTTGTTATCAGAATACTCGGTATATGCATATATCTGTGTATGCGTGGGTGCATCTGAGGCAGACAAGTTTTCCAAAATCATGCCTCCATGTTCTCTATCCAGGAAAGCATCTATATTGTTAAAAGCAACCTGCAAATAAGAAACCACACTGAGGCAAGTATAAATGAGTGGAATGTGGCAGCAAATACATCAGTCTCCTCATATGTGAGCAAGACACTGTGCCATCAAAACCTCGTGCTCTGATCGCTCAGTGAGCCAAACTCAAGTTTTTTAACTTTTGGGAAATGCACCATGAGCACAGCGGCAGTTGCTTGCAAACCTATTCAATAATCCAAGAATCCACATCCTACAACAGCAGTGATGTACTGTGCAAGAGAGGAAAAAGAGGAGGAGGGATAAAAGACTGATGGCAAAAGGATGATGATGAGAATATCCACTGATCAGAAAACCTTACTTGATGGAATTATTAGGCTATGGTGTTTCTCATTATGGCGAATGTACTATTTTAGTTTCCGTTTCCCTGAAAGCAGAGCTGGGGTAAAATTCAAGCGCAAATTCTACATTTTGGAGTGATGTAAGGGAACATCAATGGGGAATGGAAATTGAGACATGGATAGGAGGAACACAATTTTTGTTAACGAGCAAGTGCCCACTATGGGCAACTGGGGCTTAATCCCATTGTAGAGCTCTGGGAGATGGCAGAACACACCTCGATGCTGCCCCACTTACTCTAGCGCATGAGGAAGCTGGGGCACGATCCACTAAGTCCCCATTTATCCTCAGTTGAGTGCTTTTTCCAGGGTTGTTAATTCCATGATGCTTCTTGCTTACCCAGGCCGTGAAAGGAATGTGTCCCATAGCCAGAAAAATAGCCCTTATGAAGAGGTTCAGTGTAAAAGCACACTATCATGTCTTTTGCAAGGACATAGATGAAGCTGGAAGCCATTATCCTCAGTGAACGAAAACAGGAACAGAAAACTGAACACCGCATGCTCTCACTTGTAAGTAGGAGCTGAACAACGAACACACAGAAACATGAAGGGGAACCACACACACCGGGCCTCTTTGGGGAGACTGATGGGAGGGAGAGCATTAGGGAAAACAGCTAATGCACGCAGGGCTTAATACCTAGATGGTGGGATGACAGGTGCAGCAAAACACCATGGCACATGTTTACCTATGTAACAAACCTGCACATCCTGCACATGTATCCTGGAACTTAAAAAACAATAATTAAAAAATAAATAAATTAAAGGATTAAAAAATATATAGGTTCATAGGTGTTTTTCATAGCCAGCTTTTGACATAAAGGAGTGGGTGATAAAATAATGTCAGGGATCTGATGCCATCTGCTACAGACATCTCCTAGAGTCTTTAGAAACATCCATTCACTCATTCATTCATGTGTTTTACTTAGCACTTAAGTGACACATACAAATGCTTCTGGTTTTAATAATTTTACATTTCTACATTCTCATTACCTTACTTGACACACTTCGTGAGTAGAAATCAACAGAACTATCAAGTAATAAAATAGTATCAGGCCGGGCGCGGTGGCTCATGCCTGAAACCCCAGCACATTGGGAGGCCATGGCAGGTGGACCACTTGAGGTCTGGAGTTCGAGACCAGCCTGGCCAACATGGTGAAACTCCATCTCTGCTAAAAATACAAAAAATTAGCTGGGTGTGGTGGCAGGGACCTGTAATCCCAGCTACTTGGGAGGCTGAGACAGGAGAATCTCCTGAACCCGGAGGGGCAGAGGTTGCAATGAACTGAGATTGCACCATTGCACTCCAGCCTGGGAAACAAGAGTGAAACTCTGTCTCAAAATAATAAATAATAATAATAATAATAGTATCAAAGAGTCAGTACTATTATGGTAGACATTCTAACAATGCTTCTTTTGTAACAGCTGGACTTAAATGGTGAAGCAATGAATGCCAGTAGGGACTGCAAAAGAAGAAGTTCAAAAGGCAGGTAGAGGTGAGTCCTGGGCCAATGGCCACCCTGGGCTACCTTGGATGGTAGTTCTGAATGCTCTGGTCTCTGACTTTCTATATTTTATATGAAAATGGAGGTGGACCATCCCAGAACACAAATCAAATGTCTGCAGTGTTTGAATACACATGGAGAATCAGTCTACTTAGAGTGGGGATACTACATAACTAGTGTGGCATGATTTTGGACCGACAATCTTGGCTGGCTGATCTTAGATCTATGTATGCTATGGTACATGGCAAACAGGATTTTGCCAATGGAATTATAATTACGGATCTTAAAATAGGGAGATTATCCTGGATAATCTGGGTGGACCCAACGTAATCACATGAACCCTTAAAAGCAGGAGAGAAACCAGTCCGACAGATACAACAGAAGAAGAGGCACGAGAGAGTCAAACCATGAGAGTGATTCATGAAACCATGGCTGGCTTTAAAGATGAAGGAAGGAGCCATGAATTACAAAAAAAAAAAAAAAAAATGGCGCCCTCTAGACACTAGGAATGACCCTCAGCTCACACCCAGTAAAATACACCATGGAATACTATGCAGCCATAAAAAATGATGAGTTCATGTCCTTTGTAGGGACATGGATGAAATTGGAAATCATCATTCTCAGTAAACTATCGCAAGGACAAAAAATCAAACAACACATATTCTCACTCATAGGTAGGAATTGAACAATGAGAACACATGGACACAGGAAGGGGAACATCACACTCTGGGGATTGTTGTGGGGTGGGGGGACGGGGGAGGGATAGCTTTGGGAGATATACCTAATGCTAAATGATGAGTTAATGGGTGCACCACACCAACATGGCACATGTATACATACGTAACTAACCTAAACATTGTGCACATGTACCCTAAAACTTAAAATATAATAAAATAAAAAAAGAAAACAAAAAAAGAAAACAGGGACCTCAGTTCTACAACTACAGGGAATTGGACTCTGACTGCAATCAGAATGATAAAAAAAAAAAAAAGGATTCTCTCCTAGAGCCTCCAAAAGAAACACAGCCTTGGCGACATTTCAGTTTTACTTCAGTGAGATTCTTGTTGAAATTCTGACCTAAAGAACTGCAGAATAGTAAATTTGTGTTCTATAAACCACTATTTTTTTTGTGGTAATTTGTTAGGGCCACAATAAAAAACTAACACAGATTTCAACATGAGTACCAACTCTGAACTAATAATTTCGGCTGCCTGGAAGAACTCTGCTTTAATTAAGTTTTCAAGATCACCCTCTGGGTTTGGTGAAAGGATCACCTGTTCAGTTCTCCGGGCCCATGTCACAAGCATGGAAGGCTGCCGCTGGCATATGAGTTCCCCTTCAGATATGCCTGGTATAGATTCTGTGTGTGTCCCTTCAGCTTAACTTATTATTATTTACTTACAGTAGATGCTCTGTGTGCATAATCTGTTACTGTTTGTTAGGAGCATAAAGAGGCATTTCCATGTGTCTTTGGAATGAAAAATTCTACAGTTTGGTATATAAACTACCACATGAGTAATCTGTTTTTAGAAAATAAATGGTCTGGGTTCAAAATAAGTAAATGGCTAGAAATAGAAGGATTCTGCCACTCACTGGCTGGGAAGACAGAGTTGACATCAAGTGCTCCTCTTATTGAACCAAACCTTTGTGTTTTCTTTCACTTTTCTCCCTGGAAAACCCTGGCATACAAAGAAGAAATGATTTCAACCACCAATCCACTCAGTGACTTCAGTCCTGACTGTGGAAGGACCTTAAATTAGAACACATAGATTTCTATAATTGCTGCTATAGTTTTGGGAAATTGTCTACACTTTTAACAAAAACACCCCCCGCTTTATGAGTCAGGGTCAAGAAGGTAGATGTTAAATAATTTAACTGGTAGCACCTAAAACTTTGCACATAAAATACTCAGCTCATTTGGTAGCTATTTAAATTTCTAACTAACCAGGGGAGGCATTTTCCACCTGTCATAGTTGGATCCTACAAAGGTTGGGCCTCAATGCTAGGTCTAACCCCAAAGTCCAAATCAATAAAGAAAACCATACCCTTCTCGTATCTTAGCCTCACAATGGGACTGATCATTTTAGCTCCTTTCTAAAAAGCAAATGCATTCTTACCTTGAGCTAAGGCAATCTCAATAGACATCAAGGTAACGTACCATGTTTGTCAAAACAAGTGAATATAGACCTGGGTTCAATTCCCAGCTCCACAATTAGCTATGGTTCTAACTCTTAACCTCCCTTTTTCTCTAAGTGTGAATTAAAGAGAATCTCTGGACTAATATGTGCATTGCTTAGCATTTGTTTGTGCCTAATGACTATAGGCTTTAAGATTCTCATGCAAATACTATCAAAACACTCTGAAGTGACTTAGATGTTTGCAAAACTTTTTTCCCCCTTGGAGTGAATTAAACCATTTCAATTGGTAATAGTTTTTTTTTGTTGTTATTTATTTGTTATTCTCTGGGTATAGGGTTTTACACAAGTTACTGTGGGGGAAAAACACATAAGGATCAGGGCCTTACACAGAAAGACATGTACCCCATGAACTCACTTCCATGTAGCGTCTAAAAAAATTAAACTCATAAAAGCAAGAGTAGAATGGTGATTACCAGAGGCTTGGAGGCTGGAGGATTTAGGAGATATTGGTCAAATAATACAAACTTTCACTTAGACAGGAGGAATGAGTTCATCAGATCTACTGTGCAACATGGCGGCTACAGGTAATCACAGCGTATTATATTCCCCAAAACTGCTGAGAGCGTAAATTTTAAGTATTCTTACCCTAAAAAATAAGGTAAGTATGTGAGGTCATGCAATGCTAATTAGTTCAATTTAGCCATTTCACAATGTACACATACTAAAACACCATGCTGTATACAATAAGGATATACCATTTTAATTTGTCAATTTTAGAAAAATGGTATTAAAAAGGGTCAGCGTCTTAGATAGATGGCAGCTTTGCTGCAGAAGCAGGTTCAGAAAAACCCATGCAAAACCATGGAGCATGTGGACAGAGGAACGAGGCAGGGTGCTTGGAGATGATGCTGAACACGAGTGGGCAGGTGGAGTGTATCAGGGGAAAGGTGGCATTCAAGATGAGACGTGCACCTGAAGAAAGCAGATTACACGGCTCCATCAGATCATCCCTAAAAGGACCACACGGGCACCTTCTACCTTCGCTACAAGAAAGCTAGATAGAAGCAAAATTTCTAAGTAAGCTAGGGGCACTAAACCATGAAATATTAGAATGCATTCTTCCAAACACCAGTTGCTTGCTCATTTAGGTAAGGTTACAAATGCGTCTCCATACAGAATTGGTCTCACAGGAGGCTGTAAACTCCAGAGATGAAACCAAGTAACACGCTGTGACTCACATACTCATCTGTTCCTTTCTCCATCCATATCGAACAATAGAGGATTGCTGCGTCCATCTGATTTGTTGTATGTGGTGGTGACACACAGGGAGCCAAGGACATCATCTCTATCCCCCAAGGGAGTCCACTATTTTTTAAGTAAACAAGAAAATGCACATACAGAGGGAGTATCATACCACAGCTAGTTTAAAATTGCATTTCAAAAGGGCAATAGGATTTAGAATATGTAATTAAATCAGAGGTACCAATACACATCAGGATGAACTATCAAGTTCGGGGGGCTTTTTGTTGGTTAGTTGGTTGTTCATTTGCTTTTGATTTTAGTAGCAATGTATTTGATTCTCACGAGGTTTAGATGTGCGTTTGCTAGGGCTACCGTAACAAAGTACCGTGGACCAGGGAAATCAAACAACAGAAATTTACTTCCCCACAGTGCTGGAGGCCAGAAGTCTGCGACTCAGGTGTCAGGGGGGTTGGTTTCTTCTCAGATCATCCTCCTTTGACTGGTAGGTGATCATCTCCCTTTGGGTCATGTAGTTTGCCCTTTGTGCGTGTCTATGTCCTAATCTCCTCTTCTTATAAGAACACCACCCAGCCAGGCATGGTGGCTCACACCTGTAAACCCAACACTTTGGGAGGCTGAGGCAGGCAGCTCACCTGAGGTCAGGGGTTCAAGACCAGCCTGGGCAACATGGTGAAACCCCATCTCTACTAAAAATACAAAAATTAGCTGGGTATGGTGGCGGGTGCCTGTAGGCCCAGCTACTCAGGAGGCTGAGGCAAGACAATTACTTGAACCTGGGAGGCGGAAGTTGCAGTGAGCAGAGATCACGCCACTGCACTCCAGCCTAGGCCACATAGTGAGACTCCACCTCAGAAAAAAAAAAAAAAAAAAAAAAAGAACACCAGTCATACTGGATTAGGGCCCACGCTTATGGACTCATTTTATCTTACTTATCTTTTTAAAGACCTTAGCTTCAAGTACAGTCACATTCTGAGTTACTAGAGGCTAGAACTTCCATGTATGACTTTTGTCAGGACACAACTCAGCCCATATAACATGATAATTTAGTATAGTTGTTCCTCCATATCCATGGACCTTGGTGTCAAGACTTCCTGCGAATACCAAAGTCCATGGATGCTGATATAAAATGAGGTCTCTGATATAAAATGGAGTGATATTTGCATATAACCTATGCACATCCACCCACATACTTTAAAACATCTCTATATTACTTGAATACCTGATGCAATGCGAATGCTATGTAAGCAGTTATTATCCAGAATGTTTAGGGAATGATGACAAAAAGTCTGCACATGTTCCGTGCAGACCCAGGTGTGTGTTGGGTTTTTTTTCCCCCTAAATATATTTGAAGCACAGTTGGTTGAATCTGCAAATATGAAACCTACAGATATGAAGGGCCAATAGCATTCCTAGGATAAGGCTGAGACATCAAAACATTTTACCAGCTAAATTTGAAAAGTACTATTCTCAACTCTCATTCCCACTTGAGAAATGGCTTAAAAATAGTCCCTTGGGTCCATCTCCAGAATCTGATCCAGTAGGTCTGGGGTAGAGCTGAGGAAATGGCACTTGTTATAAACATTCTCAGTGGCCTTTGAAGGGTACTCTGAGAAGGAAGAAGTTGGCAGAGAGACATGTGATGATCCCGTAACATCACAAGTTCCTCTGATACTGATATATCTTTGATACTGATACAGATCCTTTATCTGTGGGCACGGGGGTGGTCCCCTGGGGTTGGGGGGAATATCTTACTCCTACAGGGAAGGACAGAGTTCCAAAGACCCTGAAGCACAGACCTCTCTTCCTGTGCCTACCTGCTCTTGATGACTGAGAACTGACCCAAAAAGATGTACAAATTCAGGTAAGCATCTAGCCCTGCGTGTGCCCTAAACCAAGAGCTCCTTTCTCTTAGCTGTCAATACATAAAGTCAGCGCCGATTCACAGAGGCATCAGGGAGGCATTGCAGGGTATGATGAAGAGTTGGCTTTTAGCAAACCTTTAACCAAACTCTTGGCTCTGCAGTTCTCCAAGTTTAGCACATTTCCCCAGTGTATCAGTAGGGATTCTTCGATCACAGAAAAAAGGAATAGGTCTGACTAACTTCAGCAAAAAAAAAAAAAAAAAAAAAAAAAAAAAAAAAAATGGCGATCATTTGAATGAGATGAGGTAGCTTAAGGGACGGATAGATGGATAACCAGGGTTAAACATAAAGGCAGGAATCAGGGTGAATCTGAGGTCTAGCCCTGGGAACCGTCTCTTCACTCAATTTCACCAGAATATCACTACCGAAATGAATGAACTCCAGGTTTTCAATCATGCTTGTTTTCTTCACCATATTTAGCATTACCCTACTCAATATTCAGAGTCTCAGGAGAAAGAATTCAACTGTCCTGCCTTGGCCATATCCACATCTGTTGGCTAGGGACAGGTGTTGTGATTTATCCTCTCTCCAAGACTGCACACGTGAAAGAGGAAATTTAACCCAAATAGAATAATAAAGTACTAGCTACCATAGGCAGAAATGTCTGTTGGATGCAGACAACAAGGAAGCATATACTGCAGACAACAAGGAAGCACATGCTTGCTGTACCCATGATTCATCCACATACAAGCACAGGGTAAATAAGGTTTAACTATGGCCATGAAGGAAGACAGAAAGCTTTTATATCTCATTACCATTTTTCCTTTTTTCTTTTCTTTTTTTTTTTTTTTTTTTTTGAGATGGAGTCTCACTCTGTCTCTCAGACTGGAGTGCAGTGGCATGATCTCGGCTCACTGCAACCTCATGATCTCGGTTCACGGCATTCTCCTGCCTCAGCCTCCTGAGTAGCTGGAACTGCAGGCACCCGCCACCATGCCCAGCTAATTTTTTGTGTGTTTTTAGTAGAGATGGGGTTTCACCGTGTTAGCCAGGATAGTCTCGATCTCCTGACCTGCTGATCAGCCCACCTCAGCCTCCCAAAGTGCTGGGATTACAGGTGTGAGCCACCACACCCGGCCTCGTTGCCATTTTTCCTGGGACCATCTCAGGTTTGTCTGCATCATCAGGAAAGGAGAGTTTCTTGCTCCTTACTCATTCCCACTGAAACTTGCCCCTTCCTACCCCCAACTGGAGGGAACTAGAGATGCCCTATTTATTTGCTTCCTGCCCTATTTCCCTTGCCTATCACGTATTTTTTTTTCTCCTGAAATGGTATTTAGACCTCAAAGGAACAGAGCAGGAAGACAAGTCCTTGCTGAGGCATCAGTCATAGAAATGAAGAGTAGCTATGACAAATTAAAATGTCAGCATTATTAGCGATTTGCTTGGAGCTGTTTGATACAGATTTAATGATAAAGCAAGAAATGGGAATAGATTTTCCCTGGAAAGGGGCATGAGGACTGGGGATAATAGGCTAAATTAAAGCAAGGGAAAGGGAGAATGAATATTAGGCCAAATATCCTAAATGTGTGAACTTTTTTTTGAGTCTTCTCCAAATAAAGTGTTCAAATGCCTGGGGAGACTCAAAGAATTAATTAACATATATGTGAATTATAAGATTCAGCATCAAAAATGAAGAAAAGTGGACACCTGTACACTTCTTTATTTAATCATATTTCACAATGAAGTTGGAGAAATTAAAATCTGTGACTAGTTGGCTGATTTCTTGATCAGAATCAATCAAGAAGTTGATTTCCTTGCGTTCATCAATTAATGTTCTTGCAAAGACTGGAGAACATACAAGCTCTGTATGGAACAGGTCTTGTGAAGATGACATTTAAAAAACATTTTAAAAAACATTTTAAATGTACTTATGAGTTTCTTATTTTACTAGAGAAGCTGCCCCTGGGGATCATTTGCCTGAGTTCCTGCAGCTTCTAGAAGTAGAGAACTAATTACTTTGGGGCAAACTCCCTTTGCTTGGAGAAAATCACAAAGTTGGGACCATTCGTTATGTAAGATTAAAGCAAGCAAACTTCTGCCAGTTTTTTCCTTGTATGTGTGCACGTGCACGTACACACACACACACACAGGAGAACATACATGAAATCTCATCAACCATGAAGATCTCAGGCCTGAATCCTGAGGGTTCTCTGTAAGTCACCACCTACCTGGGATTTCTGCTAACCCCTGAGCTAATCACTGAAGTCTGGCTTTAGCTGATCATTTGGAAAGTTAATGCAAAGAATGGTATTCATGCTTACAGAGGAATGCTTTTGAGGACAGAACAATCCAGAGAGGGAACTTACCAGACTTTTCTTAAGTGAGGGGAGAATTCTGGAACAGCCGAACAACAATTTGCATAGGACAAGCACCAGGATGTATACGTGGAAATGTCACCCTCCTTGGGGAGTCCCAGAAATTACTTGCTGGGGGATCCAATAAAAAAGGATAAATTTGTTCTTCCATTATAGACAGATGGGGTTCTGAGTCATTAGGGTTGGAACATAAAAATAAGCATAATTTTATTTTGTGTTTCCAGCCCTAATTGTAGCTATTCTGTTCTTTAAAAGCCATTTCATTTGAGAATGGCAGAAGGTATTTAACTGGAAGCCTTTAAAGCAAGAAATCACTTTTAAAGTGATATAGAAATAACTTCAGGCTTTTGTTTTAATGTAAAACATATGAACGTGCATGCATTTATTGATCTTTGATGTGAGTCTAAGGCCTTTTCTTTGAATGATTTCTCTGTTGATAAAAATCCCTCATTAACCTTCCCACATACACCTCACTAACATTTCAGTCACCAGCAGGGGTTGGCTAACTATGGCCCACTGCCTGTTCTTGTAAATAAAGTTTTATTGAGACATAGCCTCAATCATTCATTTTATCTATGGCTGCTTTTGTGCTATTATGGCAGTGTCGAGTGGGGGCAATGGAGACCCTATGGCCTTCAGGTCCTAAAATAGTCACAATCTGGCTTTTTTCAGAAAAAGTTTAAAGTTTGTTAACTCTATGGTATCAATTCTGGGTTTGATTAAAGTGGAATGAGAATGTCAAGACACATTGAAAAGAATCTGACTGCAGAATCTTTCCACATTTCTGAGGGCTTTTTTCCACTAATATTTTACAGTCTTCTCACCCACAGCTAAGCAAAATAATTTTTGAATCGTGTTTTCATACAATGTTTCCAAAGCATTTAGTTTTCATAGAAACAGCTCTTTTTCTTACTGCACTCATTTTTCATCAGTTTACATAATATTCCACTAACTAATGTAATTACAATGAAAAGTGCAGCTGGCAGAAGCAGCCCTGGGAACAAATACAACTGACTCTTGGCAAGCAGACACTGCAACGGGTGAAGAGAAAGGTAAATTTGTACCAAACAGTCACTACATAGGATGCTGTGCACATCTGCCAATATGCTTTATAAAGAGATGGGACAGTATGTATTAATCTGGTACGTTTGATAAGTGAAGGTCAATCAGGTAAGCTTCTTCTATTCATACCCTTTTACACAGCATCTCTTGTTTCTCATATTCATCAGTTTCACATTGAACATTTTTTGCCAATGGTTGTCAATGATTATTTGACAAATGCATGTCTTTTCCACTAGGCTGTGAGGTATAAGAGAATAAGAGTGGTGCAAGTTTTAGTATATTATTATACCTCTACTGCCTAGCACAGTGATTGGCATACGGTTTCTGCTCAAAAAATATTTCTTGAATAAATAACTGAACAGAAGCAGGCATTTCTACAACGAACCATCCTAAAATTATAGTCAGGAAGAACTCATGGATCCTGTGAGGTCTCACCAAGGGGTGGGGAGAAGGGGGGCTTACATTTTCTTCCGTGCTATCGTAAGAGCCACTAAGGAATGAAAAGCTGGGCTTTAAAAAGTGGAGAGGGGTGAGACACAGCGGGAGAAGGTATCTCTGATTCTGATAGCTCAATTGCAAGGCAGTTGGGAAGTTTCATTATCTGATGTCCAGATGAAGGCGATGGGTTTAAGCCAAGAAGATCATTAGCAATTTTCATTATGCAATCCACATCACTCTCATATCTAGCAGAAATGAGAAACTCGCTTGTAACTGGCAAATTAAATATTGATAATGCAGATCTGCTCTACAACCTCTTTCACAAGGCGGGTACCATGATTTCAGTATTTCTAAAAAACTCAGTCATTTGCATTCCAGTATCACAATCTTTGTCATAACTGCGGGCAATATGTAACATTATGAAGTTAATATTTATCTTTAAAGCAACCCATTTTTAACTTAAATAAGTGGAACAATAAATGGAACATAAAATACGATGTGTGCCAAGGAAACTTTGTATTGCCACGGTAAATGAAAAACCAATATCAACAGTCACACATAAAAGTTAATGAAAAAAATCCATTAATATCCAACAATAATTAAGAACCTTTTTTATTCCAGACACTTTTCTAACAACCTCATATGCATTAATTAGTTTAATCTTTTTTTGCATGCAAAAATACAAACACGAAGACACATGCGCATGCACACACACACACACACAAACTTATGAAATCTGTGCAATGATTATCTCCACTATACAGGTGAGGAATTTGACATAGAGAGGATTGAAGTAACATGTACAAGGCTACAAAGTGCTAAGTTGCAAAGTCTAGATTTTATCTCAGTAGGCGTAGCTCCAGGCCCCTGATTCTTAATAGTGTATTTTGCAAACAATGTTTTCAAAGTGCAAAGAGATGCTCTGGGGCTGGAGGCTCTCATCCTGAGGCACACTCCCTTTCCCTTAAAAAAGAAAGCTTAGAAAGTGTTACAGCCCTGCTAAAGATACTTTAGTTTAAACTGAGCATTTCTGATTGGCATAAAAACCACAGAGAGACAATGGAAAGGGGAGTAACTTTCTAAGTGATTCCCCCTTTCTTAATGAGTTAGTGTTCGCCTGAAAGCTGTGAGTAAGACGTGCGGTAGGTGTCCTATATTTTGAGAAATACAGAGCTAGCAGTTGGTGGTAGCACATGTATTTTCCAGGATCCTTTGTTCAGCTGATATCCACATTTTGAAAGCATAGCAGAGATCTATATCTGGTGGTTTTCGTGTTTTTTTTTTTTTTTTCCCCACAGTCTCCCTCTGTCGACCAGACTGGAGTGCAGTGGCATGATCTCTGCTCACTGCAACCTCCACCTCCCGGGGTCAAGCAATTCTCCTGCCTCAGCCTCCGGAGTAGCTGGGACTACAGGCGCCCGCCACCATGCCTGGCTAATTTTTGTATTTTTAGCAGAGACGGGGTTTCACCATGTTGGCTAGGCTAGTCTCCAACTCCTGATCTCAGGTGATCCACCCACCTTGGCCTCCCAAAGTGCTGGGATGACAGGTGTGAGTCACTGCACCCGGCATCTATGGTGTTATTTACTCAGCTAGCAATGGCTCCTTTTCCCCAGTAATGAAGTCTTCCCTCAAGAGTTGGCCCTGGGCAACTGTGTTGCTTCATACCACTTCCCTGGACAGATCCAACTGGCCCAGAGTGAACAACTGATCCAGACTAAGCCAATCAGGCTCCTTTTCCAGGAATTTGTAACGAGGATGCACTGATGGTTAGTCCCTATACCGGTGGAAAGCGATGCAACATACATCTTAGGGGCTAGAAGGTGTGATGTGTGCATAAAGGTAGAGGGAGTCTTTATCAAAAGAAAAATCCAGAGTGGACCCATAAACAGAAACAAAGACAGGAGATGAGCAAGACATACGTTGAGTTCAGGCAGCTTTCCCATTCTAAGCTCTGATTCCTGGGAGGCCTGGTTGCATGCCTTTTCTGCTTAAGATAGCTGGAATCTGTCTCTATTGTTTGCATTCCAAACAACCTTAACTGAGAGGGAGTTATCTCCTAAATACTTCACCATGAAATCAAATACAGAGCCTGCCCTTTATGTTGTCTTTCCTTGTGGGGAGTTTGGTGGCAGTAGATATGTGTTCTCTGTATTCTCATGCCTGGTATTTCTAGGAGGAAGAGAAGTGAAATAATTATTGGGAATAACACTGTATTAACAGTAGCTCACCTTGTTGAGTATCAGGCCTGCATTTTTTTTTTTTTTCAGTGCTTTAACGAAGTTGTTTTATCCAGTCACCAATCCTATGAGAAAGCTATTCTTATTTTACGTATAGGTAAAGTAAAGCTTTGAGACACTAAGGAGCATTTAGAAGTGGGATCTGAACCTAAGTCCATACCAGTGCTTCACCAGCCCTAACCACCCTTCCTAGTATGCTGACTATAGAGTCACATTGCCATATTGCAGATCAGTATTTGAATCCACAGAACAGAATCTGGCAGTCATGCATTTGGCTACCTAGTAGTTTTCTAACTAAGCTCGTTAATCAGCCCCCAAACCAACATCTACCACTCAAGCACAAAGATCCCTTTGTAATCAAATATTTTATGAGTGCTCAGAAAGGTGGGCTTTGGAATCTCCCACCCTATGAACATACAATCTCCCTCAACTGGTAGATAGTTCAGGGAAACAACAGGCCCCCAGGATCATTTTATTTCTCTCTTAGTTGTTTATTTGTCCATCTGTTGGTGCAGATGCTGGAGAGGTAAATGTTGATAATTGGATATGGTCACTGTACGACTATCACCATAACCTGTGCTGATGCTAGAACAAGCTGGTAAATACAGCCTATAGGATCAGGAGTGGTTAATGCACAGATTCCATAGTGAGCTCCTCTGACCATGTCCCCAGAAGAATCCAGCCAATAATGTGAATTGCAAGCTCAGAAGAACACTCAGTCTACTCTAGATTGACAAACCTTGGGACGGAGGAATGAACAAGTTTCCCTGTTGTGTAGTGTGCGTAACAACCGAGCGATGTAAGTAATCCCAATAGTTCTCTGAGAAGAGTGACCCTACTGTTGGGAGTAACTGGCTGATGCCCTTCTTTGGGGAAGGGTAGGGGACAGGAAGCTCATGGACAGCATCTGTGGGCTGAGCTGGTTACTAATGCACGATGCCCCATGCCTGCTGCCCACACCTAATGCTGAGGGGATATGACCAAAGACTATATCCAGTGCAGTCCAAATTACACAAGGCAAAATACAAAGACAATGCCAAGATGGGTAGAAAAGTTAGGATATAGGTTAGGATGGAAGATGTGACCTGTGAGATTCAATGTTGGCAGAGAAATCATCTGTGTCAAATTCCACAAACCAGAATTCACAAAGTTGCTGAGCCCACACATGTAGGATGAAAGAGAGTAATGAAAACTAATGACAGGAAACCAGCACCCTGACAAACAGAGTGGACCCCTGTGAATTCCTTTTGTAGCAGACTCCATTGGGTAACAACACTGGAGTGCATTTTCTGCTTCCTCCAGTTTAAGTAAATCCTACTTTTGTGCAGGTAACAATGTGCCTGATGCTGCAAATGAATCATAACTGCTGTAGCCAATCGCTGAGATTCCAGTTCACCTTGCCAGTGATTGATGTAGAGATTGGCCAATGACATCTAAGAAAACGACTGCAGTGACGAATTCTGGGAATTATTTTCCTGCAGTAAAATGCAAGACGTGTGAAGGAGAAACTCCTCTTCTCCTTCCTTCTGATGAGAGTGCTGCCCTGTGAGAACGTGATATGGGGTAGATGGCAGACATCTTGGAAGAAGGAAAGAAAGGCCAACGGAAGCACAGGGATTGCAAACCACTGCCCTGATACCAAAAAGCCTCTGAATCAACCCTGGAACTGGGAGGTGGAGAGTTATTTATTTTTGTAAATAACTCTTAGCTTTTCCATAACTCTTAGCTTGTCTATAACTCACAGATAATAGCATCTTAACTGATAATACTGATATGATCTCAAGAGTATGTTCTATAAACAAAAGTGTTGCGTAGTCAGCTGAGTTAGAAAAACGTTGTATATTATATCCAACTCTTTGTATTTCATTTTTGCAAATTAAAGGCTATGAGAAGACCTGCAGTTAAAAAATAAAAACTGTTTAGCTTTTTTTAACATGGTATTTCCTAAAATTAATCATATGATCATTTTAAAGACTCCTTAATATCTTCAAGATATTAAGCACTTCACAGTGTCTGTTTTGGAAAAATTAATTTAGGCTTCGTGAGAAAAAGAAAGGAGATCCTAACACCAAGTATTGGATACGCCAATTCCTACACAGCCTCGATGGGGCACAAAACAGAAAGCGCAGCTTTATCTTTCTAAATCATCTGCTATTTCCAGGAGGCCAAGGAAAAGGAATAAATTTGACAACTATCCACTTATATCCCTGAATTCTGACAACAGAATGCACTAATGAAGGACCCTCGACATGATAACACGGCCACAGTCCAGTCATCCTGGATAGCAAATCTGGAAATGCATTTTGACTGCTGCACTTAGGACACATTTTTATTGTGGCTTGCAGACAGTTACCCTTCAACGATGTGGTAACTAAACAGATTTCTAATTTTCTTCCACTCTCTTTCTAAGAAAGCAAAATGAGATTGAGGAAAATGCATTTCATTGAGATGGACAGGTATTTACCTTCCAGTTCTAAATTCCTTTCAGAAACCCTTAAAAAATGCCCCCCCACCCAGGTTTGGCGCAGTGGCTCACACCTGTAATCCCATCACCTTGGGGGGCCGAGGCTGGCGGATCACGAGGTCAGGAGATCGAGACCATCCTGGCCAACATGGTGAAACCCCATCTCTGCTAAAAGTACAAAAAAAATTAGCTGGGCGTGGTGGCGCGTGCCTGTAATCCCAGCGACTCTGGAGGCTGAGGCACGAGAATTGCTTAAACCAGGGAGTCAGAGGTTGCGGTGAACTGAGATTGCGCCACGGCACTCCAGCATGATGAAAGAAAGAGACTCTCTCTAAAAAAAAAAAAAAAAAAAAAAAAAAGCTCCCCGCCCCCCCCCCCCGAAAAAAAAAATCACCTTAATAAGGGAAGTTTTCTTTTGAGGTGATGGAAGGGCTCTTACAGACACAGGTGTGAAAGGAAAAGAGGGAGGGAGGAAAGGAAGAAGAAAGAGATGGAAAGACAGAGAACAAAAATGAAGAGGGCAGAAGAAAATATCTACAGATGAGATAGCTACCAGTACTTAATCACACTAGGGGTCTCCCAGAGGGAACTAGACGCCTAAGTCACGTGGGAAGGGAAAACTCCATTGCACTCTCTTTGGTACTATTTAAATTTTGAACCCTATATATGTGTGCTCTATCCAATCAAATGTGCCATCTATCAATTCAAAACATAAATTCATTTAAAAAGCAAGAACAGTGACCATAAAAGTAACAACAAACAAAGCACTGGTTCGTGATGTTAGAGATGGGGCTATTGGAGCCATACTTGGGACTAAACTAAATGAACCATTATGTTAATATCAAGCCACTCCCTGCATTTATGTAACAGAGAGGGGAAGACTCCATTCTTGAACCTAAACCACACTCCTGTCGACAATGGACTCATAAATGGGAAATAATCCCTCAAAATGCAAACAGGTCCTTCATTACCTACTGCGTCCTTAACTTGCCAAGCAAGTGTCATTTGCAATAGAGATTTCAATATTATCTTAATTCTCAGGCATTTATCAGGGACTCCTGGAGACAAAGGCACATATTTCTCTTTATCTAGCTCTGACCTAGTTCTGACCATCGTCCCCATCCAAACAGCAAGAGAAATCTAAAGTTGTAATACATTATTTAACAGGATGAACCAGTAATTCAGACTACAGGAAAAAAGCAGTAAGACAGTTCAGAAAAGCTTAAAAATCTTGAAGTCTGTTCCATGAAGGAAAGGGTCACAACGAATGTCGGCACAGGTACTTGGAGGAAAGTGGGTAGAGAGGGCCATACTGAGATACTGCATAAAACAAATATGCATAAAAGAAACAGAAAACCTTGTCTCACTTTCTCGGTTTCATGCACCTGGATTCTGTTGTTTATTTTACCCAAGTACTTCACAAACCTGATGCCAACAGCAACTGTGAAATGGAAGCAACTCTACAAATTATTGCCATCATGAGACTATCATTAGGTAAATGCTCTGAAAAGTTACAGGGCAGTGTATGAAGGCATTAGGCCTGTTAAATACATTATGCTTATTTATTAGACACCTTTGGGCACAGGAGTTTCCTAACGCCAAATCCCACTGTTGTGGTTTTAAAAGCAGCATATTTCTCTGATTTTTATAACAATTTGAAAACATGGCTATAAGGCACATTGTCCAGTAAAAACTGCCAACTTCCATTAGTGACATGAAAAATACACCAATCATAATCTAAATCTCATCCACTGAAAACACGAATTCATTTAGAAGAAAACAAATGGGAAGAAATCCCAAAGTTTCTTAAAATGCCATCCCCATACCAAGAAGAATGTCCACTCTGACACAATGAAAGCAGAACAATGTCACCAAGCTCCATTTATAACCAAACACTCCCTGCACATCTAGGGAATACTTCTTACACCGATATGCCTGAGCACCAAGACAGTTTCATTTTTAAGTGGGGAAACAGAATATAAGGTTTAAAATTTTGTCTCCCTCTCCCATATACACAAATGTCACTAAAACCAAGAGGTCTATAGATAACACAAATTCTCCCAGAAAACGCCCTTGACATATTCCTTGCTCACCCACCCCAGTCAACAGCCAAAGAGCATTTTAGCCACTCAGCAAACAGCCTGGTATTCATATTAAGAAGGCAGCCAGCCATCCTTTTGACCTTTGTTATTACTTAGACCTCGTGTTGTACATAAAAAGAGTACAATGATGTCAAACAAATTCCAGAAGAAAAGTATTTATTGCTGAATCTAAATCAAAAAATCCATATCTACTATAACGGCACTTCCAAAGAAGATATACTGTATTTAACAGCTCAATCAATACTAAATAAGCTGGGATAAATATTTTCAACTCTACCAGTCTTAAGATGAAGCCTGTTATTTAGAACCCGTGTCTTGGGAGAGACAAGGAAATTTTTGCTTATCACACAAAAATGAGAATCAGGAAGCATTTTACAAGCAGGTGCACCTACCCTTAGCTGCTCTCTTTCACAATTCATCTGTTGTCTTGAAACCTAGAAAGAAAAGAAAATGAAGGGGAAAAGTCAGAAGGCTCCGGATCAGAAAAACATGAAAGAAAACAGAAAGTTACTTTTAATTACTCAGCTCAAAGAAAACCCATAATTAATTAATTATGTATTTAATTTTTCTTTAGGTCTACATAGCTCAAGCTTCACTTGGAGTTCAATTGTGTGATTCAGAAGCACAGCTAGGATAAGTCAGAGACTGGAAAGGGGAAGAGGAGAGACGTGCAGGAGTATGTGTGGGAGGCAGCATCTGCCTGGGATGAGGGCACCTCCCCTCTTGTCATGAAACTCCCCACCCTTTTCCCTGAAAACCCCAGCTTGCCCTATATCACAGGTGCAAGAATTCCTCCATAAAGGCCCACTCCAGATGGTCATGATAAGTCAGTGGAAAACACACAAAGTCTTCTCCAATGTTTAGGGCCAGTAGTGTCAGTTGTCATGCCTTGGCAACTGGGTTACATTTTATGGTCCAGTTCTAATCAGATGGTAGTAAGTCCCCATAGGATTGTGCTGGGGAGAATTGTGAAGCCAATCCTTCAATCACAGAAAGAGATCCTGATAGGTTTCTGGTATCGGCCATCAGATAGGAAAGTGGGTATTAGCAATACATATGCCATGCATTAATTATCTTTGCCCTACTGACATGTTTTACTTAATGTCCAAGGACGCTTCTTTGGAGTGGCCATATAATTTATTATCCAAACAAGAAAACATAGGTGGGTTAAGGGGATGGGTGGAGTCGTATTACATGATTATGCTAAGGACACAAATAAAAAGGAACACATAGAAGGAATTTTGAGATATATGGTCATTCTGTCATCAGGAGCTGGTAGACTCCACTGTCAACTAAAATAGTTAAGCTGAAATAAAATTTAGGTCTTCATTCACCTTTATTCTATATCTTTCCAGTATTTTTTTTTAACCAGTGAAACAACTCCCGACTTCCAGGACCAGACAATATACTGTAAGTTTTTGAAACTTTTACTAAGGGATATGAAGGTTTAGGAACCAACTTTTGATGTATATTTTACGCATTTTGTATACAAAGTTTGTTTTGACTTTCTCTAAAAACAAAAAAGGAAGAATATTTACTTAAGGATGCACCAGAGCCCCAAATCTATAAATCAGTGCTTTTCTATGCCCTTTTACCCAGAAATATTACCACTAAGATTAGCTCTTAAAAAAATATGCAGAGGCACACAAATGTTTATTTCCATGTCAATTAACAACAACATTATGTATGAAAAAAGAAATTATAAACATTATGTGTGATAATGGAAAAATTAAAAAATATAGTATACTGATAGTATGGCATAACATGTACCATTTAGAAACATAGTTTTAAATATAGAGATATGAAAAATGTTCAAAAGACACCATTTAGTTGTTAAGAAAAGAAACCACAGAAATATACAATATTATGGTTCCTATCTTGGGTTAAAAATACAGTGAAACAGATCATTAAAGAAAATGAAGGAAGGCCAGGCACGGTTGCTCATGCCTGTAATCCCAGCACTTTGGGAGGCCAAGGCGGGTGGATCATGTGAGGTCAGGAATTCGAGACAAACCTGGCCAATATGGTGAAACCTCTTCTCTACTAAAAATACAAAAATTAGCTGGGCATGGTGGTGGGCATCTGTAATCCCAGCTACTCAGTTGGCTGAAGCAGGAGAATCACTTGAACCTGGGAGGCAGAGGTTGCAGTGAGCTGAGTTCCCACCATTATACTCCATCCTGGGCAACAAGAGTGAAACTCCATCTCAAAAGAAAAAAAAAAAAAGATAAAAATAAAGGAAAAAAAAAGAAGCTAAAGAGGAAAAGACTGGGAGAAATATTCCAAAAAATTAAAAAAGAAACTGGTACAATTCTATAAATATCCAAAAAAAAAAAGCCCACATTGAATTATACACCTGAAATAGGTGACTTTATATTATGTAAATTATGTCTCCATAAACTGTTAAAAGATGAAGTAGGGAAAATTCATTGAGACAGAGAACAAATTAAATGTTGCCAGAGGACTGGGTTAATGGAAAAGGAGGAGTGACTGCTTAATGGGTATGAGGTTTCTATTTGGGGTGAATAAAATGTTCTCAAACTGGATATTTGCACAACATTGTGAATGTACTTAAATGCCAGTAAAATGTATACTTTAAAATGATAAAAAAGGTAAATTTTATTTTATGTGTATTTTAACACAAAATAAATGAAGTGGGTGGTGAGGTTTCGGTTCTTGACAAGATGGAGCGAAAACACTTCATCCTGTTTCCCCCACTGAATGCAGCAAGGAAATCTGTATAGAATGCATGGGGGAGCTATTTGAGATCTCTGAAAATTAAAAAGCAGCAAGTGGAGGGGGGAACAAAACGACCAAAATTTAAAGTACCGCCACATAAGTGGTGAATTACCACCTCCCACCACCAATACCCCTTAGTGTGGGTGCAAGGTAGCCAAGGGCTGAAAATCAGACACCCAGCCATATAAAGACTCAGGAGAAGCACTCTGGTTTTGTCTTGAAAAACAAGACAGATGAGTCTTAACACTAAGAGAATAGGGAAAATCCCCATTGTTCTTTTTTTTTTATTACTGTTCTTTCTTTTTAAAAGTTTGTGTGTCCTCTTATGCTGCAGTCTCCAGGCAATCTCAGGGTAGTGTTCATGTATAAACAACAGTGGCAACAGGGGTGGCTGCAGACACTTAACATCTAGGACTGTGGTCTCAAGAGGTTGGGCAAACAACTCCCACCTCCCATTGCTTTTCTTTATTTCCTCTCTTCTCTTGACACTTTGCCCTAAATGCAGACTCAGATGAGAAGCAGGTGAACAGAAAAATTAAAAACAAACAAAAAACCACCAGCTTTCTGGGTGGAGGACAACAAACAGGGAACCCTAGAAAACAAATATTACTTTGAGGATCCCGGAGAGAAAATAATTTGGGAAAATCACCCCCAAACAGTATTTTTATAAACTCCTGCACTGACCTCTGTGCTCATGTCTGTATCTGACCCTAAAATGTTTCCATAAGCTTTGAGAATTGAACTAAGGAATAGACTACTGCCCATGTCCCAGACTTGATATATATATGGGAGACACCCAACAGAACTGATATTGGAAACAAATCCACAGAAGAAAAGCAAGAGCTTTCAGCCTGAATGCAACAAGATTGATTGCTTATTAAAACAAAAATATCAACAACTTCCATGGGATTTTAAACAAGACCTAGAGTCTCCTAACACAATATTCAATATACCCAGAATACAAACCAAAATGACTTAGCATACTAGGAACCAAGAAAATCTAAATTTGCATGGGAAAAGACATTCACAGACACCAACATCAACATAGCAAAGATGTTGGAATTATCAAATAAAAACTTTAAAGCAGCTGTTATAAAACGACTCCAAACGGTAAGAAAAAACACACTGAAAATAACTGAGAAAAAAATTGACAGCATTAGCAAAGAAACAAAAGATAATAAAGAACCAAAAGGAGCTGGGCGCGGTGGCTCACGCCTGTAATCCCAGCACTTTGGAAGGCTGAGGCGGGTGGATCATGAGGTCAGGAGATCGAGACCATCCTGGCTAATACGATGAAACCCTGTCTCTACTAAAAATACAAAAAATTAGCTGGGTGTGGCGACACGCGACTGTAGTCCCAGCTACTAGGGAGGCTGAGGCAGGAAAATTGCTTGAACCTGGGAGGCAGAGGTTGCAGTGAGCCAAGATTGTGCCACTGCACTCTAGCCTGGGAGACAGAGCAAGACTCCATCGAAAACAAACAAACAAACAAAACAAAACAAAAAAATCAAAAGGAAATTTTACAACCATAAAAATAACTAAATTTTTTTAAAAAAATAAAAATAAAATATTGGGCTGGGCACGGTGGCTCACACCTGTAATCCCAGAATTTTGGGAAGCCAAGCGGGTCGGATCACCTGAGGTCAGGAATTTGAGACCAGCCTGGCCAACATGGTGAAACCCCTTCTCTACTAAAAATACAAAAATTAGCCAGGCGTTGTGGCAGGCACCTTTATTCCCAGCTACTCAGACGGCTGAGACAGGAGAATCGCTTGAACCCGGCAGGGGGAGGTTGCAGTGAGTAAAGACTGCACCACTGCACTCCAGCCTGGGTGACAAGAGTGAGACGTCTCAAAAAAAATAATTAATTAATTAAAACGGAATAAAATAAAATCTCACTGAAGGTGTCCAAACACAGAATGAAGACAACAGAAGAAAAAGAAGTAAACTTGAGTACATAAAAAGTATCCATTCTAAACAACATAGGGGAAAAAAAAATTGAAGACAAAAAAAAAAAAAAAAAAAAAAAAAAAAAGAAATGCAGGACCTGTGGAACAAATATCAAAACGTACAATATTTCATGTTACTGAAATTCTAGAATATAAGGATAAAGAGTTCACTGCAAAAAAAAAAATTAAGAAATAATGGCTGAAAACTTCCTACATTTGACAAAAGATATAAACAATTTCAAGGAACTAAAAGAGTTAAAATCAACGAAATCCACAACCACATATATCACAGTCATATTGGTAAAGCCTAAAATTAAAACACTGAAAACAACCAGAGACAAACAATGCAATGCTTGTAAGGGCCCAACAATTCAAAGAACTATGGATTTAAAACAAAATCCAAACTAAACAAACAAAAATCCAGAGAGGTCAGCAGAAAATAACACACAGTTATTGAAATACTGAAAAAATAATTGTCAACTGAGAATACTACATCCAATGAAAATATCCTTTAGAAATGAAGGTGAAATATGAAAGTAACTAAGAAAATTCACTGCAGACAGACCTGCCCTAAAATAATCGCTATAGGAAGTTTTCCAGATAAAGGAAATAGGATACCTGAAGGAAACTTCAAACAACAAGAAAGGAAGAGCTGGAAATGGAAATGGTAAACATATGAGTAAATGTTAATAGGTGACTGGACTCTTGAGTTCATTAAAATATGTTTAATGGCTTAAAGCAAAAAAAAAAAAAAAGGAAATTGCATGAAGAGCTTTCTATACTCTTGAGTTCATTAAAATATGTTTAATGGCTTAAAGCAAAAAACTGGGGGGGAGGGAAGTGCATGAAGAGCTTTTTAATTTATGGATATACAATACGGAAGTTAAACAAAATATAGGCCAGGCGCAGGGGCTCACGCCTGTAATTCCAGAACTTTGAAAGACCGAGGCTCGCAGATCACCTGAGGTTAGGAGTTCAAGACCAGTCTGGTCAACACAGCAAAACCCCGTCTCTATTAAAAATACAAAAATTAGCTGGGCATGATGGCGCGTGCTTGTAATCCCAGCTATTTGGGAGGCTGAGGCAGGAGAATCGTTTGAACCCAGGAGACGGAGGTTGCAGTGAGCCGAGATCATGCCATTGCACACAGACTGAGACTCTGTACTCCCCAACTCCAAAAAAAAAAAAAAAAAAAAAAAGATAAAACACAAAGACTACAGAAACAAAGAGGCATACGTGGTGATAAACTTTATTATCTCCCATCTTTATTGAGGCACAATTAAAAAATAAAAATTACATATATTTAACGTATTGAACTTGATATTTTAATGTATGTATAAATTGTAAAAACAATCACCGAAGTCAAGCTAATTAACATGGGTGATAAGGTTTCTGCATTCCAACTAAAGAGGCAAAATACTGAGTCTTGTAGACTGAGAGAAATATGTGTGTGATAATCCCTATAACACAACCTTTAAGAAAACCGAAAAAAGTGAAACATCCAGAACAAATAATGATAGAGTAACTGGATGTGTACACACACACACACACACACACACACACACCCCTTTACCTAAACCTCACACTTTATACAAAAATTAAGTCAAAATGGAACACCTGTCTACATGTAAAATATAAACTAAATGGCTGATGCAATTAAAGACTGAGGGCAATGCTTCCTTCTTAATGCTTTCTGTAGTTTTCAAACTATCCTTTGTGACATACAGGGCATTTATAATCAGCAAGTATTTTAATATCAGTACCTTGCAGAAATACAAGTGTTTTTAAAAATGTATAGTAATAGTGATAGCATTGATTTTCGTTAATTAATAAAAAGTTTATCTTGGCCGGGCATGGTGGCTCACACCTGTAATCCCAGCACTTTGGGAGGCCGAGGTGGGCAGATCATCTGAGGTCAGGAGTTCCAGAAGAACCTGGCCAACATGGTAAAACTCTGTCTCTACTAAAAATACAAAAAAATTAGCCACACGTGGTGGAATGCGCCTGTAGTCCCAGCTACTCAGGAGGCTGAGGCAAGAGAACTGCTTGAACCTGGGTGGCAGAGGTAGGCAGTGAATGAAGATCAAGCCACTGCACTCCAGCCTGGGCAACAAAGCGAGACAATGTCTCGCTCTATTGAAAAAAAAAAAGTATATAACAAGATTAATATTTTTAACATCTGCCTTCAAATATCACAAGGATTTGCCAGACTCACAAAAGCACAATGACGACACTGAAGGAACCAGGGGGCCTACTGACCTCTGACTTGTGCCATGTGAAGTGGCACCACATTATCATATTCCTATTGCAGACAATGCAAAATCCAACAGTAGCCAAGGAAATAGCCATGCTGTCCTTCAAATGAAGCCAAATAAGGAAAATGAGATTTGGGAATAAGAAAAAGGATATTTCAAGTAATCTCTATAGTAGACATGTTTGTTTTTGTTGTGTTTATTTTTCCCTGCACAGCATCCCATATTATTTTGCTTATATTCTAGTGACAATATCCTGCTTCTTTTTTTGGGTCATGCACCTGTTCCATTTCATAAATTATTAGTAAACTGGTTGCCACCACCACCACCATACTCCACCTACTGCCAACCCCTTTGTTTGGAAGTGGGAGTCCCTGGCCAATTTGAGTCAATCCAGTGACATACACATCTCATGAGTTAGGTGGCCAGTGACCTCCCCTCCTTTAAGTAGGGATCATCGAATGCAGATCCATGCTTTCCTCACATCTTCCGTGAAGAAAGAGCTGTCCATTGCACAAAACGGCAGAATCCCATCATGAGTTGTGTGTTTCGGCTGCAACCTTGCTCATCAAACAGCACCCCAAACAGGGTGTAATGATTCTTGGAAGACTCAGTAAGTTATTGCTGCAACTAATGAGGCTCTTAAAAAATTTTCTCCATAACCATTATGGGAGAGGCTCCGGGTGGGGAGAGGGGAGGTGGAAAAAAAGGCACCTGTAACTCCCTACAGTCTGTGATGAAGAAAGACCCTGCCTGTGCATTCTTTAAAAGCTAGCCTTGAAAAATATCTTAAATGTACACTTTATCAAATGTCATTTCATTTGGAAACTAACATGTGATATTTTTTTTCTCCCATGGCAGTAATGCACAAAACCAATATATTTTATGGCCTAAATGAAAAAAAGTAAAGTGGAAGGTCGGGCGCTGTTCCTTTAAGATGCTTCCAGAATCAAATACCACTCTTGAAAGGGCTGCCAAGTAAGCACTTATGAAAGGTTAGAAACTGAAGCAATAAACTTCAGCATGAGACCCTTTGCTCTCCCGGTTGAACGAGATGTTTAATAGCAGGGATTCATCTTCCCCGTCTCCTATCTTCATTTAGCCAACAGGGCCAAAGACGCTTTCTCACTCAGCCTTTTTCATCCTTCTCCTGACTTTGAGTTCTCTCTTATCAGTTCTTCCTGCTTTATTCTGACCCTGTTTTCAGTCTGATTTTTCTCTCCCACACATCAGACTGGCTCTGCAAGAACTAGAACTGAGCCTTAGGTGGCTTTCCTTTTCTAGAGATGAGTACGATGTTTGGAATCCACTTGTTTACTCATCCATCCTTTCATATATATTTACTCACACACATACACACCCATACCCACACATGCACATATACATACACATATCTCAAGCACCTTCTGGATGTCAGACACTGTCCTAAGTGCCAGGAATACAACAGCAAAGAAGGCTACTGGAGCTATTGTCTAGGTGGGGAAAAAGATGAGTCTATGGATAATTACAATACAGAGAACATTTGTACAGTGAAAGTGTAAGAGGTGCTTGCAGTGCATAGGAGGTGGCCCAACTTGTCTTGGAGAATTGAAAAAGGTATTAGTGTATTTTGTTTGTTTTTGTTTTGTCTTTTAGACAATGTATCCAGGTAAAGAATGAAAAAAATATATTCAGAGGAAAGGCAGGAGGATGTGTGGAAAGCTCAGTGAGATTATGGAAGTGCAGTAATTGAATATGACACAAGAGTCAAGTGCAAGAGGGAACTGGTGAGAGATTAACTTGAACTGGGGAAAGTAGGAGTCCAAAGAAACAGAAGACACACAATAAATGAATGGATAAATAGATGTTCATGTTTTCATGTCCACAATAATAGAATGTTGGAAAATCCAGTTTTCAGGACAATTATGAATCACTTAGAAGGAAAACACTGGACAAGTTTACCAGCATAGAACTCAATATATCAAATCAATTGGTAGCTTTATTTCTCAGCGTTGCTGTTTTTGTAATCATTATAAACTCTTCTGAAACAAGATGGCATTTTCCTATAAACGCACGTCTCCAAGTACCTAGGGTGAGCCCTGGAGTTTGCGTTTTCCTTGATGCATTTCAGGACTATGATACACATTTGACATATGTACTCAGGGTACTAACTGCCTAGCGCTGTGCTAATGAAAGGGGGTGTGTATCTAAATGACACATTGTACATTTTATTTAAAAAAGACAGGGGAGGAGTGATGAATAAAATAATGATGATGATACAGGGTCGTATGTGATAGAAAAGAAAAAACAGGGTTCCAGGGGTGCTCAAAGGAGATGCACCAACCCAGCCTGCTGAAGGACGGGAAGCAGTGGAGGAGACATCAGTCAGTTGTTTCTGGAGCTGAGACCCTTGATCTAACCCTTACTGAGTAAATAGGAGTTGGGCGGGAGGACCTCCCCAAGGATACAGAAACAAGATACCGTGAATGGCACAGTCAAAAGCAGGATAAAGTCAGGGAGATTGTGGGGGGTGGAGGATGGAAGCGAAGGAACTTTGGGATTGCAAAATATTTAGGTTTTGCTCAATTTTAACTATGCTGCTAGGAAAGTAATTGTTTTAATCACTTTATTTATTTATTTATTTTTGAAACAAAGTCTTCCTCTGTCACCCAGGCTGGAGTGCAGTGGCGCAATCTCAGCTCACTGAAACCTCCACCTCCCAGGTTCAAGTGATTCTCCTGCCTCAGCCTCCCGAGTACCTGGGATTCCAGGTGAGCGCCACCACACCCGGCTAATTTTTGCATTTGTAGCAGAGATGGAGTTTTGCCATGTTGGCCAGGCTGGTCTTGAACTCCTGACCTCAAATGATCCGCCCGCCTGGGCCTCCCAAACTGCTGGCATTACAGGCGCAAGCCACTGCACCTGGCCTTAATCACTTTTTGCTGAAATAAATTGCACACTAACATTCGTTAAAATGTATCCAATGTTTGTAATATGTCATAAAATGTGCTAAACAGTTCCTAGTTATAAGCTTAGTTAATTCTCAGAACTTTGTAAGCAGCTGACAATTGATTTCATTAGCTGATTTGATTTTAGCTCCATTTTACAGGTGGAAAAACTGAGGCACAGAGTGAGTGAATTCCTAAAACCGTAAAGATAGGAAATATTCAAGAGGGAATTACCATCTGGATGGGTTGACTAGGTTTCCTCTCTGAATCACCATTGTACACAGTTTCCAGGGTCAGGTAAACCAAACAAAACCATGGATACCTACACTGTTAGCCCTCCTCCCCAATCTGCGCCTCACTTGTCCTTAGCAGGTGCTCATTAGCTACTGTGCCCTGACAAGATGCTGTTTACACACTTGTGTTTCTCTAAAACAAGACATGCACCGACTAGCTAGTGTTGTCTAGTTCCATAAAACACATAAATTTCCAAACTTGGCTTATTGAGGTAAGAACCAGTATAATTTCCACCAAATTAGATTTCTCTGATATCAAAGCACTGGGCCCTTCTGTAGATCCAGTTTTCTCCCCAATGGAGACTGGAGGTTAAGGAATCAGACTAAGGAAGTCCAGTCCTTGAACATCTCCTAAGTAACGTTAGCCATATTATATAATCTCTGCAGGCAATTTCCCCATTTGTACCATAGAGATAATATGGTACCTGCAAAGTGTCTAATTTTATTGTGAGCATAATCTATAAGAATTACTAAGCAAAGCACTTAACACATTTAAAAATTCAGCAAATACCAGCAATTGGTATTCAAATTAATGACACAGGAGGTTTTCACAAGAAGCACTGGGTCAAATGACTTGGGTCCAAATCCTGGCTTTGTTCCCCAAGAGGCCTTGTGAATTTGGCTAAATTAATGACACTTTTGTAGCATCAGATTCCTTTCGAAAGGTTTGATATTATCTTTTTAAGAAGGGTGGTAAATTGGTACTGACTGTTTCGAGGGGGCAGCTGGCAGTTATCACTATGTAGAACTTCCATTTCCTTTAATTCAATGGTTAGTATTCTAGGAATCACTTTACCAGAGTGCAACGGCGAATGAGGAAGTAAGGACAGCGCTTGTCACAGAACAGACCCAGAACTGAGAAGAATGCCAATGTCCACAAGTAATGAAATGGTTAAAAGAATTGTGGTTCATCTACATTAGGAATTGAAAAACTTTTTCTCCTAAGAGCCAAATAGGAAATGCATTGCCCTTTGAGAGCCACAGACTCTCTTGTCTTTGTTGCAGCTACTCGGTTCTCCCATTATGGTGGAAAAGCAGCCACTGACAACGTGTAAACAAATGGGTGCCACTGTGTTCCAATAAAATTTTATTTACAGGGTTGGATGTGGTGGCTCACACCTGTAATCCCAGCACTTTGGGAGGACAAGGCGGGTGGATCATGAGGTCAGATGTTCGACACCAGCCTGACCAACATGGTGAAACCCCGTATTTACTAAAAATACAAAAAAAAAAAAAAAAAAAAAAAAATTAGCTGGGCGTGTTGGCACTTGCCTGTAATCCCAGCTACTCAGGGGGCTGAGGCAGGAGAATCGCTTGAACCCAGGAGGTGGACGTTGCAATGAGCAGAGATTGCATCATTGCACTCCAGCCTGGGGGACAGAGCAAGACTCCTTCCCCCCCCAGCAAAAAAACAAAAAAACAAAAAAACAAAACAAAAAAAAAACTTTATTTACAGAATCACGCAGTGAGCTGTCTTTGGCCCATGGCCACAATTTGCCAAACTTTGACCTATACTACGGAATATTATGAATCCATTAGAAAATGAATGATTTCAGGAATGATGTCTATGACAAAATAAAACAAAAGCAAGTTAAAATCATTTTTAACCTATAATCCATTTGTGTATAAAAAACTATGCACACACACAAGGTACACACACAGAAAAATATCCATTTATACCTGGAAAAAAGTCTGGAATGATAAACAACAAACTTCAGACAAAAGCAGAAAAATGATGTCCTGGGAACCAGACCAATAGTGGAGAAGAAGGGACAGAGAAGCAGGTTTTCTCATTTTTAATCTTGGATTCTGTTATATCACTTCAACTTATTGCAATGAGCATGCATCAGTTTTATAAATTCATACTAAGAGCAGCAATAATAATATAATTTAAATGCCTGAGTTATATGGTTATTGTAATAATTAAATGAGATGTTATTTGTAGAGCATCAAAGCCAAATCTGGCCTGGCACATAGTAAGTATGTGATTAATGGTGGCTATAAAATAACTCAGCCGGGCACGGTGGCTCACACCTGCAATCCCAGCACTTTGGGAGGCTGAGGCAGGAGGACCATGAGGTCAAGAGATCGAGACCATCCTGGCCAACATGGTGAAACCCCGTCTCTACTAAAAATACAGAAAACTAGCTAGCATGGTGGCGGGCACCTGTAGTCCCAGCTACTCGGGAGGCTGAGGCAGGAGAATTGCTTGAACCTGGGAGGCAGAGGTTGCAGTGAGCTGAGATCATGTCACTGCACTCCAACCTGGTGACAGAGCAAGACTTTGTCTCAAAATAATAATAATAATGATAATAATAATAATAATAAAATAACTCCCCATAGCACCAAAAGAGTAAATGTAGGGTGGCTATCTTGAAAAACAAAACAAAAGCTCCAATTCTGCAGGGACATAAGTATTTTTGTGTGGATTCTCTTCAGTAGGAAAGTAAAAGTACAAACAGAAAATAAAAAGAGAGAGGTCGCTTTGCCTCGTCTGCTTCTAGGGTCTCATGTGTAATGTTTATTAGATACCTGAGTTTATAAAGGCCTGAAATCTTTGAACATAATACAGTCCTATAATCCGACGTATGGTTGTAATCATACCCACTGCTTCTTGCAAGTGTATCACACAATAAAGTGTGTCCTCTGATTCTAAGAAGACAGGATAGTTTATGTCAGATAAGCAAATACAGATCCCACCACCGGTCATGGCGGTTGTTACTTTTTGTCACAAGGAAGAACAAAAGTGTGTTACACTAGTAAATGCTTAGGTTTCAGGAAAGGAGGTGAGAAATAATCAATTAAAAAAGTAAAAACAAAAAGTCACAACAATGACTCAAGTCAGCCATGATTAATGAACTTGATTCTGTCTCATGTTGCATAAACGAACAAAATACACTTGAGAAAATAGCTTGGAGAACACACCCAGCTCTCCCACGATGTTTTCCTCTTAACCTTGGGGAAGACCATTATCTGCTGTAAAAATCTTGTCTGGTTTTGAAAGGATGCCAGCTTTGGAGGGTCAAGGGAGACGGACGAAAGAGCTTGTCAAGGCTAAGTACTAAGTAGAAAAAATAATAATGGATTTGTTGTTATACGTAAACTTGCACAATAAACCCAAATGCTGAAAGCTCTAACATATTTAATTTATGGCTAAGAGTCCTCGGGAATACTTTATGGAGCATATCCTAAAATCTCAAAACACTTAGTATTCTTAGCACTCGAATGACCTATGGGGTGCTATCTCCCAGGCAGGACAACACATTTAGTGAGCACTTCTGATATTCCTTTAAACATCATATTGTTTGGTAATAATGGTACTTATATCAAGAGAGTCACTGCTCTGGCTATAAGTCACTGGAGAGATTCAAGTGTTGGTTATCTGATTAAAGGGATGTCAGAGGTCAGGATGCCCACAGAATTTGAACAAACCTCAAATTACACGTTTTAATGAGGTGTTTTCTTGGGAGGAAGTGCTTTTCACACTTGCTCTGCCATGCACCCTCTTGGTAAAGACCCCATTATCAACAAAAGAAGTCCCCCAGGTCCAGACAGATTAATCAGACAGACAAACATTGAGCAAGACATGGCAGCCCCAGGCAGCACGTGGCCAATATCCCCTTCGGCCTCCCACATCTGCTTTCTGCAAGAATGCAGTCTCGTGGAGTTGTTCACTTCAGGCTTGATGCTGGTCTTGAAATGAAAGGGCAGCCCCTGGCCATGAAGAGCCTGGCTGGTCTGACACATGTAAGCACCTTTACAAGCTAAACCACGAAATGTCTTGGCATCTGATACCTTGCAGGGTGGAAGAAACATATTGCCTATTATTTATTCTAATAATAAACCATTACCCCAGGTACATTTTTATTCTCCAGATTTAATAAGGTATTTTGTGAACCAAGGCAGAGGAGGGCTGGAGAAAACAATTGCAGTTATTACAAAGATGATTTCTATTTGTTTCAGCAGCGAAAGCAATCACCATTTCTTTCCCTCATGATCAAGGGTTATAATTGCCCTCCTTCAACCCCATCCCATCCCAAACCCTTGCTCAGTCTAAGAAAATTCAAGCAATACTCACCAAAATGTCCTGGGTAACTAAAAGGGCTTGGCATGCTTCCCTGAACCGGTCTCCTGGGACCATCGTTACCCTATAGCCAGGAAACTCTGTGTAGAATGAGCATCTCAGCGAAGATTTTCCCATCATCCCCCTCTCTACATCCAGAGGTGGGAAAGAGTGTGGAGGGGAGGGCAAGTGGGGGATTTACATACCATTTGAATCTCTCTACTGGGATAGAATATATGTTCTCAAGACATTTTCAAGTTAAGATGTTTTAACTGTAATTTTTTTTCTTTCTCATTGGATATTACAGAGCTCTAATAATAATTTTATCAGAAGTTGATAATTTTATAATCTGCATCCCAATTAAATAGATTCAGCAGAGACACACAGGCCATGGCCTTATCTGGGCAGTCATCTTGATCATATTAACTGAGAGACATTTGAGAGGCATCTAAAATGCAGTGGTTCAGAGAACAAAATCGAAAGCCAGACTTCCAAGGTTCAAAGCTCAACTCAACTCCTTATTAGCTTACAGACCTTGAACAAATTCCTTGCCTGGGTCTACCCATGTGCCCCACAGGGTCATCACATGATTTGAATGAGTTAATATTTGCAAAGCAATTAGAAGAGTGCCTATCACACGGAAAGCACTATATAACGTGCCTTTTCACTACAAGAAAGTAAACTGAATTCAGTAGTCCATTTGTTGTTGTTGTTGTGATTTCTTCTTTTCATAAGTTGACAGTGGACTGGACGTGCCTCACTGTTTCCTTAGATATTTAGCAGACAGCATCACAATTGTCAGAGGTTTATGAACCAGAGCAACTCCATCTTGAATAGGGGCTGGGTAAAATGAAGCTAAGACCTCTGGCATGGTGGTGTATGCCTATAATCCCAGCTACTTGGGAGGCTGAGGCAGGAGAAGCTCTTGAACCTGGGAAGTGGAGGTTATGGTGAGCCAAGATTGTGCCGGTGCACACTCCAGCCTGGGCAACAAGAGCAAAACTCCATCTCAAAAAAAAAAAAAAAAAAAAAAAAAAAAGAGGCTAAGACCTACTGGGCTGCATTCCCAGATGGCTAAGGCATTCTAAGTCACAGGATAAGATAGGAGGTCAGCACAAGACAAGATACAGGTCGTAAGGACCTTGCTGATAGAACAGTTTGCAGTAAAGAAGCCAGCCAAAACCCACCAAAACCAAGATGGTGACGAAGGTGACCTCTGGTTGTCCTCACTGCCACACTCCCACTGGCACCATGACAGTTTATAAATGCCATGGCAACGTCAGGAAGTTACCCTGTATGATCTAAAAAGGGGAAGCATGAATAATCTACTCCTTGTTTAGCATGTCATCAAGAAATAACCATAAAAATGGGAAACAAGCAGCCCCAAGGGGCTCATCATCCACTCTGATGAGGGGCTCCTCTGCCCTTCATCCACTCTGTCTATGAACTAGCCATTCTTATTCCCCTACTTTCTTAATAAACTTGCTTTCACTTTACTCTATGGACTTCCCTGAATTCTTTCTTTTTTTTTTTCTTTGTTTGTTTTTTGTTTTTTTTGTTTGTTTGTTTGTTTTTGAGACGGAGTTTTGCTCTTTCGACGAGGCTGGAGTGCAGTGGCACGATTTCGGTTCACTGCAACCTCCGCCTTACGGTTTCAAGCGATTCTCCAGCCTCAGCCTCCCGAATAGTTGGGATTATGGGCAGCCGCCACAGTATCCAGCTAATTTTTCTAATTTTAGTACAGACACCCAGGCTGGTCTCAAACTCCTGCCCTTGTAATCCGCCTGCCTCAGCCTCCCAAAGTATTGAGATTACAAGCGTGAGCCACCACGCCCGGCCGCCCTGAATTCTTTCTTGAGGGAGATCCAAGAACCCTATCTGGGGATCTGCATTGGGACCCCTTTCCTATAACACAGCGGTAGAAAACCAAGATTGTGAAAAATTGGCTACTGCTTCTGAAAGTTTTAGGATGGGACACTGTAAATCCACATCTACACATTGTAGAGAATGTCAAAAGAAATAAATCATGTAACAACTACAAGGCTGTCATGGAAAAAAAAAAAAATGTCAAGGTGAACTAAGTCCCATGGGACCAATTCTCCAGACAAGGAAATAGGGATAGAAGGCACCCAAGGTGGACATCCCCAGGCTGTCTTTCCATGCTATTCTGACTTTCGCATCTGAAGAGATCTTTACACAAGAGGTCTTTTCTATTGCTGATTTCTATGACTTTACAAAATGTCATTATTTAAGAAATGGGAAGGATTCTGTAGCTTGAGAAACTTGAGGAGTATTCATTTTCTAATTTTCCAGTTCAGTTGTCTGAAAGGGTTGGCTGGGTGGTGGTGGTGACTGTTGCTCTGTATATGTGTGTGTGTGTGTGTCTGTGTTCACATTCTTCCTGGAAAGCTTAATGGAAGGAGTGCTGGAAGACATATGCTTCACACAAAATGAACTCTTAAAACCCCCAACTTAAGGAATCCTAACTGGAAGGACTAGATTCCCAAAAGTTCTGCAACAATGAGCAGGCATTCATGTTAATTGCTAGCAATTTAAAAGGAAAATCTAGGTCACCTGGCTGTTTACTTTATCATCATCAGGATTAATTAGACACTGGAAGTAATGACCGAGCTCAGAGAGCTCTTCAGATTTAAAATAATAATAATAATAAACCAACAACGCAGAGCTTTACCTTCAGAAAGAAAATATTTTCACAAGTAGCGTTCAGAAAGAAACTGAGTGGGAAAATATTGCAATTAAATTCTGCAAATGCGCTCTGAAATAATCCCAGGGGAAGTCTTATCTGTACTTAATATTCAAATAAATATTCTTTTTGTGTGCAGTGCATTCGATAGGGTGCATTTTATTTAATTTAAGTGTATAACGTGATCCGTATCATGAGGGATAATCACAGGGAACTGTGGAACCCTTTAACTAGGATAAATGGGCCAGCACCACAGTCAAATGGGCAAGCCTGGGTGAGGAATGAAGGGGAGGGTGCGGAATCCCAAGTACAGTTCTCACTTGGAGTATCCTGCAGGATCTTAACACTCAAAGTGAGACTGAGGACCAACAGCGTTGGCATCACCTGGAAACTCATTACAAATGCACTGTCTCAGAGGCCCGGTGCAGCGGCTCACACCTGTAATCCCAGCACTTTGGGAGGCCAAGACGGGTGGATCACCTGAGGCCACAAGTTTGAGACCACCCTGGCCAACAATGTAAAACCCTGTCTCTAATAAAAATACAAAAATTAGCCAGGCATGGTGGTGGGCACCTGTAGGCCCAGCTACTCAGAGGCTGAGGAATGAGAATCGATAGAACCGGGGAGGCAGAGGTTGCAGTGAACAGAGATCACGCCACTGCACTCCAGCCTGGGCAACAGAGCAGGACTCCATCTCAAAAAAAAAAAAAAAAAAGAAAAAAGAAAAAAAAAAAAAGTAATGCAATATCTTAGACTCCACCCCAGACCAAGTGAATTAGAAATTGCATTTTCTGAGACCCCTCCCCCAAACCCCAGGTAATTCACAATAAATCTACAGGGGCACTGATGTGAGGTGTCCTCACTGAAAGGCGAATGTCTCCTGTTCTGCTCCCCAATAAAGAGGGCCCTCTGCTAGCCTCACTGATGTGTCTTCAATGAGATAGACACAAAAACATTGCCAGGGATCTTCTCTGGATATTTCACAGAAGTTAAAATTTCAAGGCTCTCTAGGCAGCCTCATCCCCTCTTCCCACTTCCCATCCATCTTTCTGAAGTGCCCTAGAGATAGATGGTCATACACTTTCAGCCAGCTGGAGCCCAGCAAGGAAGAAGGGGGAAGAAGCAGAGGGCAGCGACTCTCTTCATCATCCCGAGACCCCTGGTGCATTGATGATCTCCAACCTCAGCCCCCTCTCCTCCAGCACCAACCTGGTCATTACCAGGCATGATCTAGCTTTCTGCCTTCATCCTACAGTGACTTCTTACAGGGACCTTACCCAGTAGATACTGTCATTATCATTATCCCCTTGAACAGATGAGAGCACTGAGATGGAGAGAGGCTAAACAAGGTGCCCCAAGTTAGGAAAAACCAGAGCCAGGAGTCAAACCCAGGCTATTTGAATCCAGAACCAGCAATGAGAATCACTCAGACAACGTCCTGTTGCTCCAGGGATGGCACTTAAGCCATGGCATGGACACCTGCACCACCGCGTCCCCATCCCCTGCCATACCTACCTCATCTCCGCAATGGAGAGAAATCCAAGTATTCACTAAGTATTGAATTAAATGCCTTTATTATTTTATTTTAGACATTTTAGACAGGGTCTTGCTTGGTCACCCAGCCTGAAATGCAGCAGTGCAATCATAGCTCACTGCAGCTTGAACTTCCCAGGCTCAAATAATCCTCCTGCCCCAGCCTCCTGAGTAGCTGGGCCCACAGGCAGATGCCACTCTAGTGGGCTAATTTGTTTTATTTTTAGTAGAGATGAGGTTTTGCTATGTTACTCAGGCTGGTCCCCAGCTCACGCTCCCAAAGTGCTGGGATTACAGGCATAAGTCGCCACGCCCGGACAAAATGTCTTTCTACTGTTCAATAGGGAACCAAGCCCCATCCCAGCCTCCCTTCCTCATCTGCTTTTGTTTCTGTTAAGTTGCCCCACAGGGAGCCATTCTGTGTCTTTAAAGTTATCCTAAGCATATCACCCATGATGATCAGCTCTGTCCTCTTAAAGGACGTTCACATTCACCATTGTTTTCAGTTTTTGAGACTGAGTCTCCCTCTATCCCCTAGGCTGGACTGCAGTGGCGCAATCTTGGCTCACTGCAACCTCCGCCTCCCGGGATCAAGCGAATCTCCTGCCTCAGCCTCCCAAGTAGCTGGGATTACAGGCATGTGCCATCACATCTGGCTAATTTTTGTATTTTTAGTAGAGACGGGGTTTCACCATGTCAGCCAGGCTGGTCTCAAACTCCTGGCCTCGGGTGATCTGCCCGCCTCGGCCTCCCAAAGTTCTAGGATTACAGGCGTGACCCACTGTGCCCGTCCTGTTTTTGGACTTTTAAGGAGGAGGTAAGGCACGGGTGGTCTCCCTATAATCCCTAAAATCAACACCTTTACCGCCTCGTCATCAGAACCTGCTTACTGCACTTTCCTTCTTCCCTGCCCTGTCTCATCTCCCCACTCAGCCCAAGAGGAGAGAGTTGGCATTCCTTTCTTGCCTTCTGAAGACAGGGCTAGTGGACAGTCTCTACACAGTAGGTGCTCCTGCTATTTTTGCTGAGCTGATTTCCAGCCATTTAGCGTTATTCCTGCTGACTCACACTGTCTCCCAAATTGAAGCTGTTCTCCCACCAGCCAGGAAAAGCCTCCTTCCCAAAAGAGAGACATGCTCTCAGCTGCAGAAATTTGAGAATCTGGAAGTTAGACAAGTTTCCCAGAGTGGCTATGCCATGAGCCTGGAGACACCAAACGCATTTTTAGTTCAGGTAGACCCAAGGCGGGGGTGTCTCATAGAGGGTAAAAGGAAAATTTGCCACCGACAACAAAATAACAAGTGAAATTCGAGGATAAAACTACCTGAAAATGAACCATGTGTTCACTGGAATTATTAGAGATTATCGTCTTTAATTCCATCAAGCAATTAGCTTGAGGAGGGAAAATACTCGTCTAGCAAAACAAACAAACAAACAAACAAACAAACAGAAATAGCTGTAGATGGGGAGATGTTCCCACATAAGATTTAGCTGATCTGTAATTTGCTCATGACCATAGGTTTTATTTTTTTCCTTTAAAAAATTAAGATGGGATTTTTATTATTTATTTATTTATTTGTTTGTTTTTTGAGATGAAGTCTTGCTCTATTGCCCAGATTGGAGTGCACTGGGATCTCAGCTCACTGCAACCTCCACCTCCTGGGTTCAAGCAATTCTTGTGCCTCAGCCTCCCAAGTAGCTAGGACTACAGGCTCCTCCCACCACACCCAGCTAAATTTTTTTGTTTTGTTTTTGTTTTTGTTTTTTTAGTAGAGATGGGGTTTCACCATGTTGGTCAGTCTGGTCTCGAACTCCTGACCTCAAGCGATCCGCCCGCCTTGGCCTCCCAAAGAACTGGGATTACAGGTGTGGGCCACCGCACCCCGCCAAGATAAGATTTTTAAAAATAATAATGAAATTCTCTGATTCTCAAGAGGGGACACTACGGCCATCCGAAAGTTGCTGGCAGCTTCCAAGCCACTAAATACAAAGGAGAATCGACTTTCTTTCCCAGATGTGAGCAAAGCCAGGAGGCCATACTAACTTCAGTAACAAATGCTTCAAATAACGAGGAAGTCCATCCCAACAATTTGGCTGCTGGAAGAAAGCAGGGCCTCCGTAATTATACTGATCAGGGAGAGATCAGTTAGAAGGCAAGGTAGTGGAGCTCCCTGTGTGTCCAGCAGGCCAGCAAGGACCACGTTGGCTTACATGTGAGCCAGGCCCCATGAGACACAAGCCATCTGCATCTTCTCTGCAGTGGGTAAAACACGGGATGTTGTTTGAGGGCACAGAGTATAGTATTTTAAAAATCACAATAGGTAGCATTTATAAAGTACTGGATTATCTCGCCAATCCCATCAAAATTATTCATCACATCTGCCCGATGTCGTTGACATTGCCTTTCTTTTCTTTTCTTTCTTTTTTTTTTAGGCAGGGTCTCACTCTGTTGCCTCGGCTGGAGTGCAGTGGCATGATCTTGGCTTGGCTCACTGCAGCCTCCACCTTACGGGTTCAAGTGATTCTCCTGCCTCAGCCTCCCAAGTAGCCAGAACTACAGGCATGTGCCACCATGCCTAGCTAATTTTTGTATTTTTAGTAGAGACGGGGTTTCACCATGTTAGCCAGGCTGGTCTTGAAATCCTGACCTCAAGTGATCCACCTGCCTCGGCCTCCCAAAGTGCTGAGATTACAGGTATGAGCCATAGCACCCAGCCATGATACTGCTTTTATCTCTACAGTGTAGTCACAAAGGTTAAACAACCTGCCAAAGTTGACATCATGAGTAAATAGAGGAGTCAGGATTCCAGGCCAGGCAGCCAAGCTTAGCTTTATTTTCTTAACTGTAAGGCATTGCTGACTCTCTACATGCAAAGCTGTAGCCACTATCCTGCAGCATACCTGCAGTTGCTTCCTCTCCACCCAGTCTACAGTCTTACTTACAACCCTGGCTACCCTCCTTGGAAGAAGCAGCATCAGCATCATACACCATCTCCCATCCCAAACCAACTAGGTCATAAAGGTCCTCTTTCTGCAGGATCATTCTGCTCCACACACCCCATGTCCTTTCTTGATCATTTTATTTCCAAGATAAATACCCACATTCCCTTCCACTCTTTGTCAAATGACAAGGATTGGATTCATTTCCCTATCCTTATCTCCCCTAAGACAAAAGAAAAAATGTGTGGTTTAGAGTCAGACACGGATGAAGTCAAGTCCTGGACCTGCCTCTTATTTGAGGGCCTTAATTAGACCCCATAACTTTGTATAATGGGTTGAATAGTGTCTCTTCAAATTCAGGTCCACCCAGAACCTCAGAATGTGGCCTTATTTGGAAATACAGTCTTTACAGATGTAAATAAGGTAAGGATCAAGAGAAAATCATAGTAGATTAGAGTAGGTCCTAGATCCAAAGGGAGTGTCCACATACGAAATAGCAAAGAACACACAGAGAAACAAAGACAATAGCATGTGAAGACAGAGGCAGAGACTAGAGTGATGTGGCCACAAACCAAGGAACGCCTGGAGCCACTGGAAGGTGGGAGAAGGAAGGAAGGATTCTACCCTAGAGCCTTCAGAAGGAACTTGGCCTTGCTGACATTTTGATTTCAGACTTGTGGCCTCCAGAACCTTGAATGAATAAACTTCTGTTGTTTTAAAGCCATCCAGTTGGCGTTAACTTATGGCAATGCTAGGAAATGAATACATTTCATATGCCTCATTTCCTCATCTGTAAAATGGGTATGAAAGTCCTGACTCCATTAAACAGAGGCACTCCACTCCATCCCATCTGTGTCACTGAAGAACAGCCTTCTCTATCATGATCCAACCATTTAGAAAAAATGCCATCAGGACATATCTCAGAACAAAGCTCAATGACATCACTACAATTAAAACCACCAGGGTTATGGGCCAATCTACTCATTATAATTTTTGGCACCAATTTGTAATAATGTTTTACTTTCCCACATACTTTTCTGACTATCTATCCCACCATCCTCCACTTTTCCCATAAAGGGATCACACACACGTGACCGAAAAGTGTGTCCTTGTTGACTGTCTTGCTGGAATTCACACATCATGTGTCTACCCCATTCTCCAAATCTCCCATTCTAGTGAGAAGAAATGGCATTTGCTGGGTCTTCATTATTCCCAATGAATGGACATAAGAATCAAGTTATCATTCTTTCATCTTCAAGAAATCCACAAGCCATGCTTTTCATAATGTCCAGATTCATGTGAAGATCAGATCACATGGGACTTTAATCATTGAACAAGTGAACCATTAATAGTGGTTACACCATGAGATGCTACCACCCTATAATTATAGAGTCTCCCAGCTTCTTTCATCTGTTTTGAAAATTAGAATATCCTATTTCCGCATTTCAAATCTCATACCCTTCTGCTTTTTGCCACAAATTGTCAATGATACTTAATGATCTCATGTCCAAGTTACTCTCCTGTTTGGAGATATTAGTCCAGGTAAAATATTAGATTTCTTAAGAGCTAGCACTCTCTTCATTCTGCTTCACCAACACTGACTTTGTCACCTAAACCAAACTCTATTCCATCCTGACTGAAGATGATTTTTCTTGACAGAGAAGACAAGAGCAAAAGAAGAACTGAAGACTCATGTTTCTTCTGTGTGACGCATCAGCTTTCTTCTATCAGGGCCAAAGAGCTTTCCAATCTCTTCTGGCTCTTCTTGATTTTATATATATATACATATACGTATATATATATGTGTATATATATACGTATACGTATATATATGTGTGTATATATATACGTATACGTATATATATGTGTGTATATATATACGTATACGTATACATATGTGTATATATACACGTATACGTATATATATGTGTATATATATACATATATACACATATATATATACGTATATGTGTGTGTGTGTGTGTGTGTGTGTGTGTGTGTGTGTGTGTATATATATATATATATATATATATATATATATATAGCTTTTTTTTTTCTGTTTTATGCTTAGCATTACTAGAAACCGTTAGTTAAGTTCATCTGGAGATTGGTCTTCCAAACAGCATGCTTGCTGCTATGGTCATTTAAACTTTCATTATTTCATAGATGCTTGCAAACTTTCCTAGCAACACATAGCTGAGTGGCAGAGCTTGGATTCCCACTCAGATCCAAGCGATGCCCACACCTTTTCTCATAAGCTGTCCACATACTGCTGGCTTTGTTGATCGCCAATGTTTGGATGTTCCATGGTTTCCAAACTCACATTACGAACCTCCACGTCCCTATTACATTTCCTGTGCATATCAAGTCCTGCAATAATTCACAGTTGGTTCACATTTTCAAATATCCTTTGGGAACATTTCACAAATAGAAGTCACAATGATGTGTGGTTCAATTTTTTTTTTTTTTTTTTTTTTTTTTGTGTGTGTGTGTGTGTGTGTGTGTGAGGGAGTTTCACTCTTATTGCCCAGGTTGGAGTGCAATGCTTCAACCTCAGCTCACTGCAACCTCCGCCTCCCGGGTTCAAGCGATTCTCCTGCCTCAGCCTCCCAAGGAGCTGGGATTACAGGCATGAGCCACCACGCCCAGCTAATTTTATATTTTTAGTAGAGACAGGTTTCCTCCATGCAGAGCCCAAGATGATCAAGCATCAGAGAGATAAAATCCATCCCATCTAACTCCAGCCCTGAGCCCAGGCAGAGCAATTTCACAGAAGCCCATTTATACCAAGTCAGAGCATGAACTGTGTGCCAATTTGATTAGAAAATGGCTTACACGTAGAGCAAGCCCTGTCTATTACGGAGAAAGCTGGACTAATGAATCTTGGAAATGGAAGAGTCTATCTATCCTTCTTCAAATCTGTAAGCCAATTATTATATTGGACCTTGACTTCCAATATTTCTGCAGGCTTCTAGGCAGTCAAACTGTGCCAAGTAACAGGCAAATGAGAAACCACGTTTCTCAGGGCTGCGAACACTTTCTGTGCTGGAGATTAAATAAGGCTTCCTTTCTTTCCTTCTCCTTCTTCCCTTCCTTCTTGCCTTTCGTCCTTCCACCCTTGTTTCTTCCTTCCTTTTCCTTCCCCTTCTCTCCCTCCTTCCTTCTCTTTTCCCTTCTTTTCTTCCTCCCTTCTCTTCTCCCTTCTTTTTTTCTCCCGGTTTCCCTCTCCTCCCTCTCCTTTCTCTCTCCCACCTCCTCCACCTTCCTTCCCTTCTTTCTCATTTATTTCTTCCTTTTCTTGTTTAAAATAAAAAAAAATGCAAGCTGTATGTTACAAATATAAAAGGAAAGAAGTCTATTTGTTTTACTGGTGAATTAAAAACAAACTGACTATTCCTCTTCTGTCTGGAAACCTTCCCTGCCATGTCTTTTGAAAGCTGAATAATGAAAGTTGGGCTTGGGGGATTAAATTCTATGCATTCTTGTTCCCTGGCTGGGTATTTCTAAGTACATTAGTCTTGGTCTAAGACTAAGAGAAACCACAGGGAGTGATTTAGAAAAAAAAGCCCTGAAGCCAGACTGCTTGAGTTTGAATCCTGGCTCTGCCTGACCTTGGGCAAGTTACCTACCCAATCTGTACCTCTCCTATTCCACCTGAAAAAAGGAGATGTTAAGGGTGTCTAACTTACAGGGTTTTTGTTAGGCATCTATGAGATTATATCTAAAAAATACTTTAAGCAGTTCCTGGCACAGAGACAAAATTCTATAATGCATTTTAAATAAAATAGATGTAATTAACTTACCCTAAAAGATTATTCATCCTCTCTATTCATTTACTTGTTTATTAGTTGAACAAATATTTATGAGTTTTTTCTGTGCGCTGGAGAGTTCAATAAGATACAGCTCCTGCCTTCAGGAAACACTCAGTCTCGTAAGGAGGGTAGACTGTTCTTAGCACTCTAAGGCATAGAAAGCGTTTAGGAGAGACGGGTTCAGGAAAGAGCCTCCCCTCTCCTACCAGACTATCTCAGCAAGGGTCCTATTGTTCAGGGAGAATGGAGGAGTGTGTGGGCTGTGGCTGCAGCACAGCTAAACCTTAGGGGTGCTGATGTATGCTTCAGAGAGGGCAAAGCACCCAAGCACTTTGCAGCCTTCCTGGGAGGCCGCCAGCTCCGGTATTACCCTACGGGGCACAGGCTGCTCTAAGCAAAGCCCTCCCTTGCAACTAGGAGATACAGCAAGCCGACTGGAATGTCCAGATCAGCAGGTGCCATGTGTAAACTTTTTCTAAATCTCATTTAAAGGTGGCATAGTGCCCTCTGGCAGCACAAAGTTGAGGCCTCGGAATTGGGTAGGGGAGGTATGGAAGAAAGAGGGTTCAGAGGCACAGTAAGTCACCCGACCTGAGAGGTACAGGGACAGTATTTCTGGTTGTTTCAGCTGGATCCTGACCAGGGGACCCAAGGCCTTTCCTCCTTCCCTGCACCTCTGTGCAGAAACGCCACAGCTGCCAGGAGAGGGGACGGGGAGAAGCCGTATGAAGCAGCTGTGATTGTGTATGTGTGTGAGAGAGATAGAAACAGAGAGAAGAAGAAAAGAGGCAGATTGGAAGTGTGAAAAAAATGAAAGAAGAAGAAAAAAAGAGTCTAAATATTCAGAAATGTAAGTGCTGCCCTCAACTGTTCTTTACCCACTTAATTCTGCAATTTTGAAAACTAGATTGAATTCCTTTGCAAAACCCTTGCATCATGGATACCCGAGTTAAACCGTTAATTAAAAGACATTAAACATGGCCTGGTGGCAATCTCCACGCCTCCAAGTCAGGAGCAGGAAAGGAAAAACAGCAGCTTCATGGGTGTTGGCCTCTTGCCTTCCTAGAAGAGACGGTCTTGATGTCCTCAGAGTAGGCCCCAAGAAGTTGGGTTTAAGGGAGACCCCACGCAGAGGGAGGCCTTCTGGCTGCCATTTCCACCCTGGCCTGTGACCATAGTCCTGCCCACATAGCAAGCACCCCAGCCTGGACACAGCAGCTGCGCTAGTCCTTTTGTTTTCCCTTTGTTCCTTCTTGGTCTGGGGTCTGATCCCAAACCCAGTATGACCAGTCTACAGATACCTGCACCAGCCCATTCTAGACCTGGCTCTCTTTCCAGGCCAGGTGGGAGCTCCCGAGAGGGGTCTAGGCATCCCTGAAGTCCAGGCCTGTACTATTAAGCAGCTCATCCTGGTTGCTGGAGCTTTGAATCCCTGACCTGGGGTTGCTGTCAGATATGGCTGCTCCAGTTTGAATCCCTGCAGCGCCATCTGCTGGCCATCTCCTCTCAGTACCTAGGATTCCCCGGGACGCCCATGGCTCCTGCTCAGCTAGGATGTCCTGACTGGCAGTGCGGCAGGCTCCAGAGGCCAGGCCAGGCCTTCTCCAGCACCCCTGATGAAGAGGTGCCCCCCTCTATCCAAAACCCCCCCAGGACATGCCCAGGTCTCCTTAGCTCTGAGGCTGAGAAGCATGCAAATGCACACTGCACAATCTTATGTCTTGGGATCCGGTTTTGTCAGAGGTGTTTGAACCAGAGCAACTCCATCTTCCATAGGGGCTGGGTACAACAAGGCTGAGACCTACTAGGATGCATTCCCAGAAGGTTAGGCATTCTAAGTCATACGATAAAATAGGAGGTCAGCACAAAATACAGGTCATAAGGACCTTGCTGATAAAAACAGTTTGCAGTAAAGAAGCCAGCCAAAACCCATCAAAACCCAGATGGCCCTGAGAGGGACCTCTGGTCGTCCTCACTGCTATACTCACGAGCGCCATGATAGTTTCCAAACACCATGGCAACATCACAGAGTTACCCTATATGGTCTAAAAAGGGGAGACATGAGTAATTCACCCCTTGTTTAGCATATCATCAAGAAATAACCATAAAAATGGGCAGGCAGCAGCCTTCAGGGCTGTTCTGTCTATGGAGTGGACATTCTTTTATTCCTCTACATTCTTAATAAACATACTTTCGCTTCACTCTACAGACACGCCCTCAACTCTTGTCTTGCGGGAGATCTGAGAACGCTCTCTTGGGGTCGGGATCCAGCCCCTTGCCTGTAACAGTTTCATCTCTGCTTCTTGCCTGGTGTGTGGCCTGTGAATGTCCTGTTCCTCTCTGGGCCTCAGTGTCCTCCTCTATAAAGTGAGGAGTGCAGCAGGTGACTTCTAAGGCCCTTCCATCTGTAGTTTTCTGTGAGCCACGTGACACCCAGCCCCGTGTGAGAACCATCGTGGTTAACATCCAACAGGGTCCAGAGGGAATTGCAGGGAATGGCTCTGAACTCAACATTGAATGCACTGTCTGAAAGACAATCAAGTCCAGCAACAAGAGCAGGACAGAGTGCTGAGGAATTTGTGCCTGGGGCTCCTCCATTCGTATCTAAGTGCCTGCAAAGAACAGGAGATCTCCCTAAGCATCAAACAAAGATGGTGGCAGGGGAGTGGCGACCCCACAGTTATCGCTTGCAATATATCCCTTACCTGCCCCAGTGTTTACACAATGAGGAAGTATCTCCTAACATCTACAAAGAATTTTTGCACAAGGGCCTATAACTACTGCTTATTATTAAGAAGTGCATGAGAGAGAAGCTATGGATTATAAATTCATGGTAGATTATGTTTTAATGTTCCCCAAACAGAAAAATAATTGCTAAAACTGCTTTAGGCATCAAGCTTCATTGCACTCAACTGCCCTCCAAGAATTATTATTTTAAAAAATCACTTATGGTACCAGGATGGCACAATGTCACAGAACCAGGCTCTCCATGGTAGTCTTTGTCAAAGCCACCATGTCTCTGTGCATTCATGTCCAGAGCACGATATGAGTGCCAATGCTGTAAATTAAGGTGCAATTTGTAAATGCTTCATTAATATTTATTAAATGATTACTAGATGCTTTTACAATCTTTAATATGATAACATAAAGCATGTCATTAAAATGCATCACAAGTATATTCTTAGTAAGCCAAGCCACACCCTGCTGTTAAGAAATCCCTGGTTTTATGACCTTCCTCTTAAATCCTTTTTCAACATACGGTTATCAGGAGGATATAGAAACCTAAGTGGCTGTCTTATCAAAACATCCCCTAGGAGAGTGACAGCTATTGCCCTCATGGGAATCAAAAGCAGGGAGTCTTCCTTGTTTTCAACTCCCTTTCCAAACTCGATATACTTTGATCCTGTGGGAAATATATATAGGGATGATGAATAAATTTAACATCTGGGTGATTAAAAATGGCAGCCTACTCCAGAGTGTTCAGAAGGATGCCGAGGCTGTATTTGAGCTAAGTGGAAAAGAACACAGGGATTGATAAGTGATACCTGTTTCTGTGTACTGTAGAGTAAGTAACACCCATCTCTGATTTAAGACAAGGGAGATAACCTAGGCAGAGGAGTTCCAAGGTATACTGGGGCCTTCCCAGTGCTGAAATTATAGTCATGTACCACTATGGCAAGCTAATTTTTTTTTTTTTTTTTTTTTTTTTTTTTTAGTACAGACGAAGTTTCACCATGTTGGCCAGGCTGTTCTTAAAGCCCTGGCATCAAGTGCTCCACCCAACTCAAGCCCATCATTCATTTCTCTCTTTTTTTTTTTGAGATGGAGTCTCACTCTGTCATCCAGGCTAGAATTCAATGACATGATCTCGGCTCACTGCAACCTCTGCCTCCTGGGTTCAAGCAATTCTCCTGTCTCAGCCTCCCAAGTAGCTGGGATTACAGGCATGCACCACCACTCCCAGCTAACTTTTTGTATTTTTAGTAGAGATGCGGTCTGGTCTTGGACTCCTGACCTCAGGCAATCCACCCGCCTTGGCCTCCCAAAGTGATAGGATTATAGTCATGAGCTACCATGCCCAGCCCATTCATTTCATAATGGTCATTACCTCCCTCCTTCTGCAGCCTCCCACTATGTGTTTTATTTTCTTTGAATTTACTCAGCTCTCTCCTACCTCAGTGCCTTTGCACTGGCTGGGCTTTTTGCATAGGATTCTCTTATCTCTACACTTCAAATGGTCATTCCTTCTTATTTTTCAACCTTCACATTAAATGCCAACTTCTGCAAAAGCATTTCACTGCCCATTCTGCCTCCTTCCTGGCTGTGTCTATTTAGTGATAAAGAATGAAGACTCAAGAGTGAGACAATGGGGTGCAAGCCCTAGTTCTGCAGCATTCTAGCTGTGTGAACATTGGAGGCAGTTGTTCAAATTCTCTGCCCCTCAGCTTCCTTGGATATAAAATCAGGTCAATAAGAATAGAACTTGTCTCATGGATAAAATGAGCTAATATACCAAACATTAGGAAACTGTTTGGCCCATACTAAGACTTCGTTTTTCCTCATTTTGCCTACTTACCTTTTTTTCTCTTTTTCTGCTTTCATCTGCTACATGTCAGCTCTATACGGGGATGGGCCTAATATATCCAGAGCCTACTGCAGTGCTTGGCTCACAACAGCTTCCCAATAAATATTAGATAAGTTTTCAAAATTAGGATCTTCACTAGGGTTATCATGAAAAAGGCCTAGTTCCTGACCTCACAGGGAATCTGGAGTATAAAGAAAGAAAAAGAAATACGACATTTCTAACCAACTCCATAAACTCAGAGAGACAGAGGGAAATGTGGGGCATGAAGATATGCTCTGGGTTTAAGCAGACCTGACTTCGAATCCCAGCTCTACCATCTTTAAGAATATGGGGTTCACGGCCAGGTGCAGTGGTGGTTCATGCCTGCAATCCCAGCACTTTGGGAGGCTGAGGTGGGTGGATCACTTAATGTCTTGAGTTCAAGACGAACCTGGCCAACATGGTGAAATCCCGTCTCTACCAAAGAATACAAAAATTAGGGGTGTGTCTGTAGTCCCAGCTACTCAGGAGGCTGAGGTGGGAGGATCATTTATAACCCAGGAGGCAGAGGTTGCAGTGAGTGGAGATTGCTCCACCACACTCCAATCTGGGTGACACAGTGAGACCCTGTGGAAAGGAAAGGAAAGGAAAGGGGAGGGGGAAGGGGAGGGGGAAGGGGAGGGGAAGGGGAGGGGGAAGGGAAGGGGAGGGAGAGGGGGAGGGGGAAGGGGAGGGGGAAGGGGAGGGAGAGAGAGAGAGAAAGAAAAGAAAGAAAGAAAAGAAAATAAAGAAAGAAAGAAAAGAAAGAAAGAAAGAAAAGAAAGAAAGAAAGAGAGAGAAAGAAGGTTCTGGCAATTTAGAATGAAGATAATACCAACTACCTTCAAGAATTAGAAATAAATCTATAAAGGCTTTTCAAGCATGCCTGGTATATAGTACATGCTCAATAAATAAAAACTGTTACTCTTGTTTTTAGGGTCATTTTTGTTATGTGCAAAAAGCTTGGTAAATACTATGATGGACACTTAATCCAGTCTGTGCAAATAGGCTGAGGGAAATAAAAATTTTAATAAAATTTTTATATAATTTATAAAATATTATATTTTATAAAAAATAAAATATTTTACTTTTATATATTTTATAAAATATAATATATTTTATAAATATAAAAATTTTATAAAATTTTATAAATTTTATAAAATATAATATTTATATAAAATATTAATATAAAATATATACAATATAAATTATATTAAAAATTAATACTGATATATAAAACATATATACAAATATATAAAAAACATACATAAAACAAATTTAAAAATAAAAATATTTTAAAATATATAAGAACATAAATACTAAAATATTCAAAAATGTTTTTAAATATTAAAAAGTAAATATATATATATAGAGAGAGAGAGAAAATAAAATGAAACCAAGAGGACTCAAGTAGTAACCAAATGAGGTGGGGGCCGACGCAACACATAAGAAACAACAATTTACTCAGCAACTAACTGAGAAGAGACAAGTTTCCCTTGTCCTGTGATGCTTCGTTTATTCATTTATTCAACAAAAAACAATTTTTTTGAAAAAGAGTCTTGCTCTCTCACTCATGCTGGAGTGCAGTAGCACGACCTGGGCTCACTGCAGCCTCTGCCTCCCAGGTTCAACCGATTCTCCTGCCTCAGCCTCCCCAGTAGCTGGGATTACAGATGCCTGCCACTATGCCCAACTAATTTTTGTATTTTTAAGTAGAGACAGGATTTCACCATGTTGGCCATGCTGGTCTAGAACTCCTGGCCTCAAGCGATTTGCCTGTCTTAGCATCGCAAAGTTCTGGGATTACAGGCATGAGCCTTCAAGACTGGCCTCGAGAAAAATTCTTAAGTGCTCACTTAAGCCGGTCAGGGTGGTGGATACTGGGAACATTAAGGATGTGGGTGGGAATGCAGGGATTTCACTGAGCTCATGGTTCTCAGAGGGAAGGACATTTCCCTCCTCCTCTTCCTCTTCCCTCTGCAGTGTGATGACACAGACAGTGTCCAATGTCATTTCCTTTTCTGTTAATACAAGTTCATCACTCTTTATGTGGACATGTCTGATCTTCTGGTTGCTTTGATAAAACACAGATATTGACCTAGATTCCTTATTTTATTTAATTTTCATAAACATTATATTTTGAAAATATTTTAGATTGGCTGGGCGCGGTGGCTGACGCCTGAAATCCCAGCACTTTGGGAGGTTGAGGCAGGTGGATGACAAGATCAGGAGTTCAAGACCAGCCTCACCAGCATGGTGAAACCTCATCTCTACTAAAACTACAAAAAAGTAGCTGGGCATGGCAGCCTGTAATCCCAGCTACTCCGTAGGCTGAGGCAGGAGAATCACTTGAACCTGGCGGACAGAGGTTGCAGTGAGCCAAGACTGTGCCTCTGCACTCCAGCCTGGGTAACAGGGCAAGATTCTGTCTAAAAAAAGAGGAAATAAAGAAAGAAACAAAGAAACAAAGAAAAAAAAGAAAATATTTTAGATTTACACAGAGGTATAAAGATGGCATAAAAGAGTCCCCGGGTACGCCGCACCTGGCCTGAGACATGACAATTGTAGTAAATACCTTGACAATGGAAGTGGGGAGGCTACAGGAAGACATGAAAGGTTCACCTAAGCTGATCTAGAAAACACTACAGACGCCTTCCTGAGGGTAGCAGCACTTCATCAGAGAAAAAAAAAAAAAAGAGAGAGCCAGAAGAAAGGGAATATAGTTTCAGGTGGAGAGAACAAAATGTGGAAAGGCTGGGAGGTAAAAGAGAGCAGGGTTTAGTTGGAACACACGCAAAAATGTCAGTATTGCTGGACCACAGATTGGGAGGTGTGGAACAGCTAGAGAGAATCATATGTTCAGGATTAATGGGAATTGGGGCGTGGGTATTTCCTTGTACAAGCTAAACCTGGTGGGCAAAGCCCATAAACATGCAGTGTTTGAAACCAAGCTTGTTCTCTTTAGCATGAGATTCACTTCCTTACTTTTTTTCTGGTCCAAGTCACACCTTTCCCAGTAATGGCCTAGCCTAGGAATCACAGCCCTGATCACATCATTCTAACTGTAAAATGAAACTACGTATTCACAGAACAGATCATTCATTCGAACTGTAAAGTAACTGCAAATCCACAGCACAAACAAGAGGAGAGAGAGGACCATGGGCTCAGGGGTTCAGACAAGAGAGCTTTTGACAACTTAACAAAAAGTACAAAATCTCTTAGCAAAACCTACAACAGCATGAATGCACTCTCCCACTCTCTCTCTCCCACTCACACAAACACACACATACTTTCATGAAGTCCATGAATCTCAGCTAAAAGGTCTTACTCCAAAGAATTCATTTTATATGAAAAATTGGATCCCTTTTCATCCTAAACATCAGCATTTTCCAAATCTACCTGTTTTTTTCTCAAGCACCAACCTAACAAAACCTAAACAAGGCAAACACACCAAACCACCTAATATTATATAATTTTATATAAAATAATTTAGTGTCCTAAAAAATTTTAGAAATATTACAAAGGAATGGTTATTTTCAACTCAATCAGTATCATTACCTCTCAGTCTTTACACATACACACACAGACATACACACACTCACACACACACACTTCTAAAAACTAGGAAACCAGGAACAGTTTTTTTCAGTTCTGAACAAGAACGCTTTCTTTTTGCTTCTTCTTTGCTTATTTATTTATTTATTGCTTTTTAATTTTTTTGTAGAGACGAGGTCTCACTGTGTTGCCCAGGCTGGTCTTGAACTCCTGAGCTCAAGAGATCCTCCCACTTTGGCCTCCCAATGTGCTGAGATTACAGTCGTCAGCCACTGCACCTGGCCTAGAGTGGGTTTTAATCTGTAGACGTTGTATTTCTTCTTTTTTTTTTTTAATACTTTAAGGTATAGGGTACATGTGCACAACGTGCAGGTTTGTTACATGTGTATACAGGTGCCATGTTGGTGTGCTGCACCCATTAACATGTCATTTACATTAGGTATATCTCCTAATGTTGTGGAACACAGTGTGGCAATTCCTCAAGGATCTAGAACTAGAAATAACATTTGACCCAGTCATCCCATTACTGGGTAAATACCCAAAGGATTATAAATTATGCTGCTATAAGGACACATGCACATGTATGTTTACTGCGGCACTAATCACAATAGCAAAGACATGGAACCAATCCAAATGTCCATCAATGATAGACTGGATTAGACGTTGTATTTCAAAAACAGGAGCAATTAAGACAATATTCATGAACACCCACGCACACACAATTATGCATAAAGAAGCATCTAGAAAGAAGTATCTAACTCTTAATGGAGGTGGCCTGAAACAACTCCCGGAGGTTAGGCTTCTCACTGAAACTAAACATCTCGCCCAAAATATTAGAAGTCCCCTTGCATAAGGAGAAGCTGGAGGAAACACCTAGAATGCAAGCCAGTAGAGAATGCCCCCTTCTTCAGGTAGTTACTAACTTGCAGGATCCACGAATGCACGGCTCGTGGAAATTCAGCAAGGGCTTAAGACAGATTTCCAGATGGGCTTCCCTTCCTAAGACCTAGATGCTCCACAGAGAGAAAACAGCTGGGTGTACATGCAGGTTGGCTGGAGGAGCTGGCCACGCCTGTTTTCAAACGTGAATGACAACCTCCTAAATGATATTTTGTAAAATTCCATTCCCTGAAGACCACAACTGCCCGTAGAGAAAGGGGGCACACCTAATTCACACGTCGCCGACAGTTTGCAAATATAGCATTTTGGTAAATGTCTTTCATCTCTCTGTTGTTGCTAAGCCTCGAAGACTCCAATTCTCTCTGAATGAATGAATGCACAAATAAATAAATAAACAAACAGAAGAAAACGCTTAAGCACACCACGATGTTCTTTTCCCAGAGGGTGATAATTCATCAGTGTTTGTTTGGAAGTTGGCCTGTCACAGGGTTGTGAAAACGTGAAGAGAAAAGCTATTGAACATCTAGAAAAGGAAAAGCTTCCCTCACCAAGGTCAAGCATGTATCAGCCATGAGACAAAGCAACACTCATTTCAACCTGAGGCCACAATGTACCTTGACCCCAGCCTCATGAAAACAACAATTTGCAGTCGTCTATAAAACACTTCCTCTACTTTCTCTGTTCCGTTGGCTTCTTCCAAACGCAGACTCCTGAGTTAGCAGTATCTGGCTATATTTTACAAGCATGTGTGCGCGCGTCAGTGTGTGCGTTGCATGCTAAGGTTTGGGGCCAAGATTTATCTCATTCTCTGATGGCATTTTATCGTTATTAGAGAGCCATAAATTTCAGCTCCGTTAGCACTGCATTTAAATATGCACCCGCCAAGATAGAAAGGTGCTGGATCTATAGTACACTATAAATTTCCATTATTTGCCATCATTCTATACTTGGGCCTTGGCAGAGCACAGCCGAGGCTGCACATTTTGTTTAGATAGCTCCCATTCCCTGAAGGGAAACTTCGCCAACACTTGAAGCAGATACGATTTGCTGGCCGCGACTCTGTTTGCACCTTAACAGCTGTTTTGCTTTTTTATTTAGAGAGAACAGGGTTGCCACCATCTGTCTTTTGAAAAATGAGTTCTGCTCACAGCAACATGGAACAATAAAAAAAGAGAAAGAGGCTGAAGGATGAAGCCAAAAGTCATGAAAGAAAGAGGGTCGCTCAACCAGGAAATGAAAATAATGGTGAAACCTTTACTACTGATGGGACAAAAACATGAAACAAATTTACCAAAATGCCAGTGAGGGATTTCAAGGTTGGTACACAGGGTCAAGTGACAGCCAGAAAAGAAACAGTCTTAAGTTCTCTGCAGCAAGTGCTGGCCGAAACCAAATCACAATAACCTCACCTGGCGGGTAACCACGTCCTGTCACCTACCCTGCTCACAGCATCCTAAAACGGCCCAGTGAAGTAGACAGTTTAATCAACTCCACTTTAGAAAAAAGAAAAATACGGGAATAGGCATCAGTCACATGTGACTTCAAGTTCAGCATTTCCACTTTCTGGTTTTGCATCGTGTATCACGCCTGTTTCCACATCCACCAAGTGAGGCGTGTCTACCCAAGTGGAAGTGTGGCTGGAGGAATTACGTGAGATGATATATGCAAAACGCTGTGTGCAATGCTTGGCACATAGGTGTGCTGAATACACTGTGGCTGTGTCTGTTATCACGGCAGTTCAGTGACTTAGGTTACGTCCCGAAACAAGTGAGAAACATGAGCCCAGATTTAAATCCAGTCTGCAGAATTTAAGTTCAGTGCCTTGTTTTCAGTATCCGAAAGGCTTCTTCTAAAACTCAACTCTATAGGCTAGTTTATACCATGACACCATATTAACTCCCAGTCTTCAGTTTGAATAGTATGGCAGAAGGATCTACCACATGTCCGAGACAGATCTTGGGGATGAGGCAGGTCCCGTTCCACATAATTACTTGGGGATACATGTTGATGGCGATTTCCTGATCTCAACAAAGGACTTCAAATTCACCGCGGCAAGGGATGGTCATGTCTGGTGGTGTCTCACTCTTCCATGCTTTGTCCCAGAAGTGATGAACTTTACTAAGCCTACAATTCATTGGCAAGAACAAGCCTTATGGTCTCACTTAACTGCAATGAGTGACTAGGAAGTGTAGTCTTTCCAAGAAAGAAACCCTATCACCACACAGCAATAACTACTGGTGTTGCCTATCACACCAAATAATGGGTAAATGATGAATTAACTGGGTCTTTACCCTTCAAAGAGAAGTTAGATTTCCCTGAAACACGTTGCTTACCTCTATAGATGTAATTAAAGCCAAGTAAATTTAGTATTTCACAATTGCTTATTGTGGAATAATATTTCTTTCTACCCAAATCAGAAAATGTTATTAGTCAGAAAAAAAAAATCTTTAAGAAAAAAAAAGAAAATGTTATTAAAATGAATTATTGGGAATGGAATGGAACATAATAGAAATGTGAATAACTAGACCGCTAGTCATAAAAAAATTTCAAATACTTCTTGTTTGCTCAAAAGAGCCTTTTAAACAAGAGGAGATGAACCACAAATGGTGTCTAATAGGCTCTTAAATAAGCCAAAATCTCAGAATAATGTGAACAACCTTCTATCCAAAGCAGTCCTGAGAATTAATTGATGCTTGATTTGGGAAGGGAAAAACACTTTTTCCTCTCCCCAGCCTCTGTCTGAACACTGATGAGCAAAACTTCCTGCTCAGTGCCTTATACTCCAGAAGATTCAGATTCCATAAGTCTATAATACGGCTCAAGTTTCTTTGTTTTTGCCAACTCTGAGGTGGTTCTGATGCCCAGAAAAGGCTAAGAAGCCAAGCTCCAGATCTACTCCATAGTCTAGAAGAACAATCCCAGGAATGCGAGCAGTTTCTGATTTGCAGTCCCAGGCCATATGCTCACCCATAGCCTCAGCGCCTATAATGATACTAATGCCTTCACAATGCCACTGGATGCATCTGCTGCTGTCACCACAACAAATCCAGACTACTGAGAGTGACTAAGAAGAAAGGAAAAAGAGAACATGAACTGACCCTTAACTCTGTCTCAGACCCCAAGTTTATGCTATTCCATAATGCAAGAAAAAGATAAACAGAATCCCTGCATTCAGGAAGCATAGAACCTGGTAAAGAAGCTAAGCACGGTGGCTCACACCTGTAATTCCAGCCCTTTGGGAGGTCCAGGCGGGTATATCACAACGTCAGCAGTTTGAGACCAGCCTGGCCAATATGTTCAAAAGTGCCTCTAGTAAAAATACAAAAAAATTAGCCGGGTGTGGTGGCACATGCCTGTAATCTCAGCTACTCAGGAGGCTAATGCAGGAGAAGTGCTTGAATCCTGGAGACGGAGGTTGCAGTGAGCCGAGACAGTGCCACTGCACTCCAGCCTGGGTGACAGAGCGAGACTCCATCTCGAAAAAACAACCTGGTAAAGAACTTGGCTTCTAGTTTATCATCCACTCTCTCTCACTCAAGATTCCATTCCCATTACCTTGAAAGACTGAGAATCAAATCCAAAATATATTTTCCCAACCTTTTAAATGTATTTTTGCAAAGACAGTTATCCCCTTTAAAATTCAGTTTAAGACGGGGTGCAGTGTCTCACTCCTGTAATTCTAGCACTTTGGGAGGCTTATCACTGTAATCCTAGCACTGTGGGAGGAGAGTGGATCACCTGAGGTCAGGAGTTCGAGATCAGCCTGGCCAACATGGTAAAACCCCACCCCTACTTTAAAAAAAAATAAAATAAAATAAAAACAAAAAAATAAAAATAAAAAAAAGCCAGGCGTGGTGATGCATGACTGTAATCCTGGCTACTAGGGAGGCTGACGTGGGAGGATTGCTTGAACCCAGGAGGCTAACATTGTAGTGAGCCAAAATCATGCCACTGCACACTCCAGCCTGGGCGACAGAGCGAGACTCCACTTCAAAAACAAACAAAACCTTCAGTTTACACATCATTTTGAACAGGTTATTTTCATTTGTCAAAGTTTCAGCACCTTGGACAGTTCTTTTTGAGCATTTATTCTGCATACACAATTGCCTGTCCCAATAAATCGGCCATTCCAATGACATTGTGTATTTATTTTTAATATACTGAGTGAATACTGTTACATATTTCATCCTCAAGTTCCTTGAAACCTACTCTTCCTTCTTTTAGTGAGAATACTGACGTACGGAATAGAGTATATAGCATTTTAGCCAAGCGCCGTGGCTCAAATCTGTAATCCCAGCCCTTTGGGAGGCTGAGGCAGGAAGATTTTTGGAGATCAAGAGCTCAAGAATGACCTGGGTAACATGGTGAGACCCCATTTCTACAAGTTTTTAAAAAATTAACTGGGCATGTTGGTGCACACCTGTAGTTCCACCTCCTTGGGAGGCTAAGATAAGAGGATTGCTTGAGCCTGGGAGTTTGAGGCTGCAGTGAGCAGTGATTGTGCCAGTGCACTCCAGCCTGGGCAACAGAGAAAAACAGTCTCTCTTAAAAAACAGACTTTATATAATTTGTTAATGGCATCCTCCCTCCTCCCTGATTCCAGGTAATATAACATTAGTAGTTGTGTTGCAATGATAGGTTATACCAGAGTTTCTCAACATCAGCACTGCTAACATTTTGATACAGACAATTCTTTGCTTTGGGGACTGTCCTGTGTAATGCAGGATATTTAGAGGCATGCCTTCACTCCATCTGCTAGATGCGAGTAGCATCCTCTTCCCAGTCGTAGCAACCAAACATGTCTCCAGACATTGTCACATGTTCTCTGGGTCAGAAAGTGGGCAATTTTTCCTTCAAGTGAGAGGGACTGGTTTATGTTTATTGCACGTATAACATGAGCAGAACACTGAGTTAAGCTCCTAGCATACCTTACTTCATTGAATTACCTCAGCAGTCCTATGTGAGTAGGGACTACAAGCATTTTTTCACCAAAGAAAGGATGCTTAGAGAACTAAATGGCTCAATCTCAGTCACAAAGCCAATGAGTATCAGAGCATTACACCACAAATTTGTATGTGAAATCCCTAACCCTCAGTCTAAAGACATTTGGAGATGGGACTTTTGAGAAGATAACATCATAAAAGTAAGATCCTCATAAGGGGATTACTGCCCTTAAAAGGAGAGAAAGAGAGGGCTTGCTTTCTCTCTCTCTCCACCTGTACACACTGAGGAAACGCCACTGAAGACACATTGAGAAGGTGGCCATCTGCCAACCACAAAGAGAGCCTCCACCAGGACCTGACCATCTTGGCACCCTGATCTTGAACTTCCAGCCTCCCCAGCTATGGGAAAATAAATAGCTCTTGTTCAAGCCACCCAGTCTACGGCATTTTGTTATGGCAGCCTGAACACACTAAGATATCAGTTTGTTAAAATGGGTCAAAACTTGAAAGGAAACATTACTTCTCCTCTAATCCAGTGTGCACAGCTTCCCAACAATTACAAAGCAAGTCACTCTGGCCTCCCTTTGCTGATAAAGTCAGCTTAAAATTAATTGTCCCATAATAAAGAAAGGTCTGTTGGATCTCATTTTTTTCTGGAGCACAATTCTGTTCCAATGTTTTGTTAGCAGCATTTAAAAATCACACTGTACAAGAGAGAAAGGAAACCAGAAATAAGGTGTTCCAATGTCCTTGTTTTTCTCACTGTCTGTTCCAGGCAGTTATTAACATGGCTTGGGAAATGAGACAGATGCGACTTTCCATGTCATCTATGATTGAAGGCTCCTTGCCTATGACACACCCATGTGGCCTCAGAAACCTGAAGGATGAGTACTTTCATAGACAAAAGGTGATGGAATTGAAGAGACCTGATTCAGTCCCAGGTCTGTCACTAGTAGTTATGAGATCTCACCTGCCAGACATTTGGTCTGTCAGCCTCAGATCCTGTATCTTTAAAACTGGGAAAATTTCTTTCATCTTGCTGATGTTATGAGTTAAGCAAGTTGAACAAAAACACCCGCAAGAGCTCCCAGCATTCAGTGATGGTCAATAAATGATAGTGATCATAGTCTCATCCTATGATTATTCTAGATCTTTGCTGGATGGATTCTGAAGCTGTTTCTCATTGGTGACTCCATACGTCTGACCTAAAGTCCACTTATTATTTTGGAGGTCTGGATAATCTGATTTGACCTACAGTGACTGGACTAGACCTCATTGATCAGAACACCACATCATGATCTACTTAGCCAATGTCAGAGGATTAATGAAGGGCGTATTTCCAGAGAGAAATGTGCAGAAGATGGGGTGGAAGAGCATGCAATACCACTTGAGCTAACATCATCCAAAGGCATCCCACTCCTTCCCATTTCTCATGACTGATATCACTGTCCAAAAACAACTTGGGGCACGGTGCGGCGGCTCACGCCTGTAATCCCAGCACTTTGGAAGGCCAAGGCAGGCGGATCACGAGGTCAGGAGATCGAGACCATCCTGACTAACATGGTGAAACTCCCATCTCTACTAAAAATACAAAAAATTAGCCGAGCATGGTGGCAGGCACCTGTAGTCCCAGGTACTTTGAAGGCTGAGGCTGGATAATGGCGTGAACCCGGGATGCGGAGCTTGCAGTGAGCCGAGATCATGCCACTGCACTCCAGCCTGTGCGACAAAGCAAGACTTCGTCTCAAAAAACAAACAAAACAAAACAAAACAAACGCACAACAAAAACAAACAAACACACACAACAAAAACAAACAAACAAAAATCCAACTTGGAAGGCCCAACCTGTTTTAAAAACACATAGCAACAAACAGCCCGCCTGGTTTCAATCCCCATCTGCCACACTTGCACTCTTTAAGACCTTGGCAAATTGCTTAAGCTTTCTGGGCTTCAGTTTCTCCTTCTGCAAAGTGAAAATGATGATAGCATCTTGACCTCAGAATCATTAAAAGAATTACATAAGTTAATGTTGCAAAAGCCCTTAGAACCAGCCCTGGAATGGTATGAGGACTCCACGAATGACTGCTAATTATTGAAATCAAATAAATCCAAATCTGTCTGCAGTTTTTGACTTTTCAACTATGTAAGACACAGCCTGATGGCCTCTCTTCTTTCAGTGACCCTTTCCCACCCAGGAAAAAAAAAAAAATGAATTTGCTTTCAATTAAAAGGCAAGGCCACAAATTGACTTGAAATAAAAACAAACAAACAACAAACAAAATATAACAGGAAAGAACAGCCTAAGTAGTTAATTTATCCTCTTGCCCAAGGCCCTGCTAAGACTCACTTTGGTGGGAGAACTTTATCAGCACACTATCTTCTGCTCAAGAAAAGAGATGTGGGCCGGGAGCAGTGGCTCATGCCTATAATCCCAGCACTTTGGGAGGCGGAGGCAGAGGCAGAGATGGGTAGATCACTTGAGGCCAGGAGTTTGAGACCAGCCTGGCCAACATGGAGAAACCATGTCTCTACTAAAAATACAAAAATCAGCCGGGCAGTGGTGGCATGCAAGTGTAATCCCAGCTACTTGGTAGGCTGAGGCAGGAGAATCTCTTGAACCCAGGAGGCGGTACCAGAGAGCCATTGGTTTAAGTCATCCAAGATCACTCCACCACACTCTAGCCTGGGTGACAGAGAAAAACTCTGTCTCAAAAAAAGAAACAAACAAACAAAAAAAAAAGGGGAGATGTGATCAGTGTCTCTCCCTCCTTTTCCAACCCACATCTCCTTCACTGGCCACCAGAGATCTAGCCCCTCGGATGCTCACGGACTCGGTCAACTCTAAGAGGTCTCACTGGCCAATGCATATAATAATCACCAAGATCTCACCAGTGTGTGTCCTAGCGTAAGAGTCTGTACAGAAAGTCTAACCAGACTGGGTTTGATGCTCACAATGTAAGTTCTTTCTCTAGTGTTCTCTAAATGTTCATGAAAAGCAGTTTTCTCTTGGTCCTGGAGAATTTGCCATTTAGCTCTAGGTTGTCTGTGTATTTGAGCTTCAGGACTTAATAATGACATATATGTATAAGGGACCCTCATAGTATTCACAGCTGATTAAGTCTCACCCCTCCTGGAATGATCACGTGCTTTGCAGCAAAGAATAGAGTTCATGCCCTTAGGCAAACCGTTATAGAAGTTAACTAAATTTGAATTCTCCCAGGGCCTCTTGAGTGCATTTTTTTTTTCTTAAGAGTTCTCTGAGCTTCTATCAAGTCTAATTGATTTTTAGCACAGGAAGCCTTACCTCCCAATATAGCTTTGGACCCTTTTTCCTTGTAGCCAATGGCAAAAGAACCATTTATAAATTATTAAACTTGTTCACAGCTAAACGGCACCAAAATAGCCCAGGAATATTTTAATATTCGTAGTTTGCTTTGATTAAAATACAAACTTTTCACGTTAGCTCTAGTATTATTTTTCACAAGGCAAGCAGGTTACAGAGCTGAATGCCACTTAATTTAGTGTTTAATCAAGAGAACTACTGTGGTATCAGGCTGATTAGGTTGGCTCAACTGCTGCCTGCTCAATTTTTCCCTATAATTCTAGGATATTCTTTATGGTGACAAGTGCCCAGACGGTAGAATTCCAATATGCTATACATCAGCTTCTCCATTATTGGATTAGCTGGATGTGGCATCGTTACTGCTGCACTTTCATTCCTATCATTGATCGCATCATCCCTTCCATTTCACAATTAATGCAAGTCTGTTGGATTGATTAATCTTCTCCTGTGCTTGGGCTGCAGTCAATATATTCCTATGGCCGTGTGTTAGTGATCTGCAGGGTTTCTTGCAAGGCCTGTGGATTTGTCACAGTGGCGAGACATTTTTTTCATTTTAAGGTGCTTCTAATTCCAAGAGACTGCTTGGCGCAGGGTCTTCAAATTATACATGTACAAAGAAAGAGAAAGAAGGAAGAGACAGAGAGTGAGAGAGAAAAGAGAGAAGAAGAGGAAGGAGAGGAAGGAGAGGAAGTAGACAAGAAGAAAAAAGAAAGAGGGACAGAGAGAAAGAGGGAAAGGAAGAGAGAAAGAGAAAGAGCAAGAGAGGAAGGAAGGGAGGGAGGAAGTGAGGGAGGGAGGGATGGAGGGAGGAAGGGAGGGAGGAAGGGAGGGAGGGAGGGAGGGAGGAAGGGAGGGAGGGAGGGAGGGAGGAAGGGAGGGAGGGAGGAAGGGAGGGAGGAAGGGAGGGAGGAAGGGAGGGAGGGAGGAAGGGAGGGAGGGAGGAAGGGAGGGAGGAAGGGAGGGAGGGAGGGAGGGAGGAAGGGAGGGAGGGAGGAAGGGAGGGAGGGAGGAAGGGAGGGAGGAAGTGAGGGAGGGAGGGAGGGAGGAAGGGAGGGAGGAAGGGAGGGAGGGAGGAAGGGAGGGAGGGAGGGAGGGAGGGAGGGAGGGAGGAAGGGAGGGAGGGAGGAAGGGAGGGAGGGAGGAAGGGAGGAGGAAGGGAGGGAGGGAGGAAGGGAGGGAGGAGGAAGGGAGGGAGGGAGGAAGGGAGGGAGGGAGGAAGGGAGGGAGGGAGGAAGGGAGGGAGGGAGGAAGGGAGGAGGAAGGGAGGGAGGGAGGAAGGGAGGAGGAAGGAAGGGAGGGAGGAAGGGAGGGAGGGAGGGAATTTCATTTTTATAGCTATCAACCTTGAATTTCTTGAATTATTTACTCTTGTTCACTGAATTCTACTTTTTTTTTGAGACAAAGTCTTGCCCTGTCACCCAGGCTGGAGTGCAGTGGTATGATCTCAGATCACTGCAACCTTTGCTTCCTAGGTTCAAGCGATTCTGCTGCCTCTGACTTCTGAGTGTCTGGAATTACAGATGCGCCACCATGCCTGGCTAATTTTTGTATTTTTAGTAGAGACAGGGTTTCATCATACTGGCCAGAATGGTCTCAAACTCCTGGCCTCAGGTGATCCACCTGCCTCAGTCTCCCAAAGTGCTGGGATTACAGGTATAAGCCACCGCACCTGGCCTGAATTTTACTTTCTAATACTTTAAGCTATTCATTCAAAACTCATTAAAGCCAATTCGCCAAAAATATCATCCTGTTACATTTTCTTCGGTAACAACTATTCTGATTATGCTGTGGATATATATTTTTTTCAGTGAGAACTTGTACATGAAACAATAAAGGGCAAGAGGAGTAGCTGTGGCTGAAAACTGGATCCAAGTTTGCTCTCAACTGAATATAGATAATGCTAAGTTGGGTGAGAGACACAATGCCCAACATTATACTGGTTTTATTTTGCTACCATTTCTGAAATCTGTTGCCATTTCACGTGTTTCTCACGGCACCTGTTGTACTAGGAGGCCCCAGCTAGCAAGCTTGAGGAGACAGCATGAAGGTTCTTACAAGTCCATGTTGATACTTCCTAATGCTGAGGTGTCCACTAGGTGGGCTACAGAAACGCACAGGAGCGTGCAGGCTTCAATGGCAGCAGCCTTACCCCATCCTCACAGTTTCTAAGGACCTGCATGTAGGGAAATGAGATGATTTTCATGGGAGTTTACCCTGTATAGTCAAGAAATTAGCAGCAAAAGTACATGCAAAATCATGTTAAAGAGAAGAGCTTCCAAACAAGAAAGAGTAGAAACGTACATTTACATTGAAAGAATGACTAAAACAGTCAAAGATGGCTGGAGGATGGGAGGGTGTTTAACAATGTACAGTAGGCAAATTTATGCCCCACTTCCCCAAGATACCCATGTCCTAATCCCCAGAACCTGTCAATACGATGCGTGACATGACAAATAGGATTTTCTAGATGTTATCAAAAGTATGCACCTAAAAATACGGAGATGACTCTGGATTATTGGGGAAAATCCCATCTAATCACAAAAGCACTTTAAAACACAAGACTTTCTCCAGCTGCAATGAGGTACATATGGCAGAAGAAGTCAATGAGATTTCAAGGATGAGATGCATTCGTACCATTGCTGACTATGAGTTGGAAGAGTCCACACTTCACAAAAGGACGTAAAAAGCTCCCAGGATCTAAGAGAAGCCCTTCTGCTACCAGCCAGTAAAGAAATGGAGACTTCAGCTTTACAGCTGCAAGGAAATAAATTTTGCTGGCAACCTGAAGGAGTTTGAAAATGGACTCTTCCCAGAGCCTCCTTATCAGTCCATACAGCCAACCATTGACATCAGCGTTGAGAAAAACTCACAGTGTAGAAACCAGATGAGCCAACTAGATTTCTCACCTATAGAACCGTGAGATCATATGTATTTGTTATTTCAAGGTGCCAAATGTGTGGTACTTCTGGCAGTGGTAGAAAACTAAGACTACGAAAACATGGAAGAGACAAGACGGTGCGTCCATATGGGGAGGTGATGTTAAAGGCAGAACAAAGGCTCAGACAGAAAATGGCAGGGTTCAAAGTGTGATTCCACTGCTTGGGAGCTGAGGGTTCTTGGGCAGGTGACTTAACTTTGCTAAGTGTTCTCTTCTGCATAGGGTTTACTTTTTCTTAATCAAATTAATTGCCAGGCATGGTGGCTCATGTCCGTAATCCCAGCACATTGGGAGACCAAGGAAGGACGATCACTTGAGTCCAGGAGTTCAAGATCAGAATGAGCATCACAGGGAGACCTTGTCTCTATAAAACCCGAAACCAAGCCAGGTGTGGTGGTTCCCAACTCTAGTCCTACCTACTCAGGAAGGTGAGGTGGGAGGACTGCTTGAGCCCAGGAGTTCGAGGCTACAGTGAGCTGTGATCATATCACTCCATTCCAGCCTGACCAATAGACACCCTGTCTCTACATAAAAAAACTTGTTTGGCCGGGCGCAGTGGCTCAAGCCTGTAATCCCAGCACTTTGGGAGGCCAAAGCGGGTGGATCACAAGGTCAGAAAATCGAGACCATCCTGGCCAACATGATAAAACCCCGTCCCTACTAAAAATACAAAAATTAGCTGGGTATACTGGTGTGTACCTGTAATCCCAGCTACTCGAGAGGCTGAGACAGGAGAATCGCTTGGACCTCGGAGGCAGAGGATGCAGTGAACCGAGATCGTGCCACTGCACTCCAGCCTGGCAACAAACAGAGTGAGACTCCATCTCAAAAAAAAATAAATAAATAAATAAATTTAATGACATTATGTATGTCCTCTAGCCAAAGATGTTTAAATGTACACCTGTATTTGAACAAAGTAGGGTTTACTACCTATTGCAAAGGAGAACATATACCATGAGGAACCACGGAGTATCTCAGTAAGATGCTGTCCAGCTTCTTAGAGGATTTGCCTTTCTGTTACGTGATCCTGAGTAGGGGTTAAAGAATTGGGGCTTTTCTCTGGATTGGATGCTGTCAGAAAGACCAATTATATCACTGGGTATCTTCATAGTTCTTATCCAGAAGAAGGGAAGAATTTAGTGAAGCGAAAGCTGTAGTCGGTGAAGAAGCAGCAGTCACTCATGTGAGCCAGAAAAAGAAGATGAATGGTCATCTTGCGATTTAGGCAAGGTCCATGTTTTGGACTGAGTTCAGACATGATCACCTAGCGGTCTTGTCTTGTCCTGACCCACCACAGTCCTGAGATGGCCTTGTCTGATGCTGATATTCTATGAAATTGTTTGTGTTCAACAGGCAACACCAAAGTCTATCTGTGAGTGTCAAGCCACCTCCTACCAACACCAAGCCATCACTAATAGGATCTTTCAGGAGCTGCTTTTCCATTTCTCAAGATAAAAATTACAGAACACTTATCATTGTACCAATTTTCTCGTTCACCTGCCATTACTGGGTTCCTTCTCCCCATTCCTGTCAATTATCTTTCTAGACATAACCCAGAAACTTTTCTCTTTTTGTCCTTCCACAAGAAATACTGACTGTATTGGGATGTTTCCTTGCCATCCCTCTATTCTATAAGTCAACTTAGTCTTTCTCCCCCAAAGCAAGCAAGAACACAGTCTCATTGAAAGGGAGGAAGATGACTGGAATGGAGGCAAGTATCTTTAGGTTCTCTTGAAAGGTAAGGGGAAAGCTATTAGCACTCATCTTTTCATACTGTATGTCCCACACACAAAAAGGTGAGGATATGTGTTTATTTTGTTTAGTTTTGGGTTTTTTTTCGTTTTTTGTTTTTGAGATGGAATCTCGCTCTTGTCACCCAGGCTGGAGTGCAATGACGCGATCTCAGCTGACTGCAACTTCTGCCTCCTGGATTCAAGGAATGCTCCTGCCTCAGCCTCCCAAGTAGCTGGGATAACAGGCACGCACCATCATGCTCTGCTAATTTTTGTATTTTTGGTAGAAATGGGGTTTCACCATGTTGGCCAAGCTGGTCTCGAACTCCTGACCTCAAGTGATCGGCCCACCTTACAAAGTCCTGGAATTACAGGTGTGAGTCACCTCACCTGGCCTCTTTGCTCAAGGATTCAACCTGTTCTGTCCCAACAGGTTCCAACAGCTGACCCAGCCACTTATAGAGACACGTGGATTAGGTTATCTTAATCTGGTACAGCCAATCCTTGGTGTCTCACAGCTACTTCTCCTTTCTTGAATACCAGCTCACCATACATCTTCCTGGTTATGATGTGGCTTTTGTATATTTTCCCTATATAGAAAAAATGCCCAGACAATGGAATACCAATGTTGAGGCTTTCAAGAAAACTGTTCTAAATTAAAGCCATTAAATAGAAATTCATTGTACTAATAAACCTTAGATACATAGCTAGGACGTGTCCATGACAAAGAGATGGTCTCTCTCTTGGAGTGCTGGCATACCAACTTACTGATCCTCCAAACCTGGGCTGGGCTCCAAACCTTCAAATCCAGGCTATGGTGACTCCACCAGAGCCAAATGCTGACCAGCTTGGGTCTCTGAGACTAAATAAAACCGGTGGACAAAGAATCTGATGCCATGTTGTCTTTGCTTTTACCCTGATGTTGAGGAGTTTAATACACAAATATAACCTTAGGTATCCGAATGGAGTTAATTTAATCTAATTAATATATAATGCGTTGTTCTTATGCATTATATATTCTTCTATGCATAAGATTCAAAAGATAATGCATAAGATGCTTCTTATGCATTACAGATTCTTCTATGCATCATTCTTCTGTGCATAAGATTTAAAAAGATGCTCTATTAAGTACAAAACAAAACTGATTTCTAGTGTCCACATTGGCAACACATATACTAAAACTAGAATGATACAGAGAAGGTGGTATGGCACCTGTGCAAAGATGGCACGCAAATTTGTGAAGCGTTACTTTTTTTATAAAAAAAAAAAAAAAAACCCCTCATTTCTACCCTGGGAAAATGGGATGTTTTTTTAAAAGAAAGCAGATAAATTTATTGACAGTTCTCCTAATGACCATTTCATTGACCCACTGAAAGCCAATTTACCAAATAACCAATCATCTGAAAACCATTAGTGAGTCTTTGCAATTTATAAGTAGAACCTGGACAAGGAATTGTCCTTTAGTCTCATCCCAAAAAGTTCTATTAATAAAATTAGACTTGATGTGCATATCATGTTTTTTTCTAATACATACTAACTTAATTACATTGTTTGTGTTTAATAATTACAGCATCAACTAAGCTTTCCTATGTTCCTTTGATGCTACATGTATCAACCTTTGAGTTTATAGCTAACAAAACTTTCCTGGAAGAGGTTAGTTTTTCTCCAGAGGTATTTTAATACCTTGTTTCAACCTCTGGTTTTATTTTATTTTTAAAGGGTGTAAATATGCATCCCTGAGAGCAGGATTTAACAGGGCTTCACAAACTACTCCTTCTTTTATAATTTTTTCTTTTTTTTTTTTTAAGATGGAGTCTCGCTCTGTCACCAGGCTGCAGTACAGTGGCGCAATCTCTGCTCAGTGCAACCTCCGCCTCCCAGGTCTAAGTGATTCTCTTGCCTCAGCCTCCTGAGTAGCTGGGACTACAAGTGCTCACCATCACGCCCAGCTAATTTTTGCACTTTTAGTAGAGACGGGGGTTTCACCATGTTGGCCAGGATGGTCTTGATCTGCTGACCTTGTGATCCACCCACCTCGGCCTCCCAAAGTGCTGGGATTACAGGCGTGAGCCACCGTGCCTGGCCCAGAAACTCCTTTTTAAACGATCTGTCTAGCATCTTTCATTCTTCTTTAAACCCATTTTACGCAATGCTCCTGCAAGACTATTCTTTGTAAATCATGGCCTGATTGTATAACCTCTCTTTGGGAAACCAAACACAACAGAGAAAAAAGAAGAAGAAAAAAAAAGACCACCAAGATCCACTCATAGTTTGGAGAAAATAACTGTAATAAAATGTTGACCTCATCGCCTTTCCTACATTCTTACACTTTCTAACTTCCTAAGTTTCTGTCTTGTGTTATTCTGATTTCTAGCCTTATCTTAACACGCTGAGTGTATCGGGATGTTGAGAGAAACTCCTATCAGCCTAATTTCCCTTTATTATATAGCATCTACCACAACACATTCCTCAAACAAAGCCGACATTCAGGAAGTGTATTTTAAGCCACTTAGTGCTATTTGAAAATAGTTTTTTGTTTGTTTCTTTGTTTTTGAGTTGGACCCTCACTCTATCACCAGGCTGGAGTGCAGTGGCGCAATCTCGGCTCCCTGCAACCTCTGCCTCCCAGGTTCAAGCGATTCTCCTGCCTCAGCCTCCCGAGTGGCTGGGATGACATGTGCATGCCACCACGCCCAGCAAATTTTTGTATTTTTAGTAGAGACGGGGTTTCACCATTTTGGCCAGGCTGGTCTCCAACTCCTGACCTCATGATCCGCCTGCCTCAGCTTCCCAAGTGCTGGAATTACAGACATGAGCCATCGCGCCCAGCGAAAATAGTTGAAAAGATCTTTTTTAAATCTCTTTCTTGCTGGATAAACAGAAAACCTTCATATCAGGGCAATTTCATGTGTAAACACATGTGCTCACACAAACACAAAATAGCTTTAGAGGATACAAGAAAATGCACTGGCTCACATGCTTGCAAAGTTCCAAAGTAGATAGATTAACTTCATGCACCGCTGTATCCAGGGCCTCAAGTGACAGCATCAAGATTTTTCCCTTTCCTAATTTCTTAGATTGCATGTCAGTACACTGAGAGGTGGATGGCCACAATAACCCTAGACTCACCTAACAAGATCAACAACCCCATGAGAAAAAAAAATTTCTCCATAGCGTCTAAGAGCAAAGTCCCCCAGGAATCTCTCGGTGGTCCACCTGATCACATGCCCATCCCTGAATCAACTATGCCCAGGGATACTGTCACTCTAAACACCAGGAGTTCACTCACGTGCTCAATCGTGTGCACAAGAAGAAACTCCAGGAGAAAAAAAGTAGAACTGATCTTCTATTTTGGGGACCCCCGCTTACTATGGGGACTCCCCACTTAATAAGAAAAGTTGAGACAAGTGCTGAACAGAGTTAAAGTAATAATAATAAAGATGTTCACAAAATCTCCCAAATTGAGCTGCCTCCTGGTTCTGAAAAGCTTCTAAAAACAAATAATAGAGGCCAGTGTGTTGACGCATCCCTGTGATCCCAGCACCGTGGGAGGCCAAGGAGGATGGATCACTTCAGGTCAGGAGTTTGAGACCACCCTGGCCAACATGGTGAAACCCTGTCTCTACTAAAAATACAAAAATTAGCAGGGTGTGATGGCACGTGCCTGTAATCCCAGCTACTCGGGAGGCTGATGTAGGAGCATCACTTGAACCCGGGAGGCGGAGGTTGCAACGAGTTGAGATCATGCAACTGTACTCCATCCTCGGCAACAAAGCGAGACTCCATCTCAAAATATACATACACGTATACATATACATATACATATACATATACATATACATATACATATACATATACATATACAAATACACATACACATACACATACACATACACATACACACAAACACACACACACAGAGTCAGGGCCAGGGTAGGAAATACATAAGTTGACCAGGAACACCTTGTCACCTCACAAAGCAAGGAATCTCTCCATCCATCTGAACAAGGAGACAGCAGAAAGACATTCCCACTGGCCAACAACAGAGCTTCAGAATGGACATTTAGAATGATCATTAGTCTCCTTTGGAATATGCAAGCAAACTAACTCAAACGGATTTGAAAACTGGAAAAAAATGAAGGAAGATACAGATGCCCCTATTTTTCTCACATGAACTCTACCTTGGGGTAAGCAAAGAATCAGTAAAAGATTTTTCTCTGTACAAGTATTCTATCTAATAAATGAAAAAGGAGTGATGGTAATGGTTGCTAGTGACTGATAAAAATTTCCAAAAAGGACTTCAATAAAGAAAAGCATTATGTGGTTCCTAATGGAAGTAAACAAGAAAATTTATTATGTGTTTCCCAGGTGCGGTGGCTCACGCCTGTAATCCCAGCACTTTGGGAGGCCGAGGCGGGCGGATCACAAGGTCAGGAGATCGAGAGCATCCTGGCTAACACAGTGAAACCGTCTCTACTAAAAATATAGAAAGTTAGCCAGGCATGATGGCGGACACCTGTAGTCCCAGCTACTTGGGAGGCTGAGGCAGGAGAATGGCATGAACCCGGTAGGCAGAGGTTGCAGTGAGCCGAGATCATGCCACTGCACTCCAGCCTGGGCGACAGAGGAGAGCGAGACTCTGTCTCAAAAAAAAAAAAAAAAAAAAAGAAAGAAAAAGAAAGAAAAAAAGAAAAGAAAACTTATTATGTGTTTTTGCCAAAAGCAAAATTGAACAAAAATCTCATCAAACTTCTGAATTTAACCACCAGTCAACAGAAAATATAAAGAAGAAAGAATGCAATTAGCAAAACCAGACTATGTAGAGACTGTTGCATAAAAATGACCCGGTGACCTCAACAAATAGATTGCAAACACTGAGTTGGAGGTGGTACCAGTTTAATAAAAGAAACTTGAGAGATGTATCGACTAATTTTAATTTGAGACATATCGATCATGTTTAAATTTCTGATAATAAAACTTTAAAAATGTGTAAGATTATCAGGTAGACTTGAACAATGATAGAATGCTTGCTTATATTAACAGATTATTGCTACTTTCAAGGCATAATAACGCTAATGACAGTACTTTTTTTTTCCTTAAGAATTCTCATATTCTAATTGTAAGTACTGAAAACTTTAAAAATAATATGATGTTTGGACACCTACTTAAATAATCTTTTTTTTTTTTTTTCTTTGAAACAGAGTCTCCCTGTTGCCCAGGCTGGAGTGCAGTGGTGTGATCTTGGCTCACTGCAACCTCTGCCTGCTAGGTCCAAGCAATTCTCCTGCCTCAGCCTCTGGAGTAGCTGAAATTACAAGTGTGTGCCACCACACCTGGTTAACTTCTGTATTTTTAGTAAAGACAGGGTTTCACCATGTTGCTCAGGCTGCTCTCAAACTCCTGACCTCAAGTGATCCGCTCACCTCAGCCTCCCAAAATACTGGGATTACAGGCATGAGCCAACATGCCTGGCCTATTGCTAATTTTAAAGGCATAATAACATTAATGACAATACAGTTCTTTTTTTAAAAAGTTTCATTTTTTCCAATATACATACTGATATATTTAATAATAATAGTATATTTTGGATTTGCTTCAAAATATTGATGGGGAAGGGAGAAGAAGATTAAAGCACAAAACAAGTTTGGCCACATATTGGTAGTTGTTGAAATCTGCTGTAAAGCATATGAGGGATCAGTATACTATTCTACTTTTGTGTTTTTTTGAAATTTTTCATAATAAAACATTTTAAAACCACCATTAAACAACTGAGAATGCTCCAGCCTGGGTGACAGAGCAAGACTCCGTCTCAAATAAAAAATAAAAATTAAAAAAAATCAGAATGAGTTTAAGTATCACCAAATCACTCTGGTCCACCAATGAATCTGGAGTAAAAATGTAGCTCCTGGCCAGGCACAACGGCTCATGCCTGTCATCCCATCACTTTTGGAGGCCGAGGCAGGTGGACCGCTTGAACCCAGGAGTTCAGGACCAGCCTGATCAACAAGTGAGACCTGATCTCTAAAAAAAAAAATAAATAAAAAAAATAAATAAAAATAAAAAATAAAATAAAATAAAATAAAATAAAATAAAAAGGCCAGGCTCAGTGGCTCACACCTGTAATCCCTGTACTTTGGGAGGCAGAGGCGGGCGGATCACCTGAAGTCAGGAGTTCAAGACCAACTTGGCCAACATGGTGAAACCCTGTCTCTACTAATAATACAAAAATTAGCCAGGCATGGTAGTGGATGCTTGTAATTCCAGCTACTCAGGATGCCGAGGCACGAGAATCGCTTGAACCTGGGAGGCGGAGGTTACAGTGAGCCTAGATCGTGCCACTGCACTCCAGCCTGGGTGATAGAGTGAAACTCAGTCGCAAAATAATAATAATAATAATACTTAATTAATTAAAAAAAGAAGAAACATGACTCCAGTATTTGTGGGTATATTTTAAAGTACTCAGAAGGAATTTTAGACTGGAGTCTGTAATAAAATGCCCTTCCTACTCTCTCAAGAGAGCCTGATATATTAAGTTTTCTGTACAAGACAACCTGTAGCCATCATCAAACATCCTTCATTCTTGGAATAGTCTGAGGGAAAGGAACACAAAATGTGAAACAGGATTGCAATTTGGAGACACCAAAAAGCAACAAAAGTCATCGATCACAATGATATAACCAAATTAAAATCCTATTTTGGTTCTTCAATACAACCAGCTGTTCTCATTTAGAACTTTGTCTCTTGCTTCTGGTAGGGCCAAGTCATTGCCAAGAGCTCTGACATCATCTTTTCCCTAAAACCTTGTCTAACACAACTGCCCCCATCCCCAAACCATTCTGTGTCTCACTGGCTTCATTTTGCCCCCTTCAGATTAGTTTTCACCATCTGTAGCATCTTATTATTTCTTGGATTCATGTGTAAACACTTGAACACAATGGAAGACACTAATGAGTGTTGTTCATCCTTCAGTCTCCTCTCCTAAGCCAGTTTCTAGAACCCCATAGGCTTTAGGAATATTTAGCAACAAATATTTGAATATATAAATGCTTCATAGCTAAATCACTACTAATCCACCAAATGTACTGCTTTGGCTGCTTTCATTTTACACTCAATAAGTAAATAAATAAATAGATAATTATATACTACATATGCTATTGTACACTAAATATAATGTACATATATTTATATCTATATTTTTTCTAAATCTCAGCATTTCCTACCTTGAATTTTAACAAAAGAACGGCATTTACCTTCAATTTTAGTTTTTTTTTACTTTGCTAGGACTGCCAAGCTGTTTAAATGATTACGAAATATAATATTAAAATAGACATGAGAATTCTTTTAACCTTTTTCTAAGAGCTTACATGTAGTGCACAACCTTCAGACAATTAAACTGGTGTTCTGATAACTGTTTCCTGCTATTACTAGAAGACAAATTATTTGCACTAACAGAGCAAGAAACCCTACCTCAGAGAAACAGGGAATTGAGTAGTCTGTAGTTGTGAGAACAACAAAGTTAATATTCAATTAAGTTCCATTACAAGATTTATACTAATCATTAACCAAAAGTTTTCTTCTGTTCAGTTTCAAGAAACCGAACAATACCCTGACAAAGAGAAAGACCCTTTAAAAATTAAGCAATAATTATGGTATGTTTGCAAAACGCAGTCTATCTTTTGTATCTTAAATTTCTGGCTGTGCAATTTGCATACACATTAAACTCTGTGGGAAATTGGAAAGCAATTCAGACTTCAACAATTAAAAGATACAAATTAAAATTGTTAACATTAACTTAAAGTTTATTGCTGGTGCAATGCTCGTGGATATAAATGAACTCTGATCAAGCAGCCGTTTCCCTCTTGGAAATTCAACATATTTTCAACATAGGTTGACAATTGTACCTTTAAGTCATTGGTTTTGCTGATGCCACTTCATACTGATAAGTATGTTATTTTAACAAATATAAACATGTATTGGTGGCAGACTTTTTTTTACTAGAAGGAGAAGTTGAGTCAAATCACTCTAGTCTTCAAAGGGACTTACCATCTCTTAAGAAACCTTAAAGTTATTGGGGGAAAATGCTAAGATAATTCTCTATTTAATTTCAGCTAACAGAAAAGACAACTATTGAGAGTTGTAAGTTTGGGGGCAAAACACAGTCAACACAACAAAAGGTACTTCCTGCTTTTATTATTTTTCATCTGTCTACAATGTACTTATAAATACGTGCATATAAATATAAACATATATACATATACATATGTATAAAGCTGATGAGGAAATCTTCAATGCTGCCTATAAACTTTCTTGATAATTTATTAAAAATTCTCTAGTCTGATTTCCTGGATGCAAAGTTCAGTTCCATCAGCTTCTAACTCTGTGACTACAGATGTGTTATTCTTTCAGCCTCTGTGTCCCATTCAGCAAACTAGCAATGATGGAAATCAACTCATAGACTGGCCATAAAAATCAAATGAGTAAAAAATTAAATCCCTCTATCTGACATGTAGAAAAGTGCTCAAAAATTGCAAAGCATTATTTGTATGAAGCACTGCATTATCAATTGAATCCCAATCCTGCCACTTACTACCTCTGTGACCTCAGACAAACTAATTAGCTTCTTTGTGCGTCACTGTCCCCATTGGTTAAATGAAAATACAGTGCCTAAAGCATAAAGTCGTTGGGCTAGTAAATGAGTTAAATATTTGGAAAGCACTTACAATAGTAACTACAATGTATGCAAGCCCTACTTATTTTCAAGTAACAAATATGCGTGTCCAGATAGGAGGATGGATATATATACACATGTATGTATCAATCTAGATATAAACACATCTAGATGTGTATCCAGATACCTATACATGCACACACATACATGTTTATATGCACACACACACATGCACAAAACCACAGAACAGAAAAAGAGCTGTCCGAATATCAAATTTAAAAATCCCAGTACTAGTTCAGTGTTATTCTAAAGTAGAGATACTCAATATCATTGTATTTATATGAATTTAAAAGCAAAGGCTAAACTAAGCCTTCCTGTATTCAAGATGGCTAGGAAATCAAAAAGGCAATGATTTATCGGGAACTGCCATGTTATTTCAGATGACCAAGTTTCAGATAATTAGGATACAATAAAATGTTCTTGACATGAAAACTAATGGAATATACTTGGATCACTGATGGTCTTCAAGACGCCCCATGGCCATCAACATGGGGACCAGTTATCAAGGTAAGTTGAGAAGTTTAGATTTGTATGCTATAAATATACTTCCAATGGGAAAAAGTAATTAGGGACTAGAAAGTTTCAGACTCAAAGGAACTGGGTTGTTTTTTCCTATATATGCTTTCTAATAAATTTATGGTTCAAACATAGGAGGATGCAGAGAATCAGATACTTGTCTGTTGAGTTATAAAATCTGAACCAATCTCAAGTGTAAGTACCTCTAGCTTTTACCTCAAAGCCTTTCCCTTTTTTTGTTTTTTATTATTATTTTTTTAAGATGGAGTCTCACTCTATGGCCCAGGCTGCAGTGCGGTGGCATGATCTTGGCTCACTGCAACCTCTGTGCTCCCAGGTTCAAGTGATTCTCCTGCCTCAGCCTTCTGAGTAGCTGGGATTACAAGCGTGCACCACCACGTCCAGCTAATTTTTGTATGTTTAGTAGAGACAAGGTTTCAGTGTGTTGCCCATGCTGGTGATCCTGACCTAAGGTGATCCACCCTCCTTGGCCTCCCAAAGTAGTGGGATTACATGCGTGAGCCACCACACCCCTCTTCAAAGCCTTCCTCTTCTGTCACCACCAGCAAGATTATTTGCTTGGGAATTTTAAAACACCCCATAGGTCTATCACACGTCACAATAATAAAGTGAAAAATCCATCCCCCTCCCCAAGTTGGCCACATACAAAGCAGGATCACCACTTCTAACACACACACACACACACACACACACACACACACACACACAAGGCTACTTTCAGATCATAGTCATTTTGTAATCAATACAGGTTTGACTAATGTAAATCATATGCTCTAATTAATTGATCACATTACATCCAATTCCCATTATGTAAAGCCACACTGTAAGAGAAATGTCCATAACAAGAGAATTGAGATATTAGCCTAAATTACAGGTGACAGATAACAGACTATGGTTGTTCTGAATTTTTAATTTTCCACTTAACCCCAGAGAGTTTTAGTCACAATAATTAGCCAGCCTAATACCTGGCACATATATATCCATATACACACGTATGCAAACACATTTTTAAATACAATGACCAACACACACACACACACACACACACACACAAAATAATGCAAGAATCACATGCCCAATCAGGGATATGTTCTGATAGAGATATCCAAGTTAATTTGGAATTTTGTTTTGATAACATCTCACCTTGTGTCTACCATCAAAAGTGAATTTTTATCAGTCTCTGAAAGCAAATCGTTTCCATGCAATTTGGTCGGTAACATATATAAATGTTTCAAGCATAACATAATAACACATTTCAGAAAAAGCTGTGGAATATGATAGCTTCAGGACTTTCAGAATACAACCAGGATCCTTTCGGGTGGAGAGGCATAAAAGAGATTAAGTGGATGGCACTTTCTTTGAATTATTGATGTAATCAAAACACTAGCAGATACACAGCATCATTCTTCCTGGTGCTGGACCCAACATGAAATTTTAGCTAGGTTTTGGCTTCTTTTGCTTCTATTAAAAAATGCAAGAAAATCGGTCACTTGTTGTTTACCTAAAAACTGTGAAGTTTCCTAACAGTTCTTAGCATGGCATTAAAAAGAGAGAGCTGGGGGTGGTTTTTACAATTGGGTGCCTGAAGCATTGCCCATGCACTATTCATGTTTTCAGCTCAACTCTGTGTTTGTTATCAACACCTGGGACTTTAAGATCATTAGACTCTAGACACTTACATCCAACCCTGCATTTAAGATGAAGATGGCTTCATTAAGTCGGAAGGCAGAATTCCATTAGATAAAACTGTGCTCTCCATAGCTTAACCTTAGAGTACTACTGCAGTGTTTTCCTCCTTCTAATTTTGCAGACTGGAAAGGAGCTTCCTGTGGCTCCCTGATCCCGCCAATACCCCAAGCGCAATTCCCAAACTCCCCTCATCACGGGCAGATATCATTTCAACAGATGTCAGCAACAGCTAAAGTGCACTAAGGCCTGTTTGTTAAACTCCCAGAGGGGGAGGTGGATTGAGGAAATTCAGCCAGTAATTAAACCACATACTTCTTCTAAAGCCACCTCCACCCCTCTTCCCTGCATAATCTTTCTGCCTTGCACCAAATCATTTAGGCACTTATTGGCTACAATCAATACAATATGAGATACATTAATGTTGTCCCTGAGAGACGTTCGGGGAAGAGGTGGTATTGCTTCACAAGCATTTTGGAGTGTTCATGCAAGCATACTATCAAATGCAGCAATACAGTTTCCATGCTCCAGGATGGCAGATTTATGATCTCCCCTGCCCCATGCCCATGGAGCTGGGCTGCTGCCAAACACACGCAAATTGGATTGGAGGGAGAAACATTAAATATATTACCTAATGCACACAAATGCTAAATAGTGCAAATCACAGTGAAGAAGTGGCCCGGCTGAGTGGAATTTTAACAATTAAACTCAAGTCTCTCCATATGTTGCAGCACCACTCTTGCCTCCCTATGTAGAATAAAATTACAAAGGGGAAAGGACCTTTAACCAGGTTTCCTGATCACAGATTCCGTTTCTTCAATGCAACAGGATGGCTTTCCCCATCTCCCCTTCCCACTCTGATGGATCCCTCAGCCAGCAATGCATTTAGAATATGCTCTACAAATCCTGAACCCAAGCAAATGAATTTATTACCGAAAGGAGCTAAATGAGGATTTGCCCTATTCGTTAGTTTTTAATACTACTGATGTGTTATCTTTTTCAAGAGATCCTGATTCTCAGAAGACTCATTTGAACAACAAACATGACTCCCAGGAAGGTGTGTGCAGGGTCCCCTCTACAGTAGCAACAAGTCATTGCACAGCTATCAATACCATTCAGCCTCAAATGATTTTATTTGACAAGTGAGACAAAGAAAAGAAAGTCAGTGTTACAGTTCAGTCCATCTATGGATCCTACACAGAACCAAAGATGAATGCAGTAGACTAACAAAAGAAATTAGGGAATGACTGTGAGGACCAGGCTCCAGCTGCGAAATTAAAATCTATCAGAAATTCAGACAAGAACTATTCCCAGGGTCAGGCTCTCGGCTTTATGTTTAAAGCAAAGAAGTAATTGGGAAGAAGGAGTCTGCATTCTACAATGAAATCCATTATAATTCCTTGTGAATGACACCGTGCTTGGGCGGTGGGCACTGAATATATTGAAGTATCACAAATCTTTTTTTTTTTTTTTTTGGAAAAGGAAGGAATCAGCCTTTCTGGGCCATGGCCATTGGTCATGTCATGATACACAAAAACTCTAGACACAAGTGACCTTGGGTAGATCATGTGACCTCTTGGACTCATGCCATCTTTTCTCTAAAATCATTAGCTGGTTTCTGAAGCCCTTTGTGGCTCTAACAGAATATGGTTGAAGTTGTGTAACTTTTATCCTTAACTGCCTTCTTACCTAGTTTTTAAGTCCTTTATGTGCATTTTACACCACAGAGAAATACCACGACTACTGAGGAACCCAAGCTGACCTTGGAAGGGATGAACAAGGTACTTAAGGAATTGCTAGGCTGGATGCAGTAGCTCACGCCTGTAATCCCAGCACTTTGGGAGGCCAAGGCAGATCACGTGAGATCAAGAGTTCAAGACCAGCCTGGCCAACATGGTGAAACCCCGTCTCTACTAAAAATACAAAAATTAGCTGGGCATGGTGGTGGGTACCTGTAGTCCCAGCTACTGGGAAAGCTGAGGCAGGAGAATTGCTTGAACCTGGGAGGCAGAGGCTGCAATGAGCCGAGATTGCACCAGGAAAATCCCTTGAATCCGGGAGGCAGAGGCTGCAGTAAGCCGAGATTGCACCACTGCACTCCAGCCTGTGCAACAGAGTGAGACTCCATCTCAAAAAAAACAAAAAATTGCTTCTCTATGAGCTTGGTTCTGCTTCCTACACAGACTGGAAAGGAAGAGACAGCTACACCCGTTCTCCCTAAGGAATGGGTGAAACTCTGGCAAAGACAGGCCAATATTTTCTAGAGGTGGACCACACTCTGACAATAGTTTTCAAGGTGTAGTTTTCATAGCACCAGCTTCTGAAACACAGGGAGTCCTGTTAACAACACAGGATCTGGGACACCCCCACCACCCTATTGATTGAATCAGAAACTCTGTGGGTAGGATCTAAGAAACTGAATTTGATACAAAACCCTGAAGTGATTCCTATGCACATTAACATTTCAGAAGTGGGCTGGGCCTGGTGGGTCACACCTGTAATCCTAGCAGCACTTTGGAAGGCCTAAGCAGGCAGATTGCTTGGGCTCAGGAGTTCAAGACCAGCCTGGGCAACATGGTGAAACCCCACCTCTACCAAAACTACAAAAGTCAGGCAGGAATGGCAGCACAAGCCTGTGGTCCCAGCTACTTGGACAGCTGAGGTAGGAGGATGGCTTGAGCCTGGGAGGTGGAAGTTGCAGTGAGCTGAGATTGCACCACTGAACTCCAGCCTGGGTGACAGAGTGGGACCCCATCTCAAAACAACAACAACAAAAAGAAAAAACATTTGAGAAGTGGGTTGATGATAATAATCACATGGGAATTCATTTTTCAAAAGGACTTATCTACGTATTTGTGCTAATCATTGTGTCAGTTCCCCTATGGGATATGAGCTTCCTGAGGCCCAAACGGAATGTTGCTTATTAATGTCTCCCAGGCATCCTGTCCAGGGCCTGTACATACAGATGTATTAGCTGAAATGGAGAAATGCAGAAATAGCCAACTTTTGTTTTGAGACAAGGTCTCACTCTACTGCCCAGGCTGGAGTGACGTGGCATGGTCTCAACTCACTGCAACCTCTGCCTCCCAGGCTCAAGTAATTCTCCTGCCTCATTCTGTAACTGGAACTAAAGGTACACGCCACCGTGTCTTTTTTTTTTTTTTTTTTTTTTTTTTGGAGAGACAATTTTATTACGTTGCCTAGGATGGCCTCGAACTTCTGTGCTGAAGCAGGCCACCCACCTTGGCCTCCCAACGTACTGGAATTACAGGTGTGAGCCACCACGCCTGGCCAGAAATAGCCAACTGTGATGTAGTAAATTAGAATATCTGGACACAGAGCTTTAAAATATGCAATCAATGAACAATGTGGTGGTTCTCATTGGCAATAAATTGCGAGAGTCACTTTTCTATCATAAAAAATGACAGCCTTATCTTATCTTAAAAAATTAGCAACTAGACATAGCATGGTTTTCTGTTATCAGCACTCACTGATATGTATCAGCTTCCTGGACCTTAACAAGCAGTTTGGGCTCGAACTATCCTGAGATGGACATGGAAGATCATGGAAGACCAGTAAGCTTAAGAAACTTGTCCAAGCTCACATTCACAACTATTAGGTCGGTGCAAAACTGATCACGGCTTTTGCCTTTGAAAGTAATGACAAAAAGCACAATTACTTTTGCACCAATGTAATATATGCTACTTCTACTTGGTAAACTTGGATATATTTTATGGGACACAGTATCATCCTTCTATGTGAATACTAACAGAATTTTTATTTTTTTGAGATGGAGTTTCTTTCTTGTTGCCCAGGTGGGAATGCAGTGGCGAGATCTCAACTCACTGCAAACTCCAACTCCCAGGTTCAAGCGATTCTCCTGCCTCCGACTCCTGAATAGCTGGGATTACAGGCATGCGCCACCACTACCGGCTAACTTTTGTATTTTTAGTAGAAATGGGGTTTCACCATGTTGGCCAGGCTGGTCTCGAACTCCTGACCTCAGGTGACCCACCCGCCTCGGCCTCCCAAAGTACTGGGATTACAGCCGTGAGCTACCGCTATCTGGCCACTATCAGAATTTTTAAAATGCGAAGCAAAGAAATCCAAAATTGAGAGTTGCCATTCCATTCATTTCTTCAACACATACTTACTGAATCCCTACTGTGTGTTGGGCACGTTTACTAGTTGTTGGTGACATATGTTCACATAAAAACAAGCAGTATCTGACCTCTTGAAGAGTATATTCTAGTACAGGGGAGCTAAATCATATTTCAAGTAGTTTGCAGACATTTTCTCAGTTTTTTGTGTGAAACAGAGTCTCGCTCTTGTCACCCAGGCTGGAGTGCGGTGGTGCGGTCTCAGTTCACTGCAACTTCTGCCTCCTGAATTCAAGCAATTCTCCCGTCTCAGACTCCCGAGTAGCTGGGATTATACGGTGCCCATCACCAGGCCTGGCTAATGTTTGTATTTTTAGTAGAGATGGAATTTCACCATGTTAGCCAGGCTAGTTTCGAAATCCTGACCTCAGGTGATCCACCTGCCTTAGCCTCCCAAAGTGCTGGAATTACAGGTGTGAGCCACAGCACCTGACCCCTTTTAGGGACTTCTATTTCTTCATTTCCATCAACACCTCTGTTCCAAGTAGCTTCTGTTCCTTTGTTTCTTTATTCTCCAGACAGTCTGCAGAGATAACTTCTGTCCCACTCTTAAATGGTTGCATTCTCCACAGCTGTACCTGTTTCTATTCTTTATATCCATCCCTGGTACTACGTATAAATTGATAGGCAACTAATAAATCAGTTTATCTAAAGATTGCTATATAATAATTACAGAGGATGATATTAACTTACAGGTACCAATATGTGGGGAAAAAAAGTTCTAATTGCACCGTTAAATAATAACAAATTGTAATTCATTATACACTATATAATGCTGTTTAATAAAATGTCCTTCAAAAGACAGACTGATACAGATAGACAGAGAGAAGCACATATAATTGTAAATATATCTTCATAGACAAATTATCCAGATCCATACTGCCCAAGAGAAAAATAATGCAAGCAATACATGCAATTAAAATTTTTCTAATAGCCACATTTTAAAACGGAAAAAGAGGCCAAGCACAGTGGCTCAGGCCTGAAATCCCAGCACTATGGAAGGCTGAGGCGGGCAGATCACTTGAGGTCAAGAGTTTAGGCCAACCTGCCCAACATGGCGAAATCCCGTCTCTACTAAAAATACCAAAAAAGCCGGGCGCGGTGGCTCACGCTTATAATCCCAGCACTTTGGGAGTCCGAGGGGGGTGGATCACCTCAGGCCAGGAGTTCAAGAGCAGCCTAGCCAACATGGGAAAACCCATCTCAACTAAAAATTAGCCAGGCATGGTAGTGGGCGCCTGTAATCCCAGCTACTTAGGAGGCTAAGGCAGGGAGAATCACTGAACCCAGGAGGGAGAGGATGCAGTGAGCCGAGATTATGCCATTGCACTCCAGCCTGGGCAATGAGCAAGACTCCATCTTAAAAACAAAAACAAAAAACAAAAAACAAAAAACAAAAAACAAACAAACAAAAAAAAAAATTAGCTGGGTGTGATGTCACACACCTGTAATCCCAGCTGCTCAGGAGGCTAAGGCTGAGGCTGAGGCTGAGGCAGAGGTTGTAGTGAGCCGAGATCGCACCACTGCACTCCAGCCTAGGGGACAGAGCAAGACTCGGTCCCAAATAAATAAAATAAAATAAAATTAAATAAAGTTAAATTAAAATAAAAAGGGAAAAGAAAAAATAAAACAGGTAAGACTAATTTTAAAAATATATTTAGCCCAATATGTTATCACAACAGGCAATCGACTTTTTAAAAACTCTCAATGAGCTATTTAAAACACTTTCATATACTAAGTCTTTGAAATCCAGCATATATCTTAACTCACTCAATAACCATAAGTAAACAGTAGCTACTACAGTGGACAGTAAGATTATAAACACTTTCATCATCACAGGAAACTCCAATAGACTACACTGCTCTAAAGGTCTATAGGGCTTTGCTGAGAGGAGAAAGTCCTGCCTGGAAAAACCAGCAGGAAAATGCAAATTTGTTTCCAAAAATTTAGGGGGAGATTTACCATTAGGACACTTCTAAAACTCTGCTGTGTTTCTCTTTGAAATGCGTTTTCTTTTTTATGTATTCCTATGTTCTCAGTGCTCTCTGGATCCACATTTGATTCTTGGTTTTACCATTTACTGGCTGTGGAATGTGGGGTAACTAATAGCATTTCCATATCTAATTTTTTTTTCACCAGAAACATAACCATGATGACGACTATATAAGATTATGCAAGGAAAGACTGCCTAGCTGGCACTTAGTAAACTCAAGTTTCCTGTGGGATCTCATTCCAGCCATCATAAACATTTCATTTCTGACCCGAATAGGGATAAAATGTGGCTGCTTTGAGATGCCCTCCCAATAAACCTGGATTTCTAATCTCTTCTGTCACTCCACGGACCAGTCATCCCAACAGCCTTACAATGTTCGTTCTTATTCTCCTCCCCTCTGCTATCTGCAAGAGGCACCACACAGGTGAATAAACTGTGGTCATGTATTTGGATGAGTTTCTATTTCCAAGTTCACACTTCTAGATTGTGAACTGCAGGTCAGTGGAGGCCCCAGTCATGAGCTATATTTCAACGGAATGGAAATTCCATTTATGAATGAGATTGCAGGTAAGTTTGTGCACCTGTGCCCACCTATGCTTATGTATAGATGTGCCCGTGTATATGATTATGTTTGCAATGTGTGGGGCATGCCTCTGTGTGTGTGTGTGTGTGTGTGTGTGTGTGTGTGTGTGTGTGTGTGTGTCTGAAAAGTTTTCTGTTGCTGTCCTGAGATAAGCCTAGTGGCTCGGGAGATAACCTGGGCCTGGAATCAGAAACCATGGTAGTGATGAGATTTTAGGCAAACTACTCATTCTCTCTTGTTCTCCACTCACTTCCTCCTTTGAAAACTTCAGGGACTGAACCAGATGATCCTAAGATTCCATCCAGCATGAATATTCCATGATTCAATAAATCTGTGCATAACCAGGGCCAAAGTTTTCATTCTTGTTATTATGGGTAATCAAGACTTGGCAAAACACTTCAGTCCTCTATCAAAATGCTGCTCTCTGACTGAGCTCCCATTATTAGGCCCACTACACCCACACAAGACGCTGATAAATGGAAGCTGCTAATAGATCGCTTGGATGATGCCCAGGAAGAGGGCAGGCTCTCCACAAGGCCTTATTTGCAAGTTTCATTCCACTCAGAATGGACTAACCAACAAACCCTGGCAAACACAATAAATGGCATTCGAAAGCATGGGTAGGGAATGCAGGCGGGGTGGGCAGGTGAGCAAGGGGTGGATTAGATAACCTTTCAGGTCCCTCTGCAACTTGAGATTCTAGGATTCTAAGATGGGATTATAATAAATCATCAACCAAGACAAGTGAAACATACAGGCACCTGCCCTACAGCGTGTTCAGTTATTTTCTTAAAGGCAAGTGGAGGAGGCAACTGGCATCCAGACCACCTTCTTTCTTGTCACGAAAAGATACCCATCAAGAATTTGCAAAAAGACAGAGAGAAGGAGAGAGAGAAGGGGAGGGAGAGGAAGGGAAGGAAAAGAGGGAGACAGAGGATGAGCAAATGCAGTAAAAAATATTTAATATTAAAAACTGGTGATTCTGGGCCAGGCCCAGGAGCTCATGCCTACAATCCCAGCACTTTGGGAAGCCAAGGCAGGTGAATCAGTTGAGCCCATGAGTTCAAAACCAGCCTGGGGCTGGACGTGGTGGCTCACGCCTGTAATACCAGCACTTTGGGAGGCTGAGGCAGGGGGATCACTTGAGGTCAGGAGTTCCAGACCAGCCTGGCCAACATGGTGAAACCCCGTCTCTACTAGAAACAGGAAAATTAGCCAGACATGGTGGCAGACGCCTGCAATCCCAGCTACTCGGGAGGCTGAGGCAAGAGTCGCTTGAACCCGGGAGGCACAGGTTGCAGTGAGCCAAGATCATGCCATTGCACTCCAGCCTGGGTGACAGACCAAGACTCTGTCTCAGAAAATAAATAAATAAATAAATAAATAAATAAAAATAGAAATTGGTGATTCTGGTAGACGTATATAAGGGTTATTGTACAAGTCTTACATTTTTTCATGTTTAGAATTTTTCAAAATAAAAAGTTGAAAAAATATTGCACATTTTTAAAAAGACAAATGAAATTTAAAAATTGGAGATATGCAGGTTCTCTAAAGTGAGTTTCTGCAAGATGTTTTATGAAAAAAAATTTCTCTCGTCCGGTAAGTTTGGAAAGTGCCTTATTCTATATCACTCCATGGAGATTTACAATTCACATTCATTTGCAGATTAAAGATACAAAGAAGTCCTGCAAAAAAAGAAAAGAAAAAGAAAAAAGAAAAAAAAATTCTGTTTTTTTTTTTTTTTACATGAACTCACGCTCTGTGGCCCAGGCCGGAGTGCAGTAGCACCAACTAAGCTCATTGCAACCTCTGCCTCCTGGGTTCAAGCAATTCTTATGCCTCAGCCTCTTGAGTAGCTGAGATTATAGGCACCTGACACCATGCCTGGCTAATTTTCTTTTTTGTATTTTTTGTAGAGATGGGGTTTTGCCACGCTGGTCAGACTGTTCTCTAACTCCTGACCTCAAATGATCCACCCACCTTGGCCTCCCAAAGTGCTGGGATTACAGGCGTGAGCCACTGCTCCCAGCCCTGTCTAATCTTTCTAATCCAGTATTTTCCACACATAGTGTTCTTTAGTTAATTAATTTTTTAAGAGATGTGGACTAGCTATTTTGCCCAGGCTAGACTGAGAACACATGGGCTGAAGTGATCTTCCTGCCTAAGCCTCCTGAGTCACCTTGTCCAGCCATACCTATTTATAAGACCATATATCTTTTGTGTATGTATGTGTGTGCAGCATAAGTTAACCTATCATAAAATTAATATTTCAAAATTAATTGAAGGACATGTAAAAACATAAGATATATTCCCTACCAATATGTGGCATGTAGCCCAGAAAAGACAAGAGGCCAGAGAAAAAAATCTTTCCATGATTAAAATAGAATGTGATCACATTTTAAACCATACTATGCTACAGAAGGGCAGAGGAAAGAAGAGGGTAGGGTAGGGTAGGGTAGGGTAGGGGAAGGAAGGAGAGGGGAGAGGAAATTCCAGAATCTTGAGAAATGAAATCCAGAGGAACTAACTCATTGGGATCTGGCCAGCAAAGCCAGGATATTTCCCCCTGGGTTTTTCAAGGAGCCCTCCCTCCTGATTTTTCACTTTCCTTACAGTAGATTTGTAAGTAAAGAAGGTACCGGGTGCAATGTCTCATACCTGTAATCCTAGCACTTTGGGAGGCTGAGGCAGGTGGATCAGCTGAGGTCAGGAGTTCAAGACCAGCCTGACCAATATGGTGAAACCCCATCTCTGCTAAAAATACAAAAATTAGCCAGGTGTGGTGGCATGCACCTCTAATCTTAGCTACTCAGGAGGCTGAGGCAGGAGAATTTCATGAACCTGGGAGGCAGAGGTTGCAGTGAGAAGAGATCACACCACTGCACTCCAGCCTGGTCAACAGAGACTCCATCTCAAAATAATAATAAAAATATTAAGTAAAGAAGGCATGTGGTAAACTCACTGGGCAGAGCTAAGATTCTGTCCAGCATAAATATGCCATCATTCAGTGAATCCGGAACTCAATGGGCTGCTGCACCATTCTAATTTAGTGACTACTAAAGGTGAGGAGACTTTAGGCTGCAAGTAACAAAACCTGCCTAACAGTGGCTTCATCCATAGGGATATATATTGTTTTCCTGATGGTTCGTCTCACTGGAGATACCCCTAGGCTGGTGAGGATGCTCAGTAGTGCTGTAGGATGTAGGCTTTTTCATGCATATCCCAGGTGACATTGATACCATCATATTTCACAGATCAAAGGGCTGGTCAAATTTCTCTAGGTCACACAGGTAGTACAGGAGGATCCAGGATTATTTTATTTTATGTTTAAGATGGAGTTTTACTCTTGTTGCGTAGGCTGGAGTGCAATGGCACTATCTCGGCTCACCGCAACCTCTGCCTCCAGGGTTCAAGCAATTGTCCTGCCTCAGCCTCCCAAGTTGCTGAGATTACAAGCGCCTGCCATCATACTCGGCTAATTTCGTATTTTTAGTAGAGACAGGGTTTCTCCATGTTGATCAGACAGGTCTTGAACTCCTGACCTCAGGTGATCTGCCCACCTTGGCCTCCCAAAGTGCTGGAATTACAGGGTTCAGCCACCACTCCAGGCCAGATCCAGGATTTTACACTTAGTAAACTGCAGAGACTGTGCTCTTATGACACATTACTACATGCTAAGAGTCACACAACACCTTGTCCAAGAGCACTCTCTCCACTTGGCTGCATGCATGGGCCTCCCAGCCTAATGTCTTGTCCACAGGGCATCACTACCATCACTAGGCACAAGTAGTGCATGCAACCTACAGCAGCCACCCAGCCTACATCACAGCACACATACTTCTGAGCAGAAGAGCAGACCTTCAAGCCTAGAGATGCAACACTGTTTTCCCAGGAACCGACAGGCCTTGCCTCTTCTCCCAAGAGATTTATAATTAAGCCTGCGAAAAATTAAGAAATTAATATAAAAGTTGCCATGTTGCCAATGCTTTTATGATACTTTAATTTACTAGAAACATGTTCACACCACCCCTGGGGAGTGAGTGCAATGCAAAATTGCTTACATTGCTCTTATAAGCTGAAGTAAGCGCTTCCTTTTCATCTTCCATAATCCTATTAAAAAAAAAAAAAGCCAGCAAGTCGGCGGACCAGAAGCAGCAAATAGATAATTATATCATTCTCGATATTCTCCCACCCTAGCTTTTTCAAAGACCACCCCCCACCAATAATTCTGTACTTTCCTCATTTATTTACGGCTAAAGAAATAATGGACAAAACTCATTGGATAGACAACTGCACATCATTCTAATGCAGTTACTAGTGATTCCAAGTAGCTCTGCCATCACCAAGAGGATAAAGCGGGTGACAGAGTCAGAGGATGAGTACTACCCAAGGAAAGGGTAGAGGCTTGGTGTGCTATCCCTGCTAGGAAGCTGTCAATGGAACAGCTAAGAGTTTTGGTATCTGGAAAACTGTAACTCATGTCTCAGCATGGCCACTCCCCAGTAATGTGATGTTAGATAACTTACCAAAATGCTCGAGCCTCAGTTCGACACCTTTCCTTTTTTTTTTTTTTTTTTTTTTTTAGACAGAGTCTCACTCTTGTCACCCAGGCTGGAGCACAATGGCATGATGTTATCTCACTGCAACCTCCACCTCCTGGGTTCAAGTTGTTCTCCCTGCCTCAGCCTCCCAAGTATCTTGGATTACAGGCATCCGCCACCATGCCCAGCTAATTTTTGTATTTTTAGTAGAGACAGGGCTCCGCCATGTTGGCCAGGCTGGTCTTGAACTCCTGACCTCAGGTGATCCACCTGCCTCGACCTCCCAAAGTGTTGGGATTACAGGCATGAGCCACTGCACCTGGCCAGTTCCACATCTTTCAAAATGAGATAACAGTAAATCTACCTCTTACATTTACTGTGAATACTCAATGTGACAATGTGCAAGAAAGGGCTTTGCTCAGCTCCTGGTACAAACAACTGTTCAACTCATGGTAACTATGATTTGGAACTACTAACAGGGAGATTCCATCAAAAGGATGATGAACAGAGGGCGAGGCCGTCTGAGACTACTCCAGGATCCACCTCGTCAACGACTCTCATGAACGAATGAGAAGGAGCTCGCTGCAATGAAAGGACTTAAGTAGACATGACTGATGCTCCAGGATCAGAGCCCTGACTCTGGAATGATATTCAGTGTTCTCACTAATAAAACCAACAAAAGTCAAAATGACATGCTGGCCAACAATGGGAATGGGTTTCTGTAAAGATCAAAATGGAATAATGTAGGTCAATCTTTGTTACCTGGAAAAGGGTTTTCAAATTGAAAGCAGCTACATTTCTCCCCGGGTACCTGATAGCCAACCACAGGACCATTCTCAGGTTTCTCAAATTGGATGCCAGAGAATACACAATCCAATACCATAAACATGGATAACTCTTCGTATCACTAATTTGGTTTAGTCATTGGTGCGGGGGCCACATTCTTGTTATATAAACCAACATGAGTATATCATGAAAAACTACGAAAATTTTACATAAATTTGTAAGGTAAAACACGAGGGTTCAAAGAAATTGTATTACACACTATTTGGAGGCTTATTTGTATTTTCATGTGCCAATAAAAAGTTCTATTGTAATACAAAGACCCATGCATGCGTATACTCACTGCAGCACTATTCACAATAGCCAAGATGTGGAATCAACTTAAATGTCATCAGTGTAGACTGGATGATATGGCTTGGCTGTGTCCCCACCCCAATCTCATCTTGACTGGTAGCTCTGACAATTCCCACATGTCCTGGGGGAACCAGGCGGGAAATAATTGAATCATGAGGGCTGGTCTTTCATGTGCTGTTCTCAGGATACTGACTCTCATGTGACAAGATGGTTTTATAAAAGGGAGTTCCTCTACACAAATTCTCTGGCTTGCCACTATGTAAGATGTGACTTCTCTCCTCCTTTGCCTCCCATCATGACTGTGAGGCCTCCCCAGCCACGTGGAACTGTCAGTCAATTTAATCTTCTTCCTTTATAAATTACCCAGTCTCAGGTACGTCTTTATTAGCAGCATGAGAACAGACTAATACACTGGATAAAGAATCTGTGGTTTATACACACCATGGAATACTATGCATCCAAAAGTAAGAATAAGATGATGTCCTTTGCAGGGACATGGATGGACCTCGAGGCCATTATCCTTAGCAAATTAACACAGAAACAGAAAAGTAAAGTAGGAGCTAAATAATGAGAACACATGGACACATAGAGGGGGACAAAACACAGGGGCCTTTTGGAGGGTGAATGGTGGGAGGAGGGGAGAATCACAAAAAACAATGAATGAGTACTAGGCTTAATACCTGGGTGATGAAATAATCTGTACCACAAACCCCCATCACACAAGCTTATCTGTGCAACAAACCTGCAAGTGTACCTGTAAATTTAAAATTAAAAAAATAAAAAAAGAGTTTACTTAATTGGAAAAGTACTGGATCTCACCACTCCTGAATTTTTTAGTGTTTTTTTTTTTTTTTTTGAGACTGAGACTTGCTCTGCCACCCAGGCTGGAGTGCAGTGGCGTGATCTCGGCAGACTGCAACCTCCACTTCCCAGGTTCAAGGGATTCTCATGCCTCAGACTCCCGATTAATTGGGATTACAAGCACACACCACCATGCCCAGCTAATTTTTGTATTTTTAGTACAGATGGGGTTTCAACATGTTAGCCAGACTGGTTTTGAACTCCTGACCTGAAGTGATCCGCCTGCCTTGGCCTCCCAAAGTGCTGGGATTACAGGCATGAGCTACTGTACCTGCTCCATTCCTGAACATTTTCTTCCCACATATAATCTGCCCTCCTTTGATGACATTGCTCCCTCCAAATTATCTCCGGGAGAGTCAGAAATTTAGCTGTATTGTGTTCTTCCTTGAGAAATACCAACACCTTCTGATAATTGGAGTTTTTCAGCTAAAACCTGCCACCTCCATTTTATTAAAGCTGTTTTTCAATACTCGCTTTTGATTCTCATGTCAAATGTTAGCTTGGAAAACACTTTTCTGTTCATGGATAACCAGTGGGCCTAGGAATGCAAACAAACACCAGAAAAATTTCAACATAAGAAGACAAGTTTTTTGCTTTTGTAAACATATCTTTCTGTGTTTGAAAATGGCAAGTAAACTCTCATGAAGGAAAAAGATAAGATTAGAAAACAAAAGAAATGGTTACATGTTAGTCCTCATCTGGAACAAAAAACGAATAGGTAATATTTAACGGAAGAACTATTGTTCATATCATAAACGCACACACTCACACCTGACACAGCACATTTGTATAGGAAATAAAATTTTGCGGTAATTTTTCAAGTTATATCAGCTAGAATTGCTTTTGGATGCAAATAATAGAAATCCTAACTGCGGAGGCTTAATTGAAGAGGGATTAAGGTTCTCAGGTGACATACGTCCAGCCTGTGCTGTGACTGTTCTACTACACTCTAACACCAGGGTCAAGGTGCCATGCGGTTATATATCCAGTTCTGTAGCCCCACCGTTAACACTATAATGACACCATTAAGGCTGGGAAGGAGAAACGGTGTTAGAAGGTACCCACTCCAACAGGAAAATGAAAGCTTCCCCAGAGACCTCTCAGAAACTGGCAGTTCCATCTCTTTGACAAGATCTTGTCCTGTGGCCACACCTAGATGCCCAGGAGGCTCACAAAGCAAACACATCACAGAGCCCAACACCAGCCTGAGTGCATCTGGCATTTCTGTAGGCAGGAGAAAAGGGTGGAATACCCACTGAGATGATTTTTGCATTTTTAGAAAATCTTCATCCACTGTTTAGGAGGAATGATCACAGCCTTCAAATTTATAAGCATAATAACGCCTCACATGTTTATTTATTTGAATTCTATTGAAACATAACTTATTTCTGCAACCCAAAAGAAAGTTCTGAGCTCCCCAAACTGTGAATGAAAGAGTCACACCCCTGTACTGTGCTGCAATCCTGCTATCTCTTCTTTTGCAAAAGCATTGCTGTATCCAATTGAAGATATTCATTTTAATTAACTACAACATACAGCCCTTCAATCAATAGAAAGGTACTGGGGGAAGAACAGATGCTGTAAATCACTGTAATTTCTTCTGTTCAAAGGACTTTCTTCAACTTTAATTTAGTGGGTCTATCGCACAATGGAAAGTGCTCAGGTTCAACTAATGTTTTCATAATTACACTGATAGCTAATAGCTACCCTCAACTGAATGCTATTATATCCTGCGTGTTTAATCAGACAGGACCCCATAGAATCCTCTAAGGTTTTTACTATTTAACTGTATTTTTCTCTTATTCACCTCTTACAGGTGGGAAAACTGAGACTTGGGGATTTAAATAACCTTTCAACTTCCTGAATACTATCAACACTAGAACTAAGATTTGAATTCAGGTCTGATTTTTGGTACAATTTTATCTGAGCCCATAATCATCATGTTGAACATATTGGTGCTATTTTATACAGATTCTCTCTAGCTTTCATAATAACTTTTGTATTATCTCCTCTCCTCAGAAGTTGTATCTGGATGTCAGAAAGAGTCAACAGTTTGCCTGCCTTAGCACAGGTGGCAGCCTGGGGCTCTCCACCAAGATGGGTGTGGTCCCCAGGCCTCTGTGCCCTTCCAATGCACTCTGCAGCATCCGAAAGCATCATCAGGGCAAAAATGCAATGAAGCAGCTCTGCGCGAAGGGGATTGAAGGCATTTGTTACCCGATATAGGCAATGTATTGTAGCCACAGAGCATGAACTCCAGAATCAGGCCACTGGGGTTCAAATCTGGGGTTCGAATCCTTCTTCCAAACTTACTCTGAGATTTATCACATCCTGATTACATTGGCAAAACCTCAGCTTCCAAGTCGGTAAGAAAGGGACAACAAAATCATCATGAGGACATTAAAACGATTACAAGAGAAAATATGTGGAAGGCACCCAACCTGGTAATACCCAGAATATAGAAAGGAGAAAGGGGCTCTATGACTGTAGTGAGTTACTTTAACTTCTATGAACCTCAGCTTCCCTTTCTGTAAAATGGAGATAATAATACAACCTACCTGTAATGAAAACGTAATAAGTAAATATGCACCAAGGGCTTATAACTATTCTTCCAGATATCATGTGTTCGGTGAGGTAGCTGTCATTGTCCTCATGACGTCTGTATGAGTAATTAGATCTAATTATAAAGACCAGCCCAAAATAGAGCACCGGGATAAAAGAATCCCAATTTCTTGCATAGTACCACAATAAAGACATTCAGAACATCTATCAAGTACAAAGCCACGCTCTCCAAGGCTAGAAACTTGTTTTTCAAGAAGCATTTCGAACTGCAACCGAGGGCCCAGTCAAGGCTGGCTAATTACCTCCACTGCCGTATGCCATGGGGCCCAGGGCATCATGCCCGGCTGTTGTGTTCAGGGCTGGAGCCTGCAAAGTCAGCTGTAATTGACACCCACATGAAGGGGGGCGGGGTACGGGGCAGGTTAGAGGGAGGGCGGGGCTTGGGGGACCCAGAAAATAAACACACAAGAATGCTGAGTGTCTTGCAAAGACACATTCAGCCACATTGGGAAAGGAGGTTTGCCTTTTTTTTTTTTTTCCCTGGGGAGGCTGGAAGAGGCAGTTTCCTCTTGGGATCTCCCTAGAGAGTCCCCTCAGCTCACGTGTTTCTCTCAGACCAGATTGGGAAGCAGCTTTTCAAGATACTGCAAATAAGCCAAAGGTGCCTGCAATCCACACTGACTACGGGATAAGATGACTTTCTTTTTCTTTCTTTTCTTCAGAGAAATGGCCTTTATTCAGCCTTCCTCCACCCACAATTTCAATTCATTTCAATCAATATTCACCAAGTGCTAATGTGCTTGGCACTCGGTTAGTGCCAGAGCTAAAGAGATGACCAGCCGGGGGCCTGCCGTTTGGAAGCTTGGAGTCCACAGAAATCCATCTGTCCTGAGTTAGGAACCACAGACGTGTGTCCAATTGTCAGAGGTCTTCGAACTACAGTGACTCCATTTTGAGTGAGGGCTGGAAAATGAGGCTGGGACTTGCTGGGCTGCATTCTCAGGAAGTCAGGCATTCCTGGCCTCTAGATGTGTATGGTTAAGGGAACAAGTAAATAATGTTTGCTAAACAGAACCAGACTTGCGAGTGTCCAGATATCCCGGTATCTAGAGAACAAAGGCATTCCTAATTTTGCTTCAAAGATCATAATATCAATTCTTGCAAAACACAATAATTAAGAAAATTAATCCTTTATCACAAACCCTTGTAGCAGAGCAAATCTGCCCAAGATCTTTTTAAATCATATATGATTATATGATAATATATATGATAAAACATATATATGTGATATATATGATCTATATATGATAATATATGATATATATGATATATATAATATATATCATATATATGATAATATAGATCATATATATGATATATATATAAAATATAGATCATATATGATAAAGTATATCTCATACATGATATATGATATATATGATATATATGATACATGATACATATGATATACAATATATGGCATGTGATATATATGATATGTGATATAGGATATTTAATATATATGATATATAGTATATGATATATATAATATACAATATATGTGATATATATGATATACACCATATATGTGATATGGATATGACATATGTGATATATATGTGATATACATCATATGATAGGTACATTATATATGATCTAGATCATTTATATCTCATATATCATATATATAATATATTGATATGTCATACGATATATATGTATGACATGATATATATGTATGATACATGATATATATGATATGTATGCTATATGATATGTATGCTATAGGTATGATATATATGATATATATATCATATATATATAAACATTGTACCTAGGGTGGATGCGTTCTTCCTCTTACTTTCGGGAACGCCCTACTCTGTCTATGAAGTAGCTGTTCTTTCACCACTTGCCTTTCCTAATAAACTTGCTTTTTTAGTTTGCACCGTGGACTCACCCCAAATTCTTTCTGGTGTGAGATCTAAAAACCCCCTCTTGGGTTCTAAATCAGGACCCCTTTCCTGGAACAAAACCAATAGCCACAGATGTATAAAACATGCTCGCCTCTGGAAACTGGATTCTGAAAATGATATTTGCTTCATGTATTCATGGATAGGACTGAATGCTAGAACAAGGATAGAGGAGAAATTTAGAGTGTGGCCTCTAAAGCCAGAATGCCTGTGTTCAAATTCTTGTTCTCAGTACAGGTGAGTTTCTTAACTGCCCCGTGCCTCAGTTTCCCCTATGTAATAATTAGAATGCTCATATAAGAACTCTTGTAACTCCTGTAGAAATCATAGCAAAGCACCAGTTAATGCTAGTTTTTTTGTTTGTTTCTTTTTCCTTTTTGAGACGGAGTCTCACTCTGTCGCCCAGGCTGAACTGCAGTGGGACGATCTTGGCTCATTGAAACCTCCACCTACTGGGTTCAAGCAATTCACTTCCCTCAGCCTCTCAAATAGCTGAGATTACAGGCGCCCACCACCATGCCTGGCTAATTTTTGTATTTTTTAGTACAGATGGGGTTTCACCATGTTGGCCAGCATGATCTGGAACTCCTGACCTCAAGTGACCACCTACCTCAGCCTCCCAAAGTGCTGCGATTACAGGTGTGCACCACCATACCCAGCTAGTTTTATTTTTATTACTATTATTACCATTACCATTATCTTTATTCACTCAGCAAGCTCCTAATTACCCACCAAGTACACTTTAGGGGTCATAGGAGTAGAAAACTTTCAGCCTATGAGCATATGAGCAGTGCTAATCATAAATTGATGTTCCAAGGGAAGATATTTATGAACTTGGGCTGAAATTCTGATCATGTGGCTCAGTCTTTTCATCTGTCAAGTGGGAAAAACACACCTGATCAATTTTCTCCCAGGTGCTATCAACATATGGGCACTTGCGGCCAGGTGCAGTGGCTCACGCCTGTAATCCCAGCACTTTGGGAGGCCAAGGTAGGCAGATCACTTGAGGTCAGGAGTTTGAGACCAGCTTGGCCAAGATGGTGAAACCCCATCTCCACTAAAAAATACAGAAATTAACTGGGTATGGTGGTATGTGCCTGTAACGCCAGCTACTTGGGAGGCTGAGGCAGGAGAATCGCTTGAACCCAGGAGTCGGAGATTGCAGTGAGCTGATATTGTGCCACTGCACTCCAGCCTGGGTGACAGAATGAGACCCTGTCTCAAAAAAAAAAATAATAAAAAAAGGACATGATTTCTTCTTGGTTGAGTATTGTGGTGGCCTCTTAAATTCTGTGCGTCGGGCAGATGCTTCACTCTCTTTACCTCAGTACCATCACAGGAACCCACAGAGCTAGTCCAGGATCTGCACAGAGTGAAACACCTTCCTCTGCTCTCTGACTCCTGAGGTGTTGTTGAGGTTTTCCCGTCCTCTTTATTCTGCCATATATTTTTAAACAATTGGATCAAAAGAAAAAGTACTACCATGTGAACACACCTAGCTCCACCCTTTCTTCCAGAATTAGAAGCAGAAGCAGAGGAAGATTCTTTTAGAACAATCCTTTTAAAAAAGTGTTTTAAAAGAGGGAGGGTCCAGGACATGCTGGATTTCTCACGCAGCTATTTGCAGAAAGAAACACCTTCCAGGGAGCACTGAATGCGAGTAAAATGGAAGTAAAAGGACTACAAGCCAAGGGAGTGACTGGCAAACTTCATCAAGGTTTGCAAACACAGGGGGTTTTCTGGTGCCTGCCTCTGGTGAGTTTCAGTTAAGAGATAAGAAAAATATGGAAAGGGACATTTAATAAATGTTACTACCCTCCTGATGGTCTTCCAGAAATGCAAATAAAGAATATGATTTATGGGCCAGGTGCAGTGACTCACGCCTGTAATCCCAGCACTTTGGGAGGCCGAGGTGGGCAGATCACCTGAGGTCAGGAGATCAAGACCAGCCTGGCCAATATGATGAAACCTCATCTCTACTAAAAATTCAACAATTAGCTGGGCGTGGTGGCACGCACCTGTTATCTCAGCTACTTGGGAGGCTGAGGCAGGATAATTCCTTGAACCTGGGAGGCGAAAGTTGCAGTGAACTGAGATTGTACCATTGCACTCCAGCCTGGGCAACAAAGCAAGACTCTATCGCAAAAAAAAAAAAAAAAAAAAAAAAAAGAAAAAGAAAAAAATGTGATTTATATCACCACAAACTGGACTGTTATTTACTAAAATGACACCAACTCAAACTGTACCACATGCCTCTCTGCATTCATAGGGGTTACAACTATCCCCCATTAAGCAAAGACATGGAATCAAAACAAATGCTCAGCAATGATAGACTGGATTAATAAAAAAATGTGGTACATATACACCACGGAATTCTATGCAGCCATAAAAAGGAATGAGATCATGTCCTTTGCAGGGACATGGATGCAGCTGGAAGCCATTATCCTCAGCAAACTAACACAGGAACAGAAAACCAAATACTATATGTTCTTACTTAAAAGTGAGAGCTGAACAATGAGAACACATGGACACAGGGAGGGGAACACCACACACTGGGGTCTGCTGGGAGATGGAGGGGACGAGCATTAGGGATAAAAGCTAATGTATGCTGGGCTTAATACGTTGATGACAGCTTGACAGGCACAGTAAACCACCATGGCACACGTTTACCTGTTTAACAAACCTACACATCCTGCACATGTACCCTGGAACTTAAAAAAATAAAAATTAAAAACTACCGGTTAATGGGTAACACAGTGCAGTTATGCTCGCCAAAACTTAAAAGTGAGTATCACAAACATGATTCAACACACTTTACTCGAAAAATCCCAAATGGGTTTATTTTTCAGTCAATGGTCCAGCTTTAAAAAAAATGTTTCTTTGATAACTGTCAAAAACAATAAAAAGTCCTCACCATTTACAATCCCCTCGGGAAGAAAGAAATAAACAGACTCTCCAAACAGAAGCTGAAAAATCAACGTTGAGCTTCTCCTAGAAATAGGAGCATTTCAGCAAAAGAAAATTCCTAGTTGGGTCCACAACAGTCTATTACTTGCATGTAATTCTGTTGATATCACTGGGAAGAATGCTTCCTGATTGACTGATGTGTTATTATCTCTTATAGTTGAATTATCTCTGAAATGCCAACCATTGTAATAAGTGCTGCTTTTGTCTGACAACAAAGCTGAGCTTTATTTTGTCTGCATGGCACATAAGAAAATGCATCAACTTGATTCCAAGTACTTACTGTTAATCATTTATGCTATTAATGGGGAAGAACCCCTGATATCCTCCAACCCCGCCCCCCACCACCACACACACACTCTCTCAAAGCTGATGGCCTTGTCTCTATTTTTAAATTTTTAATTTATTTAGACAATGGAGTCTTGCTCCGTCACCCAGGCTGGAGTGCAGTAGTGCAATCTCAGCTCACTGCAGCCTCCACCTCCCAGGTTCAACTGATTCTACTTCCTCAGCCTCCCAAGTAGCTGGGATTACAGGTGCCTACCACCGTGCTGGGCTAACTATTTTTATTTGTATTTTTAGTTGAGATGGGGTTTCACCATGTTGGCCAAGTTGGCCTCGAACTCCTGACCTCAAGTGATCCACCCACTTCAGCCTCCCAAAGTGTTGTGATAACAGGCATGAACCACTGCATCCGGCCCCTTGTCTCTGGTTTTATTGAAAAAAATATGAATTTGAACAGAAATTTTCTTACCCACTCGACATCAAATCTACCCAGCCTCCCTTGTGTTTCCCCTGGAGTCTCCCACTTATACTTTCGCATGAGACCACCTCTGCCTCCATCTCTATCAAGGCCAGCCCTCCACTCAGGTTGTCTGTCCCCAAAGCATTTGCTCTTGAAATTTTCTGCTTGTTCTCCTGCATCATCAATGTCTCCACTTCTCCCAGAACATTCCAATCAGTATAAAAATCTGCTGCAATATATTTGTATCCCCATGTTCAAAGCAGCACTATTCAGACACCAACAAGTGGCGGCAACCCAAATGTCCACTGACAGATGAATGGATAAATACAATGTATCCATTCCACATAAGGGAATATTACTTAGCCTTGAAAAACGAAGAAACATCCTACACCATGGATGAACCCTGAGGACATTATGCTAAGTGATATAAGCCAGTCACGAAAGGAGAAACGCTGTATAATTCCACCGATACAAGGTAGCAAACGTAGCCCAATCATAGAGACAAAAAGTAGAATGACAGTTACCAGGGGCTGGGGAGAGGGAGAAAGGGGAGTTACAGAGTTAATAGATACAGAGTTTCAGATTTAGAGGATGAAAAAGCTTTCGTGATCTCTATCACAACAACGTGAATATACTGAACACTACTGAACTATATTCTTACAAATGGTTAAGATGGTTAGATGTTGTGTGCTTTTTAGCACAATGGGAAAAAAATGCTGTAATATATCTCTTTGTTAAGGAAACAAAAGTCTTTGACCCTCTCTGTTCCCCTCTTCTTTCTATATCACTTCACAGTAAAACTTGCGTGCAGGGATTGCCTGTGGCACGGACTCCATGCTCATTCACATTCTCCCGCATCTCAAGTCGGTCCAGTTCCCATCTCACCACCCCACTGAGGCTGCTGATGTAAAGGGTACCAGCGGATCACTGCAGGGAATTAGACTCTTCCATCAGACACTTCTCTGCTCTTAGCCTTGAATCCTATTTCCCTCGCCCTCCACACCCAACAGAAGCAGGACTGTGGACACTCCACTTAAGTGACATCTCCACGATGTCCCCAATCCGTCCACACTCCCACAGGTCTGCTAACAACACCCTAACCCCAACAACAGTCATCTCTATCCAGGACTATTGCAATGGCTTCCTAATTGGAATGTTTGACTCCATTCTCCGCCCCCAATCAGTACACCATATTCCATGTAACAGCTGGTGATCTTTTAATAATGTAAACTGGGAACACATTTCTTTTGCTCAAAATTCTCCAGTGGTACACACACACACACACACCAACTCTCTCTCTCTCTCTCTCTTCATATTGCAATCTGAAAAGCTCTGCACTGCGGGACCCCTGCCAACCCCTCCAAACCCATCTTACACCACCCTTCCCTTTCTGCTCCCCAAACAAGCAAACACACTCCCCACTTTAGGCTGAGTCATCTGTTCCTGCTGCCTGGATTGCTCTTCCATGGATGTTTCTGTGGCTGACATGTCCTCGCTTTCCTATCTCAGCTTACATATGAATCCCCAAGGTGTTCCAGAAGAATCCCATCCCCATAACAATTCAGCTGCCTTTTAGCACACCTCTTTCTATATTTTAAAATCTCTGTATAGCGGATACTTTTTCCCAATAATTTCCTTCCTATGTATTAGTAGACCCACTCAATTGTCAAATGTCTGTCTTCCTCCGCTAGATTATAACTACCATCCAATCAGGAAACGCATGTGTCCTTTTCATCATTATGTCTTGGACAGATTAGATAGTATGGTTCTCAAGAAATATCTGTTGAAGGAAACTGTTAAACATTCTATGATCAAATAAGGGCAGGAGGAAATGGGTAGGTATGCACGTGCACCTGTGTGCATGTGTTTCAGACAAATGGAACAGCACAGCACAAAGGTCTTTGAGCCTTACTGCAGTTGTCTCTTACTAGCACAGCCTTCTTTCTTCTATTGATGCTGAATATTCCAAGTAGTCACTTTTGCCAGTCTCCTTTGTAGACAGGGCATAAGACCCAATTCAGGTTAAAGGGGGCTATGGTCTGAATGTATATGTCCCCACAAATTCATATGGTGAAATCTAATATCCAACATGATAGTATTAAGAGCTAGGATTTTTAGAAGGTGATTACGTCATGAGGTCATAGCCCTCACAAATGGGATTAGTGCCCTTCCAAAAGAGGCAGGAGGGAGTGCTTTTTCCCTTCCACCATGTGAAGACACAACGCCAGGGCACCAGTTATAAGGCAGAGACTCAGCCCTCACCGGACACTGAATCTACTGATGTCTCTGATCTTAGAATGCCCAGCTTCCAGAACTGTGAGCAATGTACTCCCATTGTTGATACATTACCCAGGCTAAGGTATCTTGATGTAGCAGCCTGAGCAGACTAAGTCAGTGAAACATTAAGGGAACTGCACTACCTGTCTTGCAACTGAGAAAAGACAAACCTAAGTGTCAAACCACTATACTGAGAAAATGAAAGGACAGAAATAGTCTAGGTGATGATGTTGTTGGGTCATTGAAAGTACCCTGCCTTCTTATTCTGTTAAGACTTTTTTTTTGGTTTTTCATGGGTTTTTGATTTTGGGGTTTTTTGTTTCTTTCTTTTTTATTTTTTTCCCCCCAGAGTCTTGTTCTGTTGCCCAGGCTGGAATGCAGTGACACCATCATAGCTCGCTTCAGTCTTGAACCCCTAGGCTCAAATCATCTTCCTGCCTCAGCCTCCCAAGTAGCTGGAACTACAGGTGTATGCCACCATGCCCATCTAATTTTTTTTAAATGGGGTCTTGCTATGCTGCCCAGGCTTGTAAGGACTTTATATTACATAAAATAACACGTGTCCTTATTGTGTGACATTTCTGTATGTGGGAAATCTATGACAGACTACTGAAAGAGTCTCAAGTGACACAACATTGCATACCCATCAATTAGTACAATGGTTCACACATGGCTGACACTCAGAATTAGGGCCAGAACGAGGATGAGGCAACACAACTGAAGGGGGCACCAGAGAGCTCAGCAATTAAGATACGTTACCTTATTTTTATTTATTTGAGACAGGGTCTGGCTCTGTCACCCAGGCTGGAGTGAGGTGGCACTATTTCAGCTCACTGCAACCTCCGCCTCCCAGACTCAAGCCATCCTCCCACCTCAGCCTCCCGAGTAGCTGAGACTACAGGCATGCACCATAATGCCCAACTAATTTTTTTTTTATTTTTATTTTTTGTAGAGACGAGGTCTCATTTTGTTGCCCAGTGTGGTCTCAAACTCCCGAGCTCAATCGATCCACCTACGTTGGCCTCCTGAAGTGCTGGGATTACAGGCATGAGCCACCACACCCGGCCACCTTATTTGAATGTAATGTTGTACAAAATCACAATTATTCATTGTGAAATATGCATCATGAACAAAATATCCAAATTTTTAAGTTAAATATGGAATCACTGCATGACACTGCCTCCCTCAATGCACCCTAATCCTGACCCCGCACTAAATAGGATTCGTTGAGTAACTGCCTAAGCATTTTTAAAATCCATAATCTCCAAGGTCTTCCCAAGAACTTCATTATCATTCTCACATAACAGGTGAAGGACTGGGAATGTAGTGAGGAGTTAAGAGAAGTTAAGTTACCTATTTTGGGGACAGACAGCTAAAAGTGGACTGAATAAGTTCACACGCAGTACTCTTAACCAATGCATTAGGAGAAGGTCTCTCCTGTAAGTGCTCTTGACACCTCTCGGATGGGAACTGTATTAACTACAGGAGAAAAAAAGTGGGAGATTCTAACATTCTGACTTTGCTCAGATATCTTCCTTCCCTCAAAGTACACATCCTGAGCACCCACTAATCTGGTCACTGTGGGACTGGGAACTTTCCTCTAATGAGCTTATTATGTGAATCCTGACACAGAGCCAAGAGTCAAGAGTAGCCTTCAGCTGCCAGAAGACCTGCAGGTTTTCTTTAAAAAAAAAAAAACAAAAAAACCTGGATTAATACATTCTGAGCTAATGAAGGTAATCAGCTACTTTACAAGGTACTAGGCAAAGAGGAGGGAGAGGAGGGAGATGAGGCCAGCTGCCATGAGAACAGGAGTTAGTATGTGTACTCGATGGGAGGCCAGCACCTTGTGGGCTTCCTCGAGTCCTGTGGGATGGTGGCACGTTGTGTAAATGCAAACTGAAACTGACAGGATGGGAGGAATCCATCATCTACACCTTCACATCATTCTGAGACTTTCCCTGCCAGACTTCCTCTTCTAAATCTTTAAGACTGCTCTCAGGAAACGGCTATGGGAGAACTTCAGCCAAAGCAGGGAGAAGCCTCAGTTTTTCGGTCCGGATAGCGTCAGGCAGCATGCTTTTATTTCAGCTGCGTGAGATGAGACCAGGAAAAAAAGACAGTATTAAAATGCCTGATGAAGGAGGAAAAATAAGTGAAGAAAAAAGAAGGAAAAGAAATGAAATGTTTGCATTGTTTCCATCGCTGCTAATTTCACCAGGCTGCTTTTCAAATATCCTCTCTCCAAGTGACAGCTTGCCTGGGGGTCTTTGCTGAGTTAAAGGCACCAACCAGAGAAAAGCCTGTCAGTCACTCTGAACTGAAAAGAGAGCTAAAGGACACCCACGGAGAGGGGGTTCCCACCCTGAGGCCGAGTCTAGCGGTGGTGTCTGTGCGGGGTTGCAAGTTCAGAGCCACAGATCCATTCCAGTGGCTCTCTCATGCATCCGAGGGTCAGACCCAAGCACCTCCCAGCACTGTGAGCCCACATGGCTTCCTTACAAGAGCAGAGGCAGCACCTTCCCGCTGTCATCAGCAGAACTGCCAACCTCTCTCCCCGAGCGTTTTTATCCTTCTGGCACCCGGGGCAGCTGAACAGTTGGTGGGAGGAATTGGAGCAGTGATTTGGGGCATCTTTTTTCAGACTGACAACCCAATTCTTCAGGAAGTATGTCTGGTTGCTTCTAAACCCTGTCCCCTTACATTCTTAGTTTCAGGGCTTGGTCACCTGCTGCCTCCCACACATTCCCCAGGGTCCCACAGCTGCACGGGCAGATGGGCACAAACAATTAAAGAAGACCCATTTGACCAAGGACCTACCGTGTTCAATGTCTTGAACCAGGCCCTTAGAAGAGCAATATAATTACTGAACACACACTTCGCTGTTCAACAGCGAAGTGTACTGAGTACTGAGGGGCAGGGTGAACTAGAGAAGCTGATGACATGTAAAGAGGTGTAGGAGAAACACATAAGCAAGTCAGTCTATTCAGCAAATGAAAGGGTTCCTGTTTTTCTTCTGAAATAACGTCTATCCACTGCTCCTATCCTATCCACTGCCCCCATCCTAATCCTAGCTCCAAATGTCATTACTTTTTGGAACTGGCTTCAACTGGCCTTCCCATGAGGCTTCAGCTCCCTCTAATCTCTTCCCTGCTCAAGGAACATGAGAGCCAACCCCACTGCTGGTAGATGGATGGATGTATAGACAGATCCATACATAAATAATGGATGGATAATGGATGATGAAATGATGAGTGTACAGACAGACAGATGGTAGATGAATGTATAAACAAATGGATGATGGATGGAGAGATGGATCAATGTATAGATAGAAAATGGATGTGTGAATGTACAAACACATGGATAGATGATGAATGGATGAATGTTTAAATAGATAAGTAATGGATGAATGAGTGTATAGACAAATAGAATGATGGGTGGATGAATGTATAGATATATGGATAGATGGAGGGTGGATGCACGTACAGATAAGTAGATAGGTACATACAGAAATAAAAGAGGGATGTATAAGTAGATGATGGATGAATGTCTATATAGGCAAATAGATAATAGGTAGGCCAATGGATGGATGGATGGATGGATGGATGGATGGATGGATGGATGGAGAGATGAATAGATGGATACATGGATAGATGGATGTGTGGATAGATGGATGGATAGATAGATAGACAGATAGATAGACAGACAGACAGACAGACAGACAGACAGATAGATAGATAGATAGATAGATAGATAGACAGACAGACAGATAGAGGCAGGCAGAGTTACAGTGACTTCTCATCACAGGTGTAATTTAGATCAATTTCGCTTCACTTCAGCCCAGCTTGCACTATCTCATGCCTAACAGCAACATCATTCCACCTTGCCTCTTGCTCTGTGACCCCATGTTCTCCAGTCCATTGGCCTTATTTTTAACTAACGTATCTTCCATTCTTTCTCAAAGACATTGCATAACTCGATCCATCTCTCTCAGTCTTCCCCCGTCCGCCCCTCTCGCCACCTAATAAGCTACTGTGATCATGCTCCGTGGATGGCAGAATGAGCTCACCCCTCCACCTCGCCCAGGGACCTCTGGAAGACCCCCCAGGGTCATGTACCCCTTCCTCCTGGCTGTCCTGCCATGACTTATTATTTCTTTCAAACTAGACTGTGTGTGCTCTGAGAGCCAAAACTTGCTCTCCCTTCACTCCCATTTTATCCTCAGTGCCTGCAGGAGTGCCCAGTCAACGGGAGGCTCATTTTACCCTCCTTGGCCCTGGATGTGGCCCTATGTGAGAAGCTGGGACAGAGAGGGGAAGGCAGCTGGCTCAGAGAGATAGGAAGCCTCTGGCAAGAGCGTAAATGTCTCCTTTTAGTGGAACCATGCCTTATGTGCTTTTTAGGCCCCCAGTCTATGGTTGAGAACCCCGTGATAGAGTAAAAATCACTACCTTCAAAGTCCAGGTTCTTATTTCTAAGATAAGAAAACGTATCTCCGATTTTCTATGATACGCTCCATTTTGAGCATTTACTCCCCATTCCAAAGCCCTAAGTGAATCCATTAAAAACCTGGCACTGGATCCCCCGATGCTAAATGCCAACTCTGCTACTATTTCCCGGCATTTCCTTGGGCAAACAACTTAATCCCCCCATGCCTCAGTTTCCTTATCCCCATGGATGCGACAGCACCTATTTCAGTACAGATTAAAAGACTGACTAATGAACAGGACCTAAGTGAGTACTTGCTATGGAGAAAGCACCCCAGGATAATAAACATGATTATTATCATTCCCATTTGGAGCCAATCACATCTACTTTTTAAGTTCAGATAATATAGTCACTGGACTCACATTTTCCAGAACTCAGTGAAAACTGGATTTGTCAGCCAGGCGCAGTGGCTCATGCCTGTCATCTCAGCACTTTGGGAAGCCAAGTTGGGGAGATCACTTGAGGTCCGGAGTTTGACACCAGCCTGGCCAACATGGTGAAACCCTGCCTCTACTAAAAATACAAAAATTAGCCAGGCATGGTGGCGCACGCCTGTAATCCCAGCTACTGGGGAGGTTTAGGCAGAAGAATCAATTGAACCCGGGAGGCTGCAGTAAGCTGAGATCACGCCACTGCACTACAGCCTGGGAAACAGACCAAGACTCCATCATACACACACACACACACACACACACACACACACACACACACACACAACAAAAGAAAAAGGAAATTGGATTTGTTTATGTTTGGTCATTCTAGTCCTGAATTCTCCATTTTTTACACCCAAATGAGTGCAAAGCAATGCTTTCCTTTTCATTAGTGATTTACACCACCCACCTCTCCCAGAATCTACCACCACAGCAATCTGCAGCAGTACAGTTGCCCTTGGCCCCGAGAACCATGGAGGCAGAGTCTAGATAAACCCACCTCATGACCTAGGAAGAAGCTACATAACACTGCCACCCCCAGACTCCAGGGAAGGAGGAGAACCTAGAGATAATAAAGCAACAATCATAATCATTTCCACCATCATTTATGAAGCACGTAGGATAGGCCACACTCGCTGCTAAGTGCCTGGCGTCTGTTATCTCCTTTAATCCGCAGAGATGGGGATTAGCCTGGCTTAAGTCAGGGAGGAGGTTAAGGAGTGACTTGCCCAGGGTCACACAGCAAGGAGCTGGGAGCAGGGATTTCAACCAGGCTCTTTTAGACAAAGGCCTTTCTTAGCTTTAAGCTTTTCAAACAGCCCTGCTGAGAAGTTCTTAAAGGCTCTCCAACAGGAATTGCAGGGACAAGTGCTTCCGGACCTTACCTCATCAGAGACACCCTTTGTGATATCAGCTTTTGCAAATCCTGGGAAGGAATGAGTTTGTCAAAATGTATTTTTATTTTCTTCAAACTAACGTTATTTTTTAGAGGAGTATTAGGTTCACAGAAAATTCAGCAAGTATAAAGAGATTCCCCATATACCCTCACTGGCCCCACACAGGCATAGCTTCACCCTTAACAAAACCCCCTACCAGAGGTGCAATTTGTTACAGTTGATAACCATATACACTGACACATCACAATCACCCAAAGAGCAGAGTTTCCATTAAAGTTCACAGTTGATGTTGTATATTGTGTGGGTTGAGACCAATATATAACGACACAGATCCACCATTACAGTGTCACATAGAGTATTTTCACTGCCCTAAAAATCCTCTATGCTGCCAGGCACAACAGCTCATGCCTATAATCCCACCACTTTGGGAGGTCGAGGGGGGTGCATCACTTGAGATCAGCAGTTCGAGACCAGCCTGGCCAACAAGGTGAAACCCCATCTCTACTAAAAAATACAAAAATTAGCCAGGCATGTTGGCACATGCCTGTAATCTCACCTACTTGGGAGGCTGAGGCAGGAGAATCGCTTGATTCGGGAGGCGGAGGTTGCAGTGAGCCGAGAATGCACCACTGCACTCCAGCCTGGGTGACAGAGCAAGACTTCATGTTGAAAAAAGAAAATAAAAATAGGTAAATAAATAAATCCGGGGCTGGGCGCAGTGGCTCACGCCTGTAATCCCAGCACTTTGGGAGGCCGAGGCGGGTGGATCATGATGTCAGGAGATCGACACCGTCTTGGCTAACACAGTGAAATCCCATCTCTACTAAAAATACAAAAAATTAGCCAGGCGTGGTGGTGTGCGCCTGTAGCCCCAGCTACTCGAGAGGCTGAGGCAGGAGAATGGCATGAACCCGGGAGGTGGAGCTTGCAGTGAGCCGAGATCGCGCCAATGCACTCCAGCCTGGGCAACAGAGCAAGACTCCATCTCAAAAAAATAATAATAATAAAATAAATAAATAAATCCTCTATGCTCTGCCTCTTCATCCCTCCCTCCCACATAATCTCTGGCACCCCTGGATCTTTTTACTATCCCCACAGTTTTGCTTTTCTAGGATGGCCTATAGTTGAAATCCTACAGAACACAGCCAAAATGTACATTTTACATTGCAAGTGAGTCATTCACTCCTTTGCAAACAAATCAGATCCTCTAACATGTATCTCATTACTGACCAGTGGTTCAGACAGCATGAGATAACTTATGTTGTCACCAACCATTTGGTAGAAGTCCAACAACACATTTTTATTTCAAGTGTGTGTGTGTGTTTTAATTCTAAAAATAGAGGTTCGATTTCATTCCCATTATCTCAAAGCTGAGAACCCCACTTATTTTAAAACAACAAGAGCAACAAAAAAAAAAGTCACTGTTGAAAGACCCTAAGATGGGCTAGCTTTTTGCCAACACAAATGCTGCTTTTGATGCTACCTCTTTACAGAAAATTATGGCATGACGGACTCCGAAAAAAAATAGCAGTGCTAGGCTTGGGTGGCAACTACCAGCCAGAACCCCAAAGAGTCCTGCACCCAGAGGTGAATCTCGGACTTCCTCAGTAAAGGAGAGGGAAGGTGGGCCTGGAGCATTTGACTTGGGCAGTTCACACAGTGACTGTGTTTCAAATCCAAGGTTTACAGAGCTGATTCTTGGCTGGGAGTCAGCATTCTTTTTCTCCTTTGCCATGCAAACTGCTGAGCGATCAAAGCAAGATCCAACAACCCCACCCCAGCCCACCCAAATCACCCCATCCCAAGGCTCACTTTCTTTTCTTTTTTTCCCTTTTTCCATGAGACAGGGTCTCATTCTGCCGCCCAGGCTGGAGTGCAGTGGCATGATCACAGCTCACTGCAGCCTCCATCTCCTGGGCTCAAGTGATCTTTTCACCTCAGCCTTCTAAGGTAGCTGGGGCTACACACACATGCTACTGCTCCTGACTAATTTTTTACTATTTGTAGAGGCTGACTTTCACTGTGTTGCTCAGGCTGGTCTTGAACTCCTGAGTTCAACCAATCTACCGGCCTCGGCCTCCCAAAGCCCTGGGATTATAGGTAGGCATGAGCTCCTGGCTCCAAGCCTCATGTTAACAGGTTGAATTGAATGAACTTTAAGGTGCTTTTGACCTCTGAGCTTCTGAAGTAAGAAGAAAGGATGCCAGGGACACACTGCGGCTATATTAAACCAGGCTGCTTTATCAGGGGAAATGTCATATATGTAACAGAAAAAGTTGCACAGGTTGTAGCAGGTTGAATTTATCTCCTAAAAAGATAAGTCGAAGTCCTAACCCTTGCTACCTATGAATGTGTAGGATCTTTGCAGATGTCATTAAGCTAAGGATCTCAAGATGAGATTGTCCTGAATTTAGGGTGGGCCAATGACTAGTCTTTTTGTAAGAGAAAGGAGAGGGAGGTCTGACACACACCTAGGAAAGAAGGCCATGTGCAAACAAGCAGAGTTGGAGTCATTCTGCCATAAACCAAGGAGCATTTGGAAGTAGAAAGGAGGGATTCTCCTATCAAGACTTCAGAGGAAATATGGTCCTGGATACAGCCTGATTTTTGGATTTCTGACCTTCAGAATCATGAAAGTGTCAGAGGCCTTCTAACCACAGCAACTCCATCTTGAATAGGGGCTGGGTAAAATGAGGCTGAGAGCTACTGAGCTGTATTCCCATGAGGTTAGACATTCTTAGTCACAGGATGAGACAGAAGGTCTGCACAAGACACAGCTCATAAAGACCCTGCTGATAAAACAGGATGTGGTGAAGAAGCCAGCTAAAACCCACCCAAACCAGGATGGCAAGGAAAGTGACTTCTGGTTTGCTCTCACTGCTCATTATACATTAATTATAACGCATTAGCATGCTAAAGGACACTCTCACTAGTGCCATGACAATTTAAAAACGCCGTGAAACAATCACAAGCTACCCTATATGGTCTAAAGGTGAGGAAGGAACCTCACCTCCAGAGGAAGTCCCCACCCCTTTCCCAGAAAACTCATAATTCACCCCTTGTTTAGCATATAATCAAGAAATAACCATAATAGTAGCCAATCAGCAGCCCTCAGAGCTGCTCTGCCTATGGAGTAGCCATTCGTTTGTTTCTTCGCTCGTCTAATAAACTTGCTTTGACTTTACGGACTCGCTCTGATTCTTTCTTCTGCAATTTCCAAGAACCCTCCTTTGGGATCTTGATCGGGACCCCTTTCTGATAACAAAAGCAACAATCTTTGTTGTTTTAAGTCACCAAGTTCATGGCTATTTGCTATAGCAGCGCTGGGAAATTACTACAGTTTGAACACGGTCTGGAGTGGACGCAGGGACCCAGGGGCTCCACTTGCATGGCCAGGACTGTCTGCATTGCTTAGCTCTCCTCTCCTCTGGTGGGGTCTCCCCAGGTTCTGAGAAAATGGCCATCAGCAGCTCAGGGACATCCTATCAGCTTACTATCCCATGCATTTAATCTTTCTTTTCTTTTTTCTTTCTTTCTTTTGCGTGTGTGTGTCTGTGTGGGTGTGTGTGATGGAGTCTCTATTGCCCAGGCTGGAATGCAGTGGCATGATCTCGGCTCACTGCAACTCCCGCCTCCCGGATTCAAGTGATTCTCCTGCCTCAGCCTCCTGAGTAGCTGGACTATAGTTGCTGGCCACCATGCCCAGCTAATTTTTTTTTTTTTTTTTTTTTGTATTTTCAGTAGAGATGGAGTTTCATCACGTTGGCCAGGCTGGTCTCCTGACCTCAAGTGATCCGCCCACCTTGGCCTTCCAAAGTGCTGGGATTACAGATGTGAGCCACTGCACCCGGACCTGAGGCATTTAATCTCTTTGACTTTGTTTGGGTCAGGTACCCAACCCTGGGCCAATCCCTACAGTCAGGGATATGATGATTGAAGAGCTCAAAGTCTGAGTTCTGTACCCTCTTGCAGTGGTGACAGGTAGAGACAGTACAGAGAGTGGGCCCGTCAGAGACAGGAGATGCTGGTCCTGCAAGAGTATGTCCTGTCTCCAGAACAGAGGAAGGAAGGAGAGAAGGCAGGAAAAAAGGCAGGCGGGGGCCTCCTCTGCAGAGTTTGGAAGGAGGTAAGAAGGGCACAGGGGAACAGATACAAGAAAGAGGTGACTCCTGAAGAGTTGTTCCCAGACCAAACTGAGGGTCAGGCTGCTTATTCTCGTGGCCCAATAACAACATACACGAGAACTGGGAGACAAGGGAGTTTATTCCTGTAACCGGGTACAGGGAGAAGGCCTGGGAAATATCACCAGACCAACTTAAAATTAGAAAGTTTTCCAGAGCTTATACAGCTTCTAAGCTATATGTCTACCTGTAAGTGTGCATTCGTCTAAAGACGTAAGTGATTAACTTCTCATCTATAAGATCTGAGGCCTGAAGACCTTCCTCTGCAGCCTCAGTAAATTTACTTAATCTAAATGGGTCCAGGTGCTGGGATGATTATCCTTCTCTTGTCTCCTGCTAAATCATGGAGGTGTGGGGAGTTCCTTTAGAAACCCAAAAAACTTATTTCTCAAGACCTGGGGAGTTTCTTCAGACCCCCAATACACTTGTTTAATCCTAAATGGGTCCTGTTAAGAATTCCTTTATTATCTTGTCATGTTTCAAGGCCTAGGAAAGGCCTAGGCAAAACTCTTGGGGGGTTTTTGTTACATTTCAGCCTTTGTTTAAGGGCACTGGCTTTCTTGGCATTTATTAATTTATTTATTTATGAGATGGAGTTTCGCTCTTGTCGCCCAGGCTAGAGTGCAATGGCACAATCTCAGCTCACTACATGTCCGCCTCCTAGGTTCAAGCGATTCTCCTGCCTCAGCCTCCCGAGTAGCTGGAATTACAGGTGCCTGCCAACACACCCGGCTAATTTTTGTACTTTTGGTAGAAACGGGGTTTCACCATGTTGGCCAGGCTGGTCTCGAACTCCTGACCTCAGGTGATCCGCCTACCTCAGCCTCCCCAAGTTTAGAGATTACAGATGTGAGCCATTACGCCCAGCCTCAGCTTTTAATATTTAACGTAACCACTCAGTCAGTGCTGGAACAGTTGTTACAGAGGCCTGCCTGTTCAGCCTTGAGGGAGACCTGCTTTGCCACAGACTCACTGAGACCTGGGTCCAAATGCACACAGAATGAGAGAGGGTAAAAAATAAAAAATAAAAAAAGATACTCCCTTGAGATCAGGCCTAGAAACAAGATTTTATTCCAACTTCTGCCTTCATCCCTGCTGTGATAAGCGTGAAGTACAACTCTTAGAAACCCCACAAAACGACTTTCTGAAAATCCATTCAAATGTGACGGTTATCAGATGTATTGAAAACAATAGTTTCTGAGAGATTAAAAACAGAAAAAGTTTAATATGACTGTACTGGCTCCCTCCACATAAACATGGCCTCACAAAATCTGCCTGTCCCCTGAGCTTAGCAAAGAGAGGTACTTTTTAAGTACAATCTGAAATCGAGCGAGTATTTCACAGATGAAAAGGCCCAGGCTTTCCAATCCATCGTAGTCTGAAAAAGTGGATTTTAATTTCTGAAAAGACAAAGCCGATAGAAAAAAGAAAATGCCTATCTTTATGCACTTAAGAACTATAATATTACTTAGATGGTGAAGTTTTATTCTGAAAAATGACTGTCCATTATGATTAATATTCTCCTTATAATTAATTCAAAATCTTATTAAAATCAAACTTTTATAACTTTACATAGAACCATGCTGCCTATGTCAGGATGGAGAATACGCCTTGTCATTAATTTTACCTGTATCATTTCTCAGTTCTCAAAAAAAGGTAATAAAAGATACCTCCTTGAAAATCAGCAATGCCGGGCCACCCTCATCTCCATAATGACACGATTTCCAATTCACGCCTCATTTTCATTAATGTTTCTGCCCATAAATTTTTAAGCATATGATAAAAGATTTCTGAAGCGGCATAAAACTAACATGAAGAGGGAGTTCATTAGCATGTGACCCCAATTAGAAATTCCATATTAACTTCCCATTTCTAGTTATGCATAGCCAATAGCATCACATCCCTACTCTGAGCGTGCGTTCCCATTGTTGAAAGGAAATATTCCGTTTGGTTGTTTAATTCCTTGGCTTTATTTTTTAAAACAATCCATGTGTTTCCTCTGTTATTGAATAAGTCAACAGACCATTGTATCACAGAACGCCTTTTGTGTCACAAATTATCCCGAGGAATTGCGAGAAGGTCCTTGCCCAATGCTTTATTAATGATACCCGATCATAAAAAGGGGGGGAAATATGCTGACTCCATCTCTTTTCTAATGGTGGGTGATAAAAATGCTACTTGAGGATTCAGAAGGTTAAGTTCTAATGTGTATTTTGAATAGAGTGTGTTGGAATAATTGCCTCATAAAGCAAAGCATTGCCCAGCCTGCTAACGGCTGCATCGTGCAGGGCTCAGCAAAGACGGCCAAGCTTACTGGAAAAAATGCTGTGCCTCAACTTTTGCAGCCCTCCCATATTAAGTTAACTTTCCCCTCCCCTTGCTTCTCAAAAAACGTGCAAAATCCGGTCACCCATTTCTGCAGCTCACAAGCCGCTGCCTTTAACATCCATGAGAGCTAGTCTCCAAAGATGGCCCCTCGATGAACCATGCCTCCTGGTATTCTCACCCCTGAGTAGTCCCTTCCCACCCTATGCAGGAGCTGGTCCTGTGTAACCAAGAGAATATGCTGGAAGTGATGCTGTGTGACTTCTCGGGCTAGGTCACAGATGTCCTGCATGGAAAAGGGAGGGGCCATTTAAGGGCTCTGACTAATCTGCAACTGTCACGCTAGGAGGAAGTCCAGGCTAACTACACAAAGAGGCTGTGTGAAAAGAGAGATGCCTGGCTTTCCCTAAGGTATCCCAGCCCAACAGTCACAGATGTTTGAACCAGAGCAACTCCATCTTCAATAGGGGCTGGGTAAAATGACGCTGAGACCTGCTGGGCTACTTTCCCCTGAGGTTAAGGCATTCTAAGTCACAAGATGAGACAGGATGTCGGCACAAGATACGGGTCATAAAGACCTTGCTGATAAAACAGGTTGCAGTAAAGATGCCATAACCCACCAAAACCAAGATGGTGATGAGAGTCACCTCTGATCGTCCCCACTGCTACACTCCCCCCAGCACGGTGAAAGTTTATAAATGCCATGGCAACGTCAGGAAGTTACCCTATATGGTCTAACAAGCGGAGGCATGAATAATCCACCCCTTGTTTAGCATATCATGAAGAAATAACCGGCTGAGCGTGAGTCGCAGCACATTGGGAGGCAGATCACGAAGTCAGGAGATCGAGACCATCCTGGCTAACATGGTGAAACCCCGTCTGTACTAAAAATACAAAAAATTAGCCTGGCGCAGTGGTGGGCACCTGTAGTCCCAGCTACTCGGGAGGCTGAGGCAGGAGAATGGCGTGAACCCGGGAGGCGGAGCTTGCAGTGAGCCGAGATCACACCACTGCACTGCAGCCTGGGTGACAGAGCAAGACTCCATCTCAAAAATAAATAAATAAATAAATAAATAAATAAAAATAAAAATAAAAAAATAAAATAAATAACCAAAAAACATGGGCAACCAGCAGCCCTTGGGCTGCTCTGCCGATGGAATATGCCTATTCTTTTATTTCTTTCCTTTCTTAATAAACTTGCTTTCACTTTACTCTGCAGACTTGCCCTGAATTCTTTCTTGTGTGAAATCCAAAAACTCTCACTTGGGGTCTGGATCTGGACCCCTTCCTGGTAACACAACTAGCCCAGATGCCAGACAAATGAGGAAAGAAGTCACCTTGAATACCCAGCCCATCCAAATCCTTGGATAGCTCCAGCCCCAGCTGCTCTCTGTCTGCAACCACATGAGATACCCCAAGCGGTATCTACCCATCTGTGCCTGGTCAAACCACAAGACCATCGAAGATGATATTAAATTGTTTTCTAAAGGCATTAAGCAGAGCAAATGCCTTTGATATGATGCAATAGATAACTGGAGCAACATCAGCCACAAATAGCAGGCACAAGAAGGGAAGACGGGCTGTGGATTTGAACCACTCACTCCTCTGTCTCCCACACCTGACCAGAGGCAAGAGGTACAACTGCCCCCACTGGCCCTTAGGTTTCAATTCTCCTTCCCCACTCCAGGTTTACTCTGAAATTAAAATCTTCAATACCATCTCTTTGAGAAGACGATGACAAAGCCCAGCATGTAGCTTACTCTTGACAAATTCAAGTATTCACTGGAAGACAGCGGAGCCTGCTCATTCCCCTTGAGTCCAGTCTTGACACTGAAGAACTCCAGCAGCAAAATACTTTGGGGAATAATTAATGTGGGAGATGACGAATGGGGATTCCTTAGCAAGACTCTCTAAAAACTCTCTTCACCCAGCTCTTTGTGCCTGACTCTTCAAAGCAAAGTCCTTCTCCTCTGCCTCTCTGCACGATCTCCTGTGTGGTACTCCCATCTCCATTCTCATCCTTCCTCATTCCATCTTTTCCCAGACTTAGCAATCTGTCCAGGTCCCATTTACAACTCCAGCCTCTGTGGCCCTCACTCAGATAAGCAAAACAAAGGGAAGGTAACTCACTAAAGGGAAGATAACTCACTTAATCAAAAATGTGTCCTCACCCTCATTACAAAAAGTGATGGAGGCCGGGTCTGGTGGCTCACATCTGTAATCCCAGCACTTCGGGAGGCCAAGGTGGTTGGATCACCTGCGGACAGGAGTTTGAGACCAGCCTGACCAACATGGTGAAACCCCATCTCTACTAAAATTACAAAATTTAGCTGAGCATGGTGGCATGCATCTATAATCCCAGCAACTCAGGAGGCTGAGGCAGGAGAATCACTTGAACCAGGGAAATGGAGGTTGCAGTGAGCCCCAAGATAGCGGCACTGCACTCCAGCTTGGGGAACAAGAGTGAAACTCCCTCTCAAAAATAAATAAATAAATAAATAAATAAATACATACATACCTAAATAAATAAAGTGGTGGTGTAGCAAAAGATGAAAAATACTATTAATTTTCTCTCATATTGCTGTCACATGGGCAATACAATGCACCAGCATATAAAACCAATATTACACTAAGATGTTCACAGAGAAGAGTAAAACTGCCCTTTGAAAAAAGCAAGCAATGAGCTAATTTAATTCCGTGAGATTCATATCTTGCCTGAATGTGATCATTTTAAGTACTTCTAACCAGTGGAACACAGAACAACGTTCTCATAAAATTAATCAGTAAGTCCAGAACACAGGGGTTTTGAGTGTGTGTATGTGCACGTGTGTGTGTGTGTGTGTGTGTGTGCATATGTGGGGAAGGCTTAAAGGTGAAAGAGAAAAAAATTATTGATAACTTACTTAATCGTACGCTAGGGAGTTCTAGATTAAATTTCTTTTTTTCTTTTTTTCTTCCCAGACAAGGTCTCACTCTGTTGCGCAGGCTGGAGTACAGTGGTGCCATCTCAGTTCACTGAAACATCTCAGTCCCAGGCTCAACTGATCCTCCTGCCTCAACCTCCCAAGTAGCTGGGACTACAGGCATAATCCACCATGCCCAGCTAATTTTTTGTGTGTTTTTTTTTTTTTGTAGAGATGGGGTTTCCCAGTGTTGCCCAGGCTTGTCTTGAACTCCCGGGCTCAAGCAATCCTCCTGCCTCAGTCTCCCAAAGTACTCAGATTATGGGCACGAGCCACCACACCCAGCCTTCATATTAAATTTGATGCCTAAAATAGCCTAATAAGTTTAGGATAATTACCTTTCTTTATTTGAGGACACATGAATTGATAGAAAAAAGGCAACTTGCCCAAGGTTATAAAGTTGCTAATCCACAGAAATGAGGTTCGAACCCTTCTACCTGCCTTCAAACTGGGTGCTCAAGTCAGGTGATGATTTAAGATCCTCTGGAGGGCATGTTCTCTGGGGCTCATCTCCTCACCTATGGCTAGACTTGGGCACCTGCACTTAAGAGAGCCCCTAAATGCAATGACCTGATATTGGAGAACTGCCCTAGAAAAATCATGCCTCTTTTTGCCTCAGTTTCTCCATCTACATAATGAGGAGGATATAGGATCATAATTAATATAGCATTGGGGTGGACAACAGGTGAGGACAGTTGGCATGTATTTTATCCCAACTACCCCCTTTTTATTAAAACAAATGTTTCAACAAAATTACGTTTTAAACTGAGTTTTGTTCCTGCTTGACAATTTATAGTCGTGTAATTTTAAAAATGCCAATCATTAAATGCAAACGAGGGACACATCTATGCATGCCGGAACTACTAATGGATGGAAGACCGTTATTGTAACTATAAATCAACTCCTCAGACCTTAAAACGCCATAAATAAGCAAGTCTCACTGTCAAAATTGGCGAGATGACCAGAATCGCTACCCTGATTTATTACATAGCACCTTCAAAATCAACACCCCGTTGATTTGCCACTCTCTTTTTACATAAATATGTGAGTAACTTTTTGACATCAAAATAAATCAAAACCACTAGATCTAACCTGTAACTTCCAATACGCCTGCAAAGGTGACTGACACCTTAAGTGTTGTCTGTTACACTTTATTACCGCCTTGTTGACAGAGAAGTTCTCTCTCTTGCCATATTAGGGGTATATGCGCCTGGCTCAATACCTTGTCTTGACATGTGCGTAAGACCTATCGGGTATGTAAAACTGTAAACACTTTTGTAAATAAGAGGTTACTCCTCTGTCAGGAAAGAGATGCAATTAGCAACAACAACCAAAAAAAACTTTACGTCAACAACTGGCTTTGGCCGCCAATGGGCAAAGAGAGATTCAAGTCAGGTATCCAAGAGTTATTTTTCTCGGTTCTATCAGTTGCAAACCAGTTTGAAATCTTGATATTCAAAGACAAGCCTATGAAATGCACCAACACCCATTATGTATATAAAATATGTATATTTATATGTATGTATGTGTAAATATCGTGTGCGTGTGAGGCTGGGCACTGTGGCTCATGCCCATAATCCCAGCGCTTTGGGAGGCCGAGATGAGTGGATCACTTCAAGTCAGCAGTTTCAGACCACGCTGGCCAACATGGCAAAACCCCATCTCTACTAAAGATACAACACATTAGCCAGGTGTGGTGACACACCCCCGTAATCCCAGCTACTCGGGAGGCTGAAGCAGAAGAATCGCTTGAACCCAGGAGGTGGAGGTTGCGGTGAGCTGAGACTGCACCACTGTACCCAGCATTGGCGACAAAGCAAGACTCTATCTCAAAAAAAAACAATAACAACAACAAAAAAAATCATGTATATGGGAAACATTGTGATCTCTATGTTATTAAGTTGCTGGTGAAAGAGACTCCATAAATCTTCTGTTTCAGAGTAGTTCTGCCTTATTTCGGTGTATATGTTTGAACTTAAGGTTTTATTTGATTAAAGAGTACCATAGGTAACAGGTCTGAGAGCACCGGACACATACCCAGCTTAGCAAAATATAAGGGAATGATCATGGTTATTTTTCCTTCAGTGGAAAGAGGCATACATACACCTAAGTTCTACTCAGTCGCAGACCTTCAAGCCTTCTTTGTTTTTGTATTTGTGGCTTGGTTTCGCCACCTGCAATATAGAAATAATAATGCTTAATATACATTGCCAGGTGAGGTAAAGATGTATAGTTCAAACAATGACAATTTTTTTTTCTTTATGAGACAGAATTTTGCTCTGTCCCCCAGGCTGGAGTGCAATGGGGCAATAGGCTCACTGCAACCTCCACCACCTGGGTTCAAGCCCTTCTCCTGCCTCAGCCTCCCCAATAGCTGGGATTACAGGCATGCACCACCATACCCAGCTAATTTTTGTATTTTAGTAGAGATGGGGTTTCACCATGTTGGCCAGGCTGGTGTCAAACTCCTGACCTCGTGATCCGCCCGCTTCAGATTCCCAAAGTGCTGAGCTGACAGGCATGAGCCACCGTGCCCGGCCCTACCAAGGATAATTTTTTTTCATTTCTTTTTCTTTTCTTTTTTTTGGAGGGAGGAGGGAGACAGAGTCTTGCTCTGTTGCCCAGGCTGTAGTCCAGTGGCATGATCATGGCTCACTGCAGCCTTGATCTCCCAGGCCTAAGTGATTCTCCTACCTCAGCCTCCCAGGTAGGTGGGACTACAGGTGTGCATGACCACACCTGCTAATTTTTTGTAGAGACAGGGTCTTAATACGTGGCCCAGGCTGGTCTCAAACTCCTGGGCTCAAGCAATCCTCCTGCCTTGGCCTCACAAAGTGCTGGGATTACAGGTGTGAACCACCATGCCCAACAAGTTTACTTTCTAACAGGTCTAAGTTAACTACTTTGTCAAAACTGGAGTTCTACTTTTTTGCACACACAAGAGCTTTACCTTTAAGTTTGTTCTTTTAGAACCAGAAATCTACAGAAACGTAGCAGGGAAAGGTCCTACTCTTTTTCTTTCATCTCAGTGATAGCAGTGAAGGATTCCTTCTCTCAGAGTGCCACATAGAGCCTTCACAACGACTATGTGCTCTGCGAAGCACTTGTGGGGAAATATTAAATGAAGGAACAAAGCAATCGTTTTCAGAAAGATAAAGGTACATGTATCTGATCAACCACGTATGAGAAACCACTTTTTTCAACAGTGGCCACAATTATCTTTCCTGTTAATATGCTTTTTGGTAATGTTGCCATGCCCCCATCAAGAGATCAGGTGTTCGAGACCAGCCTGACCAACATGGTGAAACCCCATCTCTACTAAATATACAAAAATTAGCTGGGCATGGTGGTGCATATGCCTGTAATCCCAGCTACTCAGTAGGCTGAGGCAGGAGAATCGCTTGAACCCAGGAGGCGGAGGTTGCAGTGAGCCTGGATTATGCCACTGCACTCCAGTCTGGGCGAAAGAGCGAGACTCCATCTCAAAAGAGAGAGAGAAAAAAGAGAGAAGTGTGGAGTCTCTCCTTGAATCTGGGTGGACATTTGTGTGTGACTCACTGAATCCATGAGGCAAAAGTGATACTATACTTACGAAGGCTGACTACCCTGAAATCACCATGAGAAAAAACCACATGGAGAGATGAGAACAAGGTACAAGGAGAGAAAGAGAGATCTTAGTAGTCCCCAATATTCCTGCTCCTACTCTATGAGTCTTCCCAGGCCAGACTTATGAGTAAAAAACCACCCCAGACTCAGCCACTATGTAACTATATAAAAGCTCCTGATTAAGTGAGCTGACTCCATTATGAGATTCTTAAGTAAAATAAATGTACGTTATTGTTTTAAGCCATTATACTAGGGTGATTTATTTGGTAGAAAGAGTTAGCCAGAATACCCTCAGACAATAATGACAATGACTCCAGTATCCAGCCTACAGACAGCTGAAACTGACCCCTCAGAAGATGGGTGACTCTATTACGTTTCTTTCACTCACATGCCTTTTCTTAACTGGTTAAGAAAAAAAAGTTAGGCAGGGCCTGTTGGCTCACACCTATAATCCCAACACTTTGGGAAGCTGATGCTGGAGGATTTGTTGAGTCCAGGAGTTTAAGACCAGCCTGGGCAACATAGGGAGTCCCTGTCTCTACAAAAAATAAGATAAAATTGCTGGGCATGGTGATACGTGCCTGTAGTCCCACCTACTCGAGAGGCAGAGGTGGGAGGATCGCTGGAGCCTAGAAGTTTGAGGCTGCAATGAGCTGTGATCATGCCACTGCACTCCAGCCTGAGAAACAGAGCAAGATCCTATGTCAAAAAAAAAGAGAGAAAGAAAGAAAGAGTGAAAAGAAACAGAAAGAGAGAAAGAGAGACAAAAACAGAGAAAGAAAGAAAAAAGAAAGAGCTGAGGAAGGAAATGTAGTCCTTTAGCATCTGTTGTGATAGAGCATTCTGCCACAATATTAAGTGAAATTCACCTACCCATATTACATGGCCGCAAATCTCCTCCCTTTCCCAGCATTGTTCTCCTAAGCAACTCTTTTTTCATTCTTCAACTCAACCTGAACCTCACCTCTTTCTGCATCCTTGAGAGAGATTTAGAGCTTCTACATAAGGCACACAGCACCTGCATATATATTGTATTATCTTAATGCTATGGAAATAAGTCTCCTAACACACATTCATTTCTAAGCCTGGAAATAATGGCCAAATGCAATTTCTATTTGTTCAGCTTCAATCCAATTCAGGTCATCAAACATTTATCAAACATCTACTCTGTGCCAGGCACTAGGATACCAAACTGCTGAATCATTACCCTGTTCTCAGTGCATGCTGGTGTAGTGGGTAGTGGGTGGTGGGTGGACAGAGGGACAGAGATCCACACAAGTAACTGTGATTCTATGGGATAAAGCAATGGGTGTGTACATGAGGCTGTGAGATGCAGAGGGGAGCATGGTTCTGCAAAGACAAAGAATGTGCTGGCCGGACATGGTGGCTCATGCCTGTAATCCCGGCGCTTTGGGAGGCTGAGGCAGGTGGATCACTTGAGGTCAGGAGTTTGAGACCAGCCTGGCCAACATGGTGAAACCCCATGGCTACTTAAAAAAAAAAAAAAAAAAAAAAATTACCTCTGCGTAGTGGCGCATGCCTATAATCCTAGCTACTCGGGAGGCTGAGGCAGGACAATCACTTGAACCCAGGAGGCAGACGTTGCAGCGAGCCGAGAACACACCACTGCACTCCAGCCTGGGCAACAGAGCAAGACTCTGTACCAAAAAACAACAACAACAACAACAAAAAAACGTACTCAGGGAAGGAGCTACCTACGCTGAGGATGAAGACAGTTTTAAAGGGAGAACAGTTCAGCAACAGAGGGGCTTGGAATTGCATTCTGTCCGGGTGAAGAGATGTTCTGCTCATACACACACAGAAAAAAAAAATTCAGAAGAAAATGAACAATTCCCAGAACCGAATTGTGTCCCTTCAAAATTCCTAGTTGAAGTCTTAACTCCTAACGTGACTATATGTGGAGGTAGGACCTAGAAGGAGGTAATTAAGGTCAAAGGAGGTCATAAGGTTGGGGATTTAATCCAATTTGACTGCCATTTTTAGAAAAAGAGAAAGAGATATCCAAGATGCACGTAGGCACAAAAAAAAAGGCCAAGTGAGGACACACCCCGAAGATCGTCATCAGTAAACCAGGGAGAGAGGCCCAAGAAGAAACAGACCCTGCCAATGCTCTGGCTTTAGATTTCCAGCCTCCAGAAGGGTAAGAAAACAAATCTGTGTTGCTTACGCAACCCAGCCTGTGGTATTTTGTTATGGTGCCCCTAGCCAGCTAATACACCATGGAATGAGTAAAACCCATCAGCAAGGCCTGTTTCACTGAAGGGAAGGAACAAAAGGTGAGCGAAGATTGAAAACTAACTGGTACATGTCTTTCTTCTCCCTTTATGGGTTTGTTTTGTGAAATTGAGCCTGTTTCTTGTTGATGAAGGTGCTTTTTATAGGCTTGTTTCTATATCCTGGAATTTAGCTTTTGTAGCTTTTATTCTAGACCTTAGACTTTTCAGGGGGGTGGGGGAAGGCATCAGTTACATATCCCTATCCATGTTTTAAAAAAAGTCAATAATTACATTTCAGAGGATAAAGAAACCTTGACAATAGCTTTGTCCTTACTCTCCCTTTTACGAATCACACTCCATAGAGTCGAATTTCTTTTCTTAATCGAGAATCCCTTCCTTTGAGAAACTGTCTCAAACTATCCCATTCTACAGCAACCCAACTCGTCCACACAACGTAGGATGGTATAACCCACTCTCCCTTCCTCATTGACAGTCAGAGGATGCTGTCCCTCTGGTCACTGTAATCGGTTTATAGACGGACAGAAGACTGATGACACAAATCAAATCATCTCTCTAGGATTTAGGCTAAAATTATCAGAAAAGACGCTTCCTCTTCTGGATTGTATGGGCATTTTTTGTTGAATGGAGTAGTGAACATTTCAAAACATAGTCAAATGATGGAGGAGGGAGTTTCTGATAAGACTGACACAACGCCAGGCGTGGTGGCTCACGCTTGTAATCCCAGCACTTTGGGAGGCCAAGGCGAGCAGATCATTTGAAGTCAGCAGTTCAAGACCAGTCTGGCCAACATGGTGAAACCCTGTCTCTACTAAAAATCAAAAATTAGCTGGGCATGGTGGTGGGCGCCTCTAGTCCAAGCTACTTGGGAGGCTGAGGCAGGAGAATCGCTTGAACCAAGGAGGCAAAGGTTGTAGTGAGCCGAGATAAACTGCACTCCAGCCTGGGCAACAGAGTAAAACTCAGCCTCAAAAAAAAAAAAAAAAAAAAAAAAAAAAAGAAAGGGAGAAAGAAAAGGACATGTAGCAGAAAGATGTCAGAGTTTGTTTCCATTACCTGGCTTTATTTTGTTTGTTTTAAATTAAAATTTTTATTTTATGTTTTTCTTTCAGATATGGTCTCATAATATTGCCCAGGCTGGTCTTGAATGCCTCAGCTCAAGCCATCCTCTCACCTCAGCCTCCCAAAGTGCTGGGATTACAGGTATGAGCCACCATGCCTGGCTGAAAGGCATGTTTCTATTTTGTATTGTTTTCTACTCCTTCTCAAACCGCAGAAGAAAATGAGAATATGTAGGCCAGGCCATGGTGGCTGATGCTTGTAATCCCAACATTTTGGGAGGTGAAGGCAGCTGGACTGCTTTAGGTCAGGAGTTTGAGACCAACCTGGCAAACGTGATAAGAGCCTGTCTCTATTTAAAAAATACAAAAATTAGCTGGGCATGGTGGGTTGAGCCTGTAATCCCAGCTACTTGGGGGGCTGAGGCAGGAGAAACGCTTGAACCCATGAGGTGGACTTTGCAGTGAGCCAAGATTGCACGACTGCACTGCAGCTTGAGCGACAGAGCAAGACTCCATCTCCAAAAAATGAAAAAGAGCAAGAGAAAATGTAATCAGATGAATAGCTAAAAAAGAAAGCCACCTAAGTAAACGTTTATAAATAGATTTCAGCAAACTGAGGCTCAGAGAAGTCATATAGCTTTCCCAAGGAGATAACGATAGAACAGAACTTAAATCCATTCTGTCTGGAACCAGGAACAGTTTTCCTTCTACGCAAGGCAGGAGGCAGCAAGCTGCAAGGAAGGGCAACAGGAACTCAAGTCCATTCATGTTTCAGGAGGATTTCTCTCATCTCACATCTCTTTTTCGCTCTATTTCAGGGTGTTCCTACATCCTTCCCAAGAACATATGTTCTCAGCCGGATGAAATACGGCCAGTTGAAGCCAGTCTCCATTCTCCCATCTGTTCCTTCTCTTAGGAAACCAGGGAGAGCGATTAAGATGCAAAAGGCTCAGGCACCCAGGTGTCTTCATAATGTTATCTCTTAAAGACTGTTAAATCACACCCTACCTGTGGGAAGGGTGACCTTACTCCAAAATCAAGGTGAAAAACAGGAAAATAAGAAGAGCTTCTGACTCATCATTTTGGCCAATTCCTAAAAGACAGCCATAAACTGCATCCTTCACATAAAGAGTTGAAATCACAGCCAGTGATTTATTGGACCTTGAACATGGGCCAGGTTATGTGCTAAGAGTTTAACAGATCTTATCCCATTAAATCCTCTTAACTATTCTCTGAGAAAGCACAGACCTTCTCTCAATTACAGATGAGGAGCCTGAGGCCAGGAGAGAGGTGAAGGGACTTGCTCAACCCAACAGGGCTAGGAAACTGGTCAGGCTGGGATTCAAATACACATTCAAATGGCTCCCAAACATAAAGCCAAATAACAACGTTTGAAAGGTTTCTGGGCTGGATGTGGTGACTCATACCTATAATCCCAGCACTTGGGGAGGCCAAGGCAGGAGGATTGCTTGAGATTCAGAAACTGGAGACCAGCCTTGGGCAATACAGTGAGACCCTGTCTCTGCAAAAAATTTTAAAAATAATTAGTTGGGCAGAGTGGAGTGAGTCTGTAGTCCCAGCTATTTGGGAGACTCAGGCAAGAGGATCACTTGAGCCCAGGAGTTTGAGATTGCAGTGAACTGTGATCTCACTACCGCACTCCAGCCTGGGTGACTGAACCAGACCCTAACCCCTACTACCTTCCCCCTCAAAAAAATGAAAAAAAGGTTCTTGGAGAACAGGTTTTAAATGCAAGAAGCTTTTATGAAAGAAGGTTCTTAGAAAACACAGTAGGGATGGGAGATGTAAAACAAGGAGGAGAAAACAGGCTATGCAGAAAGCCCATTACCAAGCCAGTTACCATAGTGGGTAACAGCTTATTTTCATCACAGAACTCAGGCAATAAGCGTAGAGCTTGCTTTATGGCACAGATAAGCAATATAGGCCCAGTACAGGGCCAGCTGGCCAGACCTGGCCCACTGACTATTTTTGTAAATAAAGTTTTATTGGAACACAGCCACACCCATATGTTATTGTCTATGGCTATTGTTGTACTACAAGGATGTAGTGGAGCAGTTATCACAGAAACCATATGGCACCCAAATCCTAAAATATTCTCTGTATCTGGTCCTTTACTGTAAACACTTGCCAACCCCTAATCATGAGTTATCCCACTTGAGAAGCAAGGAAAACTGGGTTATTTATAAAGCAAATCCTGAGTTACCCATTGAAGGTTGCTGGGGAAAGGGTGCTTTAATTCCCTCACATTTCCAGTGAAGCATCTGTGTAGGCAAAGGGGGCTCCAGAGGCTCCAGAAAGACCTCAGGCCAAAAGACACTTGTGGAAATTGAGGCAGAATGCCTTGAAATGGTAAACGCCCCTGGGGGCTTAGGGTTAGCACCAGCAGATTCCTTTTTTGTGGGGGACGAGAGTCTTGCTCTGTCACCCAGTGGGGAGTGCAGTGATTTGATCTCAGCACACTGCAACCTCCGCCTCCTGGGTTCAGGCGATTCTCCCGTCTCGGCCTCCGAAGTAGCTGGGATTACAGGTGCCTGCCACCACCCTCAGCTAATTTGTATATTTTTAGTAGAGACGGGTTTTCACCATGTTGGCCAGGCTGGTCTTGAACTCCTGACCTCAGGTAATCCACCCACCTCGTCCTCCCAAAGTGCTGGGATTACAGGCGTGAGCCACCGAGCCTAGCCAGCACCAGCGGATTCTGATACAAAAATAAACATCAAAGATGCAAACTGGTTGCCCATGAGTCACAGATGTGGCTTTACATGGTCAGGTAGTGTTTTCCAAAAATGAGAATTAGATTTCCCATTTTACAAAAAAAAAAATCAAAATATCCATATTTTCTTTAAAACGATAAAATCTGGCACCATTGGATCTACATTCCTGCATGGCCATCTAGAAATGGCACAGGTTGTTCAGACCAGCAATGGGCCATGTTTGACTGATAACATTAACTGTCTGGCCCTAGGTAAGCATCTGCGTTTGAGACCCCTAGTGTACACATTCTCACCATCATAACACGCTAACAGAGGTCACATGACTTGCCCAAGGACACGTGAAGATTAAGTGGCTGAGCTGGAACTTTGCTGCCAATTTGCTTTCCTAAGCAGTCTGAGGTCACAGCCCTTTTTTCCCCATACTCTCATCCCTATGTACTGTGCCCCTACCTCTGCGTGACCCTAGCAAAGGGACGTTGGGTGCAGAGCTGGCCCCTGCTCTGTCTTCACAAACCCTCAATAATGCATTAGAACACGGGATTCAGAATGTTAAGATAAGAAGAAGAGCTGCTAAAAGTCACGACCCTTTTCACCCAGGAGGAGCAAAGAGTACTCCATACAGCAGTCAGCCACTTTTCAGACTGTCTTCATCCTTACAGACAGAATAGCTAAGAGCTGCAAATTCATAGCTACCCACGAATCAGCCATCATCAATCAATTGGAGTTGCTAATTGGATTCTGACAAATCATACCCAAAGCCCTCCAGTCCTCAGGTTATTCTCTAGTTGGCATAGATGAGATACACCCATATGAGGGTACTATGGCAACAGGACTTTATCCATGTATGTCAAGGGGCAGAAAGGTTGCCCAGGAAACCATGTACTGAACCATGAAATCAGCCCAGGTTCCTGCACTTTCTAGGCTGTGATGCATGGCCAGACCCCCACAAAAACTAGACAGAGGCTGAAGATTCCACCTGAGATCTACGAGACCCAGTCTCTTAATGTACACATTTCCTAAGAGGTCTACAAAATATACCAGATCGTGACCACTTCTGGTTACTATCACTCTGATCCAAAGTCACTGTCACCTATGTGGAGATAAGTCATGTAAGGCAGGGAAGTGGCCAAGCAAGGGTGTGGTCTTCTTTTTTCTTTTCTTTCTTTTTTTTTTTTTTTTTTCTCTGAGATGGAGTCTTGCTCTGTTGCCAGGCTGGAGTACAACGGCGCAATCTTGGCACACTGCAACCTCCGCCTCTTCGGTTCAAGCGATTCTCCTGCCTCAGCCTCCTGACTAGCTGGGATTACAGGCGCCCACCACCATGCCTGGCTTATTTTTGTATTTTTAGTAGAGAAAGGGTTTCACTGTGTTGGGCAGGCTGATCTTGAACTCCTGACCTCATAATCCACCCACCTCAGCCTCCCAAAATGCTGGGATTACAGGCAAGAGCCACTGTGCCTGGCCAGGGTGTGGTCTTAAGTAGAGTCTAGCCTGGGCCTGAGCCACAGGTTTCAGGCTTTGCAGTGTTGGTTGTCCCTGTTAAAATAAAAACTTCAGCCAAATTAAACTTAAAGGAGTTTGAGCAATGAACAGTTCGTGAGTTGGGCAGCCCCCAGAATCCCAGCAGATTCAGAGAGACTCCAGGGATATGTCATGGTCAGAACAAATTTATAGACGAAAAAAGGGAAGTGATGTATAGAAATCAGCAGTGAGGTACAGAAAAAGCTAGAATGGTTACAGCTCAGCGTTTGCCTTATTTGAACACAGTTTTTGAACACTTAACAGTCTATGAGTGGTTGAAGTTCAGCTGCTGGGATTGGCCAAGACTCAGCTATTGTTACAGGCGAATACTTTTTTTTTTTTTTTTTTTAAAGACAGAGTCTCACTCTCTCGCCCAGGCTGGAGTGCAGTGACGCAATCTTGGCTCACTGCAAGCTCCGCCTCCCGGGTTCACGCCATTCTCCTGCCTCAGCCTCCCAAGTAGCTGGGACTACAGGCACCCGCCACCGCGCCTGGCTAATTTTTTGTATTTTTAGTAGAGATGGGGTTTCACCATGTTAGTCAGGATGGTCTCAATCTCCTGACCTTGTGATCCGCCTGCCTCAGACTCCCAAAGTACTGAGATTACAGGTGTGAGCCACCACGCCCGGCCCACAGGCCCATACTCTTAAGTTAGATTTTCAGTCTTGTCTGTCTATTAAGCTAGCTGACAGCTCATCCACAAGAACTCAAATATAGAAGTATGCAGTCCTTTTCAAGCCATATTTGGTTTGCTTTAACACCCTCTTTAAGACAAATGGGCTATTCTTTTTGCACCTTGATCAGTCATTGACTGCTGGCTTTCTCTTGAGGGCTCTATAACCTTATAGGCAAAGCAGTTCCCATTTGGCCAAGCTCAGGTCTGTGGAGAGTGGAGAGCTGGTAGCCATTAGCAAGCCAGTATTACAGCAGCTAAGGAATGAATACCCAGATTGGCTCCCTCCTGGGGACCTGCTCTGAATCCCAACAGCATCTAACGTAAAGGCATTCAGGGAGCTTTCTCCCCGCTTGCCCATTTGGGTCTGGGTAGGAAGAGCCTTGGGGGATCCATTTTGCTTTTTTCAACCACGAAACAAGTCACAAAAGCACATGGTGATGTCGAATCTCCAATGCGAGCCCTGTCGGTACCACAACTGTGTACTTTGTATACTGCAAACTGCGAGCATCACACTACACCCATGTAGAAGGACTGTCCTCCTCAAAACCTGTTCAGGGTCAGCCATCTTTTCTGAGAATGACTTGGAGACAATATATAAAAACCATTTGCCCTTATTTTTTACCTGCTTGTGAGTCTGTCTCTCAAGAGAGTCTCTAAATGGTCACTTGTCCAAAGAGATGCCCCAGTGTCAAGTTCACATCCAAGTCAGACACCATCTTATCCTTCTCGCTGTCCACTCAACTCTGCCTAGCACCGTCTCCTGCACTGAAAAGTCCACTCTGTCTTGATCACCCAATCACTTGCCTTAGTCTACTCTTGTCTTCTTGATGCTTCCACAGGAAAATGCTCTAACTGATAGTCTCACTAGGAAGCTTCATCTCCCAGGAGATGGAGATGTTGTCAACATTCTTAAAGCTCATCCTGGCTGGGCACAATGGCTCAAAACTGTAATCCCAGCATTTTGGGAGGCTGACGGAGAGGGTGGTTTGAACCCAAGGGTTCGAGATCAGCCTGGGCAACAAAATGTCACAAAAAAAAATCAAAAAATTAGCTGAGCGTGGTGGTGTGTGCCAGTGGTCTCAGCAACTTGTTTTTTGTTTGTGAGATGGAGTCTCACTCGGTCAGTCAGGCTGAAGTGCAGTGGTGGGATCCTGGTTCACTGTCACCCAGGTTGGAGCACAGTGGTGCCATCTTGGCTCACTGCAACCTCCATCTCCCAAGTTCAAGCAATTCTCCTGCCTCAGCCTCCCAAGTAGCTGGGATTACAGGTGTGCACCACTGCACGTGGCTAATTTTTATTATTATTATTATTTTTAGTAAAGATGGGGTTTCACCATTTTGGCCAGGCTGCTCTCAAACTCCTAATTTCAAATTATCTGCCCACCTCCGCCTGGTAAAGTGCTGGGATTACAGGTGTGAGCCATTGTGCCCATCCTTTCCCAGCTACTTGGGAGACTGAAGCGGGAGGACTGCTTGAGCACAGGCATTTGAAGCTACAGTGAGTTATGATTGCACTTACTGCACTCCAGATGGGAAAGAGTTAGGGGGAAAAAAAAGCAGCTCATTCTTATTTGTTAGGTCCTCCAATAGGGTGAGTATGAGTTCACCTGCCTTCTACCTCTTGCTTGGTATAGTTACCACATTCTCAGAAGCCAAATCCAATCTCTCTCTGTCTATCCACCTTTCCTAACCATCAGCTCTATTACTATGACTGACCTGCTTTATAGATAAACCCATTCTTATAATATTCAACAGGTATGAAGGGCAGAGGAGGGGCATAATTTAGTAGGTAGAGGAGATTCCCTGTTGGAATTTCAAGTCTCTTGGTGGACAGGTGTGAGAACCTTCAGGAAACCCACCAGCAGGGTCCCCTTACTGGGAAGAAAGAATAGATCAAAAGTTTACGGCACTTTTACAGTATGTTAGAGGACTTTGGTGTTTATTTTAAATTAGGGATTTCCTAATATTCCAAATGAGAAAACTGAGTTTCCACACGGCTAATCTACTTGCTGGAAGCCATAGAGAAGGAAGGAAGGAAGGAAGGAAGGAAGGAAGGAAGGAAGGAAGGAAGGAAGGAAGGAGGGAGGGAGGGAAGGAGGGAAGGGAGGGAGAGAGGAAATGGGAGGGAGGGAATGGGAGGGGATGGAGGGAGGGAGGTAATGGGAGGGAAGGAAGGGAATATATATATATGTATGCATGGAATGAGAGTCTGCTGATGGATTTCCTGAGGATTCTTGCCTCCATATCCCAGTAGACTTGAAATGAAATTCCAACTAAGACTCTTTCCTGTTTAACTACCCACCTCCATTTCTCCCTCCACACTTACGTACACGCACATAGGCGTCCATACACATATAGAAGTATACGATAAGGGGGGCCGGGTGTGGTGGCTCATGCCTGTAATCCCAGCACTTTGAGAGGCCAAGACGGATGGATCACGAGGTCAGGAGATCGAAACCATCCTGGCTAAAGCAGTGAAACCCCATCTCTAACACACACACACACACACACACACACACACACACACACAGACTAGCCGGACATGGTGGCAGGCGCCTGTACTCCCAGCTACACACACACACACACACACACACACACACACACACACACACACACACTAGCGGGACATGGTGGCGGGCGCCTGTAGTCCCAGCTACTCGGGAGGCTGAGGCAGGAGAATGGCGTGAACCCGGGAGGCGGAGCTTGCAGTGAGCTGAGATCGCGTCGCTCCACTCCAGCCTGGGTGACAGAGTAAGACTCCGCCTCAAAAAAGAAAAGAAGTGTACAAATAAGACCCCTGAATACCCAATTTTTTGCTTCTCTCCAAGAGGATGAATTAGATTTAGAGGAATTTCATTCAAAGTATAGAGAATTATTCTTCCCTTCATCAATATTTACCTAAATTATCATTGTCATCACTCACTCGTCAGTTTTTGCTGTGTGGACAGAGAGAAGATTAAAGGAGCTTTAGCTGCTCCTGAATTGTTAAGTTCCTGGAATTGTCGGATGGGAAGTGAGCAATGTAGTTTGAGCTTTTGCTTTTAAGCATCTCCCAAAACCTAGCTTGGTCAGAGCAACTCACAGCAGCCCCTTCCTATATGGGCAGCAACAAGGACTCATGCCCAAGCCCCTCTGATAGCCAGAGGTAACCTACCTGTACCTATTTATTTATTTATTTATTTTTATTTTTGAGATGGAGTCTCACTCTGTTGCCCAGACTGGAGTGGAGCAGCGTGATCTTGGCTCACTGCAACCTCCGCCTCCTGGGTTCAAGTGATTCTCCTGCCTCAGCCTCCCAAGTAACTGGGATTACTATTTTTTGTATTTTCAGTAGAGACAGGGTTTTGCCCTGTAGGCCAGGCTGACCTGTGCCTTTTCAAAGTGCTATGGATGATATAAATTATACAAACTTTAAATTCCACCCATGTCATTCCTGCTATATCATTTAAACCAGAGTTGTGATTAAATTATGCATTTATGGAGTGAAATTGAATAATATGCAGTAAATTACAAAGAGCCTTGACATGTATCTTCCACCAGCTATATGATACCCTCTTAGTGAAAAATTCTGGTCCAGCATGATGGCTGACATCTGTAATCCCAGCACTATGGTAGGCCAAGGCAGGCTGATCATTTGAGGCCAGGAGTCTGAGACCAGCCCGGCCAACATAGTGAAGCCTCAACTCTACCAAAGATACAAAAATTAGCTGGGTATGGTAGCACACGGCTGTAATCGCAGCTACTCAGGTGGTTGAGGCATGAGAATCAAGTGAACTTGGGAGGGAGAGGTTGCAGTGAGCTGAAATCACTCCCACTGAACTCCAGCCTGCATGACAGAACAAGACACCATCTCAAAAAAAAGAAAAAAAAAAAAAGAAAGAAAAATTCTGAAACTATTTAAATTCTGTGCAAAGCAGAGCACATTCATTAACCCAGATAAAAACAGATGTCTACTATATATAGCTACATATATATATATACACACACACACACACACATACACATATATAAAGCTACCTAAAACTTTGGACCAATTTATATATTATTTGTGACTCTAGGTAATTTATTGTTATTTCAAGCAAAATTGGCCCAAAATAATGACTCATATTACACTCATGTCTGCAATATTTGAGAAGTGGGGAAACCTTTATGGTTTTTATATATCAAATTTCAAAACCTAATAAATTATTTTTCTCTTCATTGGCCTGAGTTCTAATTCCAGCTATGCCATTAGTTAGTGGTGTGACCTTGGCAGGTTGCTAAATTTTTCTGGGCCACTGTTTCTTCAAGAGTAAAATGACAGGAAAAGAACAAACCCCATGGTAGCATTGATATTCCAGAGTTCGTCACATGTCAAGGCAGATCTCTAAGGAAAGTGACTACAAGAACAGTTACAGTGCATTCCTGGGCAAAATCTCCATTCTCCATTTTTTATTTTACTTTCTTTTTTGAGATGGACTCTCACTATGTCACCCAGGCTGGAGTGCAGTGGTGCAATCTCGGCTCACTGCTACCTCTGCCTCTCAGGTTCAAGTGATTCTCCTGCCTCAGCCTACCGAGTAGCTGGGATTACAGGCACAACCCACCACACCCAGCTAATTTTTGGATTTTTAGTACAGACAGGGTTTCACCCTGACAGCCAAACTGGTTTCAAACTTCTGATCTCAAGTGATTCGAGACCAGCCTGGCCAACATGGCAAAGCCCCAATTCTACCAAAAATACAATTTTCTGCCCTTTAACCTAGATTGTCCTCCTATAAACAGTCCAACTAAATCCACCACACATAGCCAGAGGAAAAAAAAATGAAGAGAAAAAATACAGTAATTCAGTGTCTGGTAATGCTAGAATGTTAGGCATTTACCTTATTTAATCCTTATTAATATTATGGATGAGACTTAGAAATTTCTCAGACAAGAAAAGTGATGGCAAGAACAACAAAAATAACAACAGCAACAGTGTAACAGTTACATTTTTCCGACCCTTACTATTTTCCAGGTAATGCTCTATGTGCTGTGCTAACTTAACCTTCTTGCCAACAATAGGCTTCGGTTTCAATTACTATTTTTACTTTCCTTGTGACGATACCAAAAAATACAAAGGCTAAAGATCTGCGCAGCATTATTGTATCTGCAACCTACCTGATATTTATAGGACAATGATCTAATCTGGACAATGACAGATTATATTCTACACTAGGAAAGTAAATCCAGAAATTTGTTTTTAAACAATGAACTTGAATAGTTCAAAATTTCTATATGTAGATTCCTTTTTTAAGGTATGTGATTGCAGTTTCTTCTAAAAAGCAAGCAGAAACTGAGGGATATCCATATCACAATTAGCTCCCATTTCTACAGACTTGCGTAAACCAAAAATAAAATTGTAAGCCCACCCCCCACCCCCACCCATCTAAATGGACCTCTCCTCTCAGCCAGGGCATTCCAAAGTTGAGCTGAAAAACTGATTCAGACCATGATAGGAATGCCTCATGATACCCATCTCCCTTTTGGAATTCAGGAAAAGCCAGCCAGCATTTCATCAACACAGACCTTAAGTCTGAAAAGAAACATTTGCAATCTAATCTCTCCACAGCCTGCTACCTGGAGGCTACATCCACACGATAAAACTTTGGTCTCCACAACCCCTTATCCTAACCCAGACATTCTTTTCTATCGATAATAACTCTTTTAACCAATTGCCAATAACGTGGAAGCCCATCGCACCATACCCTTGCTTCCAGTTGTCCCACCTTTCCAGACCGAACCAATGTAAATCTCACATGTATTTGATTAATGCCTCACATCTCCCTAAAATGTGTGAAACTAGGCTGTGCCTTGACCACTATGGGTGTGTGTTCTCAGGATCTCCTGATGTCTGTGTCACTCCTATGTCACTCAGAATAAATATCTTCACCGTTTTACAGAGTTTGACTCTTTTCATTGACATCTGAATGGCCAACACATAGAAAACTATAAAAAAAAAGTCTACATTAATAAGACTTTCCTAAAATACCAACAAAGAAAAGTATCTACTTCAAAAGATACATTGTGCATGTGGGGTGGTTGTTCGGGGGATGTGGGAATGAAGGTAAAAAGGAAACAGTGTTGGTCGTGAGTTGGCAATTGTTGAATCTGGGTATCTGAGTACCCAGGGATTCATTATACTATTTTGATTTCTTACAGACATAGTTGAATTTTCCAGAATAAAAATTTGGAAAAAAATATCATTTTTGATAACATTTTAAAGGTAAAATTACTGGCTGATGGATCTTTTTTTATTTATTTTTTTATTATCATACTTTAAGTTTTAGGGTACATGTGCACATTGTGCAGGTTAGTTACATACGTATACATGTGCAATGCTGGTGTGCTACCCCCACTAACTCGTCATCTAGCATTAGGTATATCTCCCAATGCTATCCCTCCCCCCTCCCCCCACCCCACAACAGTCCCAATGAGATCACATGGACACAGGAAGGGGAACATCACACTCTGGCTGATGGATCTTAAAAATTTCAGAGAGCAGCTTTTAAAATACACTGTTTTTGAGCATTCGGAAAGAACCTCTTTAAAGCGTTTTGGGCACAGGCTTTCAAGAGGCAACAATTTTATCTGCTTTGAATTACCAATACAGTATGGAATTACCCTACCTCTAGCTGTATGAGTTTTTGTTTTAATATTAATCTAATGCTATCCTCTCTCAGCCTTAGTTTTGTATCTGTGAAATAGCGGTCATAGTCATAATTACCTTATAGTGCTTCTGTGAATATTTTATAGGGATGTCAAGTGCTTAGGCTGGCATATACAGGAAACAATTAAGCAATGAAAAAAATGTAGCCCTTAATATCCTCCCCAGAGCATTTTACGTTTCTGGATACATAGTCGGGAGTCAATTACTCAATGTTGGATGAAGGAAGAAAGTAATGATAATAGGACAGGCACTAACAAAATGCATCCAATTAGGTGTTATCTACATTTCACAAACTCACCAAGAAGTTTTTATTTGTTTCTGTTTGTGCCTATGCTCATTGAGAGTTGGTTCAACAACTTGGTAATTAAAACAAATATCTTGCATTTCCAACAAACTTAACGGCATAAAACGGAAGGCAATTACTCATCTCTGATTTAGGCTTAATATCCAGCATCCCTTAATTTATTCTAATTTAATATTCAAAAGAATATCCTTAAGGTAATATCCTTGCACAACTCGCAATGACTGCAACACACCAAATTAAGACCAGCATCCATCAAGTGTACAGAAGCTGAACCCCCGGAGCAAAAAGTGAACCTCAGATCTAAGGAAATGCCCGCAGTCAGCCTGACGCAGGCAAAATACTCTTGCGCATTGAGAAGAAACCCTCTTGCCATTATCCAAACTTAGCTCATTAGCCCCCAGATATGCAATCACTGCCTGAGTGTAAGCAAAGCAGACATATTCACACATCGGCACAGATTGGTCCCCAGTCACACAAACCCAAGGGTTCCATTAGCAACCGATGTGCAGGCTAGCATCCCTCCTTTCTAGGATCTAGACCACAGGTATCCTGGCCCCGGATAAACTCTGTGGCATGCCTTAGAGACATGCATGCTCTGTGCTTGACAGTCCACCTCGCCTCTACAAAGCACTTTCCATTCTTCTGATTAAAACAAGGAAGATGTCTCGCTTAGCTGCCACACTGATTCTCAAACCTCCTAATCACCCTTTGAATAAGGCACATTACATTTAAGAATAAGATGTCAGCAAAGTATGTAGGGGAGCGTGTGCTTGTGTGTACATGCACAATGGGGATAGGTCACAGATTTTTGAATATTCAAGGATAACAGATCTTGGCTGCAAATACTACTGAAAGTGTGAGTTATCTATTGCCATGAGACAAATTACCCTGAAATGTAATGGCTTAAGACAACAGTAATCATTCATTATTGCAAAAGAAAATTGACAAGAAGAGAGAGAAAAAGATTTCCTTTTTATGATCTACTGTTGGAAGTCACATGGTATTGTGTCTGCTACATTCTATTCTATTCATGGGGAGGGAGATGAGGCTCTACTTTATGAAGGGAAACTATCAAAGACTTGGAGAGATCGTCTGAAACTACCACTCTGAACATCTGCTACATGCCAGGAACCACACTAAACACATTACTTCTGCTGCCTCCCCTAATTCTGACCATACACTCTGAGCTATGTATTATTATCTCACTTCGATGATGGGAAAATTAGGCCAGATAGGCATATAGCTCAAGGTCACTCGAATAGGTTAAATAAGCTGTTTTTTCTTTTTCTTTTTTTTTTCCGAGATGGGGGTCTCACTGTCACGCAGGCTGGAGTGCAGTGGAACGATCTTGTCTCACTGCAACAACCCCTGCCTCCTGGGCTCAAGCAGTCCTCCTATCTCAGCCTCCCGACTTGCTGGAACCACAGGCAAATGCCACCAGGCCAAGCTAATTTTTTTCTATTTTTGGTAGAGACAGGGTTTCACCATGTTGCCTAGGCTAGTCTCAAACTCCTGAGCTCAAGTCATCTGCCAGCCTCGGCCTTCCAAAGTGCTGGGATTACCTGCAGGAGCCACCGCACCTGGCTTAAATTGACCATTCAAGTGATACACAAAGCGTGGCCCCTTTCCCTCTGAGATCCTCCAAACTAAGCAAAGGGCCTCACAGCTTTTTCCTTTAAAGAAAAAAATCTCGAGATCATATTTTTTAACTCCCACATATGAGTGAGAATATGGTACTTGTCTTTCTGTGCTTGAGTAATTTCACAACACAATGACCTCCAGTTCCATCTGTGCTGCTGCAAATGACATGACTTTGTTATCTTTTTAAAAAATTCCTTCTTTTTATGTCCAAATAGTACTCCACTGCATACATATACCACATGTTCTTTGTCCATTAGCCCACTGATGGACAGTTAGGTTGATTCCATGTCTTGGCTATTTTAAGTAGTGCTGCAATAAACATGTAAAGGCAGGTCTCCCTTTCAAATACTGATCATGACATATTCTCTGCATGTAAAAAAATACTCACATATTTATTACATAAATACGTATTCTGTATTGATAAAAGAAATAAAGGAAAACATCATGAAAAAGAAAATCCCAAGCGCAGCAACTTCAGTCCAGACTGAAGAGCTGCTTTCACAGTGACTCAAGTTACCGCTCTGTAGTTCTATAGCAAGAATCCCTAGACCAGGAACTGCAGCTAGGTATGCACATACTGTTAGGAAAACTCTGTACCAGAAGCCCAGGAAGTTCCCTGTCTCACTATGGGTGGCAGAGGAGCATTGCCAACTACCTCTGAAATGCTGCTGTCGTACGCCTACCCTCAAGGCCTCTCGGACAGCAGCTCTAGCCCAGTGTGCAATCGTGTCCCCTCCCTGACCCCTGGCTGGTGGGCTGAGAGGATGAGCATTAACTTTAGTGATAAGTACTTTGATTTTTCAATACCATGTTGTTGTTTTTTAATCACTCAAACACTGGTATTTTGTTGTTCAATAACTTTGTTTTGACAAAACAAAATAATGAAATCCCAATTATTGATTTCTTAAGATAAAGAGAGGTAAACACTGCATGAAAATTTTGGATATAGAAAATGAACACTAGTTTGGAAAATGTTCTGACCATACTTCTTCCCCACTCCCTTTTAAATTCTTCCAATTTGTTTTTGTTTTAATGAGACGCAGTCTCGTGCTGTCCCCCAGGCTGGAGTGTGCAGTCATACGATCTTGACTCACTGCAACCTCTCCCTCCCAGGTTCAAGTAATTCTTCTGCTTCAGCCTCCGGAGTAGCTGGGATGACAGGTGCTTGCCACCACACCTGGATAATTTTTGCATTTTTAGTAGAGAAGAGATTTCACCATGCTGGTCAGGCTGGTCTGGAACTCCTGACCTCAGGTGATCTGCCTGCCTTGGCTTCCCAAAGAGCCGGGATTACAGGCATGAGCCACTGCACCTGGCCAGGATGGCCATTATTTCTGAAAATTGAATATAAGTGTTGGCAATGATGTGGACAGATTGGAACCCTTGTGCACTGCTGACGGAAATGCAAAATGATGCAGTGCTACGGAAAAGAGTATGTCGGTTACTAAAAAATAAATAAATAAATTACTCTATGATTCATCAATTTCACTTGCAGCTATACACCCAAGACAACTGAAAGCAGGGACTCTGAAAGGTATTGTACACTCCCGTTCATAGCATCATTCACAGTAACTCAAGTGTGGAAGGAACCCAAGCGTCTACAGATGAATGGAGGGATAAGAGAAATGTGGTTTACACATACAATGGAATGTAATTCATCCTTAGACAGGGAAGAAATCTTGTCAAATGTGATGACACAGATGAACCTTAAGGATATTATGCTAAGTGAAATAAACCAGTAACAAAAAGACAAATACTGAATGATTCCACTTACATGAGATACTAGAGCAGTCAAGTTCATAAAGACAGAAAGGAGAATAGTAGTTGCCAGGGGCTGGGGGAAGACATAATGGGAGTTAATGTTTAATGGATATAGAGTTTCAGTTTTACAAGATGAATAATGTTCTAGAGATGTACAGTGGCCATGGTTACACAACAGTGTGACTATATTTAATGCCTCCAAACTGTGCAATAAAAAGTTAAAATGGTAAATTTTACATTGTATTTATTTCACACAACTCAAAAACAAATTTAACAGAAAGAGATTAGTGAAAGTAGAGACATGTGTTTGAGCACTTCAGAATCTGGTGCAACTCTCCATGAAAGATGCCTGGGGCTAGATGTTTGGGCAGCCTGTGGACAGGCCCGTGGGATGAGGAAGTGAGGCCTACGACCTACAGCCAGCACTAACTCACCTACCATATAGGTGAGACACTTGGAAGCAGATCCTCCTAAGGATGTAATCCATCAAGAAGGGCTATGGTTTTAATGTTTCCTCCAAGGTTGAAATGTAACTGCCAATGTAATGGTATTGTGAGGTGAGACCTTTAGGAGATGATCTGGGCTGGGCATGGTGGCTCATGCATGTAATCCCAGCACTTAGGGAGCCTGAGGCAGGTGGATCACCTGAGGTCAGGAGTTTGAGACCAGCTTGGCCAACAGGGTGAAACCCCGTCTCTACTGAAAATTCAAAAAAAATTAGCCAGGTGTGGTGGTGCATGCCTGTAATCCCAGCTACTTGGGAGGCCGAGGCAGGGAAATCACTCAAGCACAGGAGGTGGAGGTTGCAGTGAGCCAAGATCATGCCACTGCACTCCAGGCTGGGTGACAGATGGGATGCCATCTGAAAAAACAAAAACAGCAACAAAAAACAACAACAACAAAAACCAAGATGATCAGGTCATGAAGGCTCTGCCCTCAAGAATGGATTGTTGCAGGAGGTTAGCTACTGCAGGTGTCAGTTAGTTTTCACTGGAGTGGGTTAGTTATCTTGGGAGTTGATTCCTGATTAAAAGGATGACTTCAGCCCCCTGGTTCTCTTGCTTACTCCTCGCCTCCTCCCTCTCACATGCGCTCTTGCCATGTGATGCCTTATACCACGCCCTCGTCAGATACCAGTGCCATGCTCTTGGACTTTCCGACCTCCAAAATCATAACTGAGTAAACTTATTTTTCTTTATAAATTACCCAGTTTGTGGCAGACCACAGGAAACAGATCACAACAAAGAGATCTGCACAAGCAACAGGGAGGGTTAGACCCACCAACTAGAAACTGTCTGACTTTGAGTCTGTGAGCCTTTCATTAGTTTTCTCATCTCTCAAATAGGGATAGAAGCTGGCAAAGACAAAGCATTGTGGTGGTTGTGGGGTGGGATATGTTGTCCATTGTAGGGTGGCAAGAGTGTGAATTGACAAAGCCCTTGGGTGAACAAATTGGCAAGATGTCCCCAGCCTTAAAATGAGTGTTCTCATTGATGTAGTAGGTTCTACTTCTGGGATTATACCCTGCAGAGATGCTGGTCCAAGGCAGCAGACGTTTATTATGCCTTTAGTGGTTCATGCACACATAAACATACACATATATGTATGTATATATGTGTATGTATGTGTGTGTGTGTGTGTGTGTGTAGAGATAGATAGATAGATAGATAGATAGATAGATAGATAGATAGACAGACAGACAGACAGATAGATAGATTTTTTTTTTTTGGTAGCACCAAAGAGCAAACAACCCCTTAATTCCCATCAGTAGAGAGAAGAGGTTAAAAATATTATGCCATATCTACACAGCGCATTACTAGTAAAGAAAGGTCAATGTGTTCTGAATTTTTCTTAAAACTACAACCTTTATAATATAAATCAATAAGTATTTATTCAATATCTGCTATTCTAAATGTTAGGCATACAGCAATGAAAAACAAACCAACAAAACCTGATTTCTACATCCAAAAAATTTACAATCCAGAAAGGAGAAGATAGGAAATAAGTACATATGTATGTGTGTAGGGGGGTGGGATACTATATATATATATATGAATATACATACAAATACACAGAAGACTCGGCTATGGTGAGGGGGCAGGGGTATTGGATAGGAACATGCTATTACAGTTAAGATTGATCCAGAACATTCTCTTACAAGATGACATTTGCTCATAGACTGAATAAAGTGAGAAAACTGTATAGCTCTCTGAGGGAGGATCAAGTGGCCAATAAACATATAAAAAGATGTTAAACCCATTTTAAAAACGGGGAATTAGGCCAGGCACAGGGGCTAACACCTGTAATCCCAGCAACTTGGGAGGCCAAGGCAGGCGGATCACCTAAGGTGAGGAGCTCAAGACCAGCCTGGCCAACATGGTAAAACTCCATCTCTACTAAAAGTACCAAAATTAGCCAGGCATGGTGGGGGGTACCTGTAATCCCAACTGCTTGGGAGGCTGAGGCAGGAGAATCACCTGAACCCAGAAGGCAGAGGTTGTAGTGAGCCGAGATCACACCACTGCGCTCCAGCCTGGGTGACAGAGTGAGACTGTTTCTCAACAATAACAACAATAACAAAAATAGCCATCCTGATGGGTGTGAGGTGGTATCTCATTGTGACTTTGATTTGCATTTCTCTAGAGATTAGTGATGTTAGGTATCTTCTTATGTGCATATTGGCCATTTGTATATATCTTTTGGAGACACGTCTATTCAAATCCTCTGCTCGGTTTTGAGTCAGCTTGTTTGCTTTTCTGTTGTTGAGTTTTAGGAGTTCTCAATATATTCTCAATATTAATCCCTTATCAAAGATGGGATAATATCTCTCTTCTCTTTATTTCCCTAGCACAGATTGAGGGGCTCACATGGAGCTTCTCAACATTCAAGAGCAGGCCGAGTAAACCAGCATAACCAGCAGGGCTGGTTTGCTATGGGAGAGAGGGGATAAGCAAGGATGTGGAGAGAAGAGAGAGATCTCGCTCTGTTTTTCCTATTACTTCCTGGACAGGTTTGCCAGTCATTCTGATTCCTGACGAACTATGGGGTAAGGAATGCATAGTGGATGTTTTCCTTCCACACATTTTCTGTCCTCCATAAGGGCTAAAGCAGTGTTTTTTAAATGTAGGTCAGGATGAAAAGAGATTTAACTTTTAATATTTGAATTAAAACAGCATGAGCAACTTCTTTGAATACAATAAAAAAAGCTACAGGATATTCCCTGAAACGATCATTTCTATTTTCCTCTGCATTTCATAAATAATAAATGTGTTAAAAAAAATAACCCCGTAGTAACACATTCTCTAACACACTAGTTATGCAAGCTGGATATAACTCTGAGAATCCCTAAAGGTGAGAAAAATTGAATTTGGTGGGACTTTTTTTAAGCTAAAAATTAAATTTCCCCGGCCCCATGCAGACCTCTTCCCTCACAGCTACAGTCATAACTGGATTTTTAAGCCTTCTGAAAATATTGTGGCTTGCAATAAAGCAAAGCACTGTGTCAAAAACTGCTTAGAATACAGAAAAGCACGCTTCTGATATATACCAGGGAACTGCTGTTTACCTGGTGGAGGCATCAATACTGCTTGTGGATGTCATTTTGACAATGGTGACGTGCACCGGGATTCTAACCTTGCCTATATTCACATTATGAATGAAAAAACAAGGTAAACCCCTCTTCCATTTACCAGAGCTTCCCCAGTTTCCTACCTCTAATCCAACCCTTAGCAATATCTTCTTCTTCTCTGTCATAAAGGGTAGGATCCAAGCAGTTAAGAACACACTTGCCTTCAAAGAGTAGAATGTGTTTGCTCTGAAGGTAGTAGGGTATCCAGGAGAAGAGATGTGTTTAATAAAGTATTGAAGAGTTGCAATGTGGGCCTGTGAATTAAACACTAGACTGGGGAGTGGGGCAAGCATGGTGTTTTCCTGGCGTCTTCCTAACTGGCTCACATCTGCTCCCTTGGAACTCAAGCATGCGTGTCTGTGAATGACGCTTGCACCGTGAACATCTTTACTTCCCAATGACATGAGATGACATCTGCTTTGGGGACTTGAAGCCCCCATATCTGACAACTGATGCTCTACTGGGCTCCATTTCTAAGTTTCTGTGGTGATGATGGTGGTGGTGGTGGTTTTAACTGGCTGATTTTTTTGTGTGTGTTACTGTTCTTTTTCTGTGTGCATATGTCTTTTCATAGCGGAAAGAAATCAAACAATGTGAAATGATGAAACACACACATATGCAACCGTGATTGATTGGCAGACATTTTAATCTTTTACTTACCACTCTGACCTCACAGTTCTTCAGTAATTTGAGGGCTACTTTTGAAGAATCCCACATGAATGCAAGGCTGCTAGAGACCTTGGGAGCTACAGGGTAACTGTAAGACACATTGCTGATCCCAAGGAATTTATAATTTCCTTGGGCCAACAAGGTTACCCTGGATAAAACGATTAGAGAAGACAAGAGGTGCATAATTAACGCATGAAAGCAGTCTTATTTCTGAGTTGAACGTTCTTTCCTCAAGCATGTCCTGAGCTCTTGGCTGCCAGCTCACCCCTTCATTATCCTACAACAACCTCTGCTCCCACAGGGCCCTTTGTTGGCTCCAGAAATCAGGATTCTCTTTTCCTCTTTTCTTTCCCCGCCCCGTCTTCCTCCAGATCGCCTTTGTCCCTGATCTGATGGTTCACAACCTTGGCTGTAAGCTTTTAAAAATCTGGATGCCCAGGGATCCTCAGACCAATTAAATCAGAATCTTCGGGGGCAGTACCCAGACATCAATCTTTTCTAACACTCCCCATGCAATGCCAATGCACAGCCAATGCTGAAAACCCCAATCACACACACTAAGAATTGTGCCATCTGCCGAAGGGACTGAAGGGAACCAAAGTAAAGAAGCAGCTCCCAGTCATCTGGGGCTTCAACCCAAGTTGGGGAAATTATAAATCTAGAGGGGTGGGTGCTGGGGGTGGAAGCCAGCAGCAGCGGAACAGCAGCTCAATGGGAAACTTTACGGAGATGCAACTACCTTCAAGATTATGACCAATGCCATTATATCATTATATTTAGTGTTTAGATGATGTTTAGCGTATGCTATTAGTATATGTACACACTTGAAATGATGTGTTGTGAGATCCACATTTTCTATTTCCTTCAGTGTTAGGCTTCTGGCTCTTTAGGGTGGTGGCTTAATTCAACAGAACAAAAACAATGATTGGAGATTTTAGGTTCCAGGCCTTACATAGGGCACTGACTTATAATCAGCCTTGCTACAGTGCCCTAAAATCTGCTCCCCCAAAGGGCAGCAGGTGATGCTGACATCCTCACTATTATTCAACATGCAGCAGATGTCTATTAAGCCCCTGCTAAATGTCAGGTACTTTTCCAGGCACACAGGACACAGCAGTGAATGATGCAAAAACGAAAAACAAAACAAAACAAAACAAAGAAATATCTGCTCACATGGAGCTTCCATGTGGAAAGAAAGAGAGGAAACATTTTTGAAAATAATGATCAGCCTGTTAACACGAGACGTTCGGATTTTTTTTTTTTTTTTTTTTTTTTTGTGAGAAAGCGTCTCACTCTGTTGCCCAGGCTGGAGTGGAGCGGTGCGATCTCAGCTCACTGCAACCTCTGCCTCCCGGGTTCCAGCGATTCTCGTGCCTCAACCTCCCAAGTAGCTGATACTACAGGTGTGTGTCACCACACCTGGCAAATTTCTCTATTTTTAGTAGAGATGGGAACTGGCAGCTTCAGCAGGACCTAGGGTTTCGTTAAAAAATGAAATCCCTGAGCCCCACCCAGACCTAACAATTCAGAACTTCTGAGGGTGGGGACCCTCTAAGTCTCTAGGGGATCAAACCCTCTGGGGGAAGCTAATGCAAACTCAAGCTTGAGGCCCATCGGTATAGGAAAAGAAAAATGGTGGGTGGATTTAGGTAACGAAGGGTTAATAGTAATCGCTGGTTGAGTAGCAATTGCTTGACAAAGCTGTCTGAGAAGCTGGCAGAGGCCTGAGTAAGGCAAGGAGGAGCAACTGCATTCCAGCAGTGACAACAAAACCCAGGCCCTGAGGGAGTACCTGCTAGGACAATGCGCAGGTTCTAAGTGAAAAATAAAAAGAGTCACGTGGATGTTTATGTATTTTGTATCTGCACGGGACAGAAAGATCAAAACGATAATTTTAAGAACTCAAGAGACCCAGCAGAAGCATTTAAAAGTTCAGTCTCCAAGAAGTGTGCTCTCTTTCACCAGTTCTTGAACGAATTAACGGGAAGAAGAGCTAAGTAGCATTTTTACCTTAACCATGCACATATGTTTACTCAGCCCGCAAAGCTGTGTCTTCTACACCTTCAAGACAAAGGGAGGAGACAGCCCCAGCATGCAACTAGCATTATCTTTCAAAGGCAGAGCCTGCAGGATTTCTCCCTGCAATTTTCCAGAAAGCCTCTCCCTGGCCTGCAGCCTATAACACCGCTACAAATGTCATTAACTTAATCAACCCACTGAACCTACTATCTACATCTGAACACCGATCAGGAGGCAGGGGAAATTCTGAGGCCTGCTGTGTGGTGAGGATCCCAGTGGGTACTTTCTGCAGGCGGGTCTCCTGTTGCACAACTCTGTGTACCCAGTCACTGCCAAATAAGGGTTTTTGTTTTTGTTTTTTCTTTGAGATGGAGTCTTGCTCTGTTGCCCAGGCTGTAGCGCAGTGGTGTGATCTCAGCTCACTGCAACCTCCCCCTCCCAGGTTCAAGGGAGTCTCCTGCCTCAGCCTCTGGATTAGCTGAGATTACAGATGCACACCACCATGCCCAGCTAGTTTTTTGTATTTTTAGTAGAGACAGGGTTTCATCATGTTGGCCAGGCTGGTCTTGAACTCCTGACCTCAAGTGATCAACCCACCTCGGCCTCCCAAAGTGCTGGGACTAACACGAGCCACCAAGCCCAGCCAGCAAGTTGAGGTTTTTGAGCATAGACAGAGATCTGACGGTTGACATGGTTTCCAGGACTACAGACTTAACGATGAGTTTAGGTTACTAAAATAAATTAATTGCAAAAGTAAATAAATAAATAGATGATAAAACAAAATTACATAGAGAAATGTAATTACAGATTTTTTTTTTAAATCACATAACCTTGCAAGGAACTCACCAAAGGTAATTTCGCCAGGCTTATTTTATTCCTATTTCTAAATATCATCCCTACCTGGGGGATTTCCCGTTCTTTGCTTGTCTGTGTTTGGGTGTTTAAAATCAACTTTGATGTATTTACTACCAAATACTTGCTCAAATATCAAGCTGTTAACGCATTCCAGGCCCTACCCTAAGCCCTTTGTAGCCACTATCTTATTTACTGATGCCCCCAAATATTTATGGATTGCCTCCTCTATGCCACCAACTAGTCTTAATGCTAGAGCTATGTCAGTGAATAAAATAGATCAAAATCCCTGCCCCCCCGGAAATTTACATTCACAGTGGAATAGGGTGGATAGGACAATAAATAAATAAATAAATAAATAAATGTGGAGTCCATTAGTCGCATTAAAAAGGATAGGCTGGGTGCAGTGGCTCACTCCTATAATCCCGGCACGTTCGGAGACCAAGGCAGGTAGATCGCCTGAGGTCAGGAGTTCAAGACCAGCCTGGCCAACAGGACGAAACCCTATCTCTACAAAAGTTAAATGGGCATGGTGATTTGCACCTGTAATCCCAGCTACTTGGGAGACTGAGGTACGACAATTGCTTGAGCCCGGGAGGCAGAGGCTTCAGTGAGCTGAGATCATACCACTGCACTCCAGTCTAGGCAAGAGAGCAAAACTCCATCTCAAAAAAAAAAAAAAAAAAAAAAAAAAAAAAAAAAAAAAAAAACCAACAACCTAGATGTCCAACAACGATAGACTGGATTAAGAAAATGTGGCACATATACACCATGGAATATTATGCAGCCATAAAAAATGATGAGTTCATGTCCTTTGTACGGACATGGATGAAACTGGAAACCATCATTCTCAGCAAACTATCGCAAGGGCAAAAAACCAAACACCGCATGTTCTCACTCATAGGTAGGAATTGAACAATGAGAACACATGGACACAGGAAGGGGAACATCACACACCAGGGACTGTTGTGGGGTAGGGGGAGGGGGAGGGGGGAGGGATAGCATTAGGAGATATACCTAATGCTAAATGACAAGTTAATGGGTGCAGCACACCAACATGGCACATGTATAAATATGTAACAAACCTGCACGTTGTGCACATGTACCCTAAAACTTAAAGTATAATAATAATAAAATTAAAAAAAAAAGAATAAAGGTAGAAATATTTTATCACAGTAAGGACAAGAGGTAGGTACTTGCACCTCATTATTTTGCAGGTGAAGAAATGGAGGCTCGGTGATACAGTTTGGATATGTGTCCTCTCTAAATCTCATGTTGAAATGTGATCCCCAATGTTGGAGGTGGGCCTGGAGGGAAATATTTGAGTTATGGGGGTGGCTTCCTCAAGAATGGCTTGGTGCCTGCCATCCCCTTAGTGATGAGTGAGCACTCACTCTGTTAGTTCACACGAGATCTGGTTGTTTAAAGGAGGCTGGCACCTCCTCCCCTCTCTCTTGCGTGTTCCTCTTCCCTGCCCAACATGCCTCCCATGATGAGTGGAACCTCCCTGAGGCCTCACCAGAAGCAGAGCAGATGCTGGAGCCATAACTGCACAGCCAGCAGAACTGTGAGTCAAATAAACCTCTTTTCTTTATAAATTACCCAGTTTCAGGTGGCATTATTGCTATTATTATTATTATTATTATTATTTTTGAGACAGAGTCTTCCTGTCACCCAGGCTGGAGTGCAGTGGTACAATCTCAGCTCACTGCAACCTCCACCTCCGGGTTCAAGCGACTCTCATGCCTCAGTCTCCCGAGAAGCTGGGACTACAGGTACGTACCACCATACCTGACTAATGTTTGTATTTTTAGTAGAGACAGGGTTTCACCATGTTGGCCAGGATGGTCTCAAACTCCTAACTTCAGGTGATCTGCCTGACTCAGCCTCCAAAGTGCTGGGATTACAGGTGTCAGCCACCACAACTGACCTTCAGGTATTTCTTTATAGCAATGCAGCATGGACTAATACACTCAAAGAGGTTCAGTCACTTGCCTGAAGTTTCATGGCTAGAAGGTGGCAAATCCTTTATTGGACTCCAAAATAGACTAACTATTAATTAAGCTTTGATATCTGTGTTCCTGACCACTTTGCTGGCCTTCTACTGCTTTAAAGGCTAGAAAATGGCAGTCAAGGGGTAAAGAGTAAAGGGTGTGTGGGTATATCTGATGCATCTTCCATGCTCCCCTGCTGATTCACTCTCCATCCCATTCCACCCTGCTCTCTGCCCTGGAAAATGGTCAGCCATGATTAACAGAATACCACATCTTTTTATTTATTTATTTTTGAGATGGAGTCTTTCTCCATCATCCAGGCTGGAGTGCAGTGTTGTGATATTGGCTCACTGCCTCCTCCACCTCCCGGTTTCCAGCAACTCTCCTTCCTCAGCCTTCCAAGTAGCTGGAATTACAAGTGTTCCCCACCATGCCTGCTAATTTGTGTATTGTTAGTAGAGATGGGGTTTCACCATGTTGGCCAGGCTGGTCTTGAACTCCTGACCTCACATGATCCTCCCGCCTTGGCATCCCAAAGTTCTGGGATTATAGGCATGAGCCACCACACCTGGCCAGGATACCACATCTAGCAGCCTGTGGGGCTGGGCTGATGGAGAGCTCAGGCAGGCAACTGAAGACCAGGAGCAGGGACCAGGGTATTTATTCTCAGACTCACACTGGACCAGCTGCTTTCCTATCTCCTTTGGAATTCTACAAATCACTTTCTCTCATTGCCTTCTGGGCTTAGGGGTAATAACAGCTCTTGTATAAACAGCCGACGGTACTGCACTGTCTATGGTTTGCTTATACACTGCCTATAGATTTATAAGTAGTTTGTGTATTAAAGGCACCTTACATCATCTGATTTGGATATGTTCTGGTTGGTCATTATCAAAAATGGCCAAAAGGAAATACAGACATATAGACCCCCTTGTTTAAGACTTCCCAAGGTACACCTAGAAATGGAAATGCTCACTATGATGTGCTCTGTGACACCATCATCACACAATCCCACCTGTGATGAACGCTGACCTCCTGATTTATTACTCACAGTCACCATACAATAAGGAAATTACTGGAAAATGTTTAAAATCTCAGAAGGCTTTCCAGTTTTTGGAGTGGTGGATGCAGTGAGGCCCAAAACATGGCCTAAGTTTACTCCACCCTCACCTGGCTTACAGGTGGCTGCACATTTCACATTCAACAGTCAGCAAGTAAAAGAATCACATGTTCATTTATTCCACACACACGAAAAAAGCCAACTGTCTCCTGGAAATGAAAACACAGACGCAGGAAAATAAAAGATTTTAAATGTGGAAAAACACAGCAAAGAAAATGAGCTAAAAGATTAGCAACCACCCACAAATTCAGGAAGAGGCAAGACAGCCTGGAAGTGCTCACTGCAGAGAGCAAAAACCAGCAGCCACTGCTGTGCCGGGTGGCAGATGTTCTTTAGTGGGCTTGCAAGGGGCTGCAGCATGCGAAACTTGCCATTACCACCGGACACTCGGAACTGAAAACCAGTGCTTTCCAATATCTGAATAAGTTACAGTTTATATCAATGTAGGATGCTCAGGTCTTTCTGAGATCGATGCCAATGCCTCAGACCTCTCCATTGTAGCAAGAACCACTGAATTGCACCTACCCCCCAGGATCCATTTCACATCCTCCCCTGTGTGTAAGGTGCTCCTGAAGTTGCACAGGGAACAGCCTGTGTGAAGAAAGTTGTAGATGCTAAAATCTGGGCAGTGATTAACCTGAATAGTAATACCAGCTGCCAGTTGGTAACAGCAGTTATATACATTAAATAGCCACAAGGTGTTAGGCATTGTGCTAGTTCTGTGTATATTCTAATTCATACAATATTTCAGTGGTGTGCAGAAGCTAAGGTGACTGCCAATGATCCCTGACTTCCTGTGTTCTCACCCTTGCATAATCTCCTCCTCTTCATTATGGGTAGACCTGGGACTTGCTTCCAACCAACAGAATGCAGCAGAAGTGATGGAAAGTTACATGGTGATTATGTTCATGTGTGTGTGCATATACAACATACATCTTCATATATATACACACACACATACATATGCTCATATATATGAACATTATCACGGTATAACTTTCCATCACCTCTGCCTGCCATACTGTCTATTGATTGAAAGCAACCCTAAGAAAAAAAAAAATATATATATATATATATATACAGTAATTTATGTATATACATAAATTATTCTTTCTCCACTGCTTGAAGAAGCAAGCTGCCATGTTATGAGAGGACCTATGGCAAAGGCCATGTAGGAAGGAACTATGGGTGACCTCAGAAAGCTGAATGCAGCCTCTGGAAGGTAAACATGGTTTATGGCCAACAGTCAGCAAGAATCCACCAATCTCAGACTTACGGTCACAGGAAATAAATTGTGCCAACAACCTGGGTGATCTTCGAAGCATATCCATCCCCATTTGAGCCTCCAAATGTGAACACAACCCACCTGACAGGTTCACTGGAGTCATGTGAGAGCATGAACAAAGGACACAGCTAAATTGTATCAAAATTTTAACCCATAGACATTGTGAGAAAACAAATGTGTGCTGTTTTAAATTGCTAAATGTGTGTGGGTAATTTGTAACACAGAATAGAAAACTCATGCATTTAGTTAAGATGAATATCACCATTTCCTAAATGAAGAGATGGCAGCCTGGGGGAGTTTAGGAAACTTATCAATGGTCACAAAGCTAACGAATGGTGCAGGAGCTCAAACCAACACCTGCTGAGCCCCATAGTCTGTGGGCTTCACCACAACCACTTGAGATACTGTGTTCCAGTCAAACAAGGGCAAACTTATCCAGTAACTATAGAATCCATTCTCTGATAGTCATTACAGACTAGCCAGATAGTGTCCTGCAAAAACCTATGTCCAAGTCCTAATCCCTGATATCAGTGAATGTGACCCTATTTGGAAATAAAGCTTTTGCAGGTGGTGTAACTAAGTTAAGGATCTCAAGATGGAATCATCCTGGATTCAGGGTGGATGTTCTCCTAAGAGGAGGAGAAGACACACACAGAGACAGAGGGAAAGCCCACTGCAGATGAAGTAAAGACTGGAGTGATGCAGCCACAAGCCAAGGGGTGCCAATGATTGCTTGGAACCAAAAGAAACTAGGGAAGAGGTATGAAATGTATTCTCCCTCAAAGCTTCCAGAAGGAGCTAATATCTCCACATCTTGATTTCAGACTTCTAATTCCCCAAACAGTAATGGAATAAATTTCTGTTGTTTCAAGCCTGCCACTAGCTGGTCATTTGTTATGGTAGCCCTTGGCAATTACAAGAGCCTCTGTGGACTCGGTGCTCCCTTAATGTCTAGGACACATCTAACTTTTTCGTATCAACTTAAACAAGCCATTTATAAGCTGAGGAAGCAAGAGAAACAGTAGAAAGGACTCTGGTTTCATGCAGAAGAGAGAGATTGTATCATGACAATATCAGGAGTGAACTTCATTAAGAGCAGAACTACCGTTTGATCCAGCAATCCCACTACTGGATATCTACCAAAGGAAAGAAGTCATATAAAAAAACACATGTGCATACCCATGTTTATAGCAGCACAATTTGCAATTGCAAAAATAAGGAACCAAACTCAATGCCCATCAACCAATGAGTGGATAAAGAAAATACACCTACACCATAGAATATGACTCAGCCATAAAATGGAACAAAATAATGGCCTATGCAGCAACTTGGATGGAGTTGGATGCCATTATTCTAAGTGAAGTAACTCAGGAACGGAAAAACAAATATCATATTTTCCGTCTTATAAGGGAGAGCTAAGCTTTGAGGATGCAAAGGGGCAAGAATGATGTAATGGACTTTGGGGACTCAGAGGGGAAAAGTGGGAGGGGGTAAAGGATAAAAGATGACACACTGGGTACAGTGTACACTGCTCAGGTGATGGGTGCACCAAAATCTCAGAAATCACCACTCAGCAACTTAACCATTTAACAAAAACCACTTGTTCTCCCAGAACTATTGAAATAATAATAATGAAAAAAAAAAAAAAAAAGAATGATCTTAGCCAGGTCACTCAGCCTCCTGGAAATTTTTCTCCTTATCTATAACATACAATATATCAGTGCTGATGACAATGTCTTATGGATCTGGATTCAATCTGGATTTTTATCTCTCCATCAACAAAAAGGACGGAATTTCCAGATACTTGTTCGAAGATACCAGGGTTTCCTTTAAAACAAATTTCAAGCCATAGGAAGTGGAGAAATGTCTAAGAGAGTAGGTTCTGGATCTCTCTTGGGATTTCATGGTTCAAATCCCAGGTCTACTCTTTATTAGTGTGTGATGCTGAGAAGTTTACTTAAAAAAAAAAACCCTCTATGTTCCAGTTTGGGGGAGCTTTATTTTATTTTTTGGTCTATAAAATGGAGCTAATAAGAGAACCTAAACTGCTGGGCTGTTGTGAGGAATTAATTTGGAGAAATTAATACATGTAAACAGGATAAATAGGAATTGGTCAAGAAACATTACCTCTTGGGCCAGGCGCCATGGCTCACACCTGTAATCCCAGCCCAGCACTTTGGGAAGCTGAGGCGGGCGGATCACCTGAGGTCAGGAGTTCAAGACCAGCCTGGCCAACATGGTGAAACCCCATCTCCAAAAAAACAATACAAAAAACTAGCCAGGCACGATGGCAGGTGCCTGTAATCCCAGCTACTCAGTAGGCTGAGACAGGAGAATGGCTTAAACCCAAGAACGGAGGTTGCAGTGAGCTGAGATCCTACCTGTGCACTCCAGCCTGGATGAATGAGCAACACTCTGCCTCAAAAACAAACAAACAAAAATCATTAGCTGTTGTTATTAAATGGAGAAATGGTGTTTGAAATAGGACCCTGCGTAACTAGATCACAGCCACTTTCCTCCCCACCCCCACTTTCTCCTCCATCTGTTACATCAGGTAAGGGCCAAGCCTGCAATGTGTTGCACTGAAAATACTTGTTTATTAACGAGTGCGCTTCTGCTCAATGCTCCTGCATACTCCTATGCCCAAGATTAATTAACCATAATATCAACGTGAGACTGCCGCTTCATGTTGTCTGCATTCGGAAGGCAGAGAATGATTTCTTTCTCTGAAACGACCAGAGATATGCCCATTGGGTAGGACACTCAGTGACAAGCAACCACATTTTCACTGAGAAGGGTATGAGATTTGGGTAAGATAAATAATTCATTTTTATGTCCCTGGTTACTTATTCTTTAAATGATGCCTCTGGATATCAGGAGGGAATTGCAACATGAAAGTTATGAATTAGGGCCCAGGCAGACATTAATTTAATTAACAATTAATTTGATTGGATTTAAGATGGTTTTACTCTGCATGTATGAAGTCTTCCTATAGCTACAGTTCAAAAATATTAGTGGGCCCCAGAATCACCCGGGTAGCTTGTTAAAAATTCATAAACAATGGCACCAAGCCCAGTGGTCTGATTCGGTAGGCCTGGGGTGGAGTCCCCAAATGTGTGTTTCCTTTTTTTTTTTTTTTGAGATGGAGTCTTGCTCTGTCACCCAGGCTGGATTGCAATGGTACAATCTCAGCTCACTGCAACCTCCACCTCCCAGGTTCAAGTGATTCTCCTGCCTCAGCTTCTCTAGTAGCTGGGACTACAGGCTAGCATACCCAGCTAATTTCTGCATTTTTAGTAGAGACAGGGGTTTCACCATGTTGTCCAGGCTGGTCTCGAACTCCTGACCTCAAGCGATCCACCCGCCTCGACCTCCCAAAGTGCTGGGATTACAGGCGTGAGCTAATGTACCTGGCCACAAATGTACATTTTTAACAAATTCGTAAGTGGCTCTCCTGTAGGCTACCCTGAGACTTAGGTTGAGTAAGAACACCCTAAAGGGATAATACCCAGGTCTCCATTGTCCCTCTTTCGACTTGTGTCAGTTTCTTGGTATTTTTCCAGGATTTCTGACAAAGGATGATGTCTCCCCCAGGGCCCTGTTCTCTAAGAGGCAGCTGAAGGTCTGCTACTGAGATCCACAGAGGAGGAGAACAAGCCCTGAGGATATGAAATATGTCCACTTGGAATGCCGAGGTTCCCATCGAAGCAAAGGGGAAGAGTCTACTCATCACACAGCACACAGACCCTCCTTCAAAACAGCAAATGGTATCTGGAACATCTTAACTCCCACTTCGGTGTAGAAGGCAGGAAGGGAGCCGGTGTCAGAGCTTCCTAACTTTTATTTCAGAAGAAGGAGACACTTAGAAAAATGAACATTGTTAGCATTGATCTTCCTTTGGACAGAGTGTTTCTACCAACTCTCTTCCTTTCAGGTTTAAAGAAGGCGGAGACAGAAATGGATGTATTCCCCAAATGAAACACATCAAGGACAAAAGCACTTGTAGATTTCTTTATAAGATATAGAGCTACACTCAAGTTCAGAAACTCTTCATTTCATGTGCAATCCCATATACTGATTTCACCAGATGGGATTAGTCACTAACTGTGACATCCTCTGTTCAGTGTTTGGTTACAAATGAGTCCCTAACAGTAGCTGGGACAGACTCTTTGCAGTGAGAGCGGGGACCAAGGTGGCCACTGAGATTTTCTATTTTAAATACAAATTAAGAACAGAAACTCAGTCTGCTCTGTGGACAAAATCATTTGCAGGCTGGGTACAGTGGCTCACACCTGTAACCCCAGCACTCTGGGAGGCCAAGGCAGGTGGATAACCTCAGATCATGAGTTCAGGACTAGCCTGTCCAACAACATGGTGAAACCCATCTCTACTAAAAATACAAAATTAGCCTGATGTGATGGCATGCATGTGTAATCCTACCTACTTGGGAGGCTGAGGCAGGAAAACCGCTTGAACCTGGAAGGTGGAGGTTGCAGTGAGCCGAGATTATGTCACTGCACTCTAGCCTGGGCAACAGAGAGAGACTCCATCTTATACACACAAAAAAACAAAAACAAACAAATAAAAAAACAAGATCAAGGTACAAATTCAAACTTCGAAGTTTGAACTCAGCCTTCAAAGATGGGAAAAGTTTAAGTGGGTGGTAGAAAAAAGCTGGAAGTAATCCGAGCTTATGCAAGAGTTTTTAAGTAGGAATGGGCATAACTGCGGCCAATGAGAGGTAAAAGGACGACCTGGGAAGGTCGTGATGACCATCCAGAAAAACACAAGCCAGAACGGCCAATAGCGTTGCAAGATGGAAGGCCTTACAAGTGTGTAGGTCACGATGATTTATGGGATTTCTTAAACTGTGGTATCTGTGCCACTAATGGTCCTGGAGATGGTCGTAGAATGACAATTAAAAAAAAAAAAACAACTAAAATGCTATTTATTTCGTTAACCAAAGGTGTATTAGACCACATTACCCAGCAATTCCACACCTAGGGATATATTCAAGAGAAATGAAAACCTACATCCAAACCCCATGCACAGAGGTCCAAAGCAGCATTAGCCATAATAGCAAAAAGGTAAAAACAACCCAACTGTCCATCAACGGATGAACAAACTATGGTATCCTGTGGAAACAACAGTGACTCCATCTTGGATGCTAATCTGCCATATTGACTTCTGATCAGTCCCAGCTCCGTGAATGCCTCCTGATTCCTACTTTATTTCCAGTCCTTAGCATAACAACGTGTCAACTTTGATCATTCTTGCCTCTCCTGGAGGGTTGCCTTCAGTTGTCTTGTACACAGCGCTTATGCCCTTTCCCTAAGGTATATAAGCCCTGGGTCTGGGGAGTAGCAGTGTGGAGCTCTGTCTTCCTGCCAGTCAAGACAGCTGTCTTTAAGTTTTCCCAGTAAAACAGCTTTTAATGTCAAACTGGATTTTTCTGCCTTGTACTTTGGTTTCTCAGCAACTTCAGCATTTGGGGACCACTTTGCAAATACGGCCCTTTCACGGAACATGTCCACTTCAGGAGAATTATTCAACTATAAAAAGGAATGAAGGCTGGGCATAGCGGCTCACACCTCTAATTACAGGACTTTGCGAGGCCAGGGCAGGCAGATCACCTGAGTACAGGTGCTTGAGGGCAGCATGGGCAACATGGCAAAACCCTGTCTCTACAAAAAGTAGAAAAATTTAGTCAGGCATGGTGGTGCGCACCTGTACTCACAGCTACTCTGAAGGCTGAGGCAGGAGGATCACTTGAACCCGAGAGGCAGAGGTTGCAGTGACCTGAGATCATGGCACTGCACTCCAGCCTGGGTGACAGAGCAAGACACTGTGTCAAAAAAAAAAAAAAAAAAGGGGGGTGTGGGGGTGAGGACTTAGAAAAAATAGTTATTGTTTAGATTTTAGATTTAGGCTATAGTAGGAAGTCATTTGTTTAAGGAATAATTTTTGAAAAGTTATCAAGGAAATAAGAAAACGGGCTACGTGGATTTATTAAACAGTTCAGAAGTGACATGCTTGGGAAGCTGCGTGTTTCCTTTCTAATCTGTAGAGCAAGCTTCCTCCCTGCAGAAAGGAACCGCAGTTAGCTCCCTAGTCCGCAACACAGAGAATGGAAACAATCCCAGGCCCTTCTTGGAGGGAATTAGTAGAAATGCTGAGGACCACAGGCTTCATCCAGCTGCTAGGAGAACAAGGGAGTGGGTCTCCGGGAGCCTGGGGAAAGCAGCAGCTCAGCCCCAGTGCCTTGACCCCGAGTCTGGAGAGCATGGCTCCGCCACTGATTAGCTGGAGGACCGCAGGCCAGTTCTCAGTGTGCAGTTCACACATTAGTCAACTGAGGAATGTTCTGCATCCTTCATCTACGGATGAGCAAAGCCGACTTACACCACCCTGGGCCTGCTTGCTGCCTGGCAATAGTGCTGTAATAATAATAGTACGCAGGCACTATCCGATTTACTTCTCTAAAAGTTATGTGAGTGAGGGCTGTCTCAAACCTATCCATCTGTGTTTTGTTTTTGAGAGGGTCTTGCTCTGTTGCCCAGCTTGGAACACAATGTTGCGATCTTGGCTCAGTGCAGCCTTGAACTCCTGGGCTTCAGCGATCTTGTTGTTTCTGCCTCCTTGCTTCAGCCTTCAAAGTAGCTGGGACTACAGGTGCACACCACCATGCCAGGTTAATTTTCAGCTTATTGGTACAGATGGGATCTTGCTATGTTGGCCAGGCTGATCTTGAACTCGTGGCCTCAAGCAATCCTCCTGCCTCAGCCTCCCAAAGTGCTGCGATTAGAGGCGTGAGCCACTGCTCCTGGCCTTGATCCCTGTTTTGGGTTTTTTTTTTTATTTTTGTTTTCTTCTGGAGCTGAAAACTGATGTCCAGAGAGATTCTCACTTATCAAAGGTGGCTCAGGTAGGAGGTGGAGGTGAGACACCTAGGTCTGTGTTCTTATTAATGCAAAAGTACCTCCTTTACTACTGTCTTTTCTCTTCTCTCTTCCTCTTTTAACTTGTAGATTCTGAATCATGAAAAGTAGAATACTTATCAGCCGACCCTGTAATTTAAGCCCAGACACCCCGGACTAGATATATCACTAAGGTCCCTCCTAGCCCGGAAATTATAATTATAATGATTATTTTCTTTTGCTTTCGTACTGCAATACACAGCAAACATTCCACCAAGGAATAAATATGCTAAACTCAGTGAGGTATTTTAGAAGGAAATGATGATCTGGTCTGAAATCAGAAATGCACTCATTATGTTCGTATTTCCTTCACAGCAGCATGCAGAGGTATCATTCCAAATGTTTTAGCACTGGATAGATTAGACATAAAACAAAAGATGGGTTTCTAACCCAGAATGCAACACTATTTTTTGCTTAATGTTTCTGGCTACGTCAAGTAGAACATTCTCATCAAGTGCAATGTATACATGAGGTGGGGAGTATAAATCATCCATAATTATAATATCCTTCACCCCAAGAGGCCTTTAGTGTTTGCTTTATAAAAGTTACACAGTTGAGACTGGCACCTTGCTAATAGATTGGCCCTCCCTGAAAATACAATTACGCCACATGCAGGGCTGGGAAGTAGTTTAGCATGCCTGCTGTCACTGTGTGTTTCAGACTCAATAGCTTCCCACAGTGGACTTAACCGCTGGCTGCCCAGACGCTTGGCTAGGAGGGTACGCAGGGGAGGACAGAGCCTGGCCCAGCTAGGCAAGGAGCCAGGTCTACCAAGGGCTTCTAGGAGACCAACTTGCTGCCCAAACAATCTGGTGGCCTCAGGGCTTGAGTTGCTCTGGGAAAAGCTTGGGGATGCTACCGACTTATAACTTCTCCTTCAAAAGACACCCTGAACACCAGGCACTGGGCTCAGTGCTGGGCATCGGGCACTGCAGATGATGGGGCCGAGGGTTGTGGGGGTGTGAAGAAGGCCGATGGCAACATGCTCAGGGTCTGGTGGGGGATATGAGAGGAAAGATGTTCTCAAACAATGCCGTGGCTTGCCGGAAGAGACAGCAGCTGCTCTTGGCCTGAGCTAACACGCTCATAAGGGGGTTAAAATGGGACCATTCTCCTTATCCCCAGTTGAATCTTTTGAACAGCATGACACAGGCTGTAATTATGGAAATGAATTAAAAGTGCTACTTTATAACAGTTAAATAGGTGGACAGATAATAATTTCCGATACCCTGTTTTTGCATTTAAAAAAATGTTTTTCAAGTAACCCACAGGAAAAACAAAAAAACAAAACAAAACAAAAAAACGTGTCTTCTTCAGCCTCCCAGCGGCCTGGTGGGTGGACAGACGTTGCTTCCATAATGGTTTTCCTGCCTGGGGCCCTTTCCAAGTTCTTTTCCACCCATCAGAAGCCCATCCTCACCCAGCAGAAATAGGAAGTAGAATATAAAGCACAGTGTTGGGTAACAGCCAGATGAGGTGAGATATTGCCCAAGATCCCCTGAGGACCAAAAACAAGGAGCTCTAGGCTGGGCTTGGTGGCTCATGCCTGTAATCCCAGCACTTTGGGAGGTCAAGGCAAGAGGATCACTTGAGCTCAGGAGTTTGAGTCTAGCCTGGGCAACACAGTGGGACAAAGTCTGTCTTAAAAAAAAAAATTAGGCGGGCACGTGTGGTGGCATGTGCCTATAGTCCCAGCTACTCAGTAGGCTGAGGTAGTAGGCTTGCTTGAGCCCAGGAGGTTGGGGCGCTACAGTGAGCTATGATCATGCCACTGTACTCCAGCCTGGATGACACAGTGAGACCTTGCAAAAAAAAAAAATAGTAATAACACACACACACAAGAAAAGAAAGCAAGAAAGCAAGAAAGAAAAAGTAAAAGAAACAAAGAGAAAAGAATTTAAACCTAAATCTCAGAAGGTCTTTAGTTTAGTTATCTTAGCCCACCCAGAATACTTCAATCTGATCTATCTGAGCCGCAGGGCTGGAAAGGATCCTGAAAAATCTTTACTCACAGAGAACAGACACCTCATTTCAGTAGCCCCGTGGTTCGCAAAATGTACCGTCCCCACTCCGAGATCCACATCACCTGGGAACTTGCTAGAAGTGTAAATTACAGAGCTCCACCCCAGAGCTATTCAGTCAGAAAATCTGGGGCTGAGCACAGCAACCTTCATTTTAACAATGCCAGCAGGTGCTTCTGACGTACCCTCAAGTTTGAGAAACTCCACATTAGAGAAATTACTCCACGTGGGAATTTAAGTTTCAGATTATTTACCTCATTCTTTATGGCATGAAAATAGAACTCAAACGTAAAGTTCTGAAATACTAGTAAGTATAAATGATAGAGCTAAAAAAAGCAACAGCATATTTATTCACAGGAAGAAAACTTCTCTCTCAAAGAAATGGTCCACAAAAAGGAATCTTTGAAGAATGCATCTTACTCTACTTAACATCTTTATTCTTGTTCTTTCTACTCCCAAGCCTCAAAGGATTGGTGAACCAAGTATTGCCCAAATCTTACACTGTGTCTTCTATATTTGGCCACATCTGAAGACCACCTGTACTATGATATAGTTAACGTCTTTTCTTAAAATCACTTTACTGAGATTTTTAAAAAGTAAATTCATTTACTGAAAAAGAAGAAAAAATAGATCTCTTCTATAAGTGGAAACAAAATTATTTGCTGTAGGTATGCATGGTAAAATAAACACAATACAAATAAAAGTGTTATTAAATAGCAGGTAAAAAGAATTGCCTGTCTGCTATGGATTGAACTTTGTTCCCACCAAAAGATGTTGAAGCCCAACCCCTTAGGATCTGTGAGACGTGATTTGGAAGCAGGGTCTTTACAGAGGTAACAAAATTAAGTCATTATGGGTCATAGTTCAATATGACTGATGTCATCATAAAAAGGGGAAATTTGGACAGGGAGACAGACATGCTTATGGGGAGAACACATGCAGGTGAAGGCAGAGATCACACTGACAGAGTTAAAACCCAAGCAGCACCATGCGTTGCCAGCAACCACAGGGAGGGGCATGGAACAGATTCCTCCTCCCAGCCCTTAGAAGAAACCAACCCTCCTGACACCTTGATCTTGGACTTCTGGCCTCCACAAGTGTAAGGCAAAACATTTCTGTTGCCGAAGCCTCCTAGTTTGTGGAACTTTGTTATAGCAGTCCTGGGAAACTAACGCACTACCCAAGGTTCAAGTCTTCAGTTTGCTTTTTTTTTTTTTTTTGAGACACAATTTTACTCTTGTTGCCCAGGTTGGAGTGCAATGGTGCGATTATCGGCTCACTCCAACTTCCACTTCCCAGGTTCCAGCGATTGTCCTGCCTCAGCCTCCCGAGTAGCTGGGATTACAGGTGCCTGCCACCACGCTCGGCTAATTTTTGTATTTTTGGTAGAGACGGGGTTTCACCACGTTGACCAGGCTTATCTCAAACTCCTGACCTCAAGTGATCCGCCTGTCTCGGCCTCCCAAAGTGCTGGGATTACAGGTGTGAGCCTCTGCACCTGACCCTCCTTCCTCTTTACTAACAGAGATTAGCAAGGAAGGCAAAGGTATAAAGACCAGCATGAAATGGAGGCATTCTTCTGGATATAAGCTTAGATATACCAGTCAACTGAAAAGGAAACAACCTTCTCATTCTCAGACGTAGGATCTGATGGTTTTGCTGTGTAATCTTCCCAGGCCTCCTCTCCGCTACTTTAGGAAATGATGTTGCTTTAGAGTCACACTGCTGGCTTTGAAGCTGAGAAGGGCCACGAGCCTCGTAATCCAGGTGGCCTCTAGAAACTGACAAAGATGGGAAACTGCCTTCTCCCATAAAACCTCCGGAAGAAATGCAGCCCTGCTGAGGCTTTGATTTTACCCCAATAGGGGCCGTTTTGGACTTCTGACCTCCAGAACTACAAGGAAAAGCATGTAGGTTGTTTGAGTGATTAACACAAGTGGGGAATCACCCACTCAGGCACAGAGCCAAGTCCTTGATTTTACTCCAGCATTGAACCTGGGGACAGAATTCCTGAGATAAAGTTAAAGCTCTCCTCTTTGTGTGTGTGGAAGGGAAATAGGAAGATGGGTGTGGAGACGGGGAGTGGAAAAGACACTCACTTTCTTTGCCCCTAAAAAGATTCTCTGTGCCCAACTCCCTACACGATTCTGGAAGTATGGAGAAAATGCCTGAACTGCAAATGTGAAGTAATCATCTCATGAGACTCCTCTTAGGATTTCTCTTTTCCCATTTTCTGCTTGAGTCTGCTTTTTCTACTTCCTAGAGTTCCATCAAAGCCCCGCTAGAATGCCCAATCTCTTTGCACGCTACCAAGGTTTTCCGTGGTCCAGGGTGGGACGTACAGGCACAATATCCCTTCCTAGGAGACTTGTAGCCTGTAGAGGTAAGAGTAATGAACAAGAGGTAAACAAACCAAACAAACAACACCTTTCAAGAGAGATCTGCCTGAGGAGCAATATTGGAAATCAGAAATGGCTCATGAAGTTTGCTAAGCAAAAAAAAGCAAATCCTGCCCGAACAGAATTAGCAAAGGAACCGATATGCAGGCAAATTCAGTCACACGAGGGTGGTCCGAGCAGACACCCCCAACTGCACACCTTGCTTTAGATCAACAGAAGACCGATGGCTGCAGGTAATAAGGGAAGAACCACACTCGGGAGAAAATAACACCAAAAAAAGTGAAACCAACAACAGTCATTGTGACTGCCACGACTTAGCATGCATGTACCACGTGTTAGGCACATAGGATTCCGACTTCTCTATCCTCACTTGATAATTTCTTTGTCTGATTTTGTAAAAGAGAGAACAGGCTTGGGGAGATTACATGTCCCTCGCTTCTAGGTAGCTGAGCCTGAATATGAATGCATGTTTGCTGGAGATAAAGCCATCACACAGGTGGAACGCCTTTAGAGAGTGTGATAGACAGAATCTTGTCTCATGCCAAAGATGCCTGCATCGTAATCTCTGAAAGGTGTGAATACGTCACCTTGCCTGGCAAAAGAACCTTGGCAGATGTAATAAAGGATCTTGAAATGGAAGAGTTGCCAGGATTATCCAGGTGGACCCAAAGTAATCACAAAGTTCCTTACAAGAGGAAGACCAGAGAAGGAGGTATGTGATGCTGGAAGCCAGGGCTGGAGTCTGAAGGCCACAATGCTGGCTTTGAAGATGAAAAGGGCCATGAGCCATGTAATCTGGGTGGCCTCTAGAAACCGGCAAAGGGAGGAAACTACATTCTCCCAAAGAACCTCCAGAAGAAATGCAACACTGTTGACGTTTGATTTTACTCCAGCAAGACCCATTTTGGACTTCTGACCTCCAGAACTGCAAGAAAATACATTTGTGTTGTTTTAAATTACACCTAAATTGGTGATCATTTAGTTATAGCAACAATAAGAACCTCCTACAGAAATGGAAGTCTAAGCATGTTCAGAAGCAGAAGAACGGAGCCCCCAGAGAGAGCGTGTTGGGGGGAAGCACAGATTATGCCAAATTATCCTAGCAGCTGCAGTCATGAATGCTTAGGATGTGCCTAGCATTGTTCAAAATTATTATATAAACTAATTTAGTCCCCACAATAGCCTTGTGAGGCTGGCACAACCTCACCTCCATTTATCAATGAGGTAACTGGGCAGAGAGACAGTAAGCACTTGGTCCCAGATTGCACAGTGAGTCAATGAGGTGAACAAGGATTGAGGACAAGGCATTCTGACCCTGGAGCCTGCCCTCGTCATCCCAACTGGACCCTGCATGGATAATTAGAGGGCCATATTCTGGAAGAAATAGGATAGGATTCATTAACCATTTCCACCTAAATCACGGGGGTTCAGCACTGTGCCAGGCACATGGATAAGACATGCTTGGCACTCTGAAAAGTAGTTTGGGAGGTGAACCTGATAAGTGAGTTGTCAGCTATAACCCGGAAATACCTTCCTAGAGGATTGGGCATGCTGGGGAGAAAGTCTAGAAGAGGTCACACCAGAGGCCAGAGGTATCAGTGGAAAAGTCAAAGGTTCCTGGGAGGAAAGAGAAGGCAGGCAGACAGACACACATCGGGGTTAGAAGGGTGCAAAGGCAGAGTAACTTGGATGAACAAGACAGGCCCAAGCCATGGTCAGAGGCTGGGGGTGCAGGCCTGCCCAGAGCCGCAGGAGAGGACACCCGAAAGGCTGGAGGAGAGAAGATGAAATGCCAGATCTCAGGCAACACAATGCTGAGCAGAGGTAATAATCTGAACTGCACGGATGTAGGGATGCAGAGAAGTAGATTGTTAGGAGCTGAATTGTTTCCCTCCAAAACATGTGGATGTCCTAACCCCCAGTAGCTGTGAATGTGACCTTATTGGAAATGGGGTCTCTGCAGAAGATCAAGTAAAGATGATTTGGATAGGCCCTAATCCAATATGACCATGTCCTCACTAAAAGGGAAAATAGAGACACAGAGACATCCATGCTCACGGGGAGAACTCTATGTAAACATGCAGGTGGAGATTCAGGTGACATATCTACAAGCAAGGAGCACCCATGACTGCCAGCCAACCACAGAAGCTGGCCGGGCATGGGGGCTCATGCCTGTAATCCCAGCACTTTGGGAGGCCGAGGCGGGTGGTTCACCTGAGGTCAGGAGTTTGAGACCAGCCTGGCCAAAATGGTGAAACCCTATCTCTACTAAAAAATGCAAAAAAATAAGCCAAGCATGGTGGTGCATGCCTGTAATCCCAGCTACTCAGGAGGCTGAGCCAGGAGAATTGCTTGAACCCAGGAGGCAGAGGCTGCAGTGAGCCAAGATCGTGCCACTGCAATCCAGCCTGGGCAACCAGAGTGAGACTCCATCAAAAACAGAAACAAACAAACATACAAACAAAAACAGAAGCTAAGAGAGAGGCATAGGACCGATTCTCTCTCCCAGTTTTCAGAAGGAACCACCCCTGCTGGCATCTTGATCTCACACTTCTAGCCTTCAGAACACAAGACGATCAATTCCTGTTATTGAAACCACCAAGTCTTTAGTTCTTTCTTAAAGAAGCCCTAGAAAACCAATACATGGATACCGCCATTCTCTCAAGGACAGCTCGATACACTGTTTCTCTGAGTGAAGCTCTGGGCACTGGGAATACTGAAGGAGGCACATCGGTAAAGATGACTCTCACTGTCAGCACTACAAACGCTTTGCTTCGGGGGCCATCCTGCGCACTGTAGGATATTTAACAACATCCCTGGCCCCTGCCCTACAGATGCCAGGAGGACATACTCCCCTGCCAAGTTGTAAAACACAGAAATGTCTACAGATATTGTGAAATGCCTACTGGGGAACAAAAATCACTCTGGTTGAGAATCCTTGGAATACGGAGATGACATGGAGATCATAAACAATTATTATGTTTTAAATTTAGTTCTGCAAGCTGGGTGCGGTGGCTCATGCCTGTAATCCTAGCACTTTGGGAAGCTGAGGTGGGCTGATCACTTAAGGTCAGGAGTTCAAGACCAGCCTGGCCAACATGGTGAAACCCCATCTCTACTAAAAATACAAAAAATTAACCAGGTGGGGTGGCAGGTGCCTGTAATCTCAGCTACTCAGGAGGCTGAGGCAGGAGAATTGCTTGAACCCAGGAGGTAGAGGTTGCAGTGAGCTGAAATTTCACCACTGTACTCCAGCCTCAGCAACAGAGCAAGACTCTGTCTCAAAAAAAAAAAAAAAATAGTTCTGCAAATATTTATGGAGCACCCAGTCTGCTCTGAACTAGGCTCTTTTTAAGTCCCAAGAGTTCAGAGATGAAGAAAACGCTGTTCCTGTCCTCAAGGAAATCCAAACCTATCAGGATTTACTGGAAACACTACTGATGTACCCCTTGTTTTTAACTTGACAAAGAACAAAACCATAAAGAAAAGTTTCTAGAGATTAGATTGCGGTTATATAAACTCACTTTTTTTTAATGCATACACTCTTATTTCAAATTATTTCAAAATAAAGTCGCATTTCCACAGGCCAGAGGCTATTTTCCCATAATTTTCTTCCAGCATTGTTTATCCTGTATTTTTTATGAGTTTCGGTGTTATTACCGAGTTTTCAACAATCATTAGGTAGTGCCTGAGACACAATTGAATACAATTTTATTACCCCAGCCAACAGACATAAATATTTAATCCTTCCGCTCCACATGACAATGTATATTTTGGGGGGGGGTAATAAATTGCTTTTTGGGGTTGCCCATAGGATGGGCACCTTCTACAAATCTGCTTCGACGTTTTCTCTAATGCGCTATTGAATACATCAACACTGTTTGCAGCCCTAAGTGAGGCATTATAATTTTTTTTTAATGATAAAGCAAAGCGTTCCATCGAAGACAAAGTATCAGGTGGAGATGAGCTCACTGTTCCTGATTCTACTGGGCATTCTGCCCAACCAGAGGAAGGCAGAGGATTTCTTCAGAATGCTGCAGAAGGACCCTGCAGCCTGGCACCTAACAAAGCTCACCTTGGAAACACAAGGGCAGAAGGAAGTCAATGTCACTACAGAGAAAGCCTGTGGACACTCACTTTGCTTCCAGGGATCAGCAGAGGGCCAGGGAATAAACATACAGCCCTCAGCCACTAATACCACCGTGCCAAGGCAGCAGGTTTCCTAGGCAGGACCGGCTCAGTCTGTCTCTTGAAAATACCATTTCCATCCATGGCATGCAAACTTGCCTCAGGCATTGGAGAGAAATTCTTTCTAACAGGGATGATTAACCCACTGTCTTTTTTTCCCCTTTTGGTGGTGATGGTGGGGGCAATGTTGCTAAACGGGGAAAATTGGAATAAACACAAAGTCCAACCTACTAGCTAGATGATTTGAAGGGGTAACCAAACATCTACACTTTTTTTTTTTTTTGAGATGGAGTCTAACTCTGTCCCCTAGGCTAGAGTGCAGTGGCATCAGCTTGGCTCACTGCAACCTATGCCTCCCGGGTTCAAGCCATTCTCCTGCCTCAGACTCCCAAGTAGCTGGGATTATAGGAGTGTGCCACCATGCTCAGTTAATTTTTGTATTTTTAGTAGAGGTGGGGTTTTGCCTTGTTGGCCTGGGAGTCTCGAACTCCCAACCTCAGGGGATCCACCTGCCTCTGCCTCCCAAAGTTCTAGGATTACAGGAATGACCTACTGAGGCCAGCCATTCTTTTTTTTAATTTTTTTTTTAAACAGTTACAGAGACTGTTAGCTAGGAAGAAAGGGCTAAGGAACAAGTGTTATTGAGAAAAAAAATGGATAAAGAATAAAGGATTTGAAAACCCTGACCAACTGTAAAATGCTAATGCTGCAAAACAGTCTTTTTGGATTTTTTAACAACACTGACTCCCAGGGAAGAAAGTTAAACGAAGTTTATTAAGTAATTCAATTTTGTACAACTTGAAAAATTCCTCTAACTCTTTTACCATGCTAACAAGCACAGCACCTCTGACAGACTGGCTGCCAGGGAGGCTTCATCCCCACTGCTTTTGTTTACCCAGCAAATTGTAGTTTTGTTGTCTGAGGGAATTGGGAACAGGGGAATTTGTAGAAAAGTGTAATAGAGAGAAACTTCACCCAACGCAGAACAAAACAATTCTTCTCTAACAAAATCAGCCACTTTGACTTCATTCTCCTCCAGCTTTGTGTAACACAAGTAGCCCGGGCAGGTGAACTGGCCTTCCCAGCAGGTGCAAGGCGAGGGTCCCTGTGAGTAGAGAAAACCAAGGAGAAACTGACGGGAAAAAGCAGCTGCTTCCCCAAACAGTCCTCAGGTACAAGATGTATGAATTTTTCTTTCTTCTTCTTCTTTTTTTTTTTTTTTTTTTTTTTTTTTTTAGAGAGAGTCTCACTCTGTCACCCAGGCTGGAGTGCAATGGCATGATCTCAGCTCACTGCAACATCTGCCTCCTGGGTTCAAACAATTCTCCTGCCTCGGCCTCCCGAGTAGCTGGGATTACAGGCACCCACCACCACACCTAGCTCATTTTTGTACTTTCAGTGGACAGGAGGATTCACCATGTTGGCCAGACTGGTCTCAAACTCCTGACCTCAACTTATCCTCCCACCTGGGCCTTCCAAGGTGCTGGGATTACAGGCATGAGCCAGCCCACCTGGCCTAAAGATGGATGGGTTTCATAAGCCTACCACTCGTGCCTCACAGAGAACAGGTTCAACAACAGAAGTCCCTGCAAATGACAGTTTAGAACACACATGTGCATCAAAAGTGCATGCAATGTGTTAAGATGGTGTTTACATACACACACAGACACAGAGCTTTCATTTCTCCTTTAAAAATGATCTGAGAACGAACTGCACTATTAGGTATAGGGGTGGTGAATAAGAGCATCCGACTTGCTGTACCCGCACAGCCCCCATGGGGGTAGCTTATCTCTGTATGACCTCAGGTGGGGGCATTTGTAGGCTGTGTTTTGTGACCACGTGGTCACTCCCTGGGATGTGAACCTTGGATTTGCAGATTTGTACCTCCAAATGGTGCCAGCCTCCTTTAATTACTAAACATCCTCCCTGGCAGCTTGATCTAGAAGCTGTTTGCTCCCAGCTTCACCACCCTTTCCAAGTAATGACGTGCATTCCCTTTACAGCCCGCCTGTTGGGGATGCAATTGCTTCCCTCCTCTGGCTAAGCAGCGGCAGCTCCGAAAGGCCCTCAGCCCTCTGCCTCTCACCTCTTTCTTTTGAGGTCCTATTAGTCCCTCCCAGTGCTTGCTCTGCTGCCCTTAAAGACTTTCTGAAAGGCATCTCTTTTTAGGTAAAGAGAACACCTGCTTATCCAAAGGACAGTCCCCAGGAGCATTTATACAGGTTGACTGAAACCTCCCCACCAGTTTCTGGGATAAGTGATTGCGGGGCACCTTTCTGGAACTCACTCCGAGCTCACATCCTATTGAAGTGCTTCCCCCACATCATGTATTTATTTTACCAGCACTTGCTGAACACTAGACACTAGAGAATTCAAAGACAGATAAGCAATGATGGCAGACTTCACGGATCTTTCGTCAATTTTAATTGGAGCGCAGAACTGGCCTCTATGTTAGAATCTGTGCAATGGTTTCCCATCATTCTTGCTTTATAAGCACCGCCTTCCTTACTCCAGGCTGTAAGGGCTGCTGACCTCTCTAGGAACGGTCAGCCCTCCTGGCCATATGAGCTCCCCTGGCGGCAGCTACAATGGCCTCTAAATAGCTTGTGCAATGCTGCATGAGCTCTCTAGCCCCCAGATCTTTGTATATGGCTGTCCTGCCATCTGAAAGGCTCCTCCCCTTCTTCAACAAGTGAAGTCACTTATGATGGCTTCAGAATCGCGTCCTCCAAGAAGTTTCCCTTGAAGTCCTGAGTCAGGTTGCTCCAACAGATGCTCACAAAACCTTGTTTCACTTCACAGGAGCAGTCATCTCATTTGAAGTTACACATCAATCATGGTGACTGATGTGTAACTATTTTGTTTATGTCCATCTTCTCTGCTCCCTTGTAAGCCCCGAACAAGTAAAGAGTAGAATCTACATCTTCAATACTTGGCCTAAAGTAGGAGCTTAGTCAATGTCTGATGAAACAATCTATAAATAAATAAATGAACAGATGGAAAACAGTGTACAATCATGGATAATGTTAAAGCTTTATTTGGTTCTGATGACATGATGAGTTGAAGGGTTCCTTTAAAACTTGATGTGTATGGAAACCACTTCTTCCTGTTCTCTACATGGAGTCTTGACTTGTCACCCTGACCGGAGTGCAGTGGCACAATCTCAGCTCACTACAGCCTCTGCCTCCTGGGTTCAAGCAATTCTCCTTTCTGAGCCTCCTGAATAGCTGGGATTACAGGTGTGTGCCACCATACTTGGCCAATTTTTGTATTTTTAGTAGTGACAGGGCATTACCATGTTGGTTAGGCTGGTCTTGAACTCCTGCCCTCAAGTGATTCTCCCCACCCTGCCTCTCAAAGTGCTAGGATTACAAGCATGGTTTTGCACCTGGCAAAACCACCTTTTCCTCTTGGGTCTTCTGAGTATGGCCTGGAAGACTTTCCTCTTGATAGCTCCAGATATTCACTTGTTTCACCAACTTGAAATTACTAACAGAGTTTTGCCATGAAACCCATATCAAGTAAGAGTAGCTTTCCATTTCAGTTGTAAGGAACACAGTGGAAACAAAAACGGGGCTTCAATACAGAAACTGTGAGTTACATGTAATTCCACACAATGATTTCCAAAAAATGAAGACATCAAGAACCACATGAGGTAGAACAATGAATATCCCAGGTACGAAAAGCACCACCTACCAAGTTCCAGCACTCCTGGTTTCAAGTAAGACACCTGATTTTATGTAGACAAATATATGCCGACATCAAGTATGCAACTTTATATTTCCATATGTCAGGTAAAGTGCAACCTTAAGCACATTCTGAATAATTCATTCAGGCAAAGTTCTGATAAACAGATGTCTGTAACGCAATATTTCTGAAGGTGCCATTTTTCTGACATGAAAAAAAATCCCTGCTTAAAAGCCAGATGGCAAATAAACCCCAGTTCATCACTTAGGCTCACATGGGGAACTCCAGAACATTTTTCATCAATTCCCACTTTATATTTAACACAGTAAATATAACAGTGAAGTATTATGTCTCTTCCTTCTCAATCCATCTCATCTATGAGTGTTAATCTCTACTGGGTCTGAAGCAGTATTTACTTCAAATAAGCAAATGAGCTTCCATGTAACAAATTATCTCTGCAGAAACAACAGAAAATTCTGTATGCTCAACTGTTTTAGTTTGTTGAAGGTTACCAGAAACAGATTTTGCAAAAATGTCTATTTTTCCCCCTCAGCCTCTCACAGCATAATTGAGGAGTTGAACATTCCACTACATAAACAAAAATCTTCTCTGGATTTGCTTAACTAGACATGAACTTGCTGTCATTCCAGGTCGAGAGTCATGGGCTAAGGAAGAGTCGTAGGGGCAGACATAGGCCAGGCACCCTTTGACCTCTTGGACTCTGTGTTATTGTCTTCCCCAAAGGTAGTAGGAACGTCCTGTTCACTTTGATTTTGCACCCCTGGCCTTGCTAGGTGGGACATTTCCAGGTTGAAACTTCTGTTGACTTGCCGTGTTGCTAAAATGAGCCCACGGAGAGGGATGGGCTTAGACAGAAGAGATGAACAAGCAATTCTGTCCTCACTGGAATGAAGTCTGATCTTTCCTCTCTTTCTTCTTATCTTCCTTCTGTATATATTTATTGAATACCTATGTTAGACACTAGGATGGGAGACATGAAAGAGACAGTCTAACAGGAAACACAAAGCCTGTCGATAGGAAATTTACAATACAGGGTGAGAGGCACAACTGAGAAGTATCCAGTGGCCAAGCTGTGAACACAGCACCCGGTATACATAATGTCGGTGAATGGGAGGGATATCAGGAAGTCTTTCTAGTTCTAATGAACGTTATGGGAACATCTTAAATGGCATTCACACCTTCTACAAATGTTTTCATTAGCATTTACCATGTGCAAAATGCTGGGGATCTAGCAGTTCACAAGACATATGTAGCTCCCTGCATTCATGGAGCTCACACAAAGACAAACACTCAACAACCATAACATGTTAAGTGGAATATTAGGAATGGCATTGTGTGCTGTGAAGGAAGAGGAGAGGGTCTTACACGTAGACAGAAGATCCCAGTTTAGACGAAAGATAGGAACGGCATCATGGAGAAAGCAATACAGATTCTGAGACCAGAAGAATGAATAGTGATGTTGGTGGGACGAGGTCAAGAAGGGTAGAATTCCAGGCAGAGGGAATAGCATCTGCTGTGACACTCAGCACATTGCTAAAACTGGAAAAGACTAAAAAGGCTCTGAAATAATGAGTAAGGGGAGAAGCAGATGAGTGTTGAGAGAAGGGCAGGGCCAGACCATCCAAGGCCATGCAATCGTGTTTGCTTTCATCCTAAGAGCAACGGGAAATCAATAAACAGTTTTAAGTGGGAGAGCAGATAGTGGTAGCATGATTAGATGTTTCAAAATCTTTTTCCTTGATGGGAGCATGGATAGAGGTTACAGAAGGATCCCTAAAGGATTTTGTGGTAGCTCCAGGGGGAGATGATGGCAACTTGGAACAGGATATTCGTGGATGAACTACAGAGAAATACACATATTGACTTTGAATATTATGATGGGATGTTTGAACGTGCTTAAATAGCAAGTGAATTATTCACAGATACATTCCAATTCACCACACAGGCTCAGCATAAGAACATGAACAATACCACCACCACCACCACCAGCAATAACTAAAGAAAAACTCAAATAAACCTTTGTTTCATGTGCCAGGAACTGTTCTAAGCATTTTATGAGTATTAACTCATTTAATCCTCCCGACAACCCTAGAAGTTGATGCTATGAGCATCCTCCTGTTATAAATAAGGAAACAGAAGCACAGAAAGGCAAATTAACCTTGTCCAAGGCCACCCAGCTATTAAGACTAAACATAGTTCAAATGGTTATGGTCAGAACATGGGCAAAAAAATCTCTCTCATTGTTAACTTCACACCTGGACATGGCCCTACTATTATTTACTAACGAAATGCTCCTGCCTGCTTTTGCTTTCCTCTTGCAATGAAAAGGTGTCCATACTTCAAATATGTAAGTATGATGTACTTCATTCATGTAAATGTTGAGGGACAGCACAAGATGAAACCATCATGCATGAAGCCTCCATGGGCGAGAAAATCTGTAGAGATAATTCCAATTGACACTTGCTTGAGGAGGTATGGACGTTTATTCTTCCCATTTCAAAGATGAGAAAACTAAGGCTGACAGCATTCTGGAGCTGTGCTCAAAATCTCACAGATGGTGAGAGATGGAGTTGTAATCTACATCCAGGTGTCTCTAAATATAAACTCATTCCTTTCCACTCAAGATGGTATAGTAAGCAGATGACTCGGTGCTCTTGACAGACCAACCAATGGCCGTAAACAACCAACTAAAAATGTAAAAATTGTAATGTATCCATGCTTCATGAAAATTTTGAGCCAAGAGGGCCTTAATGCCTAGGGAAGAAGAAAATGCCTGATGCTAAATAGAAAATGGAATGCAAGGAAACCCTGAAACATACACATGCATACACATATGTATTATACACACATACATGCACACGTTATACACACATGCACGCAAACATACACATGGACACGCATCCACACATACACACACATATACACACATATGCACTCACACACATATTATACACACACATACACATGTTACATACACGTGTGTCCATACACACATATACACATATGCATAAACACGTATACACAGATGTACACACATTATACACGTGTACATGTGTGTAATACATGTATTATACATACACATGCATACACACATTATACACACACACAGAGACGCGCATGCATACACGCATTATATATATGCACACATACACACATCATACACATACACAATGTATTATACACATATACACACATACACACATATACACATATGCACAAACACATACGAGATGCACACACGTATTATACACGTGTACATGTGTGTAATATATTACACATACACATGCACACACATACACACATGTATTATACACATGCACGTTATACAGACACGCACATGCATACACACAGATGCATGTGCATACACGTATTATATATATGGACACATACACATGTATCATACACATACACACATATATTATAGACACATACACACGTATATACACATGTACACACACAGAAACTCAGAGCTGAATTATCTCTTTCAGAAACACTCCAGTATTTTAAAAATAACCTACTTCCTTTTATGTTACTCCCACGGACATGAGAAGTTTATGTACCGTGTAACACAGCAGAATCCATGTTCTGTTTCCTTTGCGTCTGTACTTTGTTTTTCAGTTTGTTGCAATAAATCTTTACTATGGACTGAATTATGAGACTTAAATAATTGATAGAGCTGATTCCAAATGCTTACTACCACAGCCACATAACAAGCTGAAATGTCAGGGGCTGGGGTGCACTCAATACCCTCCACATTCTTTAGCCTTCACCTCTGACTGCTCTCCTCACCCCCCTCCATCCAAGGGGAAGCTATGCTCTGAGAGGTCGTGGAGGGGCAGGGGTCAGATGGCAGCTTGAGGATGGCAGGTGATCACAGCTGGAGTCAGAGCTTGATGCCAAAGGGGCGGCCATGGGTGCAAACTCCACAATGGACTGTAAGCATTCTTAATGCCGTTGGCTACGACCTCAATTATGATGCATGATTTGGCAAAATAGAGATTGGTCCTGAATATGGTGTGGAATTTACTCGGTTCACCTCATTTCTTTGAAATAACTGCCAAGTATCAGGCATTATATAAACACCGAGGAAAAGGAAAAACCTGACCTGGTCTCTTGTCCATGTGGAGCCTGTAGTTTAGCAGAGTTACAGACCTTAAGTTACCTATAACACAGGGATCCGACCTGGTGAGACACAGAGGGTAGCTCGTGTCTGAGACACAGAAAGAGCTCCAGGGAATTGGGGATATAGGGTATGAAGGGACAGATGGATGATAAGCTCAGAAACTGCAGGGCTCTGTAATCCATGTTAAGGACTTAGCCTTTTTTTATTTTTTGAGACGGAATCTCGCTCTGTCATCCAAGGCTGGAGTGTAACAGCATGATCTCAGCACACTGCAACCTCTGCCTCCCGGGTTCAAGCAACTGTCCTGCCTCAGGCTCCCAACTGGCTGTGATTACAGACACGTGCCACCAAGCCCAGCTAATTTTTTTTTGTTTTAATAGAGATGGGGTTTCACCATGTTGGCCAGACTGGTCAAACTCCTGACCTCAAGTGATCCGCCCGCCTTGGACTCCCAAAGTGTTGGGATTACAGGCGTGAGCCACTGCACCCAACCTGGACTTCTGGACTTGACCATTTTCTTAAATACAGTGGGAAGCCACATCACGTTTTAATCTGTGTCAGGACATGCCCCAGTCAATGCAAATGTTTCCTTTTGTGTGTGTGTGACGGAGTCTCGCTCTGTCACCCCGGCTGGAGTGCAATGGCACGACCTCGGCTCACTGCAACCTCTGCCTCCTGGGTTCAAGCGATTCTCCCTCCTCAGCCTCCTGAGTAGCTGGGCTTACAAGCTAATTTTTGTATTTTTAGTAAAGACGGGGAATGCAAATATTTTCTACTCTATCTTAGAAGTTATGAAGTAGGGTTCTGGAAAACAACCTGTGTTTAAATCTCTACTCTACAGCCGCTGTGTCAGCTTGGGCAAGTTATTTGTCAGCAATGGTTTTCTTATGTGCCAAATATAAATAGCCCCATCCATTGCTCCCTTCCTCAGGTGCTGCCAGCATTCAGGAAGGTGTGGAGAGCTCAGGTCTGGGCACAGGGAGCTCTGCACAGGTGCGTCCCCTGCTGCTGTTAGCCACGACATTTCCTTAGACGGCCTGTCAGCTGCATTCTGAGTTGTGGCAGAGTTTCTTTGCTTTCTTTCACCAAATGCATTTTTTTTAAAAATGTCACCTAAATTCCCTAATCATTTCTCACCACTCTTCCACTGATTTTTATATTACCTGCAATCTTCTTTCTATCCTATAAACTCATCTATGATCTCAAATGCTCCCACCTCTCATGTACATTTGTGGGTCTTCACGCTCTTGGGAGCAATCCACAGACCTCGCATTCATAGAGCATAATTTACCGGGCACTTTTCTAACACAATGACCACAGCAGCACTTATATGGCGTTGATGATGCCCAAGCACTGTTCTAAGTGCGTTTGAAATACCGTCCGCAGATTACATAGCAGAGGATGAGATCCTCTCATTTGCAATGACAAAGATGGAACTGGAGATTATTATGTTAACTGAAATTACCCAGGCACAGAAAAACAGACATCATATATTCTCACTTATTAGTGGGATCTAAAAGTCAAAACAATTGAACTCATGTACATAGACAGTAGAAGGATAGTTACCAGGGCTGAAAGAGGGGAAAGTAGGGATGGTTGATGAGTTTAAAGAAAAAAAGAAAGAAAAAGACATACATATTATTTGATTACTATACTCAGTAGTAATTTTATATTTAAAAATAACTAAAAGAGTGTACTTGGATTGTTAGTACCAAAAAGGATAAACTGTTTTATGTTTTGTTTTGAGACAGTCTCAAACTGCACAGTGCAGTGGCATGATCTCTGCTCACTACAACCTTCGCCTGCCAGGTTCAAGTGATTCTCCTGCCTCAGCCTCCTGAGTAGCTGGGATTACAGACACCCACCACCAATGCCAGCTAATATTTGTAGTTTTAATAGAGATGGGGTTTCACCATGTTGGCCAGGTTGGTCCCAAACTCCTAAGCTCAGATGATCTGCCCACCTCGGCCTCCCAACCCAATGGATATCCCATTCTTCATGATTTGATTATTTCACACAGCATGCCTGTATCAAAACATCTTTGGTACCCCACAAATATATATATATACCTACTATGTACCCACCATAATTAAAAAAACATTTTACAAAAAGATGACATAAGAGGATGAGTACTATGATGATCTTCATTTTACACATGGTAACACTGATCCCAAGAGGTTTAAACAAATTGCTCAAGTCTCACATTCGGGAAGTGGCAGAGCTGGGATTTCAACCTGTCTTAGGGCTCATTCCTCACTGTTGAGATGTAGTCCACTTTTGTGCAATCACATGAGTATCCTTTACTCTTCCTTTATTTCTTCCATCAGGTACTTTTGCCTCCTTTCCACAAAACATTGGCATTGTCAAGGATCTATGACTCTCCATTTTTTTCTTCTCCTCCACTTCCTCCTTTAAAAAAATTTTCTGAACATAGATCCTTCCTCTCATCAATCATGTGCAGCTGCCTTGTAGAGGTCATGAGAGGAATCGACAGCTTGTTATCCAATAGGGGAATAAATATATATATATATATATATATATATATATATATATATACACACACACACACACACACACACACACACATATATTACTAACAACTAGTGGCTGAGGCAGACGAAGAGGGTAAACCAGTTAGTTCTCCTATCTGCTTAGTTCCATTCCATATTTAGTAAATCATCATGAATGGAACCAGTTTTATATATTTTTTAGAGCTATCCAGGGGATTCTGGGAATCAGGAACCACTGGGGATATACATTTGGGATATACATTTGGTCTCTGAGGTTTGGACTTGTTCTTTAATTCCTAGAACATCACAAAACTAGAGGATTTTGTTAATATAGATCATCTTTTTTGATTTGGTGCTTCTCTGAACTGAACTTCTATGGAAAAGAGGACCAGACTTTATTTCTTTAAGTCATTAGATTATTTATTAAAGATGTATTTATCTACAGCCAGCATTTGAAGCTGGTAAGAAGGATGAACTAGACTGACGTTGTTTAGTGGTAATTTTCAGAGTCTCTGTTAGTTCTGGAAGGGTGTATGTTGCAAATTCTAGATAGAAAACATTTGGAGACAGTGAGACATTTAATTTTAGCTGAGAAAGCCACATGCTACTTATGAAACATCCATTTGAGAACTGTGGCAGAGAATTAAACCCAACATGTCTTATTCTGGACTACTACCTAAAATGATAAAATACAATTACAAACACAGGGAAAATGGCTTTTTAAGATAATAGAAAAAAATGAACTAAACTGATACAATCTGTTGGTAACCTTTTTACAAAATTTTAATTCATGAATGTTTTAGTGAGGTCGAGGCTATCAGTTTCTTATTTTTCTCTAGCCTGCTGTTATAAAGTGAGAGAAAGTGTCAGTTTAAAACTGTCACGAAATTGCACTGAGAACCCCAAATGGGGCAAGTGTTTTCAGAAATACTTCTTGTTTTGGGGGTACACTTTGGGAGTACCTCTAGTTGGGATGGAGAGCAGGTGTGAACAGAAACATGAGACAGATTCCCAGGAGTCCAACCAAAAGATAATAAAGGCACAAATTCGGGAAGGCATTCTCACAGAATTAGAGAAGTGCTGCCACTTGGGCTGAATGGAACAAAAGAGAAAACTTCATTTCACCCATCCATGAGACTGACTGTCAAAGTCACACAGAACACAGAGCTATCTGGGGGATTTCAAACGCACAACAGACCACCCCTTGGAAATAGAGACATATTATGAAACTGTGCTGAAATGACCAATGACCAATGCCATCTGTGACAGAAAATGCAGAAGTGATGGAAGTGAAGCTTACTTTGAATAAAAAGGACAGACAGACAGACAAGAGATAGGTAGCAATTATAGATCATTCTATCTCTGTCCATAATCTATGTATGTTTGTATCTGTTCGTCTATCTATCAATCGATCCAGTATCTATCTATTGATCCAGTATTATGCAAAGGAAGAAAACCCATATAAAGAGCTGTCTTTGGGATATTAGAAGACATCATAGCACTGTCTTTGGGATATTAGAAGACATCATAGCACTTGGTTAATTATCATGTTCTCTCTATGTTCATTCTCCAGGTCAGCTTGCTCCCTCTATGTGTGACAGCTGACCCTATCAGACAACCTAAACTATTCCCCATACAATTCATTCCATTGGCCCTGAAGTATTAAGCATATTTTTATTAGTGATTATAAGTTTTAGATACCTTGAAAGAATACTTCTCACCAGATGATACATGTGTTTTGGTCTTCATGATAAATGCAAATGAAAATTCATCACAAATTACACTGAAAAGATATTTTAGTTTCCACATTGATAAAGTACAGTTCTGGGCTTCTCTGGCCAATGCTCTATTGGAGGAACAGGGCTTTTGTTCTCCTTTTCTCCTTATATAAAAACTGGAGAGGAGATTCTTTGTGGTCTAAATTTACTTTGGGGCTCATGGACTTGGTTTGATTCAGAACTCCACTTTCTGAGCTCAGCATAGAGCCCCAGCTGTTGATACTGACAAGGGACCTCTCTATCGCACAGCTACTAGAGTTCAGGTTTAAAAGAAAGATCTTTTGATGAATGAGGTAGTTTCTGTAAAGGCATGGTACAGGGATAAAGAAAGCCTTCTTTTTATCTTGTGCTTTTGTGACTTGATCGTGTATTTTTAGATGACCTATATGAGTTTGATCTCTAGGGGCTTTCTTTCCCGACTCCCAGTAATCTAAGACAAGAAACCAAACTTCCCACGGTGTTCTTCTGGGAGAAGCTGTGTTCCCTCCACAGTCTCTGCTTCCCTGTGAGCTTGTCCATTTCCTGTAAACTCACTCCACTGCCTGCAAAATGAGGTGAAAGAGCTGTTTCAATGGCAATTCATTCTGCAGACAGTGAGCTCCTGTGAATGGAATCTAGGAGGGTCAGGTGAGGTGGGCAGTCTTTTACAAGTTCTGAAGAGAAAGATCATGTATTCGGTTGGTGCAAAGGTAACTGCAGTGTTTGCAATGAAAAGTAATTGTAGTTTTTGCAATTAAAAGTAAAACTAGATCAAGGCAAAAGCAGAGCAGGAGCCAGCGCCACACACGCAAGAATAGCTGAGGAGCAAAGACTGAGAGTGAGTGGTGAGAAATGAGCAGAGACAGAAATCAGACAGGGGAGGGGGGCACAGAACACCCTGAAGCAGAATAGAGAGAGAGAGAGAGAGAGAGAGAGAGAGAGAGAGAGAGAGAGAGAGAGAGGGAGACAGGGAGGCTTTGAGAATATGCATTTCTGATACTTCTGCTTCCTAACAAACCCCTACAAATAGCACTGTACTTCACTCTCAGGCTTTTTTGTTTGTTTGTTTCGAGACAGCCCTGCTCTGTTGCCCAGGCTGGAGTACAGTGGTGCAATCTTGCCTTACTGCAACTTCCATTTCCCAGGTTCAAGTGATCCTTCTGCCTCAGGCTCCTGAGTAGCAGAGATTACAGGTGTGTGCCACCATGCGCAGCTAATTTTTGTATTTTTAGTAGAATCAGGGTTTCACCGTGTTGGCCAGGCTGGTCTCAAACGTCTGACCTCAAGGGATCCACCCACTTCGGCCTCCTAAAGTGCTGGAATTATAGGTGTGAGCCACCATGCCTGGTCTCAGACTTTGGATATTTTAAGATATTTTCTGAGTCTCCTTAAAATAACCCCCTTTTCAAATGAGTTATTTTTAGAGAGATCCAGTACTTTACGGTCGAAGAGTCTTGTCTAAAATACATTCGTTACAAAGTGTTACTGTCAAAAATGTGAAGAATTGAAGGAGCTCTGGGGAAGTTCTGCTTGGCCAAAGGGCATTAACTTTGCATAAAATCGCCAAGGGAAGGGGTGCAAAGAGGGTCTGCAATCACCAACCAGGGGGTTTGGGGACTTGGGTAAGAGTCAACGTGCTGTAAAGGAAACTAAGAAATGGGATCTATGTCATCCACCTGGCAACTTCACACGACTACAACAGAAAATTCTAAGTAGGCAACACAGAAGATTCTTTTTTGCAGTGCATCAGTAAGCAGGATCAAAATGCAAATGTTAATACAACCAGCCACAGCTCCTTCTCAGAAAACCGACTTGCTGGAAAGAAAGGGAAGAAAAGAATGAGCAGGGATTGTTTTAAAAGCAGTGCTGGCCTTGCTGTCCACTAAGTAGCTATAATGGTATCATATGCCAACCCTACATTAGGCTGGCTCAACCTTTGCTCTATTTTGGGCAGCAGGAATTTGATGAGACATTGGATTGAAGACAGATTGCACCTTCATGGAGTGCTGCGTTCCACGTTCAGATGAATAAAAGTAAATGTTAAGTATGTTCAAGGAAAACATTACATTAACAATTTGTTGAAACTTGCAGAGATTAAGCAAGGAAAGGAATGCTGCCAGCTTCAGTGATTTGGAACAATGGTGCTGAGGAATGCTATGCCTGGAGCACTGGAAAAAACTAACCATCACAGACTAATAAATAAGGCAGGACTGGGAAGTTTATGTAGCTGATATATCTTCCCCTCTCCTCTCCTCTCTCTCTCTCTCTCTCTAGTGTGTGTGTGTATGTGTCTTCATCAACAAGGTACTATTAGGTAGAAAAGGCAAACGGGTTTCTGGGTTTTCAGAACTGGGTAGACCCAAATTTAGTGTCTGTATCTTATATCGATGGGCAAGTAGATTAACTACTCTAAGTTTCATTTTCCTCTTTAGAGATAATACTGCCACCTTGCTAAGTTGCTTCAAGCAGTTGTTCTTATAAAGTGCTAGCAGGATTCATGATTCATATTCTATAATTTGTAGCTGCTACAAATATTATTGTAGCCACTACTGATAATAAAAATGGATGCATTGGCACCTGTAATGGAAGACATGAGTAGGCTTTAACTGAAAGTCACTAATGAATGAATGGATGGATATTGGAAGAACGCCTGGTGTCAACAAACAATTGTGAAGGGACGGGGAACATGAAGGGGAATCAGACGTAACTCCTGTCCTCAAAACGTTCACAGTGTTGAAGGGTCTGAGACACAAAGAACCAGGTGACTCCACACGAATTCTAGGGAACACTTACAGTCACAAGCAAGCAAGAGTCTGTTCAAGTTTCTCACTTCATGCTCACTTCATACCCCTGACTTCATCCCTTTTATTTAGAGTTCTACTGAGTCTGCTAAGTGCTATTTTCACCTACACAAATGGTTCCAGTTACTTTTCACACAGAACAGAGAGTGGGTACGTAGGTTAAAAAAGCTTAAATCAGAAGGTGACAGTGAATTTAGGCACTCTCCTTCTTCTCCACTTGGAATATGCTATTCATACGGAAATCCCAGGAAACTGGGGACAGACAAGATGGAGATAAATCCCTAGATAGGAAGGAAAGACTGTTACAAACACCAACACAATAAACGATAACCAAAGCAATGATTCCTTAAATCTATCACTTTACCATCCTCACAACCCATTCAAACATTCTTTGGGTTTGGTTTTGTTTGTTTGTTTTGAGATGGAGTCTCGCTCTGTTGCCCAGGCTGGAGTGCCATGGTGCTATCTCAGTTCACCGAAATCTCTGCCATCTGGGTTTAAGTGATCCTCCAGCCTCAGCCTTCCAAGTGGCTGGGACTACAGGTGCCCACCACCACGCCCAGCTAATTTTCGTATTTTTAGTAGAGACGGGGTTTCACCTTGTAGGCCAGGCTGGTCTTGAACTCCTGACCTCAAGCAATCCACCTGCCTCGGCCTCCCAAAGTGCCAGGATTACAGGCATGAGCTACCATGCCCACCCTCCTTAGGTTTTCATAACAATATTTTAGGGTACCAAAAGGCTTACAGCAGTGTTTCTCCCAACTTCAATCATATACCATACCTTTAGGCTTTCACATTTTCACCTTACCACCTATATTATTTATTTTCCTTTATTGTACTCTTTGTGCTAAACACATTTTACTTTAAAAGAAAATCTATAAAATCAACTTCTAGTATAAGTGGGACACTACTATTATTAACCATAAATGGTAAGCAACTGTACAAATATAAACACATTGGTCTCCTGGAATTCTAGTTATCACAGGTAACCACTGAAATACGTGGCTATGAGAAATTTTGTTTTGAATGCTATACAATGTGTTAAAAGAAAACTCAAAAAGGAAAACTTTCTCCACCCTATGATTCAATCTTGTTTCCTGCTGTGTCTGTGAACCACCTAAAAGAAACTTATAGAACTCCTAAAATCTCACCCAACCTTTGGAAAAATGCTGGTTTTTACCACTGAAGGGTCTATTCCAAGATTACACAAACCAATTTCAATATAGCTCTTCAAGAATTTATTAAACAACCATTAGGTGCTGGACTACATGGTGGAAGCTGGTGGATTGAGGATGGGCTTACGGATATGGATTGGCACTCTTCCCTTCCTCCACAAACTAGTCGGGAATTCGACATGTATATGTTGCAAATACTAACCATCATCATTCAAGACAGGGTGAGTAACACTGCAGTCACGAAGAACCCAACACACAGCTCAAAATACATGCCTATTTTCCCACTTGCTAAAAGCCCATTTCTCAAAGTTATCTGTTCCACGTTCTCCTTTTTCTGGAAATCCAAGTTGACAGAGCCGTCATATGTAAGATATCACTGGCCTTACTGCAGAGGGAAAAGAGAGCAAAATGAGGCACATGCATACTCGTAAATTTTCCACTTGAAAGTGACATCCATCACCTATGCTCACAGTTCACTGGTCAAAGCAAGCCATGGGGCTAACGGGGGCAAGAATGGGGTGGGAGAAGACTCACTTTCATGGAAAGGCTCAAAGACAGGGGTGGCTCACAATGAACTCAGTATTTTCAGTAACAATGGGATCTACTGAATGTTACAGTAATAGATTGGAGATTTGAAGCCAGGTTTTTTGGAATTCTTGTCCACTGTGATATCCCTCTAACCAACCCGTGTCTATAAGGGAAAAAATACAATCAAATTTGAGAACACATGCAATTCCCTGAAGACTTATTTGCAATCTAAGTGGAAGGACAGGCTTAAGAAACAGAAAAGCTGTGTCTGCCCATACCTACAGTAAGTAAGTGATTAAAGGTTTCTATCTGCTTGGCAGGAGAATGAATTCAGATGCTAAAATAATTCTTTTTTGGGGAGGAGGGGATAAAGAGGGATGAATAAAGGACATAAAAATATAGTTAGAAGCAATAAGATCTAATGTTTGGTAACACAATAGGGTGAAATAAAATTCTTCGGTTAATCTTTTAACTAAGGCATGAGCTCACAAAGTAAGGCTGCTGTGTACTTACAATGGTCTCCCTTCCCCCAGCTTTTTTACTAGGATCTTAGAATACAGGAGACATCTGGGTCAGAAATAGTATAAATACTGACCTGCAAGGAACAGCCTGATGAACCAAAAGACCTCTAAAATGCACTTCTAACCCTACGGACACAATATTTTACCCAGAGGACAAACAGCAAGTAAAAACAATGTGGAGATAAAATTTCTCGGTAGACAGAGAGTGCAATTGCAAGGGAATTTAATTTCCCCCTGAACCGAAAATGAAACCCAAGACAGTAAGTGACTATATAAAGAGAACACTGCTTTCTAAGTGTTGACATCAGTAAGCTCTTTCTCCTCCAAGTTTGGATTTTCACAAAAAAACGAAAAAGTTTTCAAACAGCTTCAGTGATTCATTGTATATTGCCAACTGTGTAACTACTTTCAAGAGCAGGACTTAAGCTGTCAGAAACACAAACCCATAAAGCATTGTGGTCCTTCATTTTCTTTTCATTTCTTTTCATTGGTTTTACAAAAGTTAGTTATTTTTTGGGTAAAGAAATAAAATGTTCAAAATGTCACAACTACTGCCTACTGTTCTTAAATCCTAAATAAAACCTGTCCTCCAGGGAAATAATTGTAAAGCTTATGAGGCTTATTAAAAATTTTACACTAATTACCTGGGAACGTCTTCCCCAAATCAGACACACAAGCAAACACCTCAAATCAATCACCCAAACAAAAACCCCAAACAGAATAAGATGCAGTAATAAAAATGATGAGGATGGGACAGGCGTGGTGGCTCACACCTATAATCCCAGCACTTTGGGAGGCCATGACGGGTGGATCACTTGAAGTCTGGAGTTCGAGACCAGCCTGGCCAACATGGCAAACCCCACCTCTACTAAAAATATAAAAATTAGCCAGGTGTGGTGACGAGTGCCTGTAAACCCAGCTACTCAGGAGGCTGAGGCTGGAGAATCACTTGAACCTGGGAGGCAGAGGTTGCAGTAAGCCAAGATTGCACCAGGGCACTCCAACCTGGGTGACAGAGTGAGACTCTGCCTCAAAAAAAAAAAAATGACTATGGAAAGACAGCAAAAACAACCAAACCCTTCTAAAACTAGGGTTACTAACTTCCTGAAGACCTCTATGGTGATATGGCAGAATTCGAAAGGAAAAAAAAAAGTATATGTGTTTTTGTGTCTATAAACAGATATAGGGAAATCACCTAATATACATGATTAATGATTCCAGGGATAGAAAAAGCCAGAAAACATGATGCGAAGTTTAGAAAATGATCATTAGTTTTCATGGAGCCCACAGATGATACAACCATATCCTTTCGGCTTCTTGAAATCACAATGAACCCATAAGGCCAGGGAGAACTGTCAACTTCTCAACTTACTTTACTCAATGCCATCCTGTCCCACCATCAAAGCCCTTTATAACCCCACCACACTTTGAAACATCTTCGCAGATAACACAGTTCTCAAAATACAGGTAATCACTACTCTATAGTCTCCTTCCAAGTACTAGAATTAGAGATAGAGGAGGAAGAAGTGCTAAAGAGTATACCAACAATAACAAGAAGAACAGCAGAGTCAACAATAACAATGTAAAGGAACTTCATGAGTTTGGTGAGGGACATGATGATTTTGAAGCTGCAGGGAAAATCCAACTTGGACAATACAACCAAGTATGGAGACTCACCAGTATATGGAAGATAATCAAACCAGAAAGTGGAAAAAATTATCATGAACAAGAGCATTTTTTTTCATTTTGTGTTATTTTAAATTGATTACAAAGACACGGTTTTGCTTCCACAGACACCTGACCTCATTGGCTAAGTGACCTAATGCAACAAAATTTCGGAAGCATCTCTTTTATTTTTGCCATATTTCACTGATTCTAAAGCAAACGTTTCTTCACATTTTCATTCTTTTTTTTTCTGGTTTTTTTTTTGTTTTGTTTTGTTTTGTTTTTGTTTTTTTCAGATAGAGTCTCACTTGCTTGCCCACGCTGGAGTGCGGTGGTGCGATCTCAGTTTAGTGCAACCTCTGCCTGCTGGGTTCAAGCGATTCTTGTGCCTCAGCCTCCTGAGCAGCTAGGATTACAGGTGAGCACCACCACGCCCAGCTAATTTTTTTCTATTTTTAGTAGAGACATGGTTTCACCATGTAGACCAGGCTAGTCTCAAACTCCTGAACTCAGGTGATCTACCTGCCTTGGCCTCTCAAAGTGCTGGGATTACAGGTGTGAGCCACCGCGCTGGGCCTACATTTTCATATCTTGGAAATTGGAATGCCTTTGCAATCAATAGCGGGACAAAATTTATTTGGTAACCTTTCTTCTCAATGGTGACACACACGTAAGGTGCTTCACTGGGCCGGGCGCAGTGACTCACGCCAGTAATCCCAGCACTTTGGGAGGTCGAGGTGGGCAGATCACGTGAGGTCAAGAGATCGAGACTATCCTGGCCAACATGGTGAGACCTCGTCTCTACTAAAAATACAAAAATTAGCTAAGCGTGGTAGCACACGCCTGTAATCCCAGCTACTCAGGAGGCTGAGGCAGGAGAGTCACTTGAACCCTGGGGGCGGAGGATGCAGTGAGCCGAGATCACGTCACTGCACTCCAGCCTGGTGACAGAGCGAGACTCCGTCTCAAAAAAAAAAAAAAGAAAAAAAAAATACTTTCACTGGACAGTCAACAGTATCCTTGATGCATGAAATCTCGTTAATAACTTTCACTTTTCTCAAGTCCATGTGGTTTGTGATTCTTGACAGCAAACAAATCAAGAGAAATCATTTTATTTTATTATTGGGTTAATAAAGTCAACGTTCATTCTCCAATGCTGCATTGAGTAAACAGTATCCATTTCTAGAATTTCTCTAAAATAAAAATTGCATGACTAAGGCCGGGTGCAGTGATTCATGCCCGTAATCCCAGCATTTTGGGAGGCCAAGGCAGGTGAATCACCTGAGGCATGAGTTCGAGACCAGCCTGTCCAACCTGGTGAAACCCAGTCTCTACTAAAGATAGAAAAATTAGCTGAGTGTGGTGGCAGGGGCCTGTAATCCCAGCTACTAGGGAGGCTAAGGCAGGATAATCACTTGAACTCAGGAGGCAGAGGTGGCAGTGAGCCGAGACTGTGCCATTACACTCCAGCCTGGATGACAGAGCAAGACTCCATTTCAAAAAAAATAAAAAAAATAAAAAAATAAAATGCAGAAGTAGATTTAATGCACCATCCTGGACTTTGTCAAGAAAGTCTCCAGGAATCACTGTTACGAATACTGAAAGGTACTATAGAACTCAGCTGTTATTAAAATGGGTTTTGTAAATTCTTGGTTTTGACTCATGAGCATGCTTCGGCAACCCCCCGAAGGCTTGTTTAAATCAGAGACACCCAAACCCTAGAGCTTCTGACTCAGTTTGCCTGCAGCGAGGATAGAGAACACGCGTCTGTAGCAAGTTTCCAGGTGATGCTGACGCTGCTGGACTGGAGACCACATCTGAAAAACCACAGTTCTAGTTTTCTGAAGTGATGGCTCAGTCATTGGGAATTACTACCTGGGAATTAGGGAAGGAGGAGGCGGTCCAGTCAGAGCTTGAGACTTTCCTCCTTCCGTTTCAGTCAGAGCAGTCCTGGTTTGATCTGTCTCTGTATCAGTTTCTGCAGGAGATTTCATATTAAATAAACGTTTTGCTGCTTTTCTAAAACATGACAGTAATTATTGAAATG